>NC_000009.12:119470552-120095552 GCF_000001405.40 Homo sapiens
CTGGGCTCTATATTCTGTTCCATTGGCCTATATATCTATTTTTATGCCAGTACCATGATCTCTTGATTATTATAGCTTTATAGTATATTTTGAAGTTGGCAATGTGATGCCTCCAGCTTTGTTATTTTTGCTCAGGATCATTTTGGCTTTTTGGAGTCTTTTGTGGTTCTGTACAAATTTTAGAATTGTTTTTTCTATTTCTGTGAAGAATGTAATTAGTATGTTGATATGTTTTGCACTGACTATGTAGATTACATGTGGTGGCATGACCATTTTTACAATTTTAATTCTTCTAGTCCATGAACATGGGATATTTTTCTATTTTTTATGTCCTCCTCCATTTCTTTCAGCAGTGTTTCATAGCTTTCCTTGTAGAGATCTTTCGTCTTCTTGGTTAAATTTATCCCTAGGTTTTTGTTGTTGTTGTTTGTATTCATAGCTATTGTAAATAGGATTACTCTCTTGATTTCTTTTTCCACTAGTTTGTTTTTGGTGTATAGAAATGCTATATGCTTTTTGTATGTTGATTTTGTATCCTGCAACTTTGCTAACTTTTAATTTCAGTTCTAAGAGTTTTTTGCCAAAACTTTTAAGTTTTTCTTCGTATAAGACAGTGTCATCTGCAAATAGGGACAATTTGACTTCCTCCTTTCCAACTTGGATGCTCTTAATTTCCTTCTTTTGACTAATTGCTCTGTCTAGGACATGAAACTTATTTTTTGAATATAATGTAAAAGAGAACTCAAACTTTTTTCCACATGAAAAGCTTTTACAAGAACTGTTTAATGAATAACTCATCGATTTTGACCCTGACTAAAAATGTCATTTTTATAATGTACTATATCTTCAATATGCTGTCATCACTTTCTTGATATCTCATTTTGATTTACTATTTTATTGTGAATACTACATTTAAAAAAAATTCACCTGTTTTATTATTTTCAGACCGGGTTGTAAGACTGTCTAATTTTTGTATTTTTGATAGAGACAAGGTTTCATCATGGTGCAAAGGCTGGTCTCAAACTCCTAGGCTCAAGTGATTCACACACTTTTGCCTCCCAAAGTGTTGGGATTACAGGGGAGAGTCACTGAGCCTGGCTGTGAGTACTACATTACTTATTTATCATGGAATTATGTCTTGAAGTTTACTTGGGAAAATCTCTTCTCATTGTTCTTCTCTTTCAAATTTTTTTTTATGACTCTCAGGCTTTTTTTTATTTCTCAGTTAGGTCTTGCACCAAAGTCATAATGCTTCATTATAAGAAACAAATAGCAACAACAACAAAAAACTTCTGACAAGTGAAAAAAAAAGGGAGATCCTGGAGATGAGTCAAAATGTAAGAAAAGAAACAGGCAAGGGGTAATTGTTTTCTTTTTTCTTTTGTCTTTTAGTGGGAAGACAGTTTCCAGTTTTGGTATCACACAATAATCTGAAACTCCAATAATCTATAGCGTTTCTGGACTAAAGAACCACAAGGTTGATTTGAGGCCAACTACAGGCACAGAAAAGTGAAAGGGGTAGCCTGGAAGGAAGTCTCAAATTCTGTGCCTAAAAATTAACAAAATCTCTATTGACCCTTAAACCACACATATGTAAGACAGATGGGAACAACTCACTTCAGGGTGGTGGAGGAGTGTTGAGCTGTGATTTGAACTGCTATGTAAGAGATTTTGTGATTTGAGATCACTTAGTTTTTTGCTTAAAAAAATATCAACACTCTACAGAGGAGCGGGATAACAAAATCCCAAATCTCCGTAACATAATATTCACCATGTTCAGAAGACACACGAAATTACTTTGTATTCAGAGAACCAGGAAAATGTTACCCATTCTCAAGAGAATGATAATCAATAAAGGTCAACCCTGAGATAACCCAGATATTGAAATTAGCAAGCAATGACTTTAAAGTAATTATTATTACTATGCTCAGTGAAGTAAACTATAATATGCTTGTAATGGAAAAAATATAAGCATTCTCAATAGAAGAATGGAAACTATAAGGAACCAAATAAATTTTTTAGAATCAGAAACGACAATGTAAAATATTTTTTAAAAACACTGAATGGACTTAAAACCAGAATGAGGACAGCAAAAGAACAAGTCAGTAAACATGCAGCTAAATCAAAATAAATTATCAATTTGAAGAGCAGAAAAAATATTGAAAATAATGGACAATATTAAAATGTCTAAATACATGTAATTACAATAGAAGATGGAGAAGAAAAAGACTGATGCAGAAAAAAACTTTTGGGGAAATAATGACCTGAAATTTCCCCAACTTGGTGAAAGACATGAACTGACAGATTCAAGAATCTACAAGCAGGATAATTATGAGAAAATTCATGCTCAGGCACACTACAGTCAAATTTAAAAAAATGATAACAAGAAAATACAGAAAGCAGCTGGGTAACTATCATCAATAATAACTTGACTGTACATTGTAAAATAACTCAAAGAACATAATTGATTTGTTTGTGACTCAATGGATAAGTGCTTGTGGAGATGAATACCTCATTCTCCATGATATGATTATTACACAGTGCATGCCTGTATCAAACACCTCATGTACCCCATAAATATAAACATCTACTATGTACCCATAAAATGTAAAATTTTTTAAATTTTAAAAGAGAAAAAAAAGAAAGAACTCAAAACAGCATACAGAATAATAGTTACGTGAATTGACACTGACTTTTTATCAGATACTGCAAAAACCAGAAGATAACCAGACAGCATCTTTAAGGTGATGAAAGGAAAAACAACAAACAACTATGAGTCTGGAATATCATATTATACAAAAATATCCTTCAAAAATGAAGGCAGAAGCAAAACTATATTAAGATACTAAAACTAAAAGGTTATGTCACCAGCAGACCCATACTAAATTAGTAGCAAGAGATGATCTTCAGGTTAAAGGGAAATGATACCAGAGATAATGCAAGAACTTCAGACATGAATAAAAAGCATTATGCATGGTAAACTTCTGTGTAAATATAAAAGGCTATTTTTCATTTAACTTCTTAAAAATATATGATCGTTTAAAGGAAAATTTATAATGCTGCCAAGTGGAGATTGTGATATATGTTGTTTAATATATGTGACAACTGCAGTACAAAGGCTGGAAGGGGAAATAATAAAGACAGATCTTTAAAATTTCAGGTTTTCTATATTTTATGTAAAGTGGTACAACATTAACACTACGTAGACTGTGAAAAGTTTAGAATAAATATTTTAATCCGTAGAGCTACCACTAGAATAATAATAATGCAAAGAAGTATAGCTGAAAACACAATAGATAAATTAAAGTGAAGTTCTATAAACACTCAAATAATTCAAAAAAGATCAGGAAAGGAGACAGAGAATCAAAATCAAAAAGGATAAACAAAAACAAAGAATAAAAGTGATAGATTTAAATCTAACATTATCAATCTTAAATGTTAATGGAACAATCACTTCCATCAAAAGACAGAGATTATCAAAATGGCTAAAATACTAAGACCCAAATATATGTCACCTAAGAGAGCTATACGATACATATAAATACACAGATAGCTTGGAAGTAAATGGATTAAAAAGTTACACCATGCAAACAATAAGCATCAGAAAATGAGTAAGTTTTCATGAATATCAGATACAATAAACTTCAGGAAAAAAGTATTTCCAGAGGTAAATAGGAATATTTAATAATGACAAAAAGATCAGTTCATCAGCAAGACATAACAGTCACAAATGTGTTTGCCCTGTAACAGATCTCTATATTATATGAAGCAAAAGTGGACAGAAATCAAGAAAGCAATAAACAAATTCACAGTCATAGCCGGAAATTGTAACACCCTTCTGTCACTAATGCTAGAACAACTAGTCAAAATTTCACCAGTAAAGGTATAGATGATCTGAAGAACAGTATCATTTTTCTTGACCTATTTGGTATTTATACAACACTATATCCAACAGTTGTAGAATACACAGTTGTATTCTTTCCCAGTGCACGAGATAAAACACGTGCTTGGCCAAAAACAGCTTTAATACATTTAAAAGAGTTAAATAATACAGAGAATATTCTCTAAATGCAATGGAATTAGTTTATAAATTAATAACAATTAAGATATCTAGAAGAAAAATGGAAACTACATAATACAGTAGTAAATAAGCCATGGATCATAAAAGAAGTCAAAAAGGAAATTAGAAAACATTTTGTTCTGAATAAAAAGAAGACTACATATCAAAATTTGTAGGATGCAGCTAAAGCAATGCTTAGAGGGGAATTTATAGTTTTAAACACATGTTAAAAAGGTACCAATGTCTAGAATTAATGACCTAAAGTACCACCTTAAAAAGCCAGGAAAAAAACAGCAATATAAATCCAATGTAAATAGAAGAAAGGAAATATTAAAAAGTAGAAGAAAATGAAATACAAAAATAAAGAAAATTAACAAAGCCAAAAGCTGGTTATTTTAAATGATTAACAAAATTGATACACTTTCAGCTAGACTGAGTAAAAAAAAAAACCCAAATCAAAAAAGAGCAAGAGCACAAATCACTAGTATGAAGAATGAAGAAGAGACTATCATCACAGATTAAATATAAAAAAATTTGTATTTTTAAAATATTTAATAAAGATATTTTAAAAAATAACAGAATATAATAAAGCACTTAATACCAACAAATTTGACAATTTCAAATATATGGACCAATTCTTGAAATAATACAAGTGACCCAAATTGACAGAGATAAAACAGAAATATAAATTGCCAATTTTCAAGAATAAATCTGTTATCAGAGACTTTGCCACAAAGAAACCCTTGCCTCAGAAATGTTCCCTTGGTGAATTCAACCAAATATTTAAGAAAGAAAAAACAACAACATTATATAAAATATTTGAAAGGATAGAGGAAGAAGAAATACATCCCAATACATTTTATGAGACCAACATACATCTTATACCAAAATTCTCAAAGGCATAATCAAAAGAGAAAATTATAGACCAATTTGTTTAATGAACATTTACATGAAAATCTTTAACAAAGTGAGATATAGACCAATGGAACAGAACAGAGCCCTGAGAAATAATGCCGCATATCTACAACTATCTGATCTTTGACAAACCTGACCAAAACAGGAAATGGGGAAAGGATTCCCTATTTAATAAATGGTGGTGGGAAAACTGGTTAGCCATATGTAGAAAGCTGAAACTGGATCCCTTCCTTACACCTTATACAAAAATTAATTCAAGATGGATTAAAGACTTAAATGTTAGACCTAAAACCATAAAAACCCTAGAAGAAAACCTAGGCAATACCATTCAGGACATAGGCATGGGCAAGGACTTCATGTCTAAAACACCAAAAGCAATGGCAACAGAAGCCAAAATTGACAAATGGGATCTAATTAAACTCAAGAGCTTCTGCACAGCAAAAGAAACTACCATCAGAGTGAACAGGCAACCTACAGAATGGGAAAAAATTTTTGCAATCTACTCATCTGACAAAGGGCTAATATCCAGAATCTACAATGAACACAAACAAATTTACAAGAAAAAAACAAACAACCCCGTTAAAAAGTGGGTGAAGGATATGAACAGACACTTCTCAAAAGAAGACATTTATGCAGCCAGAAGACACATGAAAAAATGCTCATCATCACTGGCCATCAGAGAAATGCAAATCAAAACCACAATGAGATACCATCTCACACCAGTTAGAATGGCAATCATTAAAAAGTCAGGAAACAACAGGTGCTGGAGAGGATGTGGAGAAATAGGAACACTTTTAAACTATTGGTGGGACTGTAAACTAGTTCAACCATTGTGGAAGTCAGTGTGGCGATTCCTCAGGGATCTAGAACTAGAAATACCATTTGACCCAGCCATCCCATTACTGAGTATATACCCAAAGGATTATAAAACATGCTGCTATAAAGACACATGCACACGTATGTTTATTGAGGCACTATTCACAATAGCAAAGACTTGGAACCAACCCAAATGTCCAACAATGATAGATTGGATTAAGAAAATGTGGCACATATACACCATGGAATACTATGCAGCCATAAAAAATGATGAGTTCATGTCCTTTGTAGGGACATGGATGAAGCTGGAAACCATCATTCTCAGCAAACTATCGCAAGGACAAAAAACCAAACACCACATGTTCTCACTCATAGGTGGGAATTGAAAAATGAGAACACATGGACACAGGAAGGGGAACATGACACACCAGGGCCTGTCATGGGGTGGTGGTTGGGGGGAGGGATAGCATTAGAAGATATACCTAATGCTAAATGACAAGTTAATGGGTACAGCACACAAACATGGCACACATATACATATGTAACAAACCTGCACATTGTGCACACGTACCCTAAAACTTAAAGTATAATAAAAACAAACAAACAAAGTATTAGCAAATCAAATACAGTATCTTAAAAGATAACTTATTTATTCCTTTATCTATTTATTTTTGAGATAGAGTCTTGCACTCTCACCCAGGCTGGAGTGCATTGGTGCCAACTTGGCTCACTGCAGCTACCACCTCCCAGATTCAAGCCAGTCTCCTGCTTCAGCCTCCAAAGTAGCTGAGATTGCAGACAGGCACCACCACACCTGGCTAATTTTTGTATTTTTAGTAGACATGGGGTTTCACCATGTTGGCCAGGCTGGTCTTGAACTCTTAACCTAAGGTGAACCACCCATCTAGGCCTCCCAAAGTGCTGGGATTACAGGTATGAGCCGCCGTGCCTGGCCTTAAAAGATAACTTATTGAAATGGGAGACATTCCCTTATCCTGCTCGCAGGGCGGGACAGGGGTGTGGCTCACTTCTTCCATGCCCTGCTGCTCAGATCCCTATGCAGAACATGCAGGTTGGGGGAGGGTTTTTGGGCTCCGATGCCACAGCAGCCTGTAGGGTTGAGTGTTTACAGCTTCTGAAGCCCCAGTGGGCGTGTGTTGCAGTGCCGTTTTTCAGTTTTGCTGTCTGTAGGTGGCTTGTGTTAATCAGCTCAATTAGAATCTCTGCCTTATTCCAAAGACAGAGGGATTTCTGTATTCCGGGTTCTTGTCCTAGTGTACCGGAAAAATGGGATCACATGTAGGCTTAGAGCATGAGTGCAACATTTTACTGAGTGGTGGAGGTAGCTCCCAGTGAGATGGATGCGGAGCCAGAAGGGGGATGGAGTGGGAAGGTGTTTTTCCCCTGGAGAGGGGCTACCCAGCGGCTAGACTCTCCTCTGACTGCCCGCAGACGAATTCCCCTCAGAGTTCATGTCATTCTGCCATTGATGGTCTGCCAGTGTCTGCTAGTGTCTGTTGGTGTGTTCTGCTCCTCTCGACAGCCGCTTGTGTGTGGTCCACTGTGGTTCTGGGTTTTTGTGGGCACAGTATGGGGGGCGTGGTAGACCAAAAGTCAACTTTTTGGGCTTGAAAACAGTTATGCTTGTCCTTATTTAGGTCTGTGGGCACAGGCCAGAGGTGGAACCTTCACCAAGGACCTCGCCCTTCTCTACCCAGTACTTCCCTGCCCCACTCCCATATCATTATGACCATAAAGAGCTTATCCCATGAATTCAGTTTGGTTTTATATTCTCTGAATTGTCATTTTAAAATGGTTAATTTTATAG
Organism: Homo sapiens; assembly: GCF_000001405.40. NCBI lineage: Eukaryota > Metazoa > Chordata > Mammalia > Primates > Hominidae > Homo > Homo sapiens. The sequence continues at coordinate 119,478,172 of NC_000009.12, forward strand.
TATGCAAATTTCGCTTCAACAAAAAATGCATGTAATTCATCATATTAACACAATTAAACAATACAATCATCTCAATAGATGCAGAAAAAACATTTACACAAAATCCAGCACCAAATAATGATAAGACTTCTCAGCAAATGAGGGATACAAGGAAACTTTTTCAAACCAACAAGGGGAATCTGTAAAACTTACAGATAACGTCATCCTTTGTGGTATCATATTGAACACTTTTCCCCTAAGATCAGGAGCAAGGCAAGGATTCCCACTTTCACCACTTCTACTCAACATCATACTGAAAATCCTAACCATTTGCAATAATAAGAAAAAAGATGTCAGTGGCATACAAATCAGAAAGGAAGAAGCAAAACTGTGCATATGAAAACGACATAATTCTTTACAAAAAAAATCATGGAAAATCTAAAAAGCTACACAAGAGATAATAAGTACATTTACCAAAGTTGCAGAATACAAGGTTTTGTTTAAAAAATTAACTGTAACCACTGCACATCTATTAGAATGGCCAAAATCCAGAGCATAAATACCACCAAATGTTGTCAAGGATGTGGAGTAATGGGAGCTCTCATTCACTTCTGATGGAAATAAAATGGTACAGCCATTTTGGAGGATAATTTGGTGGTTTCTTGCAAAGCTAAACATACTATTATTACACTATCCAGCAATTATATTCCTTGGTATTTACTCAAAGAAGTTGAAAACTTATGTAGGCACAGAAACCAATACATGGATATTTATAGCAGCTTTATTCACAATTGCCCAAACTTAGAAGTGACCAAGATGTCCTTCAGTAGGTTGGAATATCACTCAATGTGAAAAAAAAAAAAACAAAAAACTGAACTATCAAGCCATGAAAAGACATGGAGGAATCTTAAATGTGTATAATTAAGTGAAAGAAGGCGATCAGAAAAGGCTACATACTGTATTATTCCAACTGACATTCTGGAGAAGAGAGAGCTATGGCGACAGCATAAAGATCAGTGGTTGTCAGGGTCTAAGGGTGACAGGGATGAACAGGTGAAATGTAGAGAATTTATAGGGCAGTGAAAATACTCTGTATGATACTATAATGGTAAATACATGCCATTATACATTTGTCTAAACCCATAAAATGTACAACACCAAGAATGAACCTAATATAAACTATGAACTCTGTGTGATAATAATTGTCAATATAGACTCACGAATTGCCACAAATGTATCACTATGTTTGGGAATGTTGATAATGGAAGAAGCTATGCATGCGTGAGGCCAAGGGGTATATGGGGAGTCTCTGTACCTTCTGCTCAATTTTGCTGTGAACATAAGACTGCCCTAAAAAACAAAATCTATTTTTAAAAGTAGTTTATATGTTGTGAAAATTTATAGAGCTATATACACTTATAATTTTTGCAGTTCTGTACATGTATACTTCATTTAAAAAATCAATTGTATTGTTATATACACAATTATGCAAACAATAAAGAAATGAAATTCAAAGCAATTCCCTTTATAGTAGCATCAATGTATAAAATACTTAGAAAAAATTATCAATATATAAGCAAGACTTCTACACTGAAAATTACAAAATGTTGCTGAGAAAAATTTTAGAAGACCTAAATTATCAACACCCTGTGACACTGGCACTGTAATTGACAAACAGATCAATACAATAGAGAGTTCAGAAATAGACCCACACTTAAAGCGTCATTTATTTGTTTGTTTTTTTAACAGAGGCACCAGAGCAATTCAATGTTACCAAAAAAAAAAAGTTTTTTCCACAAATGGTGTTCATATGAAAAAAAAAAGAATTGAACTTCAACCCTTACCTAAAATTCATTTGAGGTGAATTATAGACCTAAATATTAAAAAGCTAAAACCAGGCTGGGCACGGTGGCTCACGCCTGTAATCCCAGCACTTTGGGAGGCTGAGGAGGGCAGATCACGAGGTCAGGAGACGGAGACCATCCTGGCTAACACAGTGAAATCCCATCTCTACTAAAAATACAAAAAATTAGCTGGGTGTGGTGGCACGCACCTGTAATCCCAGCTATTCAGGAGGCTGAGGCAGGAGAATGGCCTGAACCCAGGAGGCAAAGCTTGCAGTGAGCCAAGATTGCACCACTGCACTCCAGCCTGGGCGACAGAGTGAGACTCTATCTCAAAAAAAAAAAAAAAAAAAAAAAGCTAAAACCATAAAACTTTTGTGATTTAAAAACATAGCTGATGATCTTCATTATTGGGGATAGACACGGATATCTTAAACAGCTCATAGAAAACGTAACTATAAAAGACAAAACATGCCAATATGGCCTCCTCAAAATTAAAAAAAAAGTCTTTTCATCAAAAGACACCATTGAGAAAATGAATAGAAAAGTTATAGGCTGTGAGAAAATATTAATAAATATTCAATAAAGGACTATGTACCCTGGGTATATAAATAAGTCCTATAACTCAAACATAAAAAGTCAAACAACTCAATAAAAAGTAGGCAAAATATTTGTACACTCTTTACAAAAGAAGTATACAAATGACCAACAGGCAAATCATAAAGTGTGTAATATTATTAGTCATCATATAAGTGCAAATTAAACCACAATAAGATATATAACTGCATGCCTAAGAAAATGGCCAAAATTAAATATACCGGTAATATTAGAAGTTGACAAGGATGTGGAACAATCAGAACTCTCTTATATTCTTGGTTATAAAGTATATAATCAAGGGGTATTTATTATAAAATGGTACAACTACTGCAGGGAAAGTTCTGACAGATTCTGACAAACATAAATACATACTTACTTTGATCCAGCAAATCCAATCATACGAGAAATAAAAATATACATCCACACAACAATTTGTACATGAATGTTCATGGAGGTCTCCTCCTCCTCCTCCTTCTCTTCCTTCTTCTTCTTACTAATAACAACATAAATTTATTGCTCACAGTCCTGGAGGCTGGGAAGTAGAAACAACCAATATGCCCACCAACTTATGACTGAGTAAATAAAATATTGGCTCGGCGTAGTGGCTCATGCCTGTAATCCCAGCACCCTGGGAGGCCCAGGTGGGTGGATCACTTAAGGTGAGGAGTTCCAGACCAGCCTGGCCAAAATGGCAAAACTATTAGTTTCTACTAAAAATACACACACACACACAAAATTAGCCGGGCCTGGTGGCAGGCACCTGTAAATCCCAGCTACTCAGGAGGCTGAGGCAGGAGAATCCCTTGAACCCAGGAGGCAAAGGTTGCAATGAGATGAGATCATGCTACTGCACTCCGGCCTAGGTGACAGTGTGAGACTCCGTCTCAAAAGAAGTGTATGCATGGACATATTTCTGGGGTTTCTGATACATGCTGCAACATGGATGAACCTTGAAGATATTCTGCTAGATGAAAGAAGATCTAGTAATAAAAGGTCACATATTGTATGATTTCATTTGTATGACATGTCTAGAATAGGCAAGTCTATAGAGACAGAAAGTAGATTGTTGGTTTCCTAGCACTAGGTGGTGGAAAGAACATGGGAAGTGAGGGTCTGAAGGAAAGTGACTGCTAATAGGAATGGTGTTTTCTGGGGGAGTGATGAAAATATAAAATCGATTGTGGTGATGGTTTCACATCTCTGTAAATACTATATGCTGCAAAACAATGAATTGTGCACGTTAAATAGGTGAATTTTATGGTATATCTCAATAAAGTTGTGATTATAAAAGTTGTCAAGGATAACATCTAGATGGTGGGTATATGGTGTTTACTGCAGTTATTTCAATTTTACTGTATATTTGAAAACTTTTAAAATAAAAAAATCCTAGAGAAGATGTTGATTGCAATTGTGTGAATTTTAGAGATTCATATGAAGAAAACTCATATCTGTATTTAGTCTTTGCAGTTAGAAATAGATTACTCACTGTTTAAGCACCTCTTCAGCATCATTGATAGATATCTCAAGCTACTTCTGATGAGTGTGTGCCAGGATCCACAATTCCATCATTGCACAGCTCTGGATGTTATAAAGGTCTTCCTTACAAACCATTGAGACAAAAATCCTCATCACTACCTCATTAGAACTGGTTGCTAGCTTCTTGAAACTTCTTTTACATTTCATTCCATCGTATGGGAAGATAACAGTCATAAGTCTTATCAGTTTCTAGTTTTTCAGGCTTTACATGCCTGATCCTTCCAGCTGTTTTTTTGTTTGTTTGTTTGTTTTGTTTTGCTTTGTTTTTTGCATGATTCTGAGACCCTTCACAATCTGGATGACCTTTCTTTGAAAGTCTTTGATTTTCCCTAAACTCCCAAGTGTAACAAGAATGGAACAGTATAGTCCAGGTAAGGTCTGATCAGCACAAGAGATAAAGTGTCTCCTTCCTTATCCGATATCTTTTACTTCTGTTAACACAGTCTAGAATTACAATAGCTTTTCTAGGTAACCATAGCTCACTGCTATGGAACTTAAAGCCCTTTAGTCTATTTCCATGCATTACACTAAGTACAGTATGCTTCTTCTCTCTATACCTGAAATGACCTTTTATTAAAAACTCAAGAACATTCCTCAGCAAGTGTTTTCAGAATGCTAAGTGTCTCAATGCCTGGTTTAGTGGCCACCTACCTTTGAGAGAGCTGCTTTTCTGAATTTGCGTCATTTTCATGATGAATAAAGCATGGAGAATCACTCTCAGCTGGTAGCGATATTCATAGACTTCCCAGATTGGAAGAGACCTTAAAAGACTGTCTCATCCCTCCTCCTGCCACCAAGCATGATGATATGTACACTAATTCTCTTCAGAGAGAGGGCAGCAGCTGCCACCAATCTACCCAGATCTCTAGGCTGTCCCTCTATGACCCAGTCTCAGGGTAGCATATTCCTGTTGATTAAGAGTTTTGAGAGCCTTGGATGAATGCAGTACTGAAATTAGCAGGAAGTAGTGGAAATAATTTGCCTGCACTCAGCGTCTTCTGCCGACAGCATCTGCCAAACGAGGGGAATTGCAGGCAGGCAGAGATGCTGTGCACTCCATGGGTGATGAGGGGGCTTGGAGCTCCCTGCACCATGGGCAGATAATTACTTACTCCCAGTCATCCACTTGGAGATGATTCTATGTATAGAACTCCACCTCACCACATGGTGTCCATAGCCCACAAAGGAAAAGATTTTCCAAGGAAAGTAGGTCAGTGCAGTTCCTGGATAGAGAGGGTCACTTCACCTGTTGTCTGGGTCAGTTCCAAGACCTAAGAGTCTCTTACTGATAAGAGGCTGAGATCTATACTGCAGGGAGATTTAACTTGCTCTCTTGCTCTTAGTATTATATTCATGTTAATTTCTTAGGTTTTGTACTATTTTTGCCATATATAGTATCACAGAACTGAAGGTAAGATGTGGGTCATGAGATTCCAAAATGGCCCATGAGTTATGAGATTCAAAAAGCATTAGCTACCCCAAAATGTATATTAATAACAGTGGTAATTTAAACATATTTCCACAAATTTTTTGAGACTCCTCCCTCTAGGACATGAGGTTTCATTTCCTTCCCTTTAAGTTTAGACTGGAATTAGTGATTTGCTTCTAACAAATGGAGTGTGGCAAGGGAAAACTGGGAACTTTATGATGGAGAAACCTGGCAGACACTGCCTTGACCAAACAATTAAGGTTAACAGCAATGGTAACATTGATACGTTGTACCCAGCATTGGCTTCATAGATGTGTAACCTGTGTAGCCAGACAGCTGCATGCTTGGTAGGGCCCGCACACTTGGTTTAATGCTCTGCTCTTGGCATCTTGAAATTCTTAATAATTTTATCTTTGGACTTATATTCTATGAATGATGAGTGAAGTGTGATGGGAAAATGGAGCTTGTCTGTGAGCAGAGAGGATGATGTCCAATTTGAATGTCTACTAATCTTTGCCACCTGATTTACAAGTAGCTAGGATGCCCATGAGCACAGGATTTCAGGGAGCCCGTGGTGCATGGAAGTTCAGCCCAAAGCAAGGTACAAGGGAAATGTCAATACACTTACTAACATCTATGACTTAGTAAGCAGGGACAATGACAGCACTTAGAAACCATACTTCCTTTCAAACGAGAACATTCTTTGAACACAGAAGGAAAGCAGTGGTGTTCTCTGAAACATAAATCACCATGAAATCCTATCATATCCTTTTTTACCCATGTTACTTCCATGTTTCAGCTAATTATGCTGAAAATGATATAACAAAAGGAAAGTGAAATGCAGGGCAACCAATGTTTCTTTGCTTTTCAGTCCTTTCTTATTCATCAATAAACTGCAGGTGGAGTGTTGGTAGAACATGTGCATATCAAGATGCAAAATAAAAAAACAGTTGAGTTCATTTTGTGCACCATCTCTGTTGTTTGGGTAAAAATGAGACACATTCGTGTACAAAGTTCAAAATACTAATTGTGCAATTTTGGTGATTCTGCATATGAGTTAATGCTCTTATATATATACTTAAGACTGTCTTGCACAATATAAAGATAAATAATAAAATTTGTTAATAAGTTAAAATGTTATATTTTATTTAGAATAATATTAAATAGCAAATAAAAAACATCATGACAAGTTGAGAGATAAAAGCTTTATATATTATTATCTTTAATACATTTTTTCCTGCTTTTTGAACAAGTGGCTTTACATTTTTACTTTTACTGGTCCCTGCAAATTATGCAGCCAACCCTAGCTATACACCTAATATGATGGTATCTCCTCTTTGATAGACCTCCTCAAAATACTTAACTCTAGTATAACCATAAATGTCTGATGAACCCAAACTGAGGGACATTCTCAAAACACGTGAACAATATCCTTCAAATGTGTCAAGATCATAAGAGGCAAAGGAAAGACCAAAATCCATCACAGATTGTAGGAGATTAAGGAGATAAAATGATGTAATGTAACAGGGTATTAGATTATGGAACAGAAAAAGATGACATTAGTTATTATAAAACAGAAAAAAATGACATTAGTAAAAAAAACTGTTAAAATCCAAATAAAAGTCTTTGTTTTATTTAATAGTATTGTACTCATGTTAGTTTCTTAGTATTAATAAATGAATCATGGGTATTAAACTGTTAACGAGAAGTTCGGTGGCAAGTATACAGAAACTCTGTGTACTATCGTCTCAACTCGTCTGTAAATCTATTTTAAAATAACTTTTTAAAAAGCATTATCTTCAGGTCTACCATGTGCAGAAAACCGCTATCAATGTGTTCATGTATGTATTCTCCTTTAATCCTGGTAACAGCACTATGCTGTATATGCATGAGCTCCATTTCACAATCAGGAGGAGGAAAACAAACTCAGAATGTCGAAGGAACCATCTGAAACTTTAAATATCTAAACTAATGCAGCCTTAATCCCAAGTCTGATGATCTCTTTGTGCTCTGAACTTATTATTTATTCCTCATTGTCTCCCAAACAAAATCTGAAGTCATGGGTCTTGTAAACCCAGGTTTTCTTTATCTTACTTTAGTTCCAGACTTAAATTATTTTCCACTGTATTGCTTCACACATGCAGCTTCCCAGTAAATTTAGCTCCTCTCTGATCAGTAGACACAGCCTGTATTTTCCCTGCTTTATGTTCACATTCACTTTCCTCCTTCCGCCTACCTTTTCCTTTCTTCTCTACCTGAAATGTCCACGAGCCCAAATCTCACTTGACCTTTATGATGCAGCTCTAGAGCTCCTTCCTCCTTTAAATCTTCCTTTCTCTTTATTCTGAAGTGGTCTCTCTCTCTCTTCCCTTAAATTTAATACCATGATGTGAATTCCATATGATTAAGAATAACAAAAACAATAACAACACATGATATTAGTAAGCATTTACTAAGATCATGCATGTATAATCTCACTGTATCCCCACAACTGTCCTCTAAAGTCAATATTATTGTTATATCTACTTTACAGATTAAAAACCGAGGTTTGTAGAATTTAAGCAAATTGCACAAGGTTGCAGAGCTACCAGTAATGATACCACAAAATTATATAATTTATGGATAACAGATTTTTATTTTAAAACATATATTTGACAAATAAAAGCTATATATATAGTTTATATATATTTATATTTATATATAGTTTATATATATTTATATTTATATATATTTATGTAGTATTATATACATATATATTCAAGGTGTACAATGTGATGATTAGGCATACATAAACATTGTATAATCATGACTGGAATGAAATTAATGAACACATCCATTGATACCCATAGTTACCATTTTTGTTTTCTGTGTATTTGTGGTAAGGACACTTAAAATCTTCTCTTATCAAATTTCAAGTAAACAATACAATATTATTAACAATAATCACCAAGTTTTACATTAAATCCTTATAACTTATTCATCTTATAATTGAATGTTTGTATCCTTTGACCAACATCTCACCATTTTCCCCACCTTCTAGCCCCTGGCAACGACTCTTCTACTCTCTGTTTCTATTAGCTCAATGTTTTTAGACTCCTTAAAGGCCAACTAACTGACCAGCCTTCTAATGCTTCGATTTTCTTTAGGGTATCAGAAGCCTGAGGCCCCGAATTATGAAAATGGCTTCTCCAAGGTTACAAAGCAAGTCGGTTGTAGAGATGAATTAAAACCCTACAATCCTAACACAGGGTTCTCTCTGACATGCCAGGCTGCAGTTTCACACATTTTTGTCTATGAATATCTTCAGCCCATCAGAAGTGCTAGCAGACTATCATGACAACTCAAAGATGAAGGCTTCCCGCTATCCTCAGGAGAGTGGAAACTGCCTGTTCTTGAGAGAATTTTTGACCTATAGCAATGGTCTTCAACCTATAGTACCCAGACCAGCAGCAGCAGCATCACCTGGCCACTTGTTTGAAATGCAAATTATTGATTCCCACCCAAGACTCACTAAATTATGAACTCTGGGGTTTGGGGCCCAGGACTCTGCTTAATAAACTTTCTGGGTAATTACATTATTTGCTAAAGTTTGAGAACTACCATACTAGGGCAGATTCTATGGCACAAATAGAGATGTATGTTACCAACAGCAACAATCCTGTGATCTGTCTGAGCTACTGTAGTTGCATTGTTTGTTTCACGAGGCACCTGGTTTTCCTTTTCCTTAATAGACCACTTGTCCATTAGCATCTGAATTGAAAGAAACAGGTGAGAGGAACATTTCCAGCTGAAGCAGGGTCAGCATCTTGGCTTTAGCTGCCTCAAATCTATTCTTTCCCTTCCTCCTGGGTGAGACTTGCCATATGGGTGCTCAGTATAAAAAGGTTATTGCAGAAAATGTAAAGGATTCTTTTTGCGGGTATGAGAAACAGTGCATTCTTCAAGATCTTGCTAATGCAGCCGTGCCTTGATCTTCCTACCCTGAAAGGGAAGATTGAATGATGTTTTTAAATCCTTTCTTCTTCTGTAATAAAATTGCATCCACACTTGGCTTTCGCAGTGTCTCCCTCTGTTGGTGGAGTCTCCTTCCCTGCCCCTTTGATGTTGACGTTGTCTTGATAAATTGTCTCGACCAGTGGAATGTTGACAGACACAACATGAGAGGAGGCTTTAAATTTGTTTGTATATCATTTTTGTTTTCATCAGTGTAGGCTGATATGACAAATATACTATAGACTAGGTGGCTTAGATAACAAACATTTATTTCTCATAGTTCTGGAAACTGGAAAGCTAAAGATCAAGGAACGGGCAGATCTGGTGCTTGGTAAGGCACTCTTCCTGGTTTTCAGATGGCTGTCTTCTTGTATGATCACACGACAGAGACAGAATAGAGAAGAAGCAAGCACTCTCATGACTATTCTTATAAGGGCACTAATTTTATCATGCAACTCCACCCTCATTCTATAATGACTTCTTAAAGGCCCCATCTGTAAATACCATCACAATGGGGATTAGGGTTTTAACATATGAATTTTAGAAGAACACAAACATTCAGTCCATAGCATATATCATAATCCCATTAATCTCATAGAGCCACCATAAGAGTATGTCCCAGATAGCCAAAGAGAGGTATGGGGCATATGGATCATAACAGAACCCAACTCTTAGCATAAAGCTAAGTCCAAATGATCCCAGTGAAGCAGGGCCAACTCAAATCTTCATGAGCAAGAAAATAAATGTTTGTTGCAAGCCACTGAGCTTTTTACCAGCAGTAACTAGTACGCTGAGAGAGTCTCAGGATCTACCAAAGATATCTACTGCAGCTGACCCTCACAAAAGAGGACAAATATAAGCAGTTCCAGGCCCTTCATAAGGAGGTCTTAGAATATGATCATAACGATTACCAGAGGGAATTCTGCTTCTGCTTAGGATGTGCAAGTTCAAGACAGACCACTGCGTCCACAACTAAAACTAACAGAAAATAGGCCGGGCACGGTGGCTCATTCCTGTAATCCCAGCATTTTGGAAGGCTGAGGCAGGCAGATCACTTGAGGTCAGCAGTTCAAGACCAGCCTGGCCAACAGGATGAAACCCCGTCTCCACCAAAAAATACAAAAATTAGCCGGGTGTGGTGGTGCACACCTATAATCCCAGATCCTCGGGAGGCTGACGCACAAGAATTGCCTGAACCTGGGAGGCAGAGGTTGTAGTGAACTGAGATCATGATACTACACTCCAGCCTGGGCAAAAGAGCAACAATAAACAAGCAAACAAAGCCAGAAAAAAAAAAAAAACACAGAAAATAGTATATAGGTTTCAAATACATTAGTTAACTACAAATACAAAGAAATCTAAAAGAATTAAATTCCAGAGAGAGTTGAGCTTTTCTATGTGAGCATAGTGTCTGCTTTCTTCCCTGGCAGTATCTGCCATGTCTACCCATGAAAGGGTGGAAGACTATACCTTCCTTCTGCAGACAGTCCTGTAGGGGTTAGGAATAAGCCAGCAAATCTTTTCAATCCATTGTGCCAGGCCATGTGAAAATTAAATTTGTGAGACTCCAATTCCAACAACACAACACTAATTCTCCCCACCCACTGATTCTTCCCCACCAGACTTTGGCTGAGTGCATGGTCAAATTTTGGGAGGTAGAGGGCTGGGATGGAAAGAGAACAATTTCCCTTTATAATATGGTCCTCAGAGCTCAAAGTCTTCCTAGAGATGGGGGCTGGTAACAATTGCAACACCTTATCTTGGCCATACACATTTGAAACAAGAGGTGAACTAAAAGTAAATAAAGCTGCAGCCCAGATGTGACCTAACTCAACCCATGATTGAATCTAATTGAAGTCATCATTCCTTTACTCTGGTTTTCTGACTTAGTAAAGAGTTTGCCCCTCTTGGATAAAGTAATATTTTCTCCAGTCCCTAGAGTTGTTTAAATCACAATACATGGCATGCAATAAAATTTCAAGTTATGCAAAGGAGCAGGAAACTGTTACCCATAAACAAGAGGGGAAAATAGCCAAAACAGCAGACCCAGGCATGACCCAGCTATTAGAATTAGCAGATAATGGCCTCCAAAAAAAATTATAAATATTAAAAGAACTTAGAAGAGTGAAAAATAGATTAAAAAAAGAATTTGATAGAGAAACAGAATCTCTTATAACAGATCCAAATATACTCACTAAAACGGAAAGGTGCCATATCTAAAACTGAGAATTATATTGGATATGTCTAACAGCAGACCTGACACAGTTGAATAAAGGAACAATGAATTCAAACACAAATCAATAGAAATTATCCAACCTGAAGCACACAGGGAAAAAATAAAGAAAAAGACACATGTGGGACAATAGCAAATGGTCTAATTGGAGTCCCAAAAGGAAAGAATGGAACAGAAGAAATATTAAGGGAAATAATGGTGAAGCATTTTCCAAGATTTAGGAAATAGGCCAAACTATAGGTTCAATAATATCTTGGAAACTCAATCAAATTGAAGACAATCCTAGCCAATCTCAAGGCGCCAGAGATGACCACTGGGTATGTTAATTTCCCCTTGCATTGGAATCTGTCCTCCCTCCATTAACTCCTATGGACTGACATCCAGACTTTACTGCCTAATCTAGTGGAACCCTCACTGTACTGAAGAGATCCAGCATGGGAGCTACCAGTGCCTCTGTGTTAGTTCATTTTGCCTTGTTATAAAGGAATGTCTGAGGCTGGGTAATTTATAAAGAAAAGAGGTTTATTTGGCTCATGGTTCTGCAGGCAGTACAAGCATGACACCAGCATCTGATTCAGGCGAGGCCTCAGGAAGTTACCAGTCATGATGGAAGATGAATGGGGAGCCAGCATATCACATGATTAGAGAGGGAGCAAGAGAGAGAGGGAGGAGGTGCCAGGCTCTTTTAAACAACCAGATCTCATGTGAACTCATAAACTAAGAACTCACTCACTACCATGAGGACAGCACCAAGCCATTCATAAGGAATCCACCCCCATGACTCAAACAATTCCCACTAGCCCCTATCTCCAACACTGGAGGTCACAATTCAACATGAAATTTGGAGGAGACAAAACATCCAAACCATGTCAGCCTCTGTCACTGTCTAAGTCAGACTAATCTGAGCCTACATAAAGTCATCAAGGGAAGTGGTGTTTGGTTATTCTTTGCATAAAAATGCCACTTGTGTAGTAAACTGGATTCAGAGGCAATCCCTGCATAAATGGCCAGTGACCCCTAGTTTGCCATGAAGCCAAGTTTTTGCTCAGTAGGAATACTTTTAGTTAGCTAACTAATCTACCAGGATTAAAAAAAGGAAAGAACTAGTTAATTCAAAACAACAGAAAAATAAAGCATTAGATTTAGAGATGAAAAAACTACATAATAAAGAGACCACATAAGCCTAGAAGAAATAGCTCATGGAGCCACCCCAGATTTCTAATTCATTCAATCTGTGCAAGATATAGAGCATGCAAGTCTTTGCAAGATACAGAGCATGAAAGTTACATTTGCAAGGTACTACAACAAATGCTTCTAGAGTTTCTCTTGTCTTTGCCAACATAAGCAAAGCTATGGTCCAGCTGGAACATGCCCATCTGTTGACCCCATGGTTAGTCTCTGTCTAGGACGCAATTCTGCCATCCATAGCCCACTGCAATGATCCTATGACCTAAGGTTCCTATAACATCAGGAAATTGCCCTGGATCCGTCTTCTTCCCTCACTCCATGCTGCAGGTCCTAATGATTGTGGACACATGCACACACACCCCAACCTCCTAAGCCCTTTTTAGGTATGCCTGTAGGCATTAATTCAAATAAACAAGTACTAACTGAACACCAATGCTGCACAAACCACTGTACTACTTGAGGTAAGTAGATACAATAAATAAATACTTTTTGTATGAAAACTCAGATTAATCAATAGATGAAGTCCAGGGAGCTTTGTTTTAAAGGATTCTGAAGACTTTTCCAAACATTTTGGTAAGGAATGTTGTGATTGATTATCAATGTCTGCCTGGAGCAAGACATGAGGGAAAGGCAGGCAGAACATTGCATACTTGCCATCCTAACTAAAGGAGATATAAACACATATTAAGGGATTTCTTGTCCCAAAGAATCTCTCAGTCTAGTGGGAAAGACAGACAAATACATAAATAACTAAACCACAAGGCACACAAGCCCACAGTGAAATATTAACAAACTTCTATGATGATATTTTGGAGAAAAAATGTACTTGACAGTGAGGATTGAGAAAAGTCTTGGAGAAGCAGTGAAATTTGAGCTGAACTTTAAGTGGAATTAAATCATCTGTGAATTCAGGTGAAAGTTACAACTGAAAGGGGTTTTTGGATATTTGGTTTTCTGTTTTTTTTCTGTTTCAGATCCAGCATTTCATTTTGGACTTTATGTGTTCTACACCCTTGCGTTATTAGAGTTGAGGAAGCTAATGTCAAATGTCACTCCTGACTTCCTTCTCTAATTATTTTAGGACATTCTGTGTCTCTCCGGCCATGCCAGGCATGTTCCCACTTTCAACCCATCCTTCAGCACTTCAAGGGTCTGAGATCCATTTCCAGGATTCATGGACAGAAGATTCCTGTTGGCTCACAGTGTAGTCATTGGTCATGCCATTGTGTGTCGATCACCTTCCTTGAAACATAAGATTTTCCTTATCACAAAACACATGAATACCTTTGAACTGAAATGGTTTGTGAATTTAATTTGTCATTTTTTTGCATCAGAGGCTGTCTTTCTGGTGAGATATAGGTGTGGGAGCCAAAAGAAGTTAAACTCGCCACTGTGTGCATTGGAGCAGGTCATCCTTGAAACCGTGTAGGGTAAAGAGACTAGAGAGCATCTGTGTTCAGATTCTGTCTTCGCTTTGATCTGAGACATCCAGAAAAATCACATTTCCTCTGAGTTATTATTTTATCATGTGCCATTTGAAAACATTGGAGAAGATGATCTATATGTGCTCCTCTGACATAAATTTCTGTGATGTCTATAAAAGGGATAGCTCTGGCTGGGCGCGGTGGCTCACGCCTGTAATCCCAGCACTTTGGGAGGCCAAGGCAGGCAGATCACGAGGTCAGGAATTCGAGACCAACCTGACCAACATGGTAAAACCCCATCTCTACTGAAAATACAAAAATTAGCCATGCGTGGTGGTGCACGCCGGTAATCCCAGCTACTCAGGAGGCTGAGGCAGGAGAATCACTTGAACCCGGGAGGCAGAGGTTTTTCAGTGAACCGAGATCGCACCACTGCACTCCAGCCTGGGCAACAGAGCAAGACTCTGTCAAGAAAAAAAAAAAAAAAGAATGGCATAACTCTATCAGACAGTGAAGGGTGTGGATATTTGGATAGAGGTTAAAATCAGACATTGCGAAGCTGCTTCAAGTCACCTTCCTTGTGATGGTCATGAATTCTGTTATTCCTGTTAGAAGGGTTGAAGGCCTAAGCCATTCTTTCTGTTCTTTGCCAGGGAACTCAAGATCTGCAGAGTGTGTGCCACCTAACTACTCATAGGTTGTAGGCAGGAGAGAGATGAAATAGAAATATGTAGCTGGATCTGCACAGATGGCAGTCCCTGAATTAGCCACCTGCCATGGTAAGCATATGACTGACCATAGAACAAAGAAAGGGTAAAAGGGAGCACTGTGCCTGTGTATGGAATAAGTTACACAGTAACCCTGCTCACTGGTAAAAAGTATTGCAATGAATGTCCTGGGCAGAGCTAGGAAAGAAGTGAGCAGATGGGCAGAGGCACAGGAAGTCAGTTTCAAAACTTTCCCTCAAACTCATGAGATCCAGCCAGCAACTGCCTGAGAACTTGGCACATCAGGGCAACACTCAACAGTCATTTTCATTTTGAAAGCACAGAAAAAAATACAAGAAAAGCAATAACAACAACCAAAGCAAAGTAATATATGAATCATTTGAGAATAATTAAGTAGTAGTTTTCTTTTGACTAATTACAAATGTATTTAGAGTTTAGAGAAGAAAGGTCAAATGAGCCGGAGAGATTAACAAAACCCTCCGGGATGAGACTGGATTTGAAGTGATCTTGAAGAATAGGAGGGGATATTAGAAAAAGTGGTAATAAGCTTTACAAGTGTAAGGGATAAGATCTGAATACATATATACACTATTACAACAGGAAAATACCAAGAGAATACATTTCAGGAAAGGTAAGAAAATAAGCAAAGGCACAGAACTGGGACTCAACGTGGCTTGTTTGGGAATGAGAAGAATAATCCCAACAACACTGGTGAGCAGAGGACATGGGGAGGTGTCTGGAGGGATGGGGTGAAGTTAGGTTTTGGAGACAGTGAAGTTTGGACTTACCTAGAAGCCAACAGTAAGATTTATTGACAGAAAATAGGAAACAGGGGAGTGACAATATAAGAGCAGGATTTTAAGAAAATAATTCTTGTGGCTCATGAAAGAGGAATTGGCATTGAGGGGCTGGCTTGGAGATTGCTGCAGAAATCCAGCCAGAGGTATTGAAGACCTACAACACATGGTTAGAGGCTCAAAAATATCCATAAGCTGAATGGTTGAATCCTGGATTGAAGAATGGCTGCAGAAATGGAGATAAAATGTCAACTCAGAGAGGCAATTTAAATGAATAGGTGTCACGTCTCAATGACAAATTGGATACCCAAGTGAATAATTTTATGAAATATCTCTCTAGATGTATATGTGTACCTTAAATGACTTCCTATATACTTTTCTCAAGGAAATGATATATAATTCCAATTTGGAACTAGATTTCACTTTAGGTCTAATTCAAGCAACAAGGATTAAACGACTGACTTCCTAATGCAAATTTTTGCTCCAGCCAATGGCAGGAACTCCAACATAACCAGTGAGGAAGTTGTTCATGATGGTTCTCATCCAATTTGGCAGGCTCCATCACCTCAAAGTTTCCCAAGGAACTCACCAAATCTGGGTTATGTGAGAAGAGAATTTGGAAAGGGGATGCCCTTTTCGAGAGCCTTCCTAGATATTGTATTGTCACATTGAAACCTCACATCAACCCTATTGATATGACACACAGATCTTCCTGTTTAACGGCAAAGAAACAGTTACAGAAAGAAAGTGAGAATGAGGCAGGGCCAGCCAGCCAGGTTGTGGATGCACATAAGATCCAGTTTGCTCTTCTCTAAACACATACTTTTCCCTATACAATTCAGGGATTATGCTTTCAAACCCAGGGGCATATTTATTCTTTGATTCAAAGTGGCATGCTGTAAATAACTCTCTCTTTCCAAGTGCCCAGACACTAGTCTTTATAAATAAAAAGAAAAAAAAAGACATGACTGGGGAGTTCCCTGTAGGACAAGAGTCCTTTCTCTAGCGTGACTTGATCCAAAATAAAGTCTAAAAAGAAGCTTTTGTTCAAAAGGATGCTGTTAGAAATGTGCACCTCTTTTCTTCCAAGCTGCATATGCACCTGTTCCTCAGTCACCTTTGTGCATTCCTCTTCTCAATGGATGTGTGTTCTGAACTTTGCCTTGATTGATTCCAGAGGATTTTATGTTTAGACTTAGCTCATGGCTGGATCCAGGGGACCTTGTCTTACTTCTCTTCTAGGGCATCATCTATTGAATTGACCTGTATCATCTGAAAGGCAGCAAATGTGGTGATGTTTTGAATGCAGCAAGACCATCTCTGCTGTCTCCATAATTTGCTTCAGCTTCCTATTTCCTCTTCCAAAGAATCCTAGGATGTAATCGCCATGATGTAGAGGAAGGAAGCAGGCAAAGTGGGCACAGAAACGCGGGCTACAGCACATAGCCAGTGCACCGACAAAGAGTGGAGCTGAATAAGAAAGCATATCTAAAGTTCCTCAGGTCTTATGAATGCTGAGCTTCTATCAGAACATGTGTCAGCTGCAGCCTGCCAGGGAGCATACCAGGCTGAGGGGCAAAAATGCAATGGCTACTCCCTAAATGTAGGATGGAAAGGAAAATGTACATACCTTTGCTGGTGAGTGTGTGTGGTGTGGGGGCTTAAATAAGAACAGGGTTTGGGGAAAAATTAGGGTTTCACCAATAAATATTCATCGATACCTTTGTGTTTGTCAGGATAATATGCTAGTTGGTAAGGATATAGCAAAGAAGATAGAATTCATGTTGGAGACTGGCACTAATGTGATCACACAAATATCATAAACTGTGTTTAATGAAGGAAAAAATTCTATGAAGGTATGAATGTGTACAAGAAGAAGTTCTGATTTAGCTTGAGCAGGGAGCCATTGCAGGCAGGAGGCGGGAGCAAGGCATGAGGAGAAAGTGTTCCAGTGTGTTCTAAGCCTATTGTGCAAAATAAGGCCAGTGAGGCTGGGGGAGAGAGGGGAATAACCCAGGGATGGAGAGGTGGGTGAGAATCAACTCAGGCAGTGCTCTGTGGGCTACAATGAGCGTTCTGATACCTGATTGATGGAAAATTTACTTTGATCACTAATTGTTGGGACCCTTGATGGGTTTTAGTGGATAGGTAAAGTGACTGAATTTGTAGTTTTTAAAGATTATTCTGGCCATATGTAAGGAATTAGAACACTGAAAGCTTACATATGGATAATCAGTATCTAGTAAGATATAGTGAAGTTGTCACCTTGTGGGCAAGATGAATAGACAAAGGAGAGGGGTCAGTTTTTGTTCAGCATCTTTTATACACCAAGGACTGTGATAAGGATTTAGAGATTCTCATTTTATTTAATCTCCATAACCTTTCTATGATGTAGGTGGTATTTCTGTCCTTTGACAGATTAGGGAATACTTACTTTAGACAAATTTATCCATTCAGGGATCTATCCATGCATCCATCCATCCATCCATCCATCCTTGCATTCATCCATCCATCCATCCATCCATCCATCCATCCATCCATCCATCCATCCATCTATCCACCAGCTTATTTACTCACCCACCTAACCCAATATTTTACTGAGCACTACAATGAAGGTACCTGGTTAGGCACTGAGGTTATATTGGTAAACAAGACATGGTCCATACCCTCAATGAGCTCGTAGTCTAGTAGAGATGCAAATAAGTAAATGGGTGATTACAGTTAAGTGGAGAAAGTTCTGTAATGTGGTTAAGCCCATAGTGCTTGGAAGAGCAAGGTCAAAGCACCCAGCCTCATGGTGGTAGGTCAGAAATCTTACCCAAGGTCTCATAACCAGTGCCTTGAGTGTCAGAACCAAATCCCAAATCCATGTAGGGCTGCTTAATCTGAAACCAAAATGGTTTTCATTTTACCATTATGTAAAGTAATTATGCAAAGAATTACTTTGGATTTTTTGTAAAGTGTCTGAAAACATGTGACCCATGTTGACTAAATCCCACTGAAGTTTGGCTGCTATGAGCGGTGTGAATAAGTGCAACCAAGGCTGGCAGACCTTGGCTACCCTCACCCCACCACTAGACTTGGCTAGAGCCAGACCACTCTGGAAGCCTTGAGCACTGGGGCCTCCATAAGCACCTGCCCAGGACAGGGCGTGCATTTAATGAGCTCTGCTATGGCAGAGGGGCACCTGGCACCTCAGCCGATGGAAACAGCCTCTCTGGCCAAACAAAAATGAAGTGCACAGGCTGCCAACGTTTTGGAGCATGAGAGAAAGAAATCTGGGTTGAGTGAGGAACAGCTATTAATTATAATCTCAGTTCGGGCCTTAGAGTAGTGAGAAGTGCTTCTGGAAATCACTTGTCTCAGAGAAAATGAGAGTGCTGGCCCTCATTCTGCTCCAACCCAAGGGGCCACAGGGGCCTTGCAGGGATGCATGAACACACACACACACACACACACAAACACACACACACACACACAAACACACACACACACACACAAACACACACACAAACACACACACACACACAAACACACACACACACACACACACACACACAAACACACACACACACACTCTCTCTCTCTCTCTCACACACACACACACAAATGCTTTACTGAACACTAATTATGTGTCAAGTATGACACTCAGTGTTTGCCTACATTATCTTAGCTTCTTCCTACAACAGCTCCATAGTATTTCTTAATCATTATATATTCCCTCTCAGTGGAGTAAAAATATAGACTCCCTCCGCTTCGCCCTCCACTTAGCTTTTCCAAACTCTTTCTGTGTTTTTAATTTTTAATTTTTATGGCTACATAATAATTGTACATATTTAGGGGCTACATGTGATATTTTCATATGTATACAATGTGTAATGATTAAATCTGGGTGACTGCAATATTCATCACCTCACATGTTCATCATTTCTTTGGTTGGGCATATTCCAAATCTTTTCTTCTAGCTATTTTGAAATGGACAATAAATTATTGTTAACTATAGTTGCCCTATTTTGTTTTTGAACACTAGAACTTATTTCTTCTATCTAACTGTATTTTTGTACCCATTAACCAACACTTCTTCATCCCCCCCTTCCCACTACCCTTCCCAGCTTCTAGTTACCACCATTCTAATCACTGCCTCTATGAGATCAATTTTTCTATCTCCAGACTCTTTTCTGACTTTTAACAAGTTTATGAAAAAGGGTAAGTTACTTTGAAAATATACTATTTGGCATTGACATCTTTTTTCCCACTGTGATCCGAGGAAGGGAGCCAACATTTATGACTTGGGTCTTTGAAGGGAATTACGCTGCATCATCCCAGATGACCATAGGAAGGAGAAATGTGGTCTTTTATTTGGAGGGAGTGGTGGAAAGAGTTTTACAGGAGTGGAGGAGACTGAGCATCTTCTGCCTAGAGAGGGGATGTATCTGAGTAGCAGACACTGGCCTGGGAAATGAAAGTGTGCTGCCATGTCTGTGTGCAATGAGAAGAACCACTATGCAAAGCATCTCAGTGCCTTATGGAGTAGCTGTGCCTTGGATCAACGTTTGTAGTCAAAGGACTCAGCATACAGGGGGAAACTACATCCACTGCCATGAAATAAGGACCTGTTCTCTACTTTATTCCTAAAAGTTACTCCACCCTCAAGGAATAGAGAGGCAGTACTAGAAGGGGGAAGCTCACATATTCTATAAATATTTCCATAGACACTGCTCATAAACCCACAAAACAAGCCCATTCACTCATACACACAAATTCACAATCATACGAACTCAGTAATATACACAGCGCTTCTATCATTCACTCATTTTTTTAGTGACCGCAAATGTATGCATATATGGGTGTGTGTGCATGTATGTATGTGCAAGTACATGTATGCATCTATGTGTGTGCATTAATTCGGGGGACAGGGATGCCAGGGGGCCATCTGAATGATCCATTTAGGGCTGCACATGAAAGTAATAGATTTCTTAAAGACACAAATTAATATTATTGAGTGACATAGAAAAAGGGAGGGAGAGGGAGAGAAAGAGAGATGGCCAGTAAGAGAAGCCTCCTTGATTAGGGGACAGGGTGTCTTTCATTATATGCAAAATCAAGGCCAAGGCAGATGGGTGACTGCCTACCTGCCATGTTGGAAATCTCTTCTCCACCCCAAAGTCTCCCCTTAGTAATTCTTCAGCACCCTGGATCATCTCCCACAAGTCACTCTTTGAGCTTAGGGAAAAGTGCTTATGTTTTGGCAGGGGTTGGAGGGGAGATGTTTATGTATTAACTCTCTATCCATATAGTGAGTTAGTTACAATCTTGTCCTAGAGATAAGGTTAAATCCTGTTTGCACTACTAATTATCTGAATGATTTTGGCAACCTTTTGTACCTCTCTTAGCTGCCATCTTCTCATGTATAAAATGGTTTTTGTTCTTTTTTGTTTGTTTTTGTTACTGGTGTCATTTTTACACTATAGCATGGTGAAGAGGATTAAATGAGGAGATGCAAATGAAGTAGAAGTCTCATTCAACACTATCATTGTCTTCACAAGCCATTGATCTCTTATGTAAGATGTAGTGGCAGATTGACCAGTTCTGTGACTGCAAATCACAGAAGATGAGCAATAGGATGAATATCTTTTGATATGAAAGAGGGAATGAGGAACTGCCAAGGATGAGGGGATGTTCATCAGGAAAAGCAGAGCTGAGTAGGGTCCGGAGTTGATGGTGATGGGAGGGCAAACTTTCACATGTGTGTAGGTGTGGGGATGATGGCCCTGTAATAGCAACAGTTACTTTAGTCTCTTCAAGCTTGATGGGAGGTCAGTCAAATATCGTCTGTCACCAGGACTGCCCTATTCTAAGTTCCTGCCAGAGCCCTGTGTCTTGCAACCTGAGAGCCTGAACAGACAGAGATTTGCTAGACCAATCCTATCATGGTCCAGAAGAAAGCAGTGCAGGTCAGAGAGGAAGGACATGTGTCCAAAGTCATACAGCAGGCCCGCTCTGGAGTTAGGTCTGGAACTTAGGTAATTGGATGCCAATTAGAACACATTTCAATGACTGCACTGTCTCAAATCAAATTCCAGGACCAGTCTGTGATAGAGGTCTTTATTACCCCAGCTCCCTTGTATTGTAGCTTACCTGACCTGACGCTGCCACTAGCTAACTATGGCCCTCAGGGGCACCCTGTTACTCTCTCTGTTTGTAAATTGGGTGGCTGATCTGAATGGTTTCTAAGGTCCCTTTAGCTTTGATGGTCTGTGCTTCCCCGGCTCACGTGTCGTGGAAACTGTCAGATACCCGAGTAGGAGGAGGACGCAGCATGACAGGTGGTGTCCCTGACTCTGGAGGGGGACTTGGCAGAGCTGCCTCCTCTGATGGGGATGGGGAGGGTGGGAGCTGGCAGGAGGATCCACCCACTTTGGACAAAAGCTATGATTCACCAAGTGGAGGAAGGAAGGAGGGAGGCACCTCAGCCAGTAGCATGGGACATTCCACAAAAGGTGTCTGTGATCTTCTAAGCTCTGAATCCCCAGGCCTTTACTGTGCACAAAAGGCTTGTAGCTGACTCAGGCAAACCCCAAAATTTTAATCCACAATGTTCTCACTGAGATTCAAGGAGAACATTATTTTTGTGATAAAGATATTTCAGGATGACTCAGCGAATTTTCATGACTCAGTTCTCCATGCCATAGCCAGACAAATCTTTCTAAAATAAAAATTGGGTCATGGCATTTTCTAGCTGAAAACCTTTCAGGGACTTCCTCAATCCTTGCTGTGGCCTCCAGAGTCTTGTGAGATGTGGCCTTTGCCTGCCTCTCTGGCCTCCTTCTAGCCCATACTTCCCCACTCATTGCAACAGTCCACTCACAGTCGTCCCATCCTTTTCTCAAAGAACCCAACTCATTCCCATTTCATTGCTTTTGTATGTTCTGTTCTTGCCACCAGGAATTTTGTTCTCCCCACTCTTTGACCATCTATCACTGATTTTTCTTCACTCTTTGATTATGTATCAATTTATCAGGAAAGCTCTTCTTACCCTTTCTCACTCTAAATGATGATCCTGTTTCTTATTCTGGTTCACACTATTTTAACATCATCGTTGTCCTCTTGACACTTACCTAAATTTGTAATTCTGTATTTATTTAGGCTTATTTGTTGCTCTCTCTCTCTCTCCCTCCCTATTATTGCCAAGCCTCCCAAGACCAAGAAACATGTTTATTCTTCTCATCCCTGAAATGTCAGTCCATAGCACAGTGCCTGGCAAAGTAGTGAACACTGAGGAAGATTTTTTTTGTTCGCTTTAAAAAAAAATAAATGTATAATCATTGAGTCCAAACATCAGGAATAACTGCCATAAAGCGCAGAATATGCATGGTCTTTCCCAAAGGGGCTTTGGGGAACTTGTGCATTTAAGTAAATCAGTGCTTTTGTCACCCCTCTGGGGGAAGAGTCACTTTAGAACCATGCAATGTCCAGAGTGCTACAAACAGCATCCAACTTAACGGTTTCAAATTCTCTTTTAGTCATGAGCCTGTTTCTCAGCCAAAGCTGTGTCCAAACCCCAACATATAAACCACATGAAATCAAAGGTCTCTGGCTAATGTAGGGGCTGGGGCAGAGGGGAAGGAATTTTTAGAATCTTCACTCTTCCCTAGTGGTGTACCTAGGGTGGCGCAGGAGGGTGTTTCACTTTGGGGTGTAGGCAATAGGGGGTATATTATCTGTAGAGAATTTAAAAACAATAATGCAATCGATAAACAACAAATATAAACCAATAATATTAACTAAAATTTGGTCTGTTTTTCAATAGGCAGTGCTAGACAGTATCAATGATAAAATGCTCTTCCCTGTCCCCCATCCCCTCCCAACACACATACATTATTTGTATGCTTCGGATCCTCTGGCTTTTCTCCATGAAATTCTTATCCAAAGCCCTCATTATAGAAGAAACTGACTTGGTCAGACTATAGGAGCTCCCATGTGGGGCAAGCCCAGAATGAGGGCATGCAAATGGAATTAAGTCAACCTATGTTGAGCATAAGTTCAAAGGGCTTTAGTGTTACCCTTCTGGGTACTCCCAGGACAGAAGCTTTTGTCTTTGAAAGACAGGATTGGATCGAGGTTAAGGGCAAGGACTGTGCAGCCAGCCAGCCTGGATTCAAATCTCAGCTGTGTCCTTTACTAATGTGTTGAGCTTAGGTAACTTACTTGAGCTCTTTAAGCTTAAGTCTTCATTTACAAAATGTAGAAAGGAAAGTGACCTATCTCTGAGTATTACTTTGATAATCAGAAAAGGTAATCAAGGTTAATTGTTTAGCAAGGGAGTAATCACTAGTACATGTGAACT
Source organism: Homo sapiens (assembly GCF_000001405.40). Classification (NCBI taxonomy): domain Eukaryota; kingdom Metazoa; phylum Chordata; class Mammalia; order Primates; family Hominidae; genus Homo; species Homo sapiens. The sequence goes on from NC_000009.12 coordinate 119,502,267, forward strand.
ATAGTCCTTGCTTGGGATTTACATATCTGGTATCCTCTTTATTCTGATGCCTGGTTTCTGGCTGTTGGATAAAACACACATGGTATCAGGGTATCTTTGACTCCAATATTTTAGGGGAACCTCTCTCCATGTGGAGATGCTACTTGGTAGGGGTTGACTATACAAGATATTGAGATCCACATGAATCCCAGGAATATCTGATGGAAACCCTAAAAAAAATATGAAAACTTTCATCTTTCTGCTTGGACTTGATAATCTAATGACTGAGCTCAAGGAGGAGGATTAGGACTGTTCTTGTGCTCTGGACATAGCCAGAAGTGCTATCATTAACAAAATAATAATGAAAAGTAGCTCTCTAGATTCCTTCTATCTGGTCAGGGCATCTCTGAAAGAAAGGCAGCAGGCCCAGTTAGGGGCTTATAGATAAAATTCCCATCTCCCTGGGACAAAGCACCTGGGGGAAGTGGCAGCTGTGGGTGCAGCTTCAGCAGACTCAAATTTTCCTGCCTGCTGGCTTTGAAGAGAGCAGCAGGTCTCCCAGCACAGTGCTTGAGCTCTGCTAAGGGACAGACTGCCTCCTCAAGTGGGTCTCTGAACCCTGTGCCTCCTGACTGGGAAACATTTCCCAAAAGGGGTCGACAGACACCTCATACAGGAGAGCTCCAGCTGGCATCTGGCAGGTGCCCCTCTGGGACAAAGCTTCCAGAGGAAGGAACAGGCAGAAATCTTTGCTGTTCTGCAGCCTCCACTGGTGATACCCTGGCAAACAGGGTCTGGAGTGGACCCTAGCAAACTGCAGCAGACCTGCAGCAGAGGGGCCTGACTACTAGAAGGAAAACTAGCAAACAGAAAGGAATAGCATCAGCATAAACAAAAAGAATGTTCACACAAAAACCCCATCTGAAAGTCACCAACATCAAAGACCAAAGGTAGATAAATCCATGAAGATGAGGAAAAACCAGTGCAAAAAGGCTGAAAATTCCAAAAACCAGAACTCCTCTTCTCCTCCAAAGGATCACAACTCCTCACCAACAAGGGAACAAAACTGGATGGAGAATGAATTTGATGAACTGACAGAAGTAGGCTTCAGAAGGTGGGTAATAACAAACTCCTCTGAACTAAAGGAGCATGTTCTAACCTAATGCAAGGAAGCTAGGAACCTCAAAAAAAGGTTAGAGGAATTGCTAACTAGAATAACCAGTTTAGGGAAGAACATAAATGACCTGATGGAGCTGAAAAACACAGCATGAGAACTTCATGAAGCACACACAAGTATCAATAGCCGAATCGATCAAGTGGAAGAAAGGATATCAGAGATTGAAGATCAACTTAATGAAATAAAGCATGAAGACCGTATTAGAGAGAAAAGAATGAAGAGAAAGGAACAAATCCTCCATGAAATATGGGACAATGTGGAAAGATCAAACCTATATTTGATTGGTACACCTGAAAGTGACAGGGAGAATGAAGCCAAGTTGGAAAACATTCTTCAAGATATTGTCCAGGAGAACTTTCCCAACCTAGCAAGACAGGCCAACATTCAAATTCAAGAACTGCAGAGAACACCACAAAGATAATTCTCGAGAAGAGCAACCCCAAGACACATAAGCATCAGATTCACCAAGGATGAAATGAAGGAAAAAATGTTAAAGGCAGCCAGACAGAAAGGTCAAGTTACCCACAAAGGGAAGCCCATCAGAATAATGGTGTATCTCTCTGCAGAAACCCTACAAGCCAGAAGAGAGTAGGGGCCAACATTCAACATTCTTAAAGAAAAGAATTTTCAACCCAGAATTTCACATCCAGCCAAACTAAGCTTCATTAGCAAAGGAGAAATAAAATCCTTTAAAGACAAGCAAATGCTGAGAGATTTTGTTACCACCAGGCTTGCCTTATAAAAGCTCCTGAAGGAAACACTAAATATAGAAAGGAAAAACCGGTACCAGACACTGAAAAAACATACCGAATTGCAAAGACCATCGACACTATGAAGAAACCGAATCAACTAATGGGCAAAATAAAGAGCTAGCGTCATAATGACAGGATCAAATTCACACATAACAATATTAACCTTAAATGTAAATGGGCTAAATGCCCCAATTAAAAGACAGAGACTGGCAAGTTGGATAAAAAGTCAAGACCCATCAGTGTGCTGTGTTCAGGAGACACATCTCGCATGCAAAGACACACACAGGCTCAAAATAAAGGGATGGAGGAATATTTAGCAAGCAAACAGAAAGCAAAAAAAGCAGGGGTTGCAATCCCAGTTGCTGATAAAACAGACATTAACCAACAAACATAAAAAAAAAAAAAAGAAGGGCATTATATAATAGTAAAGGGATCAATGCAACAAGAAGAGCTAACTATCCTAAATATATATGCACTTAATACAAGAGCATCCAGATTCACAAAGCAAGTCCTTAGAGACCTACAAAGAGACTTAGACTCCCACACAATAATAGTGGGAGAGTTTAACACCCCACTGTCAATATTAGATCAATGAGACAGATTATTAACAAGGATATTCAGGACTTGAACTCAGCTCTGGACCAAGTGGACCTAATAGACATCTACAGAACTCTCCACCCCAAATCAACAGAATACACATTCTTCTCAGCACCACATTGCACTTATTCTAAAATTGACCACGTAATTGGAAGTAAAACACTCCTCAGCAAATGCAAAAGAATGGAAATCATAACAGTCTCTCAGACCACAGTACAATCAAATTAGAACTCAGGATTAAGAAACTCACTCAAAATCGCACAACTACATGGAAACTGAGCAACCTGCTCCTGAATGACTACAGGGTAAATAACGAAATTAAGGGAGAAATAAATAAGCTATGTGAAACCACTGAGAACAAAGACACAATATACCAGAATCTTTGGGACACAGCTAAAGCAGTGTGTACAGGGAAATTTATAGCACCAAATGCCCACAAGGGAAAGCAGGAAAGATCTAAAATCAACACCCTAACATCACAATTAAAAGAACTAGAGAAGCAAGAGCAAACAAATTCAAAAGCTAGCAGAATACAAGAAATAACTAAGACTAAAGCTGAACTGAAGGAGATAGAGAAACTAAAATCCTTTTGAAAAATCAATGAATACAGGAGCTTGTTTTTTGAAAAAAATTAACAAAATAGATAGACTGCTAGCCAGACTAATAAAGAAGAAAAGACAGAAGAATCAAATAGACACAATAAAAACTGATGAAGGGGAGATCACCGCCTATCCCAAAGAAATAAAAACTACCATCAGAAAATACTATAAACACCTCTATACAAATAAACTAAAAAATCTAGAAGAAATGGGTAAATTCCTGGACACATACACCCTCCCAAGACTAAACCAGGAAGAAGTCAAATATCTGAATAGAACAATAAAAAGTTCTGAAGTCGAGGCAATAAATAATAGCCTACCAACCAAAAAAGGCCCAGGACCAGAAGGATTACAGCTGAATTCTACCAGAGGTACAAAGAGGAGTTGGTACCATTACTTCTGAAACTATTCCAAACAATAGAAAAAGAGGGAATCCTTCCTAACTCATTTTATGAGGCCAGCATCATCCTTATACAAAAACCTGGCAGAGACACAACAAAAAAAGAAAATTTCAGGCCAATATCCCTGATGAACATCAGTGTGAAAATCCTCAATAAAACACTGGCAAACCAAATCCAGCAGCACATCAAAAAGCTTACCCACCACGATCAAGTTGGCTTCCTCTCTGGGATGCAAGGCTGGTTCAACATACACAAGTCAATAAACGTAATCTGTCACATAAAGAGAACCAATGACAAAAACCACATGATTATCTCAATAGATGCAGAAAAGGCCTTTGATAAAATTCAACAGCCCTTCATGCTAAAAACTCTCAATAAACTAGGTATTCATGGAACATATTTCAAAATAATAAGAGCTATTTATGACAAACTACAGCCAATATCATACTGAATGGGCAAAAACTGGAAGCATTCCCTTTGAAAGCCAGCACAAGACAAGGATCCCCTTGCTCACCACTCCTATTCAACATAGTATTGGAAGTTCTGGCCAGGGCAATCAGGCAAGAGAAAGAAATAAAGCATATTGAAATAGGAAGAGAGGAAGTCAAATTGTCTCTGTTTGCAGATGACATGGCTGTATATTTAGAAAACGCCATCGTCTCAGTCCAAAATCTCCTTAAGCTGATAAGCAACTTCAGCAAAGTCTCAGGATACAAAATCAATTTGGAAAAAATCACAAGCCTTCCTATACACCAATAACAGACAAACAGAGAGCCCAATCATGAGGGAACTCCCATTCACAATTCCTACAAAGAGAATAAAATACCCAGGAATCCAGCTTACAAGGGATGTGAAGGACCTCTTCAAGGAGAACTACAAACCACTGCTCCAGGAAATAAGAGAGGACACAAACAAATGGAAAAACATTCCATGCTCAATAGGGAAAGGATTCCCTATTTAATAAATGGTGTTGGGAAAACTGGCTAGCCATATGCAGAAAACTGAAACTGGACCCCTTCCTTACATCTTATACAAAAAATAACTCAAGATGAATTAATGACTTAACGTATGACCTAAAACTGTAAAAACTCTAGAAGAAAACCTAGGTAATACCATTCAGGACATCATGATTAAAATACCAAAAGCAATAGCAACAAATGCCAAAATTGACAAATGAGATCTAATTAAACTAAAGAGCTCATCCACAGCAAAAGAAACTATCATCAGAGTGAACAGGCAACCTACAGAATGGGAGAAAATTTTTGCAATCTACCCATCTGAAAAAGGGCTAATATCCAGAATCTACAAGGAACTTAAACAAATTTGCAAGAAAAAAAACCCCCACCAAAAAGTGGGTGAAGGATATGAACACACACTTCTCAAAAGAAGACATTTATGTGGCCAAAAAACATATGAAAAAAAAGCTCATCATCACTGGTCATTAGAGAAATGCAAATCAAAACCACAATGAGTTACCATCTCACGGCAGTTAGAACGGCGATCATTAAGAAGTCAGGAAACAACAGATACTGGAGAGGATGTAGAGAAATAGGAACGCTTTTACACTGTTGGTGGAAGTGTAAATTAGTTCAACCATTGTGGAAGACAGCACGGCAATTCCTCAAGGATCTAGAACTAGAAATACCATTTGACCCAGCAATCCCATTACTGGGTATATACCCAAAGGATTATAAATCATTCTACTAGAAAGGCACATGCACACGTATGTTTATTGCGCACTAATCACAAGAGCAAAGACTTAGAACCAACCCAAATGCCCATCGGGATAGACTGGATAAAGAAAATGTGGTACATATACACTGTGGACTACTATGCACCCATAAAAAAGGATGAATTCATGTCCTTCGCAGGGACATGGATGAAGCTGGAAACCATGATCCTCAGCAAACTAACACAGGAACAGAAAACCAAACACCGCAAGTTTTCACTCATAAGTGGGAGTTGAAAAATGAGAACACATGGACACAGGGAGGGGAACATTACACACTGGGGCCTCTTGGGGGTTTGAGGGGCTAGGGGAGGGATAGCATTAGGAGAAATACCTAATGTAGGTGACGAGTTGATGGGTGCAGCAAACCAACATGTTACGTGTATACCTATGTAACAAACCTTCACTTCCTGCACATGTACCCCAGAACTTAAAGTATAATTTAAAAAAAATCCAATGAAACCCCTATTCAAATCTATGTCACTAGTTCTTGAAATGTGGTTACTGTTGGTTTGAATAAAGGCATTTTGTCCATCCCTTAAAAAAATAATAATGAAAAGTGAAAGTTTTTTTAGAGTTAGGTTTGAGATACTGGTTTTTCTTCTTCCACAATCCTGGCAGGCCTCATGGGTTCCCTTGGACAAGATTAATTTCCTCTTGTCTGTCTTACCTTAAAACTCCCAGTAAAGCCAGAGCACACTCAGCGTTTTAGAAGCAGAAACACCACATTGCACAGTACGTCTTACTGATACATTGATGAGTTATATTTTTAAAGAGAGAAAAGGAGTCATAAAACATTTACTGCATTCTACCAGGAGCCTGGTGCTGTGTAAGACACTTCTTGTAGGGCATTTCATTTAATCCCTGTAATAATCCTTCAAGATATTCCCATTTGTCTGATTGGAAAATTGATGCTCAAGAAGTAAAATAACTTGTCCAAGGCTATGCAGCTTAGAGGGAATACAGCAAGTATCAGAACCCAGGTCCAAGAGACTCTGAAGTCTTTACTGTTTCTTCTATTTTACTCTGTTGTCCTTTTCAAATTTTATTCTCAAGCATTAATTTATTTATTGTTAAAACAGCCTTGGGAGGTAGAGGACACTGTGTCCATTTTAGAGAAGGAATCAGAACTTGAAAAGGGATAACAATGGGTGTCCCTTGTCACATAACAATTTTGAGGGCACAGCTGCGTATAAGAAATGCAGTGTTTGTTAATGAAAAACCTCCCTCCACTATGCCTTGGAGGATCTCAAATCCTTTGTAACTCCCTAGCATCTTTTATTTTATTTATTTTTTTAATTACACTTTAAGTTCTAGGGTACATGTGCAGAATGTGCAGGTTTGTTACATAGGTATACACGTGCCATGGTGGTTTGCTGCACCCATCAGCCTGTCACCTACATTAGGTATTTCTCCTAATGCTATCCCTCCCTTACCCCCCACTCCCAGACAGGCCCCAGTGTGTGATATTCCCCTCCCTGTGTCCATGTGTTTTCATTGTTCAACTCCCACCCCAGCATCTTTTCTAAGGGAGGTAGAGAAAGGACAAGGGAAGGTGAATAATTTTTAGAAGGCCATACAGTAAAATATTTCTCAGTCTTGCATCTGTAGGGCTTTGGAGAACCTCCTCTAATGGGCTCTGCTTCAAGGTTTTCGGAAACAAAAGCTTTGTTCTGGATCCCTGTGGCATCAGATCTTGGGTGGAATGGAATTTTCCATTGATTGAGTGAAATTGACTTCTGAGTGACAACATCCTCCTACCTAGAACCTAAATTGAGTCCAGGATTTATGTTCTAGGCACTGCCATGAAATTCATGAGCCCTTGTCTCTGGGGACTGGACTGTCAAGCTTGGTGTGGGCAGGTGCCCATGCTGAAGCCCATCTCTTAGAGCTGAAGGGTGATTTCTGCTCTGTTAGCAGAAAGGAGCACATGGAGAAACCCACTCATCCTGCAGGTCCTAGAACATATTAGTCATGATGATGACTACTGATGACTCTAAGCAATGCAAGATATAGCACAGAACGGTAGAGGGAAGAGAGCCTCTAAGATTGAACAGGTCAGCTTCAAAATAGTTTCCAGATGAGGAAACTGAGGCCCAGAGTGCAATCGTGACTGTTGGGGCTGAGCAGTGTTCCTCTGACTTTTTTATGTGTGGGTGTGGCTGTGTTACAATAAAGCCAGCTCAGCTCCTGCTTATCACATGCACTTGCCACCTGGCCATTGCAATTATATCTATTCATTCATCAGACAAATATGTAGAAAGTGCTTACACATGCCAACACTGTCCTGGATTCAGGTATACAATAGCAAATTAAATAAGGACCCTGCTTTCCTGGAGCCTGGACTTCACAGATTCTTCTCAAGTATTACCTCCTGAGTGAAGCCTTGTCAGGTCACTCCAGACATAAATGGTCCATCTTTCAATATTTTTTTAGAGCATATAAGACCAGAAACTTAGTAATGCCTGACAAATATTTCTTGAATTATTTAATTAACTCAGCTAGTTAGTCATCCACAAACACTTCTTCAGCATTTTCTATGTGCAAGGTCCTACCTTGGGGTTTATCATATGCTGATTAGTATTACGATTCTCTGTATGCATGATTTGTCTTCTCAACTCTAACACAGACTCCTTCACAATGATACAGGCTATTTGTCACATGTGTATGTATATTGTACTTGAAGTTTACTCGGAGTTAGATATCTACTTAGTGTATGTTATTAGAAGGAGAGAGGAAGATGGCCAGCCCTGTCAACTTTTTGAAGCTCCATAATAAGAGAACATATTATCGTTACCATTTCAAAGGCAAAGAAACTATAGATTTTGTAGGTAGGTCATACTAAGAACCAGAATTAGAACCGCGGACTTCTGAATATGGGTCTGAGACCTTTATTCTCTTTGGGTAAGACATAGGATGTTAGAGTAAATTCAGGAGAAAGAGCTCTCAGAAGTTACCTGTAGAGTGAGGAATCCTAGCCACCTTCTGGGAGGGTCATGGCAATCTTCCCTTCATGCATCAATGCCCTTGGCAATCCATTCTGGAACTGAAAAACCTTAATTTCCAGGAAGTCCCTCTTTATAGCCAACTGGAATCTCTCCATCCTGCTTTGCATTGGTTCTGACCTCCAGGGAAATGGAGCTTAATGACCTTAGAGCTTTTGTCTAACATAATGCTTAAGAGCACAGACTTTGGTATCAGACTGAACATGGTTAAGTTTCTTACCTATTTAAGTTTCTGGTTTTTTCCTCTGCAAATTGTGTCAGTGACAGCACTGACTCCTAGGTTTCTGTGAAGATTAAATATTATCTGCACAGGTTTCCTACTCCAGGACTAAGCCCATGGAAGTCCTCAACAAATGTTAGTTCCTGTGGCTGTTTGCTTACATGAAGATAATCAGTCACTCAGCAAACCTTTCCTGAGGGTTTGTCCTATGCCAGGCATTGCATAGTGCTGGAGATTTGAGAAAAACTAAGATCAAAATCCGTGTTCCCCAAAACTTGATGCTGTCACTGGAACCTGACATGTTCACAAGTTTTATTCATTGAGGCAAATTAAACACAGCATAAATGGAATGCTGGTGTTGAAGCACACAGGGAAGAGAGCTTAATTGTAAAGGCAGATTTGAAGGGGGTGTGGCATTAGAGCTTCATTCTGAAGAAAGAACAATGAAGAAGAGGAAGAAGGTTGAGGGAATGGGATGGGCAATGCTGAAGAAGAGCCGAGCATTTTCAAGGAACACCATGTTGTCTGATGCAGCTAGAGCATAAGAAGGATAGATAGGTATAACAGAGAGTAGAACTGGAAAATGTAGGCTCACATCTGCTGCTAGGATGTTTCACTATCATGGAGAGTAACCTGAACTTAGTTTTTTGAATGTCAGGCAGCCATTGTGAAGTTTTGAGAATGGATATGACATGATCTGACCCGAAATTGGATGGAGATTTCAAAGTCAGATGCACAAGGACGATTGGAAAGAAAAGACCCTGGCAGCAGGAAGGGCAGTGAAAAGCTCTGCAGTGGTCTAGACAGTAGGTATTACTCAATTTATTCCAGGGAATGCCCATAATTCCTTACCTTGGCCAACAATGGCTTGAATAATTTAGCCTCTGACTACCTTCTCGCCTCCTTTCCTGCTGCTCTATTCCCTTACTCACTATCCTCTAAACAGACTGGCCTCTGCTCTGATCCTATTAGGTTGGTGCAAAAGTAATTGCAGTTTTTGCCATTAAAATTAATGGCAATTAATGGCAATTTTGTGGACGGAGAGCATATCAACCTACCAGGGACCTGGCATACTACTGGCAAAAACCACAATTACTTTTGCACCAACCTAATAGAATGCCCCCAGTGTACCTAAATCTTGGGATCTTTGCACTCGCTTTTCTCTCTGCCTGCGATATTCCTCTCCTAGTCACCCATATGGTTCAGTTCCTTATAACACTCTTATCTTACCTAGCGGTCACTAACCTGTCTAAAATACCCCCCAGTCATTTTTAAGCCTCTCATCCTGGTTTATTTCTATTCGCAAAAATTATGCTACCTGTCACTATGGCATATCCTTACTTGTTTATATTTTTGTTATCTGTCTTTTTGAGGGTGGGGAACTTATCATCTTCATTCATGCCTATATCCTTAGTGCCTACCCATTAATTATAGGGACTTGGTAAGTATTTGTTTAATGAATGATTGAATGAATAATCTTCATTTACCCCTAAATCACAGCAGTGTCTCACTAGCTAAGGCATTTCTGTGGTGGGACAAAAACAGAAAATGGCTATTCTCCTAGGGGATCTTACAAAATGACCTGTAAAATGTGTGCACAAAGGTGAGCTCAGAGAGTTCACAGCACAAGGGAGGTGTCCCAGTGTGGTGAAAATAAACACTTGCAGCCATAGCTTCTTGGGGCCAAAGGGAAGGTTGAGGATAATATTTTGTGGACTGAGAGCATATCAACCTACTGGGGACCTAGCATACTACTGGCAAATATTAGCTATTCATAAACATTTGATGCATTACTAAATGAACGGCACATTTTGTTGAGTTATTTCTAACGTTTTCATGCCTATTTTAAGAGGCAAGATAGAAAACAGGGAAAAATACTGTACCAGAGGCCAAAGCAGAGCTGGGAGCAATGAGAGGAGGAGTGAGGCAAACTCACGCTTTTATTTATGAAGGCTCATGTAGACCATTTTCCTCTCGCAATGAGTAGTGCTCATATTATGTGGTGTTACACATGCTGGAGCAACAATACCTTGTATTTATGGAGTGGCTGTCTCTGAGGGGCTCAGACCATTTTATAGACATGATCTCATTCATGCTGTCTCAGGTCTTCTATTGAATTACAGAATGGTTCATTGTTCCAAACGATGCAAACTATTTCTTTTAGATGCACTCTTAGAATTATCCATTCTCCTGTTACAGGTTCAAAGATTTACAAATCATCGCCAAATGGCTCCAGAATTGCTACCGCAGGAAAGGAGGTGGGTGGAAATGGAAATGTTCTGAATTTATAATTTATGAACTCTTCAAATATTAGGAAGTCACTTTTTGTACACCCATCTTAAAAACAAGGGAAAACATATGCTATGACTTTGTTGCAGCCATATAATATGATAATAAAGGTAGAAAAAAAGAATATTAATTTTTATAACATTAGCTAAAGCTATAAAAATAAGAGTTAACCAGTGTGGCTAAGAGGCAGGATAATCATAACCATAATAAGCATAAAAGCAGAAGGTAATGTGGACATATTCCCGAGCTAAGGTCACAAGAAGCAGGATCTTCATTTGCTCTGCTATGAAAAACTCTGTGACCTTAAACAAACGCTTAACTTCTCTGTGCCTTGATTGCCTTATCTGACAATGAGAATCGTTGGATTAGGTGCTCTCCAAGTTCCATTAAGGAGATTTCATGAGTCTGTGTGGTTCTGTTACCACCACCACAATCACCAGCACCCACATTATTGCTGTCTAATGCTTAACCTGGAACATAATGGATACCCAAAGTATTTACTGCATAGCAGATGAATTTGTCCAGTGTCCATTAGTTTGCAAACTGAATTTGACTTAATAAACATTTGTTGAGTGTCTACTATGTCCTAGGCACAGAGGTGATGATGGGATATAGAAAAATATAAAAAACATAATGATCAAAATGTATGAAAAGCATGAAAGAAGTCAAAATGCTTGGCTCTGTATCAATAGGGGCTTCCTGGAAGAGATGACATGATCTCAGTTCAAATGGATAATTAATAAAGTTCACCAGATGGACTAGGAAAGGAAAGAAGAAAGAGAAAGCCATTATAGTCAGAGCGAAGAGCATGTCAAAAGACACATAAGTATGAAAGAGATAGAGGAAATGTGAATAAATGTGAGGATGGATCAGTAAGAAGCTAGACTGGGAAAATAGACATGAATCACATGATTAAGATCAAAACCTGGCTTTGGGTCTCAGGTTTCATCTTGCAGGCTATAGTTGCAGAGTTGATAGTATCAGATGCTCATGCTTGATTTTCAAAAGGAACAATGTAAGTTACTTTACCATATTCTTCACTTCAAGGAAAGTATGAATTGCATGTTATTTTTGTTTCGCAAATGGAGAACTTGAGGTTCAGGCAAGATAAGGAACCTGTGCAGAACCAAATAGTTCTTATGCACTTCTAACAAACTCTTTAAATAGAAATCCACCAAAATCTGCTATCTTCTACCTATGTTATTTAACTTATTTTTTCTCTTTACACAGACCCCTTGTTCCAGCTGATAAGTCACTTACCTATTCCTTGAGCACACAGTGACATATTCCTTTCCTGCTCTGGCATCTATGCTGTTCTTTTGATCTAGGGTGTGCTGCTCCTCTCCTCATCCAGTTCAAATCCTACACATGCTTCAACTCAAGCTCCACCTGCACTAGGAAACCTTCCCTGGCCCTTTCAGAAGGACTACTCAATGGTGTATTCAACAATCTCAAGTGGTACACAGCTTCCATGTACTTTGCCTCATGCTAGGCAGTGGTCATACTATGGCAAGCAAAAGACAATTCTTACTCTCACATATCTTCAGGCTAGTTCGAGAAGTGCTATGGTCTGAATGTCTGTGTTCTCCCAAAATTTATATGTTCGAATTAAATCCCCAATGCAATACTATTAAGAGGTGGGCCTTTCAAAGGTGATTAGGTCATAGGGGTTCTGCTCCCATGAATGGTATTAGTGCTTTCATAAAAAAGGTCTGAGGGACCCCTTTCACCATATGAAGACATAGCCAGAAGGTGCCAGTGATGAGGACGAGTGAGCCCTCAACAATCACCAAATTTGCTGGTGCTTTGGTCTTCAATTTTCCAGCCTCTGGAACCATGAGCAATAATTTTTTATTATTTATAAACTACCCAGTCTAAGGTATTTTGTTATAGTAGCCCAAATGAACTAAGACAAGAAGATAGAGAGCAATCAATAGTCATGTGTTAGCCGAGTACCATGGCTCACACCTATAATCCCAGTAGCTCAGGAGGCTGAGGCAGGAGGATCACTTGAGGCCAGGAATTCAAGACCAGCCTGAGCAACATAGCAAGGCTTCATCTGTATTTTTTTTTATTAGCCAGATGTTTGTGGTATGCACCTGTAGCCCCAGCTACTCAGGAGGATGAGGGGGAAGGATCACTTGAATTCAGGAGTTTGAGGCTGCAGAGAGCTATGATTGCACCACTGCATTCCAGCCTAGGCAACAGAGCAAGACCTTGGCTCAAAAAACTAAGTCATGTGTTTACAAATATGGGAACTGTTTTGAAGGAGAAGTTCAAGGTGGCAAGAGTGTATAAGGAGAAAAGCATCCCAATGGCTCAGGTAAGGCTGCTGCTATGTGGAAATGATGTCCAAGACGGGATATGAAGGGTTAGAGAGTGGGTAGGGTTTAACTAAGTGGAGACAGAGAGAGAGAAAGGGTAAAAGAGTGGCTTAGGTGGAGGAAATACCCTGCCTAAAGCTCTCAGTGGAAAAGAGCAGGATATTCTGAGGTTCTGTTCAACCATCAGGACACACAGGAGCAAGCAACCAGAAACTGACTCTGGTTAAGTTTAAGCCACACAGAAAACTATTGGAAAGACTGGTAAGTTCCCAGCATCACTAGAAAGGCCTAGCAAACAAAATGGGTGCTCACAACCAAAACCCTTCAAGCCACATAAGCCGTCTGGTGAGGATACTGATGGCTCCATTGTTTTAACTTTGAACTCTGTAGCCAGCACCATTGGCACCCTCAGCACAGGGCTTGTGGGGCCACCTCCAGCTTCTGTGTTACTAGTGCCCTGGAAAATAGGCAAATGTCACTGCCACCATCATACTGGATTTTTTTTTTTTCCCGTTTTTTTCCTGTCAGCCCTGGTCAGATATATATATCTATATATATCTATATATATCTATATATATAGATAGATAGATAGATAGATAGATAGATAGATAGATAGATATATATAGATATATATATAGATATAGATATATATATATAGATATATATATATATTTTTTTTTTTTCTGAGATGGAGTCTCCCTCGGTCACCCAGGCTGGAGTGCAGTGGCGCAATCTTGGCTCACTGCACCTTCCACCTCCTTGGTTCAAGCAATTCCCCTGCCACCTGAGTAGCTGGGATTACAGGCGCCCGCCACCACACCCAGCTAATTTTTGTATTTTTACTACAGACAGGGTTTCGCCATGTTGGCCAGGCTGGTCTCAAGCTCCTGACCTCGGGTGATCCACCCGCCTTGGCTTCCTAAAGTGCTGGGATTACAGGCGTGAGCCACTGTGCCTGGCCCTGGTCAGACACTTCTAATTGGCCAACCATTCCCTCATTCTTTGGATACCTGGGAAAGTTTATATATTTTTTAATTATTATTTTTAGTTTCTATAGTGCGAAGTGGACTGTTTTCCATCAAGATTTGTAAGGTGGAAAACTCCCCAGACATAGAAAGAGGATTCAGATGCGGGCACACGGCAACACTGCTGGAGGATGAGAGTGCCCATAAAATTCTCTAATTGTTTTAGTTGTGTTCATCTCATCCGCCTCACTGACTTGTGATCTCCTTTGGGGAAGTGTTCGTGCTTTCTTCCTCCCTCGTAAGCTCAGCCATTACTGATGGTCCTGGCCACACACTCCCTGCTCAATAAATTCTTGTTGACTTCCATCTAGTTCATTCTGCAAAGGTCATTTCATTTGGCCTTCGCTGGGAGGTGATTTTCAAATGTGAAATATGAATAACTTGGCCCTGGAGTCAGTAACATCTGCAGATAATCATGTCATCTGGCCATGCAGAACCTCTGGGCATGGGGAAGTTTTCTGGTATGTGAGGAGATACGAAATGGAAACTGCTACCTGATGTAGCCTCATCACTTCTCAGGGGCTGATTCCCTCTAGGGCAGTAGAGGAGCTTGTGTCTTGAAAATACATTTGGGCATTCCACTATTAGGTAGTGGTTACTTATGTGGAAAAGTTCCTTACACAGTCAGGTGCAATGCCTTGCAGCGAGTAGTTTCTTCTCTCATTTTCTTTTACAATGTTCTGGTGGAAGGAGTGCTGGCTTAGAAACCAGAATATCTGAATCCAAGACCTGGTTCTGGGATAATAAGACATGAGACCTCCGTCCAGTCCCATTATCTTTCAGATCCTCATATTCTCTATCAATAAAGTGAGCAGGATGATTTATTAGGTGCAAGCTGTGGTAGGCATCTGTTGTTTCCATTTTCTCAACCTTTCTCTTTTTCTGGAAATCGTTCATGTGTCTTCTTCTAGAATAATTATTCTCAAACTTAAGCATATATCAGAATCACATAGAAGCCTTGTTAAAACAGATTCCTGTATCCTCTTCCCAGAGTTTCTGATTTTGTAGATTTGGGATAGGTCTTGAGAATTTGTATTTCTAGCTATTTCCCAGGGGATGTTGACATTACTGGTCTGGGGACCACACTTTGAGAACTACTGCACTAGAAATCCACTTTTTCTTATTCTCAGCCCATGAGGTTTAGAGGCTAATTTCAGCCCTTGGCTTCAAGAGTGAGAGCATGGCTGGGTGTGGTGGCTCACACCTGTAATCCCAGCACTTTGGGAGGCCGAGGCGGGTGGATCACTTGAGATCAGGAATTGGAGACCAGCCTGGCCAACATGGTGAAACCCCATCTCTACTAAAAATACAAAATTTGCCAGACATGGTGGTGGCACCTGTAATCTCAGCTACTCTAGGGGCTGAGGCAGGAGAATCGCTTGAATCCGGAAGGTGGAGGTTGCAGTGAGCCGAGATTGCACCACTGCACTCCAGCCTGGGTGATGGTGACAGAGCAAAACTCTGTCTCAAAAACAAACAAACATCGACCTAAAACCATAAAAACCCTAAAAGAAAATCTAGGCAATACCATTCAGGACATAGGCATGGGCAAGGACTTCATGTCTAAAACGCCAAAAGCAATGGCAACAAAAGCCAAAATTGACAAATGGGATCTCATTAAACTAAAGAACTTCTGCACTGCAAAAGAAACTACCATCAGAGTGAACAGGCAACCTACAGAATGGGAGAAAATTTTTGCTACCTACTCATCTGACAAAGGGCTAATATCCAGAATCTACAAAGAACTCAAACAAATTTACAGGAAAAAAACAAACAACCCCATCAAGAAGTGGGCGAACAATATGAACAGACACTTCTTAAAAGAAGACATTTATGCAGCCAACAGACACATGAAAAAATGCTCATCATCACTGGCCATCAGAGAAATGCAAATCAAAACCACAGTGAGATATCATCTCACACCAGTTACAATGGCGATCATTAAAAAGTCAGGAAACAAACAGGTGCTGGAGTGGATGTGGAGAAATAGGAACACTTTTAAACTATTGGTGGGACTGTAAACTAGTTCAACCATTGTGGAAGACAGTGTGGTGATTCCTCGGGGATCTAGAACTAGAAATACCATTTGACCCAGCCATCCCATTACTGGGTATATACCCAAAGAATTATAAATCATGCTGCTATAAAGACACATGCACATGTATGTTTATTGCAGCACTACTCACAATAGCCAAGACTTGGAACGGAACCAACCCAAATGTCCAACAATGATTGACTGGATTAAGAAAATGTGGCACATATACACCAGAGAATACTGTGCAGCCATAAAAAATGATGAGTTCATGTCCTTTGTAGGGACATGGATGAAGCTGGAAACCATCATTCTCAGCAAACTATCGCAAGGACAAAAAACCAAACACCACATGTTCTCACTCATAGGTGGGAATTGAACACTGAGAACACTTGGACACAGGAAGGGGAACATCACACACTGGGGCTTGTTGTGGGGTAGGGGGAGAGGGGAGGGATAGCGTTATAAGATATACCTAATGTAAATGACGAGTTAATGGGTGCAGCACACCAACATGGCACACGTATACGTATGTAACAAACCTGCACGTTGTGCACATGTACCCTAGAAGTTATTTTATATATATACATATATATGTGTATATATATGTATATATATGTATATATGTATATATATGTATATATATGTGTGTATATGTATGTATATATATGTATATATATGTATATATATGTGTGTATATATATATATGTATATATATATATAAACAAACAAAAATAAAAGACTGAGAACACGAACCAGAACCAGCTAATTAGTTTATTTCAACCACCTCTCGTCACCTTGTCATAGAAGATTACGGGGGAGGGCAGGAGACTCATATCAGACCAATTCACTACAATGCTTTAGCAGAAACAACTTCCTGCTTGGGTTGCTTGAAGCCACTGAGGGCCATCCTGCATCTACTGATGACTATACTGACAGAAGAAATCAGAGCTGAGACATGCAAGGCAGAGATTCCTGAAACTCGACTTGATCTCCTGCAGTCATCTTGAAGCATGCTCTATGGGATCACATGTGCTCTTTTTTGCTTGAGCTACTGGGGTTTCTGTCACTTGCAACCAGATAATCCTAAATAATATGTACACTTTTCAAAAACAGAGTCTGAATTTAGTCTTTTTGTAAAAAAAAAAAAAAAAAAAAAAAAAAAAAAAAAAAAAAAAAAAAAAAAACTTCTAAGAAGTTATACTCTGAGGCAATGAGCAGATAGAAAAAATTTGAAATAGAAATACAGTTCTTTCACTTGGACCCAGGAAGGGGAACATCACACACCGGGGCCTGTAGTGGGGTGGGAGTCGGGGAGGGATAGCATTAGGAGATATACCTAATGTAAATGATGAGTTAATGGGTGCAGCACACCAACGTGGCACATGTATACATATGTAACAAACCTGCACGTTGTGCGCATGTACCCTAGAACTTAAAGTATAATTAAAAAAAAAAAAAAGAAAGAAATACAGTTCTTTTAAGAACTAGCTGGTCAGACAACTTGAGAACAGCATACCAAGAATAACCATGATAATTAGAGAAAGAATAGTAGGTAACTTTTACTGAGTATTTAATGAATACCAGAATCTCTAATTAATTACTCATATTAATTATCTAATTTAATCTACATAATGCCCTTTGGAGTCAAATACTATCATAATCTCAGCTAACAGATGAGGATAATGACCCTCACAGATTTTAAGAAACTTGCCCATGGTTACTCAGTGAGTAACAGACCATGAAAGGAGAGAGAGAGAGAGAGACAGACAGACAGACAGAGAGGAAGTCAATCCAAAAGGTCTGACTTCAGAAGCCATATTCTGTCATCCTTGTGAGATCAGAAGTCTTGATCTTTCATTTTAATTCAGAGACCACACCATCTTGAGGATGTGAGGATGATGCCTGGTTTAAACTAAGGAGCAAATATAAAAGTGGTGGGGCTCCTTTGAAAAAAAAAGATTAAGACACAATTTTTCCTGGTCTCAGAGGATTGTAAAAGCCTCCAGTTGACTCCAAACTGGTAGAATAGTGCCAGAGTAGTGCCAGTAGAGCTGTTAAGGGTCTGAAAGCAACTTCCACTGTCTCTATGACAGACCATCTCTGCCTACCTTAAACTCTGTGCAGTGCCAGCTTTAGGGACCTCTGACAAGGGCACCCAATGTCAGCATGCCTGGATCCTTGCCTGCCCTGACCTCAAAAAACCCTTAAACTGCCCACTCATTGCAGTCCTTTTGTTACATTGAGAGCAGCCCCAATGAATGCCTACCCAACAAATCTAATCAGTATCCCTGGTAAGCCTACCTTCAAGAGCCTATGCCCCAAACAGAATTTTGTAGGTACTTCAAAGACATACCCAATGAATATTTTATTGGTTACCAATTTTCCCATCTCAAGAATATAGACTTCGATGGGTTGATTATATAGAAATTGATTTGTTTTTATTTTTATAGCTTTTATATCTTTTTAGTGTGTTCTGTGGCTTCTCATCATCACCTCAACTGCTCTACTCTTCAATTTTTGTTCATTTGTATTTGCTCCAAGGTACAACAGCATGTTAGTTTTCCCTTGTGTATGCATTGTAGGTAGTGGGGTTCAATCTGATATTGTCTGATCAATTCTTTTTTATTGGCTGATAGAAGAACCCTTTCACTAACTTCCTAACTTGAATTTTTACCTCCATTCTTACCCCGCACACCTATATTATGTTTCACCCAGCTGCACTATCTTTCTGAAACAAAGATTCCTTTTACGCATTAGCTAAAAACCTGTCATCTACTCAATTTCTTGAATGTGACATATAAATGTCCTTGAAAACTCTTCCTAAATGGCTCTTCCAGCTTTGCTTCCTTGAAGTCACACCCTAACTGCACATTCAGCCTCAACTACCCCATCCCTGGCCCATCCTGGGCAGACCACTGCTCTCTGGATTCAGTCTCTGCACCTCTGCTAAGGATTGTTTCCTTAGACCATCATAACCATCCTCCTGAAGTTTTTCTCATCCAAATATCACCCATCCTTCAAGTTCTGGCCAAAAATTTTCTTCCTCCATGACACGTCCTCAGATCCCCTTGGCTGGAGACAATATCCGCCTCCTCTGGACTTCCACAGCATTTTTATTGCTCCTATCTTACAGCTCCTAGTCCTGTCTCTATTATAGCTATTTACAGATAGAAATCTTATCTCCCCCACTAGTCTATAAAGCCTTTGAGTGTACAATCCCTTTGTCATTCATCAATGTATTCCACACTGGACCTGGCTTAGTACCTTGTACATATTGGAAATTCACATATCTAATAAATAACTAAACTGAGGAGTTCTGGGATGGGATCCTACCCCAAAATGTCCCTCTCATTAGTTTGTCATATTGACGGAACTCTTAAAGTGTAAGAACAGTTACCCTGGGCCGGCACCACGTGCCCATAGTGGGAGTATTTCATCAGATCACATTTATCAAATATCTCCAGTGATGTGGTCAGTGACCAGGTGCTCCTGAAACAATCAGGGACCCAGACTGAAGCAGCCTCACATAAGCAAGATTTCATTTTAAATATAGTGATTTATCTTTTTAAAATCCATGTGCATTTTGAATTCTCTTTCATAAGATATAAATATTTAGTTTAATTTAAATATTTTATCCCAATGGTTAAATAAAATTGAACCTCACTCATCTGCACCAGACACATCCAGTGGCACTGAGTACCTGCTGGCTCCCCAGTATAGTGGATGTTACTCCTGACTGCAAGACACAGTGTTAAAGGATCTTTGTCATTAATATATTTGTGTGAATTAATGATTCAGCTCTTTTCTAGCTGAGGGCAATGGGAAGACAATATGAGGCATGGGAGAATTAATAGGGGCCAAATAGCATTGTGTTTTCTTATGGGACAGAGTAAAACAGGTCTAGGGGAGACAAGCAGAGAAAATGCCCTTGGCATTCAAGACTAGCCATGGTGCCCTGAGATTGAAGGTGAGGAAAAGAGTCAGATCTGGTCGACAGTTATTCACGGGAGGGTCCAGCTTTGCCTGCTTCTCTCCCCATTGAAGTTGGAGGCACAATATAGAGAGGTCATCAATTCACTTTGCTATTGGAAGCTGAGCTAGCTTATCCAGAGCCTAGGGGCTGTCAGCACAAGATTGTTAATGAACATGTTTCCTGTAGATAATTATAGGAAAGGGAATATTGAAAGCACTTAAAACATTTCATTCTTTTTAATTCATTAATTATATTGCAATTATCCCATGCTCAGGAGCTGTTCAGGAGGCTGGATTCCAGCTATTCCTGCAAGCTTCCATGGGCAGGAATGAGGGCTGAGGGCTTGGGGAGAGAGAGCCTGAAGAGAAAAGCTCAGAAAAGGTTAACTGTGCAGATACAAGAAGCTAATTGGAAACCTCGTAAACAAAATCCAGGTTAATGAGAGTTGAAAAGAACAACACATCTCTTTTATAATGATTATTACAATTATCATTATTTCCCCACCCACATCAAAATTGCTTGCATTTTGATAGGTTCACCATGAGCAACACGTCATCTCTGAAAACACCTGGCCTTGAAGTTGAATCAGAGGATTAGATTCAAGATGTGGCAAATCTTATGGATGACTGTGGAATGATGGGGGCACAAGTCTAAATACTGCATCCTGCTCTGTCATATCCTAGATCTGCTATTGTTTTTCTCTTCACTTCTTATGTTATTCATAGAGAGTTGTAAGTAAGTAAATTGACATACCAGACCCCTACTGTGTGCCAGGAGTACAAGAATGGCAGTGGTACAGATGAGGTCTCTGCCCTCATAGAACTTTCAATGAAAAACATGGTCCACTGAATAGGGAATCAAGATACAGGTGATGGGGAAAGTACAAGGAGCAGAGGAGTTCCTAGGGTGGTCAGGAGGGAGGATAGGTAACGTTCTCTGTGTGCTCTCTTCTGTACACATACATCACATTAGTAGCAATACCCCAAATCTCAATACTTTCAGACTTCATATTCTGGCTTTTGGGAATATCAAGCGCTTTCTTCCCCAGTGATTCTATCTAGGAAATACTGATGGTGAGAGTGGGGAGGTGGGAAAGTTGCCCTCACATATAAGTGAAGATATAGCCTGAACACTTTTTTAATTGGTTCACTAATTTTCCACCCTCTCTTCCTGTTCCTCTGCTATTCATTGGTTCCTTCTTGTTCCAGTGGCCAATACCACTGCTAATTTCTTCCAAACTGCTAACCTCCATGCCACCCATTGATAATATGACCTCTGAATGCAAGGCATAGCATGAAATGATCTGAGTCATTAATATATTTGTGTGAATTAATGACTCAGCTCTTTTCTAGCTGAGAGGAAAGACAATATGAGGCAAGGGGGACTTAAAGGGGCCAACGAGTATTTTGTTTCCATGTAGGACAGAGGAAGACAGGCAGATAAAGTATCCTTGGTATCTGAAACTAACCAGGTTGCCCTGAGCCTGAAAGTATATTTCTCACTGTCTCTATCATAGGACCTACCTCATGTTCCCCTGATGGAAGATGACAGACAATGTGAACCAGAGATGTGTCCAGTCATTTGTCTAGGCAAGGCCTGAAATGTGTTAGAAAGTCCAGCCAATATCAGCAAAAACACAGCTGGCTCAAGCTGACCACAGTCACATGATAGAACCCATCTGAGACCAAAGAAACCACTCAGCTAAGCCTAGTTTAAGTTGCTAACCTGCAGAATCATGAGCTAAATAAACAGCCATTGTTGAGGCCATTATGTGTTGGGGTGGTTTGTTATGCAGCAATAGCTAACTGATACAACACTTAACTATATTATAGATCAGTTCTATTTGAGCAAATCACTTTGAATATCTACTATGTTCCTAGTTACTGGAGGCATAATAATAAGACACAGTCCCTGTTTAGGGAAACTTACAAGCCAATACCTCTTAACGGTAACTAAGCAATTAAAAAAACACATGAGATTTTAACCTTTAATTTATGCAACACTACAGTGTCTACATTTAAGTCTCAGGCTGGTCTCTTGAGTCCCTGAAAAATGTATTAAAATTTTGCATGTATGTGCCTATGTATATTTTTTGAAGAGAAAGCCCTTGGTTTATACATCATGTTCTCAAAAAGAATAAGTGCCCCAGAAGATGTTGAGAACCACTGTATGATAATGTTATCTAAACCTGTTCACACTGCCCAACACTCACATAGCAGTCCAATCTATTAAGGGGTGCATTTCCTTGCTGACTCATCCTATCAGGAAGATGTCCTCAAAATGACATGCTGCCAGAGGCCACTGAGGTTTATATGTTGGATGATCAGAGCACTATAAAAAGCTTACAACAGATAATGTTATCATTTTTTGTCTTATAGAGCAGAACCTTTGTATGATCCAAAGCACATTTTCTTTGAAAAATGATGAGCTTATCTGTGTCCTTCTTTTGCTCAGACCTACCCTAGGTTCGGTAAATCTTTTTCCCAGGGCAAGAATACACATCCATCGTTCCCCAAAGCCTCCCGCTTCTGGTAACAAATGCCTGTCACTAGCCAACAATGTTGAATATCTACACCACATCTTCTTGTTCAAGGATTTCATCGAGATCTATTTGAGATTAAGGATCATACTAAACTTTGATATAACAGCTGATGTCTGGGGAGACAGTCCAATTGGCAGAAGAATCCTCCCTTTCTCTAAATTATTGAGGTTTTCTGCATTTTTATGTTAGATAAACAGAAAGAGAGGAATAGAGGGAACGACAGAAAGTACCCTGGATATCTAGAACCATTTCTTATTCCCAGTTCTTACACAATCTTGCAAATTTGATCAAAACAACTCTCTCTCTCTCTCAGCTAGAGAGTTGCCACTCTAACTCACATCCTGCTGTCATCACAAAGGTGGTTCTGTGCAGCTTAAGCAAAAAAATATGTGTGAAAGTGCTTTAAAAATTTTAAAGTGCCAGCAAACTTAAGGTTGGTCTCTTCTATATTGGGTTTCTGTGATTCACTTGAAGTCTTAGGCCTGATCCTATGTAATTCTACCAAATTTTCACCTCTGGAGTTAAAGATATCACATATCATTTAAAATATGGACAACATCACTCACAAAATCAACTCATCTGGGAAGCCTTCCTTGACTCTCACTTGCTGGCTGGGGTGGCCCAGTGCTCAACTCCCGCAGCTCCTGTGCTTCTTTGGATTGTTGTGCTATAATCACCAGTTTTATTTCTGCATTAATAGATGATACAAATTAGTGGTTCACAGTGTGACTTTGGAAAAACCCTGCATGGGGTTCAAATCCAGTAACAACCACTTCCTGACTATGTACATTTGTGCAAATCTTTTCACCTCCCTGCGCCTCAGTTTTTCTCATAGTAAAATTGGGAAGATAATAATATCAATATCTCACATGGTTTGGAGAGGATAAAATAAGTATGTAAAATATTTAAAGCAGTTTCTAATACTTAGTGGAGTGTGAGTAGACCTCAAGAACTAATATTATTAGTTTTTAGTTAGCTAATATTATTAGCTCTTTGCTGTGCCAACATGGGATCACCTTTGGTTGCAATAGCGGTGGAGATACTTGCTTATTCGTTTCCATAACTTCAATACCTGCTGCTTGATAGGTGCTCAACAAATATTAAAAACATGCATAGATAGTATGAATAAATGAATGATGTTAAGAAGAACCCTGGTTTAGGGCGGTACACATATTCATGAGCTGGACCTCTTCAATCTCTTGACTTTACCTGACACCTCTGAAACACATTGTTTACCTCTATAATTCTTAGTTTCCTCATCTATTAAATGACAGCAGTGGACTAGATAATCAGTTATGACCATTTCATATCCACAGATCTATAAAATGGGATTACAGGGTGAGAAGAAGATGAGTTATCTTACCCAAAGTCTACTGATGTGACAGACAATTTACATATAGTATCATGTCAGATCTTCCCAGTGGACTATCAGATAAATGAGATTGCCTTTATTTTATAAATATAAAAAATGATGAGGCTCAGAGAGGTTAAGTACATTTCCCAACACCACACAGCCAGTAAGTAGTGAAGAAGGACTCAACCCAGTTCTGACTAAGGTTAAAGGTCAGTCATTTCCACTATTCTACTGAGATGCAAGATATAAAGATAAAACATTAGATATGTGTAACACACACACTGCTTCTTGTCAAAGGGAAGCAGAGGCAGTAAGCAGCGAGCAGGTATACTTAGAACAGGTGTCAGGAGAGCTGTCATTTGACATACACATTTAGACATGTCAGCATCTGTGTTGGGATCCAGATGGGGAGATATTAAGCAGGGGAGATAGTAGCAGCTATAACATTAGCCTTGAGTTAATTGCTATTTTGGTGTCCTTATGGAAAGAAACATCCACTGTACATATTCATGCAGCAAATGGAATTTATAACAATTTCTTTGAGTTGGGAACCACTTGTCTTCTCCTCCCTGGAGCTAAGCCAATGTCTATATTTAACCCAGCGGACTGGGTGGCATTACATTTGGGTGATTATTTATAGATAGCCTCATGCACGGTCTGCTGAAAAGCCATAGGGATTCTGCCGACGCGAGGGAAAAGAATAGCTCCAGATGTGTGCGACTGCACGTGAATCCACGTCTGGTCCTTTGTTGGATAGGAATGTCTGGGAGCTCAAACATGCATGAGATCTTGGATGTCTCTGCCTTTCATTTTTATTCATAACTCCCAATATGAGGGGTTTTATTTCAACATGTGGGTAGCTAGATCATAAAAATCTTACAGTTGGAAGGAAATTTGGAGTCATTAGCCCAATCTCCAATCTGATATTTGAATCTTCTGTTCAGTATTCTCATTCAATAAATACTTATTGATTGCAACTCTAATTTTACTGTTCATCATTTCAACAGAGTGATTGGAAACCTACACTGAGATCTGCTCTAGGACTGCAAAGATGACTGAACATCATCTCTGCCTTTAAGTCCCAATCTTTAGTTGGAAAGATGACAAGTAGATAGAGATTTTTAAGATAAACAATCAACAAGACAAATGGTGTAATGGAAGAAATCACAGAACATGGTTTGATTGCCTGGCACGCAGTGTCTGGCACAGAGAAAGCTCAATAGTAGTCAATAGTAGCCAAGATTAACATTCCCATTTTATTGATGTGGTTGCTGAAAGCTTTACAGTTGAGTCTTGAATATTAAGTTGGATTTCTACAGACAGAAAAGAAAGTAAATAGGATAGCATGGGAAGAATGAAACAATAGAACATCATCAGGAAATGGTGAGAAAACCAGAGTAACTGAAATGTATGCTTCATGATTTAGATGAGACTAGAAAGGTAGATGAGGCTTGTATTTGAGGGCTTTGAATATCATACTAAATAGTCATAAATTATTCACAATGATTTGATGAGCAAGGGAGTAATGACCTTTTTGTGTCTTAAAATATGCAAAAATTCCTGTATCAGTTGATATTATTCAAATTTTAGGATTTCATGGGAATGATATAGTTGCAGTCTGGAGCGTTAGTATCTCTGAACCTCAGTTTTCATATCTGCAAGGTAATTTGGGGCATATCTCCCCCTAAAGAGTTTATATGGTCCAGAAAGGATAAGACTATTAAAGGCAAGTTAAAATTAATACAATTAGATGCTGTAGGGTCTTGTTTCACTAATATGTTGGTTAAATACTGCAATTATGAATGCATATGCTATTATTAATAGCTACTTTTTATTGATCACTATGTGAAAATTACTTGTCCAAAACACTTTACTAAGTGTTCACCTTTAATTTAATGTTAAAAACAACCCTATCATGCAAGTGTAGTTAATATTCATTTTGCAAATGAGATACAGTTCAGAAGAGCTAATTAAATGGCTCAAAGTTATACAGCTAGTAGAGAAGAACAAGGAATCAAGCCCAAGTGTTTCTGATTCCAAAGCCAGTGTTTGCCACCTGTCACTATGAATATGGGACACCTTTAAAGAGTAGAATGTTTCTCTGTATGGGCTGGACAAGTTAGGAAAGATAATAGGGATTGTTTACCTGTCTTCCTGTGGTCTCAACTCTAAAGGTTCTTCACCCCTCCCGGAGCCTACATTCCAGGCCATCCCGAGATTCAATCTTTGTGAACATGTCCCCGTTACTTTTTATTATGTTGCTTGGGGGAATTGTAGCCATGAATTTTCTAGCTTATTTTTTTTTCAGTAAAGCAATGCTTACATGGTCACAGTAAAATGTATACCTATGCCAACCTGATATTAAGGTTTATTGTAATGAAATCGAGTTAGCATACTTTTTAGTTACCTTAAAGTCACAAATGTGGAACACATCCATCTCTGATGTCTACTGTTTTCTATTTTTAATATCTGAAGGCTATATAGATTTTATTAGGACCCCATCTTCAAGTAGCTGCGCAATCTTAGACAAACCATTAAATTTAGTGAAATTAGTAGGTTTAATTGTTCTGTCTTTAAGCTTTAAAGCATTACAATTTTAAGCATTTAAGCATTAATTTACATTTTAGTAATTCTATATTCTGGCCCTGGACTAGGTGCCAGAAATCATGGAAACCTGGAGAGATCATAGTCTCACTCCTCAAGGAATATACAAGCTACAGCAATAAACAGAATCTGAGTTAAAATTTCAAGCAAACAATGACACAATACAGCACAAGTTAATTTCTCCAAAAATTCCTCGGGCAGCAATTGCTGACAGTGTTGAGGAAAGGATATCATTTGGCTGGGGTGAGTAGTTCAGAATGAGGTCAAGGAGGAGCTAGGGCTATGATATTGATGAAAAACTTTGACCAACTTCGTGATTCTCTAGAATTATCCTTGATGATAAATCAATGTACATAATGGTTGTTATATTTGCATACATTTCTCTAGCCTCTGCAATTATATCTTATATACCAACACTTGTAGAAATACATAAACACATTAACAAAAAGTCAGAAGACTTGGATTCTAGCACCAACACTGTCATTAATTCTGGTGACCATGAGCAAACAGCTAGACCGCTTTGGGTCTAAATTTCTTCACCTATAAAATGAAGACATCAAAGCAGAAATTCTCAAATTTCTTTCTAGTTTAATATCATACTCATATGACTCTATATTTGAATAGCAAAGAAGGAAAATTGCACAAGAAAAAAAAATCTACACCTCTGCTAGCTGTAACTTTCTAGTGTAAAACCTTTTTGCTATAGCACAAACACAATTTTTTCTTTCTGGCAAAAAAAAAAAAAAAATCAGTTTTTAAAATATGTCCTAAATGTTCATTAGGTTTCAATGACAATATTATAAACGAATATCTAGTAACAGTCTTGTCACCTATTAATAGCTTATAATTTTAGACAGGTGGAATTCTGGGATTTATGCAAATGAAAGATAGGATCCTCTGTTATACTTTCTTGGTAAACCTCCAATATGCTGACTTAATAGCTACAATGTACTGGAAAAAAAGAGAAGACACTCATATATATTATAAGATATAATGAATTATTATTCTAAAAGTAGGCTTGTTGCACTCATTTGCATATAATGTTTAATTTTTACCAAATGCTTCATTTTAATACATGAAAAAATGATCACAAACTATAAAAATATGCTAATGAACTTTCTATTGCAAATATATTGTTGCCCATGATTCTGGAGGTTTATTATAAAAAAATGAAAATTTTCAATGGTTAAGTGATTCTTTTAATAAAAGTAATATTGAAAATATTTATACACCTCTGTATTGGAAAGGACCTTAGAGATCATTCATCTAGTTAAAACTCCTCATTTCTTAAGGGGCTACTGGGGCTAAGAGAGCTGGAGCAATTTACTCAGGGCCACACAGCTAACCAGTAGCAAATACCAGAAGAGAACCCAGGATTCCTGCTGTCCAGTTTAGTGTATTTTTTACTGGATCACATTATCTCAAACAACCAGGTTTAGTGCTTGTATTTCAAATACTCAGAACTCTATTCAGTTTGGTTATAGTTAACTACTTATAAGTTATTACAGGAATAAAATAAAGGTTGAAGAATAGAGGACAAGACAGAGGCTACCAGAAATGTAGACTAAAGTACAATGCAAAACTCTCTCATAAAAGAGTATTTCATAAACCACTGTCATTCAACAATCATCTTCATAATTTTTTGCTATTTATAGACTCTACTATTTATTTGTTTTTCTTAATTAGTTAAGTACATGCATGTTATAGAAGAACTTGACCATAGTAAATGGAAAGCCAAAAATAATGTGCTTAAAATAAAACACAATAAAAAAATAATGAAAACATATTATTGTTCATAACGGAACTTGCTGTGTCTTTGTTTTTCAAAAAAGTGGAGAAGTGGGGTGATTAGCTAGTATTAGAAATCTTAAAGATGTTAGCACCCAACTAAGATTTTTTCCCTTGACATTTAAAGATATTTGGAAAGGAAATGACTTTCTCCCAATATGATTTGGTGTCTTCAGTGTCCTGTCCCATCTAAATCACCTCCTGGACCATCTGTGGTATGCATCTCACCTACCACTTTGGAAAATGCTCGACTAGAATAAGACATCTCAGTTATTGAGGTCTCTGACATATTTCCGACTAAGGAACTACACACCAGAGAAACTGAAAGAAATTTCAGCAATCATCCAAGCAACATAATACAGTGGTAAAGTTACAAATGCTGGTAACAGCAGCCTGGTCTGTACCTTGCCACTTAACTGTAAGAAAAGTGAATTAATTGCTCTGAGTCTCAGTTTCCTTATCTGTAAAATGGTAATAATACCTGTCTCAAAGGGTTGTTGTAAAATTATCCGAGAAAACATGTAATAAAAATTGTAAACATTTACTGAGTATATTGTGTCAAGGTTTACATATATGATATACTGAATCCTTGCACAGTCTTTTAAAGATAGACATTATTAATCTCATTTTACACTTTAGAAAACTGCAGCGTAGGAAATTTTGATTCCCCCAAGCTGGTACATGCCTGAACAGGAATTAAAGCTTATGTTTTCTTATCTCTAGCTCATACCTTCTTAGCAGTTATGCTCTAGACATGCAGATACAATGGTTAGGGAAAAAGAGGATATCTCAGATGGATGGGACACAAGCAAAAATGTCTATATATAAGATGGACAGAGGTGGCAGAGGATGCTTTAGTTTGATTATTATATTAGTTAGCTACTGCTGCAAACATGCTGCATAGCAAAACACTCCAAAACTCAATGCCTTACAACAACAGCTTTTTCCTTTCCACTCACACTCCAGACTTTGTGTTTGGTGCATATCAATGCCACATGTGTCGGCTTTCACCTCGGATGACCAGCTACTCAGATCTGTTCTCATGGTGGGTGACAGAAGCTCAAGAGAACAAACCAAATTGCATGTACATATTTAAGACCTCACCTTCCACTAGCTACAGCAAAGAGCCAAATCTCAAAGTGGAGCTGGATATGATACTCTACCCCATTGGGAAAAGAGAGGAAAATAAATATTCTGGAAAATATTTTAGTGTATCACCCTTATGATGGAGAATCTACCAAGAGGGGTAATGAAAAGGTCCCTCAGAAGACAAATTGGTGTCTGATTGTGGAGTACCCACATGCCAAAAGGTATGAATATGATTCTATAAGCCACATGGAATCACTGAAGTTTTCAACATGAAGCTTGAATCTCACACATTCTATCTCATTTCCTTAGAGCTCCTTTGTTAACCAGTTCACTATACAGTGTTAGCAAAAGGCAACTGTAAACTAATGCTCATGCATAGGTAGAGAACAGTGTAACCTGAAGCAGCTCAACTGGGAATACTCAACAATGGTGGAGAGGTCAAACATTGTAGCAAAGTTTTAGGGAATAAATAGTAAGGGAGATACCTCTCAAAGTCCATGGGCTGGATGACTGTCTACCTGTGCAATTAGGTAACAGAACTATGAGACTGGGGAATGGGGAAAGGGGATATGTCTTTTACTATATAAGACCATTTAGAGCCTTTAAACGTTGCACCATGTGCATTCATTGCTTGAGAAAAAGATGAATTTAAAGTGATTTCCAAAAAAATAGAATCTTTTTAAAGATTCAATAGCCTAGGGTGGAATAAATACATGATTGTTCTACTTAATTTTTTTTCCATACTTAAGCTATTGGAAGCAGGGTGAAGAAATGTTTTTCTCCCTTCTGCTTAGAAAGAGAAAAGTAGAACTCTCCATTTACATATTATGGTATCTTCCCTTTCCACATGTAAGAAGGGTCTCTGGATACACAGCAGCTACAAGAGATTTTATTAGTAGCTCCCATTAGTCACCTTTCCTGAATTCACACCTTTTGCCAAGTGATTTTTTTTTCTTTCCTTTCACTAAAGGAAGAGTACATTTTGCCGTCCCTTAAATTTGGGCTAAGCCATATGACCTGTTTGGACAATGGACTAGGGGTGGAAATGACAGAGTGCCAGCTCTGAGTCTAGGCTTTAAGATTTGTCTCATGTTCCCATTTTCTTTCTAGCACCCCTACCAGTTTCGTGAAAGGAATACACCTGGCTAGCCTGTTGGTCCAAGTCAAGAAGTACATGGAGCTGACCTTACCCAGCTCACAGCTTTGAGCCACCTAGACGGGCCCAGCTGGTCAGCAGAGCTATTAATATATGATAAATAAGTGCTTATTGTATGGTTTCTGAAATGTGTGGTTTCTTGAAATGCAGCAATAGGTGGCTGTTTAATAATAAAAATTGAGAAATATTTAATGCAGGTTCTACTTTTCAAATTGTATGGCCTGGGTGACTTCTTGCCCTCTCCTAAAGGAAGGAAACAAACACACTGACACCTGTTCTGATGCTATAATATGTCATACATAGAGCTAAAGGCTTGACCTGTATTTTACCTTTTGATGCGCACCAAATCCTACAACAGAGGCACTAATAGGTCCCTTTTATAAGAGAGGAAACAGAGACTCAAACAAGTAAACAATTTTCTGAAGTTTATAAACATAGTGAATGGCAAAATTTGGATTTTAAACTATTTATATTTGATGTTCCTCTCTCACAGAAAACAAAATGCTATTTTTTTTAGGCAGGCACAGTCTAAAACATACCCCTTACCAGGAGCTCTTGTCCCTCTCTAGCCAAGTCACATGCCGGACGCTAGAACTATCCTAAGGCATAGCTAAAAACGGAGCTGCTAGGAGAGTGTCAGGGGACAAACAGAGTTTTCATATTCATCTCTGGAGAGTTATCTCAGGAGAGGCAAGATTCCCTTCTGGAGACAGGGGCCCTGGGCAGTGTGCAAACTTCTGAGCTCAGAGCAGCCCCAGCTAATAAATCATTTGTGAGACAATAGCCTGCGGCATCAAGTTACTCCAAGCCCAGTTTTGCCATCTCTGGATAAAAGATTGTGCTCTGCACTGCAGGCTGAGGGCTGGGAACAATTTGCTGCTTTAAAGTCTTCAGGCTTCTTGCGATACCCTTTGTTTCCAAAGCTCTGAAGCAGGCTTCTTTTGGGAAAGATAATAGGACCCACTCCTGCTTGGCAGAAGAGGTTCATATGCTGGCTTACTTAAAATGTTTAGGAAGAAGCATCATCCATCTGGGAATTATTTTGGAAGTTATGACTGACTCTCCCAATGATATTCTCATTTGCTCCTCCCTATAGCTCAGCCAGCTTTTTCACTCCTAAGTTTTGCATAAGAAAACTGAGGCACTAAGACTATGAGGGAGTAGACCCTGATTCTGCATCTGATAAGGAGGAAACCTGGATTTGAAATTCTGACTTCTGCAACCAAGTCTGGGGCTTGTTCCTGAGGATTGGCTCACCTGGTGTCACCAAGCCTGAGTTGCCATCAGAATTAAGCTTTCTTTGGGGATAAGATGTGTCCTCTCCTACTGACTCTCTATGAAAATGCAAAGTACCTGCCAAAGATAACTTTGATTGAACCTTTATATGTTGGTGTACACGAGTTGATCATGGAATAATATGGAAAGGATGCACCTTCCTCAAAGGCATATCTATCCCAACTGCTTCCTTTCGTACCTGGAGAAACAGGCCCAGAAAATGAGACCCATGTTCCCAAGACCATGCAGGTAAGTGTCAGTATTAGAAACTCAAACCTATTTCACATGATGCAAGTAGCCCACTGTCCTCCTTACAGAGCCAGTTTGAAGCAAAAAGCATTAAAAAGAGTTTGTTTTTTTTTTTAAGAGAGTGGGCCCTGTTTGGCCCACTCTCTTATCAGCCCTCCTCCTGTGTAATAATCAAGGCAGATTTTTGTTTTCTCATTTCCCAGGCAGGGCTACGGGCATCCAAAGAGATGAAGTACCTTGGTTTGAAATACTCTAGAGCTGAGTGGGTTGCTAGAGATCATGGAGAAAACAACCTCTTCATTTTCCAAGGAAGCTTAGTAAGATTGATTTATTTTTATTCTACACACAGTTACTGCACAGGGATTATGCTGTATGCCAACTCCAGTGCTGGTGCTAGAATGGTAAAGCACACAAGGCTCGGTGCCTGCCCTCACAGATGTCACATTCTAATCACAAAAGCAGACATAAAGTCGGTAATTACACAAATAATTACATCAATTAAATGTTGACGAATGAAATAAAAGAAACACAGGCAGTCATAAGAGTTTTTAGTGTTCTTGGTGGGAAGAAGGATTTATTTGATCTAATAGGTGAGGAGAGAGTTCTCTTGGGGGGCACTAGTAAGACATGGGCCTTCCCAAAAGGGAAGAAGAGACCAGAAGATGCAGAGACCCCGAAATGGGAAGGAGCACGTTGTGTTAGACTAACAGACAAAATGCCAGAGTGATCTGAGGACGAAGAATAAGAAGAGAGAACAGTGAGTGAGATGGGAGGAGGCTCTGGAGGGTCAGAGCATGGAGGTCTTCGCAGGCTAGGAGAAGGATTGTGACTTTTAAACAAGAGTAAAAGGAAGCAACTGAAAATGTTAAGTGATGGAGCAAAATGATCAGATCTGTGATTTAAAATAGAAACAAAACATGCTGCCTATAGCACTGGGAACAGATCAGAGAGGCACCACGTGAAGGCGCGGCTGCCTCTGACTAGTATGGTGGCCGTGAGAGTGTTGAAAAGTGGATAGATTTGTCCACATTTGGGACGTAAACTCAGTAAGATTTAGTGATTGATGGTTTATGATAGCAGAAGAAAGAGAGAATGAAAGCTATCAAAAACGATCCCCAAGTTTATGGGGTAAGAAATTAGGTAATTAACAGAGATGGAAAACACCAGAGGACAATAAATAGACGGGAATGTGTCTGAGGCTGGGCAAAGAGTGAAAATTTCAGTTTGGGACATGTAGCAATGTTAGGTCAATGACTGGTCATGAGCTCAGACCTCAGAAAACAATTCAGGCTGGGGAGATACATTTGGGAATCATTGCATATCGATGATACTCAACATCGTGGGAATGGTTGGGATTCTTCAAGGAGGAAGTGATCAGTGAGAAGGGCAGAGCACAATGGAGCAATGCAGAGAACCCAGGAAAAGAGGAGACCCACCATCCAGCACTGGAAATGTTTCGATCCAATATTTTAGGTCAAAAAGGAGGGGCTCACAGTAGAAACTGGGAATAAGTGAGCAGCCTAGTGGGAGGAGAATCAAGACAGGATTTCAAGAATAGCTAATGTTGCCCACATGGTATAGACAACAAATAAACTGAACACTTCAGAATGTAGCTTAGATTTGGCAACATGAAGGTAGCTGGGGTGGGATGGGATGATGAGCTGGAGTGGGATGGAGTGAATCAAGACAGGATTTCCAGAATGGCCAATGTTGCCCATGTGGTACAGACATCAAATAAGCTGAATACTTCAGAATGTAGCTCGATTTGGCAACATGAAGGTAGCTGGGGTGAGATGGGGTGATGAGGCGGAAATTTGTTTGAAGTGAGTTGAAGACTGAATGAGGTAGAGAGGAATAGAGACTCCATGCCCATGTTCTCACTCATAAGTGGGAGTTGAACAATGAGAACACATGGACACAGGGAGGGGAACATCACACACCGGGGCCTGTCGGGGGTGTGGGGGGTGCTAGGGGAGGGATAGCATTAGGAGAAATACCTAATGTAGATGACAGGTTGATGGGTACAGCAAACCACCATGGCACATGTGTACCTATGTAACAAACCCACACGTTCTGCATATATATACCAGGACATAAAATATAATTAAAAAAAGAAAGAAACTCCATGAGCAGCAATGTTTTTGAGAAGTATGGATGTGAAGAAAAGCAGAGAAATTTGTCAACAGCTGGAGGGAAATATGTTGCTATCTAATTGTTATGGATATATCTGCTGTGTTACCTTGGGCAAGTTAATTAACCTCTCTGTTTAGACAATATAAAAGGAAAATAAGGCGTATTTGTCAACTGCTGAGAAGACCAAAATGGAGAAGGAGAGGTTGATGATGAAGAACAGAGGTTGAATGACAAGTGGAACTGGCTGGAGGGAATGGGAGTACAGAGCACAGGCAGAGGGAGTGGTCGCTGGCATGAGAGACTGTTTCTGCTGCATTGGAGAGAAGAAGTGAAGAACTGGAGCAGGCACAGGTAGGGTGCCCATGTGAGTTAGAGAAAACCTGACCTGAAGGCCACTTGTGATTCAAAACCCAGTGAATATGAGGAATTAAGAAATGAGCTAGGGAAGAACTGAAGACAAATGTGACTGATGTGACTGATTTCTGAGTCACTCCTCTGGTCCATGTGGTGGGTAGGTCCACACTGTTTGTGGGTGGAAGCCCCAGGCCAGACCCCGAAGGTTTGAGACACAAGTGAGAGCACTGTCAGTGCACTGAAATCAGAGACAAGATCCCATCAAATCAGGCTCAGCTGGGTCACAGTGCACAGTGGGGCTGCAGAGGCAAGGCACACAAGTGTTCAAGTGATTAATCTCTTGTCTCCATTACTCTAAATGAGCTAAACAAATCCCTTGCTGGGCCTGTCGCACGGATGTTCTGCATGCAAATTGTTCCTAATGAGCAGGGCACAGGGCTGGTCCCCTGGTTGGTAAATCCATTCATTTCACAACACATTGTCTGGTTCACATATTTCTGTGACACAATCCATTGGCAGATGAGCTGTTAAATGAAACACTGGCCACTCAGAACTGCTTTAGAAATGTGCTGTCTTATTCATAAGGAAGATGTCTTTCGTGCAGTGGACTCAGGATTAGAGGACCTTGGGTGCTTGTTCTGATTTTGACAATTTTCCCTTCTCTGAGCTTCTACTTCTTACATACACAAAATGAGGCATTTGGGCTAGATGTGGTGTTTCCAAAGTGTTCGGTGGCATTTTTGTAGTTTACAAAACACATCTTAAGAGGGTTCCATAATAAAGTAGAGTGGGAAAATACAGGGTTGAGAAACTCAACAAGTTTTGTTTTTTATCATGAGACATCTCAGAACCATCAGTATGTTAACTTGAATTGTGAATATTTGATCAAACAAGCATGTTTTAAAACAGACCTTTTTGATCAAATCTGGGAGCTGCTGGGCAGGACGAATCCTGGAGATCCCTTCAAATCCATAACTGCCTAGAGCAGTTAGAAACCAGTGGGAATTAGAGACAGAGGGAAAACTGCAAAAAACTGAATGAGGAGTCAGATTAACTGATTTCAGGGGCAAAGATTGGGCCTCTGCTCTACGCCAGTCATTGTTTTTCTGGTTTCTCCTTCACTTCTCCTGGACTCAATACAAGAAAACTTAGAAAAGAAAGGATATTCAAACCACTTAACTAATTGTATTGTATTTGTCTGTATTGCGAATCGTATTTATTGCATTGTGTTTCTCTCAGTGTTGGCAGCAGATCTTATTGAAACCCACATGATCCCTAAGCCTCCTCACCCACCTCTCTATTAACTGATGTCCAGACTCTGAGAATACTTCCAGGAGTGAGGAACTCTGTATCTTCCAAAACTTCCCACTTCTTCTCTGGCCATCATTTCCTTAGGGAATGCCAAAAGTTCCTCCCCAATGTTCCTAAGTGGACCAAGTGTGACCAGGGATATTATTTTCTCTTTCTGCGTCTTAATAGAAAACTAAAGAGCTACCTAACTTGCCTCTAACTGACCTTCTCATCACTTGGCGTTTTTGGGTTCCAGATGTGGACAAGTCATAGGGTGTAAAATTGGGGACATTGTTGCACAGTAACTGTCCCAGTGTAGGAACTATTGAAAAACATGGTCTACCTATACCCATTAAGGCTGATCAAACAATATCTTATCCAAAAGGGGCTGGAATTTCTCATGATAATAAGGACACTAAAAGAAGGGCAATCATTCTAGATTTCAAGCTCTTCTCTCATCAATTAAATGTGTGACTTGTAGCAAATCAATTGCCCTTTCTGAGCTTGTTCACACACTTGTGAAATGACGGTGTTATGTCACAGAACCACTAAGGTTCCTTTTAGCGTTAACATGTTATATGCCTCTAACATGAGTCCAGCACTCCTTCTCGAAGGAATTTGGCAAAGAAGGAGAAAGAGAAATGTTTTTACAAGCAAAATAAACATCAGGAGCCTCTGGAATTGTCACATGATCAAATCTTTATGATGGACAGTAGAGAAACCCGTTCTGGAATATTAAGAGTAAGATCTAATAACAGTGATTATTGTAGATTATTTATCCTCACCTATTTGATGAATATATTCAAGACTTTGCTTCCTGACAAGCTCTGCACTGAACTCTCTGGATACTGCAATGAACAAGACAGAAACAATTTCTGTTCTCATAGAACTTACATTTGTGCATGTGTGTTGGGGAAGTGGGAATAGACATTGATCAATTAAATAAACAAGCAAGGTGACTTGCGATAGTATATTGGTGAGCAAATGGACTTGATGGCGGTAATAGCAACTGCATTTAACATTAGCTCATACGTGATAAAAAGTTTGTTTTTAATCATATAAGAGCCTAGACATAATGAATCCCGGGCTGCTATAATGATTCCATAATGTCAGGAAAACTGGTTCCTCCTCATTGCTTTATCATCTCTAAGGTGCTTCCCTTATCTGCTTAGCTAAAGATGTAACCATTATTTTGACCTTCTAGCCAGTAGGAAGGAAAGGGAATACGTTTTTTACCAGTTTATAATGGTGAGAAGTGCCAAATTTCACTTCTGCTTACCTCTCCTTGGCCAGAGCTTGTCACATG
Organism: Homo sapiens; assembly: GCF_000001405.40. Classification (NCBI taxonomy): domain Eukaryota; kingdom Metazoa; phylum Chordata; class Mammalia; order Primates; family Hominidae; genus Homo; species Homo sapiens. Next base: position 119,539,512 of record NC_000009.12, read on the forward strand.
GTTATGCCACCTGCCTGAGGTCTGGAAAATGTGGCTTTATTCTGTGCAGCCATTCCTTAGCAAAAAATTAAGGGTTCTGTTATGATTGAAGGAAGAAATAATAGATATTGAGGAAAAACAATCATTTTAATAGATAATAACAAGTAATGCAAAGAGTGTATCAGCCAGATTAGGCTAGGTGATGCTGCAATAACAAACAATGCCAGAATCTTAGTGGCTTGAGATTCAATGTTGCTTATCTTAAGTCATGAGGGTGGGGCAGGGGAATCTCTTCCCATCTTAATCACTTAGAGACCCATCTTCAGTACTGCCAGTTATCCTGTCACAGGGAAGAGAGATCTCTGGAAGTTATTGTATTGGAAATACAATGCTCAATGTAATTAATGGTATTTTTGCTCATAACTCATTGACCAGAACTGGGCATAGATTCCCACCTAACAAGAAGAAACGAAGCATGTAATCCTATCCAGTTCAAAGAAGGAGATAAAGCTGAAAATCTTTGGTAAACAACACTGGCTACTAACCCCAAAAAGTAATGGGACAGAGATTGGCTTGGATAGAGAGAAGTTCTACTTAAAATGTCATGGCTGCTGGAAGATTTTCTGAGCAGTTAGTGGAGCTGAGACTTGAATGATGAGAAATAGGTCATAAGCATGTGAAAAATATCTGGAAAGAACACAGTTGTTGTTTAACTCACTGGTTGCTATTATACATAGACGGGTACAAGATAATCAAGGAGATAAGCAAGGAGATGAATTGGCAGTTATTGTCACCTTAAGGCAACGTTAATAGGTAAGCATTATTACTATCTCAGCTTTAGAGATGAGTAAACAGAGGCATCAAAGGGTTAAATAATATGATGCAAATCACATAGCTAGGGTAGCTAGGAAGTGACAGCCCCAGAATTTGAACTCGAGCAGCATAACTCTGCAGCCAAGTTCCAAACCACTAAGTTAATCAGCCAATCCAAGCCCTTTAGGTAGACAGATTCTCCCTAGTGAGAATGATAGGTTTAGGATTAGTCAATTAGGGTATCACATAAATTTGGAGAAGAGGCACAGGAGTCAAAGGAGCCCACCAGAGGCCTGCATGGCTCCCTGGGGTCATCAGGAGGCTTCTCCAAAAAGGCTCTCTTGTGAGTAGATGTTTGTTAAGTGGAGAAGGAGTACGGAATACACAATCCCAGCAGAGGAAACAGGATCTGCAAGTGCTCATAGACTTCAAATGTGGTTGGAGAGAAAGGGCTATAGAGAGAAAGTGGCAGGGAATAAGCATGAAAGGTTAGTTGGGGCCAATTTCTCCCACCAAGAATAATGAAGAAAATGCAACAATTATTCTTTCCAGTTACAATCTCATTACAAAGTGTTCCTGTTTTACTATAAGAAAGCCAGGCCCCCACATACTTCTGGGGCTCATCAGTGAAAACAACAAGCGTCTCACAGACCCACCCAGGAAAGCAGAGTCATCAGCAGGGACCTGACTTGAGCTAAAATGGACTTGGGCTCAGTATAGGGGGAGAGAAATAAATCCAGGCGTAAAATACAGGGCCCTGTGAGTCCACATTGTGACATTCAGCCTTATTAACTGTCACTCCTGTCTTGTACAGTAAGGCCTGGAGAAAGAAGTTCACAGTTGGAGTCAGCCGACTTCGAGACCACTGAGCAAGAGCACAGAAGGAATCATCATCAGGCCACAGGCGGCTGTCACATCAGGAGACCACCAACACCAGAGGGATCTGGCAGAATACAGGCAGGACCAAGGACTCCAACACGCTTACCCTGGCCTCCAAGGCTTTGTCACAGACCCAGCCCAACTCCCTAATGGGTTTAATTTCTCACCACTCTCTTCTGTCCTCATTGCACTGCAGCCTTGCTGGTCTTCTAGTGACACCCACATGCCCCATCTTGGTGCCCCTAATTACCTCCACCTGGAACACACTGTCCTCACCCAGATAGGCACAGGAACAACTTCTCCACTGTACATGTCTCTGTTCAAATGCCACGCCCTCTGAAAGGCCCTATCTGACACCCCTGCTGATCTAAATTAGCACCTCTGATGCTTTTCCTTTGCTTATTTGTCTTGATAATACTCACTACTGCATATTGCAGTGCACTTTCGTTTACTCTTTTTCTTACTTGTCTCCCTGTGGAAGACAATCTCTATGAAGTCATTGTCTACCTTTTTCACCACTACATCCCTACTTAGAATACTACCTGGCATGTAAACAGTGCTTATTAAATACTTGTGAAATGAAGGGATGATTGGCGTCAAGTGGCAGAAACTGGTATACAATGCAGGGGCTTGATCACAAGGGACATTAAAAAACAAACAAACAAACAAAAACAAAAAAAAAACAGTTACTCTGGAACTAGGGTAAAAACGGAAACTAGAATTAAGCCAAAGTAATAGAAAGTCACCTTATTGGCTGGCCTGAAGCTCCTTCCATGGATTTTGGTAGGATCAAGCTGAGAGTGGGCCCTGTTTCCTTGGGATTGGAGATGGGTAGGTCTAAAGTGGGTGACTAGGATTCTCCTTTGCTATATTTCTTGAATCCAGTTCATTTTCATCTGAAATATTTGGGGAGTGGAGTGAGGACCTGCTGAGCCCAAAATTGTGGTGTGAACCTCTAGTGCCATATCCATCTATTCCGAAACAGCCCTTACTTCTGGTTTTAGGGTCTGATGGTAGGACCAGAGATGGCCATGATCATAAACATTAGAGGAACTTGGAGCTAGCGCAACTGGCAGCATCCCTCACCGTGTCATTTTGCCCAGCCTGTGGTTTGCTAAGAGCCTGTCGGCCAGTTTGCCATTCCTGTGGCAGGGCCAATTATCTCCATATCACAGCAACAAGCATCCGGACCACATACCTTGACAAGCGCCATGGCTCATTAGGACGATTATACACTTGGAGGCTGCCCCCATCAGCGGCTCAAGTCTTTGAAATGGACTGGAGCCATCCTTAGCTTTCCAAGGTCCCCATCCCATGACTTCTGCCACTCCCATCCCGCACAAACAAGGAACGAGGGTGTGAAAATCTATTTCAGTTGTAAAATTGCCAGCATGTAATACTAAAAGAGCTCTGGATTTGGTGAGCTGAGAATAGAGATCAGCTCTTCGCTTTGTTTCTGATTTACTGCAGGACCTAAGGTGAATTGTTGAAGATCTCTGAGCTCAGTTCCTCCTCTGTAAAATGAGGTCAAGGGTGCCTGCCTTACCTTCCAGAGTTGTTAGGAAGATTATTTAGGAAACCATGTGTTCCTCTTGAGCAATGGTTATCATTTGTGACCACTTGTGGGGAGGGAAGGGCAAGAGAGGTAAATGGGCTACTATTTGCCTTTTTGTTAGGAATCCAGACTCATGTTATTACATAACACTTTCATCATAAGAATAATGCCTGCTCGTTATAGAGACTTGCAGATTTAAATCTCTGGGTAAAGCAATTTATACCAACTTTTAAAAATAACATTGGCCACAGATCCAACTTTTCTCTTCAAGCCATTTCTTTCCACTGCACCCCACCACAAGCCTTCATTCTGGTGTTAAATAGTCGATAGGATAAGATTATCATACTACGAGGTGCATATTAAACATGATATCTCTCCCAGTTAACATATGTGTGTTTTAATACTTTTTTTTTGAAACATTACCGAAGGAATGGCACTAACACAGACTTTCAGGCACAATGATCTTATAATTAGGAATTTAGGAAGGGTCATCATCTACATTATATCCTTATTCCTTGAAGTAAATGCAGTTTCACAGAGGATCAGCCCACAGAACTTTTCTTCCATCTTTCTGCCACCACTAGCCTCAGAGTCTTCCGGTTTCTTTTTCTTTGTGTACCCACCACAACCAGGGGCCTGATTGCAAAGGAAAAACAACAACAACAACAAAAAAGTTACTGGAATAAGGCTAAAAGTGGAAACTGAGATTAAGCCAAAGTAATGGAAAGTCACTTTGTGGCTGGCCTGAAGCTCCTTCCATGGATTTCTCTAGGATATCAGGGTAGGGTCAAGCCTGCAGTGGGCCCAGAGAATGCAATGGAAAGCCAAACTCAGAGGACAGAAGACAGGCTGGGTTGCTTATTAGCAGGTGAAGAAGATTATTAAAATTGCATGTTAATTATTTCCTCAAGTTTTCTTCATCTGCTGATTTCTATTGTCTCCTGGCCTCTTGTTCAGAAATGTAATCTCAGACCCCACCAATTCCGGAAGTATACATGGTGGGATAGTTGCTGGCCTAGGAGGCGGATAGCCTGGCTTTGAAGCCTGGCTCTGCCACTTTCTTGACCTTGTCAAAGTTATTGACCCTCCATCATACCCTACCCCACACTTCCCAAGCTTTAGTTGCCTCACTGCACAATGAGTAGGGTTGGGGAGGCAATGTCTAAACCTTTTCCAGTACCATGATTCAATACATTCTCAATTGATTTCATTTCAATTAATCTCGATTCAATCCAATTTGCTATATTTCAATTCAATTATTTCCATTTAGTTTAGTAATTCCATTTCATTCAGTTGAAGTCAATTCAAATAAACTAAATTCCACTGACTCCAATCAGATCCCTGTTTTCCTGGTGTCTGAAGCAATTTCTAGGGCTTGAGGGCTTGAGAATCTAAGACTGAGATGTGGGGAGGGGAAGGGCAAAAGGAACTCCTCCATGCCCCCAGTCTGGATTCGAGTAAGTTACCACTGGAATGCCTGGGTCTGTAAAGGAGAAAGCCTGAAGCATTGGAAAGAGTACAGGATTAAGAATTAAGTGTGGCTGCATGTGGCCTTAGAGGTCTTGAACCCATAATAGGCAATGAACAAATGCTATTGAATAAATAGATGAATAAATGAATGAATTTAACTACTAAGTGACTGAATTTAAATACAGTACATATTGAGTGAATTGAAATACTTATTGAGCCAATGAATAAATTTAAATGGGCAAATTCCTAATTCCTCTCCCTCCACTCTGGCTTTCTAGATGTCCTTGGTCAAGTCACATCACCTCCTTATTGCCACGAGAGAACTGAAGGTGCTGCCCTAGGCAGTCCAGCTCTAAACCCCAAATCTGGGATTCTGTGAATCCTCTTCTCCTGCTCTCTTCTGCCCTGGCCAGGCTCTCCCTGTGGGCCAGATATCTCCTCCAAGGAGCAGAGCTGGAAGAACAATGCCCTGTGATTGGCTTCGGTGGCTTCCCCAAGAATAGAGCAGCAGGTGAGCAGGTGGAGCCCTGATTGCAAGGCCCTGTGATGAGCTGAGAGGGACTGATTAGTTCAAGCCTCTTAAGTCAAGTGGTTCTGAAATTCCCGTGAGCATGTCTCTCCCCTCAGTTCCTGGCCCTGGAGCTGCATGTTCTGCCTCCCACAGCAGCCACCCTCCTCCATCTGATGATTTCCTTTGTGTTCCCTTAAACTTCTTGGAATTTAAAGAGTTAAAAAAGAAAGAAGCAAATACCTGGTGCTTATTATATGCCAGGTAGAGTCCTCTGATCTTCACAAAATCCTTATGATGGCCTCTATGAGATGATGTCATTATCACCTCCAGTTTACTAATGAAACAACAGAGGCAGCTCAGAGAGGGAAGTCACTGCCCAAAGTCACACAGCAAGTGACTCGTGAAACCTTCAAAACCAGAAGAGATGATACGCAAACAACAGGGTAATAGGCATGCCATGAACATCAGCTCCCTACCCTGTCTTCCTCAGGCCCTGGTGTGCCCAGTGAGACCTCAACTCACCATCTATTTCCATGGTCCTTAGATGCTGGTCAGCCTGATGCCCTAGTCTCCCTCCCAGGTGTGGAAGCTGAATCTTTCCTCCCAACCCAGAGGCAACTCGGCTCAGGAAGCAAACTCCAGTGTTCTGAACCCTCCATCATCCTCCTGGCATTGAGGCTGTGCCTCCTTTGGTCAAGAGCTAGGCCACCTTTCAAGTCTAATAGGGTGAGAGTCAGGCAGGCCAGGCCAAAGTCAAATTGAGCAGAAGGTGGAGTCTGTAGGCAGGCTGCTTTGACTCCTACACCCCAGGCACCCAGTTGTGAGACGTCCATGTCTAAGAGACTCCTAGCATCAGATCATACCAACCGAGAGCCTATCCCTCACTTTCATCTCTGTAACAGAGGGTGGGGGCTGATGGTGAATCAGATATAGGTATCCATCCTAGAGCTGCTTACTCTATTATCTCCCCTAGGTAATTTGGTTCTGTAAGCAAATTCAACAACCAAACAAAAAGTCTAATAAATAGAAACAGAACTATGGTTACCAGAGGTTGGGGGCGGGGAAGGAAACAGGTGAAAGGGTACAAATTTGCAGTTAGATAAAATGAATAAGTCTAGTGATTGAATGCATGGCATGAGGACTATAGTTAATAATGGATAACTATGGAAGGTAATGGATATGTTAATTTGTTTGCCTGTAGTAATTTCACTGTGTATATCAAAACATCAGGTTGTATACCTTAAAGATATATAATAAACAAATAAATTTTGAGAAAAGACCCTCAAGGAGGAAGGAGTGGAAGAAACAACCAAAGTTGATTAAGGTGGTTCTCAAACTTGAGGGTGTGTAAGAATCCCCTGTGATGACCATAGATAAAATTAATTTGAAGACTCACTTTGAGAGATTCCTCACTCACCCATTTATTCATTCATTTGTTCTTTTATTTTCCTATCATCAAGTACTGTTCTACAGACTGGAGACACAGCAGCAGAAAAGTTCCTACTTTCAGGGACAGGACAGAAGCAGAGAAAACAGACAATAAAAAATAAGTAAATGCCAGATGGTAATTGTTATGGGAAAATTTGAAGCAAAATAAAGGAGTGGAGAGGCCCTAACAGGAGCAGATCTGGGATTTCTATTTTTTATAGGTACATCAGGGGATTCTAACACAGGAATCCCTGGACACTTTAAAAAAGGGTGGCTGGGTTGAATGGTAATTCTGTGTTTAGGTTTTTGAAGAATCAACATAGAGAGAAACAACAGACACTGGGGCCTACCAGAGGATAGAGGTTTGGAGGAAGGACAGGATCAGGAAAAATAACTAATGGGTACTAGGCTTAATACCTGGGTGACAAAATAATCTGTACAACAAACCCCTGCAATATGGTTTGGCTGTGTCCCCACTCAAATCTCACCTTGAATTGTAATAATCCCCAAGTATCAAGGGTGGGGCCAGGTGGAGATAATGGAATCATTGGGGCAGGTTTTTCCTGGGCTGTTCTTGATAGTGAATAAGTCTCATGAAATCTGATGGTTTTAAAGAGGGGAGTTCCCCTGCACATGCTCTCTCTCTTGCCTGCCGCCATATAAAATGTTCCTTGCTCTTTTGCCATGATTGTGAGGCCTCCCCAGCCATGTGGAACTGTGAGTCAGTTAAACCTCTTTCCTTTATAAATTACCCAGTCTCAGATATGTCTTTATTAACAGCATGAGAACAGACTAATACAGGCTGTGACATGAGTTTTCCTATATAGCAAACCTGCATATGTATCTCTGAACTTAAAAGTTAAAAAAAGGGGGCTTACTCTATGTCACGGTTTCATAGAGAATCAGCCCAGAGTACTTCCTTTCCATCCTCCTGCCACTAGGCTTAGAGTCTTCTGGTTTCTCTTTTTTGGGAGTGTACCCAGACAGAGAATACAATGGAAAGTCAGCATCAGAGGAGAGAGGACAAGCTGGGTTTTTTATTAGAAGATCAAGAAGGTTATCAAAGCTTGGTGCCTAACTGTTTCCCCAAGTCCTCTTCACCTACTGATTTCTATTGACTCCTGGCCTCCTTTTTAGAAATCCAGCCTCAGACCCCACCAATTCTGGAAGATTTATGTGGCAATTTTATTTAAGGCTTGTACCAGTGAAGGTAGTTATTGTTATCATTATTCACATCTAATAGATGGAAAAGCCAAAGCTTAGAGAAAAGAAAAATTTTCCAAAGTTATCACAGCTAATAGGAAAGTCTGACTTCAGATCCTGCTTATTTCCTTGTATAACAAATTAAGGAAACGTGAAAACTACCAAGAGCATAGCCAGCTTCAGAGCTTATGCATCTTTCCCATTGCCCTTCTAATGCTGTCAAAACCTTCCCTATTTGCAAAGCTCATTCTAACCCTTTGTCCCATTTGAGGTTCACAACTCTGAGGAGGAAAGCATTGCCCCTGTCCCCTGCCCCCACCCATCAGTCACACAGTGGTAGGCATTGACAAGTATCATTGCAGATACATGAAAACCCTAATCCAAGTCCTTCCATATTAGGTTCATCTACCCCAGAAAATGGGAAATGGTCTTGCTGATACACTTAAGGAGACTCCTGGGTACCCAGGTGTCCAAACAGAGCTTTTGGCTTTCCCTACCCCATAGGGTTTCCCTACCCCACAGTTATACAACTGGCTGTCAAGCTTGGTTCTCTGAACCTCAGCCTCTTTCCCTTACTTCCCTTTCAGCTCAACCTCTCTTCTGAACTCTCAGTTTCTGTCTAAAGAGCTGCTCCAAACACTCTTTTAGACAATGTCTGAATAGCCACAATAATAAGCACTTGGCTGACACATAGTAAGTCCTCAATACATATTTATGTAACAAGGGGTTGAATAAATGACTAATTACAACTAATATTTTTAAGTGATTACCATGTTCCAGTGCCATGTTAAGCACTTTTGCATTTAATTCTCACAAGAGCCCTGTGAGATAGGTACTATTTTCATTACTCTATTTCACGTAAGAGGTGACTGAAACTTGGAAAGGTCAAGTTATTCGCTCAGGTTCACAAAGCTAGGAAACAGTTTGCAGTTGCACCTGTGTCTGTCTGCTTCCAAAGCTCATGCTCTCAACCATGATCTATAATCAGAAAACAAGATTATATCATCATAATCTTCTTCCTGGTTAGCTTTGCCCATGACCACTGCCTGGAAACTTCTGCAGCATTATAAGAAACCCTGGATTAGGTCATCACAAATAACAGCTCAGAGCAAGACTGAGTTTTCTCCACTCTTTTGGCCACTATACTTTGGACTCTCAGAAAGCTCATTTTTAGGCCAATGTGATACCTAATGAGCTCTCTTTAGCTGTGATCCCATCAGTTTCTTCAGTCTTCATCAACCTACCCTGATGCAATGTGAGCATAGCTGACAGTGATCTAATTGATGGTGGTTTGGTAACGTGACCACAGCAATTAAAAAAAAAAAATTCAGCCCATCGAGAAGTAAGTCTATGTCCCTACCCATGGACTTTTGGCTGCTTTGACCAACAGAGTAGAAAGAAGTGTTACCATGTGACTCCTGAGACTAGCTCATAAAAGTTCACGTGGCTTCTACTTTTATTTTTTAACTGGAATTCTCACTCTTAGAGTTCCTGAATAAACGTGTAAAAAGTTAGAATACCTGGGAGGTCAACATGCTGTGGGGAAGCCCAATTCATATACAAAGGTCAGGGTAGGCACTCTGGTCAATCTTTCTAGAATGAGCCCATCCTTTGAGTCATCCCAGCCCAGCAGCCAGACAAAAAGCCTCTTCCCAACTGAGGCTCCAGACATTGTAAAGTAGAGATAAGACATCCGCACTGTGCCGCATCCAACTTCCTTATCTATAGAATCCACAGCATAATATAATGGTTGTTGTTGAAGTTACAAAGTTTTTGGGTGGTGTGTTTCATAGCAATAGATAACTGAAACATCATCTACCTAGTATAACTCAATAGTATAGTGTAATTGTTGAGTATTTGGCTCTGGAGTCACGCAGAACTGGGTTTGTATTATAGAATATGACATTTCCTAAATTAGGCGAATTCTTTCACTTTTCTGACCTTTACTTTTCCCATCTGTAAAATATTAGTAACAATATTTCAATCCAGGAACTATTATAAGGATTAAATGAGATGATGCATAAAGATCTACTTAGATAGTGCCTTGCATATAGTAAGCACTCAGTATATACTGGGTCAGATTATTATAACTGAATATCTTAGTCAGTGCAGTTATTATTGCTTTACTTTATGAAAGAGGAAATCAAAGCTATGAGAAGTGAAATGACTTCACCAAGGGCACATCACCAATCAGATTTTCTAACTCCTTGTCCAGAGTGTCAAGGCCTTGCCAGCATGGACATGGCTAGGCTCTGGAGGGAGCCAAATCATTTTCAAGGGGCATAGGAGATGATAAAATACTTCTCAAGGGTTAGACAAGCACCAAAGGAGACAGTAGAAATAGTGCAACTTCTTTCCCTCTGTCCCGACATTCATGGAGTTCCAAGCACCAAATTAGGGACATCTTCCAAATACATTCCCAAATCAGCTTCCCTTTAAAGCAAAGCTACAAAAAGACATGGCACTCTAAATGCCACCCCTTCCCATGCTGGTAAGCAGCTTATTTAGCCCAGCGTGTGGCCATCTTATGAACCCAGAGAAGAGAGGCTGCTGCTGGGAATTATCTCTAGGAGTGCTGGGGGTGAGCGAGTCACTGTGATGATGAGGAGGGAGAAGCAGGGGAGGGGCAGGGAACAGCTCAGGTGACTGCACAGGGACAGGAATCCCCACAGAAGTATGGTGAGGGGCAATGTGGGAAAGGCAAGGGTTGGGCATGAATTTTCACGGACATAGAAACTAGAGGTTTGGCAGGTGCGGTGGCTTGCACCTATAAGCCCAGCAACTTGGGAGGCCAAGACAGGAGGATTGCTTGAGGCCAGGAGTTTGAGACAAGCCTGGGAAACATAGCAAGACTTCATTTATACACACGCACACACACGCACACAAACACACACTTCTTTTTTTTTTAAATTAGCTGGGCTGGTGGTCCATGCCTGTAGTCAGTCCCAGCTACTAAGGAGGCTGAGGTGGGAGGGTCACTAGGGCCCAGGAGTCAGAGCTACAGTAAGCTATGATGACACCACTGCATTCCAGCCTGAGTGACAGAACAAGCCTCCATTTATTAAAAAATGAAATAGAAATAAAATAAAAAATAAAAATAAAGAAACCAGAGGCTTAGAATTTGAGAGGTGGAAGGAGGCAAAGTGTTTAGTCCAACTTCTATCATTTTACAGATAAGAAAACCAAGGACTTGGAAGAACATGGAAGGGGAAGCTTTTAAATCTAAAAGTTCACTTACATGAACTGTTTTAAAAAGATTCCTTAGCTGCCAAACTACAGAGTTCATGAAGCTATGAAGTAAGGTAGTATAGCTTTTGGTGTTTTATTGTTGTTGTTCTTGTTTTTGTTTCTTTTTTTTGTTCGTTTTTAGTAGCCGAGGATACTGAGGAAGATGAGACGAGAAGAGGAAGTACCTTGCCAACGTTTACACAAGAGATTAACCTGGAAGCTACGCTAAGAGCTTTGTCTTTAGATCCTGGGTTTTCTTTGCATCAGACCCATACCCCTTCCAACCCCCATAAACCGAGAATAAGAGATTAGCCCACTACTTCCCCTCCCAGAAATTCACAGGACAAGAGTGTGCTTCCTCTGTAATAATAGGGAATGTGTCCATTGTCAGAGACTTAGAGTCATACATGTCTTCTGAGACTGAGAAAAACAAAAAAAAAGTGTGAAAATTAAATCAGAAAAGATGAACTTTTAAATTGGAAAAGATCTAATTTCATAGAAGGAGCCAATACCCAAAAGGGTAATCACTTTCTAGCTTTTGGAAGGTTACATTGTGTAAAGAAAGGAGCAAGGGCTCGGGAGCCCAGATGACCCAGATTCTCATTTCTCTTCCCAGGCTAGACCTTCACCAGCCATGCATCCTTGCATAGGTTAGTTAACCTTCCTAAACCTCTATTTCTTTGCATGTAAGATGGGAGTAAAAATAACCACTTCATATGGTTGCTTTGAGAATTGAATATAAAACAACTAGCCTGTGGGAGGTCTCTTATAATTTTTCTTCCTAAAAGGAGGACCCAAGACTGAAAACAGGCTTCCTTAGTCCCAGATTCTATTAAAAAATTTGAGGCTGGGTGCGGTGGCTCACACCTGTAATCCCAACACTTTGGGAGGCCGAGGCGGGTAGATCACCTGAGGTTGGGAGTCAGAGATGAGCCTGACCAAAATGGAGAAACCCTGTCTCTACTAAAAATATAAAATTAGCTGGGTGTGGTGGCGCATGCCTGTAATCCCAGCTACTCGGGAGGATGAGGCAGGAAAATCGATTGAACCTGGGAGGTGGAGGTTGTGGTGAGCCGAGATCGTGCCATTGCACTCCAGCCTGGGCAACAAGAGGGAAACTCTGTCTCAAAAAAAAAAAAATGGATATTTCTGGATGGGGAGCATGTAACTACCTCCCTGGGCCCCCATTTCTCATCTTTTGCAGTGGATACCACCTGAAGCAGCTACCAAGTTCTCTACACCTCTCTCACTTTGGGAATGACCTCGGTACACAGAGGTGGAATGCTGGTGGCCATGCTTGGCCCTAGCCCCAAGCCATAGCTACTGGCCCAGAAGTACACCTTGTATATAAGCCAGGCCATTCAGAGTTTTTCCCTGGGATTTTCTTATCAGAACTAAAGGGAGAGAAAGGAAGAGTCTCAGTCTCTCTCAGGTGGTAGTCATGAAATATGAGTGGTAGGAACCACGGCCCTATAGAGGAAGCCAGCAGTTTATCTAATGGAACTGGCATGCAGAAATGAAAGACATAAAGAAAGGTGCAATTCTGTTAAGTGAAGTCCCAGATTCCAAGTGTCCCTACAACCCAGATATACCCTTTACACAAGGCTTGCAAAATGCTCCAGTGTTTTCTGGTGGAAGAATATCTTCTTGCTTAAGGTAATATTTTGCCTAAGGATTTCTCTCCATTGGGTTGAACTGGATGATCATTAAGGCTTCTTCATCCCTTAATCATCTGTGGTTCTTAAATGTGGACTGAAATACCTACTGTACTTTTATCCTGGGATCCTAAGACTTAAGGACAGAAGAGATTCTCAAGACCCAGGATGATAAGCCACAGGGATAAAAATTTCTAATATATTTTTTCTATACACCTTCCTATGACTTATCCCCCACTCCTAAAGCTAGCAGTATTATTTATATATATGTATGTATAACAATTAAATAGCATTTCATATCTTACAGTGTTCTTTATCATATAGAAAATTTATAACACCCCTGCATGGAGGTGTCACTCTTTTTGCTACTGTTATAGAAACTGGTTTTTTGGTCTTTCCTGGCTTAAATCTCCAGTCTTCTCAGGGAGCCCAACCCTGGAAAAACCTATACCATCTCCACCACTCCTAGGTCAATCAAGTCTTACAGCAAGAGTTTTCAGTTCTGTGGTCCTGACATATCCTTTGCTCTTGAGTCAATGCATTAGTCTGTTCTTATACTGCTATAAAGAACTATCTGAGACTGGGTAATTTATGAATAAAAGAGGTTTAATTGACTCACAGTTTTGCAGACTATACAGGAAGCATGACTGGGAGGCCTCAGGAAACTTACAATCATGGCAGAAGGATGAAGGCGAAAGAAGGCACATCCACACACGGTGGCAGGAGAGAGAGCAAAGGAGGAAGTGCCACACACTTTTAAACCATCAGATCTTGTGAAACTCACTATCACGAGAACAGCAAGGGGAAAATCTGCCCCTATGATCCAATCACCTCCCACCAGGTTCCCCCTCCAACATTGGGAATTACAATTCAACATGATTTGGGTGGGGACACAGAGCCAAACCATATCAGTCAACAACGCCTATTGTAGGCTCACACTGTTAACGTATTCTTAAAATAGCCACTAGGGTCACCTGCAAGAAGCCCTGCAAATTGATTCACTTGAATGGTGTTTTCAGCACCCATAGCACTGGGGCCTAAGAATACGTGCCAGGGAGAATGTCAGAAATGCAAAATATAAGACTCCTAGCCCCAGCAGGTCACCACCTGGGTGGGAAGGAGGTCACTGACACAGATAGCGGCAACCTTCTAGGGATTATGTTATGATCCAGGCAGGTGCTACATTATCCAAGGAAAGAGAACAGCAAACCCACTCCATGAGTTCTGAGAAGGCTTTCCAGGAAACAGCACAGCTGAGTCTTGAATCATCTCAGCCACTTCGCAGTTCTGTAACTTTGGGCAAGTAACCTTATCTCTGGCATGTTAGTCTTCTCTGTAAAATGGAAATAATAATTGTGCTCCCTCATAGGCTTGTTGTGTGTATTAAATGAATTAATGCGTGTAAGGTACTTAAAACAGTGATGGGCACACAGTTAGTATTTAACACCCATTAGCCATTGTCATCATCATTATCATCATCATTAAAAAGTAAGAGTTTATCACAGAGGCAGGCAGGGTAGGATGTCAGTCAGAGGGAATGACAGGGCTGTGTAAAAGCATGTTATACTTGGAGTTTGGCAAATTGCGCCAGCTTGCTGCAAAGTCAAGTGTGTAGGGATCTTAGGAGCTGATTCTCCAGGTATCACCAAACTTTTTCAATAGAGAGTCAGATAGTAAATATTTTAGGTTTTGTGGGCCAAGGGCCAGCGTCCTTAACTTTTTAAGCAACTATTCTCTCCAAAAGTATAATGGTTTGTTTAGCACTTTATGTTTAAAAATGTCAAAACCATGTTTTTTGTTCATGGAACATATAGGTTGTGGGTTTTATTTGGTCCATGAGACACAGTCTGCTAACCCCTGCTGCAGAAAGCAACTAGGAGCTGGGCTGTTAAAGACAGCATAGGCCTTGCTAAGGAGGATGAGCTTCTCTAGGCAGGGGAAAGGCAAAGGGTTTAAACGGAACTTCAAGATCAGATTCGCATGTGGCAAAGTAACATAGAGAGTGGATTGGGGTGAAGAGGGAGGGGCAAGCTTAAGCTAGCAGTCTAATTAGAAAATGACTATAATTGCAATGGAAGTGATATTTGTACAGAGGCAGTACTGATGAGGATGCTGAGAGATATTTAGGGGCAAAATTAACATAACTTGTCTGGATTTAGCCAGTAAGAGAGAAAACAGAACACTCAATGTATCTGCTTATGTAAAGACAGATAGACCTCTACTTAGGGTAGAAGTGAGTGCCCCATCCCCAGAAGCATTCAAACAGAGCATAGATTCCCACCTGACAGGTATTCTGCAGACAGCAATGAATGGAAATAGAAGCAGATAAAGTATCTTCTAGCTCTGAAGGCCCACAGTGCTATGGCTCTGTGATCGTCTTTATCAATCTAACAGGCACAAACGATTTGTTTAGTCAATGAGGGATATAGACAAACTTCACCCCTCAATATGAATCACCTTAATTTTGCAGAAAGCTGTCTATTTTCTATAGTGCTCACATCCATTATCTCTCTGAGGAGCCTGGAACAGGACTCAGACCTGAAACACACTGGACAAACATGAGACGGTTATCATTATTTTAAAAATATGCTTCAGTTGAATATAAAAGTTCTTTACATTATTTCAAGTTTAGTGCAGTTATTCTGACTTGGGAACAGCAAATTATTCACTTCTATACCCCTATAATTTCTTGGACAATAGTTGGCACATTGCAATAGTACACAAATATTTGTTAAATCCTAGCAATCCAGCAGAAGCCAGCTTGGAAAGCATTTCCTCCACGTGGCCTTCCACCATGATGCTATAGAAAAGACCCGCTCGTGTCATCACTGGCTCCCACTGCAATGAGAACAGCATCATTGTTGATAATAACAGACACCTTTTTTTGGTATTCCTTGTGTGGCAGGTGAGGTGAGGGTGAGGTTCCTTACAGACATTCTGCACTAAGCCTCGCAAGGACCTAATGTGTTTCTCTTTTCTTTTCTTTTCTTTCTCTCTCTCTCTTTCTCTCTTCCTTTCTTTCCTTCTTTCTTTTTTTGTCTGAGAGAGGGTCTCACTCTGTCACCCAGGCTGAAGTGCAGTGACATGATCACAGCTCACTGCAGCCTTGGCCTCCTGGACTTAAGCAATCCTCCCACCTCAGCCTCCCAAGACTACAGGTACACCACCTGGGACTACAGGTTAATGTTTTTTGTTGTTGTTGTCGTTTTGGTTTTTTCTTTTCTTTTCTTTTCTTTCTTTTTTTTTTTTTTTTTTTTGAGATGGCATCTCCCTCTGTGGCCCAGGCTGGAGTGCAATGGCACAATCTCGGCTCACTGCCACCTCCGCCTCCCAGGTTCAAGCAATTCTCCTGCCTCAGCCTCCCAAGTAGCTAAGATTACAGGTGCCCACCACCACACCCAGCTAATCTTTGTATTTTTAGTAGAGACAGGGTTTCACCATGCTGGCCAGGCTGGTCTCAAACTCCTGACCTCAGGTGACCTGCCTGCCTTGGCCTCCCAAACTTCTGGAATTACAGGTGTACACCACCACTCCTGGTTAAGGACCTAATGGGATAGATGCCATTGCACTGCCCATTTTACGGATGATAAAGTTGCAGCCCAAAGAAGTGAAAGGCTAATTTTATTTTATTTATTTTTTAAAGACGAGGTCTTGCTATGTTGCCCAAGCTGGACTTGAACTCTTGGTCTCCTGTGATCTTCCCACTTCAGCCTTCAGAGTAGCTGGGATTACAGGCACCTGCCACCACACCCAGCTCACACAGGCTAATTATTGAATAACCCCTGCTTTTCCAGCAGACACAATGAGGGCATTTTTGTATCTGTTTATTCAAGGAGGGAGACATTGGGGCTGTTAGGTGTGCCTGGACTGGTAATAAGGTCTTTTATCATAACCCTCCCAAAGTCTCAGGGCGGCTGTGGCCAACACGCGTCTCCAGGCCCACAGGCTCTGAGGCGGAAACCACAGTTCCAGGTCCCCAGGCTCCAGCCGCCAATGCGGCTACCGACCAGCAGAGGGCAGCTGCGGGAAGCCGTCCAAAGGCGGCCTCCACCCCCATTAGTGCCAATTAAGCCGCGAGATGCAAGAGGCGAGCGCGTGGTGAAAGAAAACACATCTACTTCTGGGTTGAGCTAGGCTGGGTGATCTGCTGGGAGGGACGTTGACCTGCTTCCAAAAAGCCGGCTGGATGGTGCCGTGGTGGCTGCCTGCAAAGGAACACCGGCCTATGGGAACCAGACCCTGGGGCTTCCCGCGAGCTTCTCTTCCTCCAGCCAGCAAAACAGGAAAAGCCTGGCCCAGGGACGGAGGGAGATGTTGTGGAGCAGACGGACTGGCTGGAGCCAAAGGGCAGCCTCTTTGGAGCAGAAAAACAAACCCAGACATATCAAGAGATGCACAGGATGTCCCCAAAGCGCGTGCTCACGAAACAGGGTGAAACACACACACATTCAGAGTGAGCAACAGTCCCAGCCTGACTGATAAAATCCGGACAATCTCAAGCAAATCGCGATGGTTGGTTACTTGTCAGCTGAATACACATGCAGGCTGTGTACATCCACAGGCACAAGTGTATAGATGTAGCACAAATGCCCCCTGTCCCCCCGCCACCGCCACCAAATAAATGCAAATGTTTACCCACTCAGGCATAGGCACATTGAGACTGGAGGCTGCACTGGTTTGAATTCAGAAGGTCTAAATTCCAGTCCCAGCTTTGCCCCAAATCTGTGCCACCTCGAACAAGTTACCAAACCATTTTGGTTCTCAGTTTCCTCATTTGTAAAATGGAGGAGTCAAGCCCGTCAGGTTTCTTAAAATTATACAGCTTTAAAGCATTAAGTTCTCCAAGGAAGCCTGGGACTGCTTCTTATTTCTTCACCAAATCTCTAACCTTAGGGGAGGAACCAGCAAGATGGCCCAGTCCAAGTCCCTGGCCCCAAACCATTTCATGCAACAGCTCTATGGATGTTCTTATCTATCTGACAACCTGGAAATCTTTAAGTCAGCGCGTGTATGATCGTCTCCCTGTGAACACGATCGTACTGAATATGCAATTTCTTTTTCTGTCCTCCTTCTTCACTTAACTTTAGTACAGAGCATAAGAATTTCACAAACATGTTTTTAAATGGCCATGAAATGTTTCCTTAAATGGATAACTGTACCCCTCAGTTCGCTTTTTCTTGCGCGCCTCCCCATGTCCACCCCACACCCTGCGTTAGCTACTATAAATAATACTCCACAAAAAAAAAAAAAAATCTTCATGCATGTATCTTTTTTCTATTTTTGGATTTTTTTCTTTAGAAAAAAAATCCCAGAAATTAAATTACTAAAATTATATCTTATTTTAAGAGTCTTCATGCATATTGCCAAATTGTTTTCCAGAACGGTCGCCCTAGTTGACATGTCTACCAGCAATGCGTGAGATTCTTTATATCATCCCATTCTCAAAAGCATTGACATCCTCTTGTTTTTGTTTAAACTTTGCTAATTCAATAGGCAAAAAATGTTATCTCATGGTTTTAATAAGCCTTTCTTTGATTATTAGAGAGAGTGAACGTTTTTTTTTCTTGTGTTTGTTAACCAGTTGCATGTATTTCCTCTTTTGAGAATTGTCTGTTCTTGCCCTCTGCTCACTTATCTACTGGGTCTTAGTGAATTTAATTGATTTGCATGCGCTCTTTACATAATAAAGATAGTAATCCTTTGTCATATTGGCTGTGGGTATTTTTCCAGTTTGCTTTATGTATTTTCCTTTGTGATTTCTTCTATCACTTCTAAGCTTATACAGCCACCCCATCCTCCAGAGACTTGATAAATATTCATTTCTAATTCCTAGTATTTTTTTCTCCTGGGATGATTTGATTCTATAAGCTTAAGATTCCATGAGACCACAAATCTATGATTTTGTGCTTCCAAGATGAGTACTTCTAGCTCCTGATTTTCTTTCAAGGCATAGAATCCCTAATTTATTTCATATTTCCTTTTTACACGTCCCCACCCTTTGGATTATAAACTCCACGAAGGCAGGGACTGGGTCTGCCTCATTCCACCTGTATCCTAGGGGCCCAGCACAGTGCCAGGCACATAATAGGAGCACACTAAATGTCTACTGCTTGCTTATCTTCCTGATCTGTTTCAAGCTCTCAAGAATGCCCCAGTTCTGGCCCCACATCCAAGCATGCAGCATGGGTCGTCAGATGCATGATGTGACAGCATCTGGGGAAGCAGGAGGGCATTACCAGAAGAGAAGATAGCAATAGTTGAATTAAAAAGTGTGAAGGAACATGGCATGTAGAAAACAATATTGAGTCTAACATGCCAAGAGTGCAGGATGTGTGTGCTTGTGATAGGAGATACAGCTGAAAATGGAAGTTGGACCCAACTGGTGAAGGTTTCCGAGACAGTTTTGGAATTTCAGCCACAAAAATTCCATTCTCCACAGTACAGCCAGAGTGATCTTTTTAAAAGGTAAATCTGATCATGTCATTTTCCTGCCTCACATCTGGCAAAAGCTTCCCTTTGCAGGTAGGACACAGTTGAGAATCTTATTATAGTCTCCAGGGTCCTAGCTTTCCCATTCACCATGCCTCTTGCCACTCTCCCTTTGCTCACATCACAATTCCTTGCTATCCTTCGGCTCTGCCAGGCCTATCCTGTAACCAAGCTTCTGTGACTGCAGATTTTTTCCCATTAACCCTCTCATCCCGGGGCTACACATGTCTGCTGCTTCTCTTATTAGAATAGAGTTCAAACACACAAGACTTCCCACTTACCTATCACTCTTCTCTTTCTCCTTGCTTTACTATCTTCATCCAGTGTATCACTATCTAAAGGCATCTTCTTTGTCTATCTACCTGTTTATTTTTTCTGTCTTCTTCTTGAATGCAAACCTCAGGAGGGCAGAGGCCTTCCCTGTTTTATTTACTGCTACAGTTCCATCACCTACAACAGTGCCTGGCAGGCATAGTAGGAGATGGCTAAATTTTGCTTGAATGCATCAGATAAACTCATGGGCAGCTGGAGCCACAGGGAAAGGGGGTTGTGAGTAGGATGGTGTGTCTGTTTCAGAGATAATTCTGCTGGCATGGTGGAGAATGGTTTGGAGCTAGAGAAACCAGGGACAGGAAGAAGGAATAATGTTACCCATAAATGGTTGATAACCAGAAACTTTTCTGAGAAGAGGATTTGATCCAGGGAGAGCTAGAGATGGAAGAATGTTGTGTACTGGGTACTGGAAAGGGTTTTTAAAAACGTGCAGAGTTAGCAATGTGCTGGCAACCAACCCAAAAAATCCGTAATTGTAACAAACAATTATACGGTGTTTTAGCCCCCTTAAGGCTTTGACACTATCTCAGGATATCCTCACCATCACGATTCAAAGTAGGCAAGGTATAGGCTGCTATCTTCATTTTACAGATGAGAAAACTGAGGTCCTGGAAAATTAACCCAGGGTCACACAGCTTGTGAGCAGTGGATGTACAAAGAAACTGAGGTTCTGATGCTCAGCCCTGCCTGAGCTCTGCCTGGTGTCACAATTTTCCCACAGTAGCTGCCCTCCATGGAATGCTGCTGTGGGTAAAATCATATTTTAGGGTTAATGATCCAGATGAATAATGTTCCCCTGCCTTTGGGCCAGGCAGCACAAGAGAACTGCAGTGTCACTTTCTTCCTTAAGAGAGTTAAAATATCACAAGTCAGAGTGGAGGCCATTTACCCCCACATTAACAGCAAATGCCATTTGTTCCCAATGATATCTCCACATCTGACTTTCGTTTCCCTCCCCCGTGGCTGAAATTACAACAAAATGAAGCAAGGGCCAAGGGAAGGAAGAGATAAACAAGGGTCGGAAAAAGACAAGGAGTGACGCCTCTGTTCAACTAGGCAGACAGGCTGAGAGTCCCAGATCTCCTTATCCTTTCTAAACTGGAGCCAGTAACATCTTTATTGAGGTAGCAATTACTGGTGGCTCAGCAGGAAGCCAGGGGCAGGTCTGGTGGAGAAGTCTCTGGATGTATGAGCTGGAGAGGGAGAAAGAAGGGCTTGGAATGTCTTACGATTCTCCAGAATGGAATAGCTCCCCAACCCTCCAATTTGGCATGCCAAACCCTACCTATTGTTCAAATGCCATCTGCTTCATGGAGCTTACATAGGTCACACCAGTCATTTTAATTCAGAGCTTGCACATATCTGTCATGATTCTTTAGACTGTGAGAAAGATGTGGAAAGCAACAGGGGCATGGAGAACTGCACCCATCCTTGAGCCTGAGAAAAAAGCATGAGGTGAGGGCACAGCACAGACATGGGTTCTCTTCTGGACAGCTCCAGAAGGTGCTAGAGCAGCACCTTCCACCTCTTCAAGTCTTTCCAGCAATGTGCACCCAAATGCAAATAGAGGGGCCATTTGAAAAGCCTTATCCCTAGATGCTGACAGTGGTTCAAGAATTGTGTGGCTAAGGAGAGATAGTGTTTTTAGGGGAGTATGTTCTGGTTGAGGGAATGAGGTCCCATAGCCCACTCTCCCAGAGCCCACCAAACAAGTAATCTGTCTTGACAGGAGCAAATCAATAAACCTTTTTTTTCCTTCCTTCCTCCTTTCCTTTTTTTCTCTCCACTGTTCCTTTCTTCCTCTCTTGTTTCAATTTTTTTTTACTCACTCATTCCTCCCTCATCTTTTTTTTTTTTTTTTGGGGCCTCTCTCTCTTCTGTTTCCCTGAACCCAAATTAATATTTTCAGATATCTTTCCTGTGTTATTAAAAAAATTTCCTTCTACAGAATGGGAGAAAATTTTTCAATCTACTCATCTGACAAAGGGCTAATATCCAGAATCTACAAAGAACTCAAACAAATTTATGAGAAAAAAACAAACAACCCCATCAGAAAGTGGGTGAAGGATATGAACAGACACTTCTCAAAAGAAGACATTTATGCAGCCAAAAGACACATGAAAAAATGCTCATCATCACTGGCCATCAGAGAAATGCAAATCAAAACCACAATGAGATACCATCTCACACCAGTTAGAATGGTGATCATTAAAAAGTCAGGAAACAACAGGTGCTGGAGAGGATGTGGAGAAATAGGAACACTTTTACACTGTTGGTGGGACTGTAAACTAGTTCAACCACTGTGGAAAACAGTGTGGCGATTCCTCCAGGATCTAGAACTAGAAATACCATTTGACCCAGCAATCCCATTACTGGGTATATACCCAAAGGATTATAAATCATGCTGCTATAAAGATACATGCACACATATGTTTATTGCAGCACTATTCACAATAGCAAAGACTTGGAACCAACCCAAATGTCCATCAATGATAGACTGGATTAAGAAAATGTGGCACATATACACCAGGAAATACTATGCAGCCATAAAAAAAAGGATGAGTTCATGTCCTTTGTAGGGACATGGATGAAGCTGGAAACCATCATTCTCAGCAAACTATCGCAAGGACAAAAAAACAAACACCACATGTTCTCACTCACAGGTGGGAATTGAACAATGAGAACAGTTGGACACAGGAAGGGGAACATCACACACCAGGGCCTGTTGCGGGGTGTGGGGAAGGGGGAGGGATAGCATTAGGAGATATACCTAATGTAAATGACGAGTTAATGGGTGCAGCACATCAACATGGCACAGGTATACATATGTAACAAACCTGCACATTGTGCACATGTACCCTAGAACTTAAAGTACAATAAAAAAAAATTTCAAAAAGTTTCCTTCTTCACTACTGAATTCAAGACATACTGCCTACAAATTATTATAAGGAAATTGATTTTTGTTTCTGCATAGTTCAGTGTATTTTTGTCCACAGATAAACAGAAACATCATTTCAAGGTAAAGAGCAGTTTGTGTGTATGTGTGTGTGTGTGTGTGTGTGCATGTGTGTGAGAGCAAGTGTATATGTGTGAATGTGTCTGGGTGCATGTGTGTATGTCTGTGTGTACGTGTGTGTGTGTGTGTGTGTGTGTGTGTGTGTGTGTGATGATCTGATGGCTCCCAGGAAAGCAAGGGAAAAAAGGAGAAAACACAAATCAGATTCATTCGCTCATTCACTCCATCAAGAAGTATTTGTTGAGAGCTTACTGTAAGCCAGGTGCTATGCTGATCCCAGCCTCATGGAGTCCCCAGCCAGGTACAGGAGTTAAAGAGAAACCAGGAACTTGTAAGCCAGTGAGCTCAGCCTGTGGTAGGGGACGTGTGAGGAGTGCAGATGAAGGACACAGCAGAAGCACTGGCCTTGGGATCATTTCTTGGAACAACTGAAGCAGCTCAGGCAAAAGAAAGGATATGTGTAAGCTCTGTCTAAGAAGAAAGGCAGAGGGTGAAGTTCAAGAAGCCCTGCTAGCCCTGGGAGGGGCAGTCCCTTCAGGATCAGCAAGGCCCCAAGATGTCAAAACATCAAAAATACAGTAAATAAAAAAGCATGATTAATACAGACAGCAAGCTTCTAAGGATGGGAACAAAGGGGAGTGGTGGGGAGTAGGGAAGAAGCAAAGGTTTAGATGCAGGTAAGAGGAACAGAGACAGACTGAGAGGATAGCTGTGTTTCAAAGTGTGAGTGTATGTTTTTATGTTTTAAAGAAAGAAAGAGGCCAGGCGCGGTGGCTCATGCCTGTAATCCCAGCACTTTGGGAGGCTGAGGCAGGTGGATCACCTGAGCTCAGGAGTTCGAGATGAGCCTGGCCAATGTGGAGAAACCCCACCTCTATGAAAACCACAAGAATTAGCCAGGCGTGGTGGCACACCTGTAATCCCAGCTACTCTGGAGGCTGAGGTGGGAGAATCACTTGAACCTGGGAGGTGGAGGTTGCAGTGAATTAAGATCGCACCACTGCACTCCAGCCTGAGTGATAGAGCAAGACTCCATACCAAAAAAAAAAAAAAAAAAAAAAAAAAGAGAGAGAGAGAGAAAGAGAAAGAGAGATGGCAGCTGCAACAAGGAATGAAACATTGGACAAAGAACCAGGACAAGTAGAGGAAATGCTCAGGACACTTTGCTGCATGACAGACATGTAAGTTCCTCCTTTATTATATCAATATTTTTCATTAATGCTTTCAAAGTTGGACTTGGGAGGGGCTGGTATTACATTAGACTGATCTATTATATCAGAAAACCCATTCATATTTAGATTTTATCTCGATATTCTAATCCAGTGCAATAGTTTTCAAACTTTTATGAGCCATGGAATCTTTTCTCCAATTGAGAGCTTTTGCAAAAGTCCAGTATGTTTAAAAAAATAATAATAATAATAACAGAAAGAAAACTACTCTGGCTGATGATGGGGTTTTCAGGCTTTACCAGCCCAGCTCCCCTCAGTCCCCATAGTAGCCCCTGGGACCCCTCTACTCAAAGTGCAAAGCTTCCCTGAGCATATTTTGAAAATCTCTGCTCTGGGGCAGTGACAACTGTATAAACTGAAGGCAAACGTGAGGATAGATTTGAGCTAAGCCTGAGGACAGGTTTGAGATGGAATGCAGATCTAAAGTTTGAGATAAAGTGCAGATCTAAGGAGGTCCCACTCTGGAAAGGACCCACGTACATGCATATATGCAGTATAGGGAAGAAGTTAAGAGAATGTGCTTTTTCAATCATATGAATCTAGGTTTCAAACTCACCTCCAATCCTTGGGCAAATCACGGGAACCTCAGTTTCCTAATCCATAAAATAGGACGCATAATATGTATCCTAAAGCACAATAATCAGAATTAAGCCAGAAAATGTACTTACTAGAGTGTTTAATTGGTAGTCAGTGTTCAGTAAACGTAGACTATTATGAACATCCTCATTAGTGTAATTCCCCAATGATACTAGGCAAATTATACTAGTTGGCCTCAATAAGACTTTTATACCTCTCAAAGTTGTATAAAAATAGAATGGAATATCTAATGGTGGTGAGTTGCCCAATTTGAGGGATTTTTAAAGAGAAGCTCAAGGTTATGCATAGGGATATTGCCAGGTGAATTAATTAATTAAGTGAGGAGTGGGACTATGTGATTTTCCTAGGTCTATTTCAATCTTGCAAATCCAAGTGTTGTGGCTACATAACTCTAATCCCACTTGGTTGTAGGATCCTCAGACATTAAAATTCCATCAGTGGGGCCAGGCGTGGTGGCTTACGCCTGTAACCCCAGCACTTTGGGAGGCCGAGGCGGGCAGATCACCTGAGGTCAGAAGATCAAGAGCAGCCTGGCCAACGTGGTGAAACCCTGTCTCTACGAAAAATACAAAAATTAGCCAGTTGTGGTGGTGCACACCTGTAATCCCAGCTACTTGGGAGGCTGAGGCAGGAGAATCGCTTGAAGCTGGGAGGTGGAGATTCTAGTAAGCCGAGATCGCACCACTGCACTCCAGCCTGGTGACAGAGCAAGACTCCGTCTCAAAACAAACAAACAAAAAAGATTTCATCGCTGTTCAATTTTGTTAAGCCAGTTCTGACTTAGTCCAGAACAGACCAAGGCTCAAACTCAGATTCATTGAAGGGATATGGAAAGAGAGGAAGGCTGGGCAATGGGGGTGTCAGCCTGGGAGCCTAGCATTCTAGCCCTTTGCAAGGCTGCCAGGTCTCACATCACTCAGGTGGATGAAACTTCCGAAATATTAACAGGTCACAGGCAATTGCTGCTTCCCAAACCAATTAGAACCTAATTTGGAGAAGTATGCTTTTCCGAAGAGGTTCATTAGCCAAATGCCACCCCACCTCAATTCTGTCATGCAGAAAAGATGAATGGGCCCAATATGTTGGCACTTGGCTGATGCCTGGGGTGAAAAGACAGATGCATTAAACTCAATGGGAACACAAATCACTTTCCATCTTTGGAGCAGCTAGTCATCATTAACCCCGCCCATCACCCAGCACATGAAGGTCTTCAGGACAGCTTTGGGAATGGCACCACCCCTCCCTCCACGTAATCCCATAACATTCAAAAAGACCTTAGAGGTCATTAGTCCAAGTAACTTCTCAACTTAGAAAGCAGTCCCCTCGACAAAGACCCCAACCATGGGGCTTGAGCATAGGGAGGGGTAAGAAACTACCTCCTTCCCTACGAAACTCATACCCCTCTAATAATAAAAAATAGCTTTTAAGACATACTCTCTCAACCTCTCTGCCCACCCGTAAATGGAGCTTTGCCTTGTGCAGTCAAGACAAAACAGCTTTATTGTATTTGCCTTTCAGTTCCTTTGATGTTCTCTTTCAGCTTCTCTTCTCAAGAGAAAATGCTCTCAGTTTCTTCAAATGCATTTAACTGTACTTCAAAGTCACTCACCCTCCTGGTCCTACATGCCACTATATACCTTTGAACACATTCCCTTTGGTCTACAAGTCTCCTAAAGTATGGTGCCCAGAACCAGAGACAATTCTTCAGGTGTCACATGGAAATTACAGAATATAACTGACCTAGTTCCTTTATTCTGGATACTATATAATGATACTTCAAACAATAGATGCCTTTCACTGCATATCACCATGTGCCAGACATATGCTAAATGTTTTCATCATTAATACAAACCTATAAGGAGAGTATTATCCCCATATGCGGAAGCCAAGGCATGAAATGATTAAATAATTTGCTCAAGATCACACAACTATCTATTGTAATGTCAGGATTGGAATCTGGGACTCTCAGACTTTGAACTACTATTCTGTTCTGCCTCTGCTTGAGATCAGTTGTAGCATCATTCTCATTTTACAATAACTGTATTATGTTTAACAGTTTATACAAAGTGTTTTTATATAAAATTCATTTTATTCTCAAAAAGACGCTGTCCTCTAGTTCCCTAAACCCTCAATGTCTGTGCCACATGAATGGCTCTCAGGTTAGATTTACCTCATCTGGTACTACATTTTTAATTGTTTTTAAATATAAATAAAGTGCAAGAGTTAATGTACCCCTTTAAATTTCACTGTGGTTGTTTCTCCTGATGTTTCCACCCATTAAGATAATTTTGGCCAGGCACGGTGGCTCACGCCTGTAATCCCAGCACTTTGGGAGGCTGAGGCGGGTGGATTATGAAGTCAGGAGATTGAGACCATCCTGGCTAACACAGTGAAACCCTGTCTCTACTAAAAAAATACAAAAAGTTAACCAGGCTTGGTGGTGGGCACCTGTAGTCCCAGCTACTTGGGAGGCTGAGGCAGATGAATGGCGTGAACCTGGGAGGTGGAGCTTGCAGTGAGCTGAGATTGCGCCACTGCACTCCAGCCTGGGCAACAGAGCATGACTCCATCTCAAAATAAAAAAAAAAAAAGATAATTTTGAGCTTTTATTTTGTCTTCCAATGTGTCTGCAATACCTATATATCTGATCAGCACCCCTTCTATATCTTCAGCCAAATCATGCAGATGTGTTGACAAACACCAGTCCAAGGACACAAACCTGCATCTTACCCAGGTAAGTAACCCTGATAATTCAACCACTGGCTGATCCACCTGGTTATTCTAGCCCGCTGGTTTCCAAAACAAGATGATCTTCAGAATCAGCTGGAAATTGTTGTGATTATCAGGTACTACCCAGGACCATCTCAGTCACGATTTCTGAGAAATACATATGTTTAAATAACTTCCTGGAAATTCTGGTTGTCTCTCAAGAGCACACACTTACCACTGATCTAGTCTATGTGTTTCCAACTTGGCCAGAATGGTATAAGGAAAAACTTGATCATGTCATTTGCTGAAACTGAAACATATCATACCTGAGATTCTTCTATCTGATATACCCATAACAGAAAATTAGGTTGCTTTAACAAGTAACTTATCTTGATAAACTGCAGAATTACTTTATAACACTTGATGAGGTTGAGGATTAATTTTTTAGGCTCACCAATGAGAATTATGTTTACTGAATTAGTGATTAATTTCTGATTATCTAGCACTATAATTTTATCAAAGAAAAAACAGAACCCTAAGGGAACAAAGTGACTTTCCCAAGGTCATGTAGTGAGTCAGTAGCTGAGTCTAAACTAGACTCCAAAGTGCCTGATTTGAGCTCATTGCTCTTTCCTACACATCATGCTATGTCTTAAAATTTATACTTGGCTTTGAAATTCACTGTGGTTTTGTTTGATTTACTACATATCAGATGGCCTTCCTTATTCAATTTTGCTTTCGCTGATGTAAAAATGAATTTGCATTCACACAGCACATGCCAGCTAATAGCAGAACTAAGGGGAGGGGAAAGAAAGGAAGCATTTCAACCATCTTCCAAAGGATATGAAGTGAGATTCAAATTTAAATATGTTTGAAGAAAATACACAGAGACCACGTTAAGTTCAAAAATTTGAGAGAATAGTGGAAAGTGGTCTTGACTGAAGATCTTGCTTGGTACTTCGGATAAACTGACAAACTTTTTACAGAATCCAGGAGTCTTGAGAACATCACTTTGCTATGGAAAAGTGTATTTCTAATAAGATAGGTGATTTCATTCATTTGTTTAATCTATATCTAAAAATGATTCTATGGCATCCTCCATAGAATAATCCTCCGGCTAAATGTTGTATGCACTATGGTTTGGTACTGCATTTATTTTGACTTGAGACCCAACTTAAAAACGAGACCATCCTGGCCAACATGGTGAAACCTCGTCTCTACTAAAAATACAAAAATTAGCTGGGCGTGGTGATGCACGTCTATAGTCCCAGCTACTCGGGAGGCTGAAGCAGGAGAATCGCTTGAACCCAAGAGGCAGAGATTGCAATGAGTCAGGATCGCACCACTGCACTCCAGCAGCCTGGCGACACAGCGAGACACCGAATCAAAAAAAAATTAAACATAAATAAATAAATAAATAAATAAATAAATAAACAAACAAACATTAAAGGGATAATGAGGTTGAATAACCAAGAAATAACAATGGCTTAATATGTATACCTATTCTTGGAATCTAAATTTAGGACCATAATACACAATGGTTGAACACCACATCTCTGAAATTATCAAAAGAGATCATTGATGGCAAACTATATTATTTTTATTTATTTACTTATTTATTTTTGAGACCAAGTCTCACTCTATAGCCCAAGCTGGAGTGCAGTTGTGTGATCTCAGCTCACTGCAATCTCCATCTCCCAGGCTCAAGTGATTTTCCTGCCTCAGCCTCCCAATTAGCTGGGACTACAGGCATGTGCCACCACACCCGGCTAATTTTTTTGTATTTTAGTAGAGATGAGGTTTCACCACATTGCCCACGGTGGTCTCGAACTCCTGAGCTCAGGCGATCTGTCTGCCTCGGCCTCCCGAAGTGCTGGAATTTTAGGCATGAGCCACCGCGCCTGGACAAAAACTATTATTTTTAACTACACCATTACAAAACATTACTAAGACAAACACAAACATTTTCCTATATGGCACTACAAGTAGCTTGAATGACTCCACCTCACTGAAATGCACTGTCATACTGAATTTTGGCATTCTGTATACAAAACTGTAAAATTACTCCAAAATTATTCATTGTATCAGTATATATTGGCACGCAATTTCACTTAGTTTTTACCAGCTGAAAAAAAAATGACATTTCACTCTTTTTGGCACTTTTTAAAAATATTACCCAATTCTATTAACCATAGCAGAGAGGGGAGAGGTAACATGCATTGAATACCTGCTAAGTTTTAAGCACTTGCCAGGTATTAATGCCTTCTATCCTCATCACCACCCTACAAGGAAGGGCATCATCATTCTCCTTCTTTGACAGGAAGAGAAGGCTTATGTAGTTCAGAACAGCTAAACAACTTGCCCAAGGTCACACCACTGGTGAATAGCAAGATCATGCTTTAAATCCCATAGCTCAGGCCCATTTGTCTACCGCAAGCTCCCTCCCAATGGTAAGCTTGAAGCACAGAAAACCCATGCAATGTTTTCAAGCCCACACAGCAAGTCCATGATGGTTTCAAGCTGAAAGCCAAACGTGAATCCTCCTGGGTTGGGGACTCTGCAATATTGATATTTCTCTTTCATAGGAGGCCTAGATGAGTTTTAATTGAAATGATGGATTCCTGAGCACATAGCTTTTTGAAATACAAATATGACAGGAGACAGTGTCAATAACACAGTCCTTTTCCAGATCATTTCAGAAAGTGAATTTGTTGGCCCACCTCTGGGAACATATATGCAGGGAACAATGAGTATGATATTCGATGTATTGGTCTCTGGAGAACTAATTTATGTAGGGGTTGGGAAAATGCCCAGAAGGTCTGCAAATAAATCAGGGAGCATCCATGTAGTCAGAATCCTAGTTACTGAAGCTAACAAGCCAGCCGCCTGTTCTCTCTTCCTCCCTGCTCTTTTCCTACAAGACACACTAAGCTCAATAGAGAAGAGATAGCAGAGAAGAGCCAAGAAGTAGAGGTAAAGGAAAAGCTACTCCCTCCAAGCACGTGAAGTCAGTCCATTTCCATCGCACTGGCTG
Organism: Homo sapiens; assembly: GCF_000001405.40. Classification (NCBI taxonomy): domain Eukaryota; kingdom Metazoa; phylum Chordata; class Mammalia; order Primates; family Hominidae; genus Homo; species Homo sapiens. The sequence continues at coordinate 119,569,640 of NC_000009.12, forward strand.
TGGTTTCTATCTCCCTGCTCACTACACTAGTCTCCCTCCATGGTCTTCTTGCCTCAGTCACAGTCCTTCCAACCAGTTCTCTATAGCACTGCCAGTAGCCAGCGTAATGCTCTCTAACACTCAAGGCACAATCTGTTCCTGTCTTGCTCAAAACCTCTCCATTCCTCTTTGTCCACTGGATAAACTCTGAACCCTCAGCATGGCACTTTGGACCCTGTATATCTGACTCATGGCTCTCTCTCCACTGTATCTTCCCTTCTAAAGGCTGGCTCCCATTTATAAGTGAGAACATGTGGTGTTTGGTTTTCTGTTCCTGTGTTAGTTTGCTGAGGATAATCACTTCCGGCTCCATCCATGTCCCTGAAAAGGACATGGTCTTGTTCCTTTTAATGGCTGCATGGTATTCCATGGTGTATATGTGGGAGCTGAACAATAACAACCCATGGACACAGGGAGGGGAAGAACACACACTGGAGCCTGTTGGAGAGGCGGGGGAGGGAGAGCATCAGGATAAATAGCTAAGGCATGCTGTATGCAGGGCTTAATACCTAGGTGATAGGTTGATAGGTGCAGCAAACATCCATGGCACACATTTACCTATGTAACCAACCTGCATGTCCAGCACATGTATCCTGGAACTTAAAATAAAATAAAATAAAATTTTTTTGAAAAGCTGGCTCCTCTGATGCTGGGACTAGGGTGGGGTGAGTGAGACACTTGCATTGGGAGCAAAATGGAAGGGGATGCCAAAATACCCAGTAATCAAGATACATAATACACTAATTCAATATTTTAAGAAATCACAGTCAATGCGAGTAAACCCATGATGGGCCAAATATCAGAAGTTTAAATAAAAATTGCTGTGCCAAAGCATATTGAAGCCTGAGGCAAAAAGAAAAATCAGTAATACTGATTCTGTTTTATTTAAACTTTTGGCATTTTGTTCATCATGGACTTTTTGCATTGATTTTGATTTTTAAAAATTTTAATATTAAATATCAGCCCCAGTCCTGCCTGTTAGATCCAAAATGCAACAGTCTCAGATTACAAAGGACCCAGAAGAACATGCAAAAAAAGGGTATCCTTAAGTTCTGTTTATGGCCATGAGAGAGAGATAATTAGAATTTGGACAAGGAGAATGGAATAATTTAGCCAGTCAGATAATTCTGGAAACAAAGGGCTGGCCTGGAGATGACAATGGAAGACAGGATCATTAATTGTCTTTTTTTTTTTTTTTTTTTTTTTTTTTGAGACGGAGTCTGGATCTCTCGCCCAGGCTGGAGTGCAGTGGCGCGATCTCGGCTCACTGCAAGCTCCGCCTCCCGGGTCATAAGTTGTCTTTTGACATAGTTTCCCATCACTTCATGTCAGCATTATAGGAGTCTTAGGCATACATCGTTGACCCTCATTGTCTATGTCGAGATAAGTGAAGTGGCTGATGAGGATCAAACAAACCAGAACTGAATGAGAACCAAGATCTCCTGAACCTTCATTTAACCATTAATTTATTTATTCATGCATTTATTCATTTAACCATTAAATATTAAGAGCCTAAAGGCAGAATTATTAGATAAACTATAGGACATTCAATTAAATTTGAATTTCAGATAAACAATAAATAAATTTTGGTGCAAGTATGTTCTAAATATTGCATGGGACATACTTATATTAAAATTTAATTGTTGTTGTTTATCTGAAATTCATATTCAGTTGATCATCCTGTATTTTTATTTACTAAATCTGACAACCCTACTATATATAAGGTTACTATGTAGCAGGCACTTTACTAAGAAATAAGAGCATATTGGAAAATAAAGTATACCCAATCATTGTCCTCCTGGAACTTAAAATGACTGAGGCAGACATTAATAAAAACCACTGCATAGATAATTTTAAACAGTATATTGTGATAATTTCTTAGGAAGGTAAAGTACAGGGTGTAAAAGCAGGAACTAACTTGATCTGAAGCACTAGTGAAACCTTTTTTGGGAAAGGTATATTTGAACTGAGATCTGAGGGTTAGGCAGGATTTAATTAGATAAATAGAGTGAAAAGAGGACTTTTTTTGGACAGAAGGATCAATATGTATGAAGTGATCCTGAGGTAGGAGGAGTTATGGTCTGCTGGAAGGATGGGAAGAAAGCACGGTCGCTGAGACTTAGAGATGGAGGATGAGAATGACAAAAGGCTTGGGGAGGTGGGCTGGGTGGGCAGGGGCCAAGACAAATGAAGCCTTGTAGTTCATTTTCAGAATGTTGGACTTTGTTCTAGCAAAAGGTTAAATCATTGATAAGGTAATCTTATCATTAGATAAGATTTAGATGACTAAAGCTGAGTTGTCAAAACATTGCCTAGTGATGGGTGGAGAGTTTAAGACCCAGGAGGAACAAGCAGATCTGTTAGGGACCTCTGCAGTAATGCAGGTGCGAACGATAGTGCCTTGGACCAAGGTGCTGGCCCAGGGTTAGGAGAGAGAACATTTGAATGCATTGTCCTTCCCATTACCTTAGTCTGTCAGGCAAGAGATGACATTAGTGATCATGAAAATGGAAAGGAAAGGATCGATACAAGAGACACTATAAAAGTAAAATTGACAGGGCTGGTTCAATAAGTGCTTCTTGATTGATTGACTAGAAATTAATGTCTGATGCCTTCTGTGGAAAGAAAAAAAAGCACACACATTATGCAACTGTTTAAAAATTGCTCCTTTATGTTCTCCTAGCTCTTTTAATGTCATCAAATGTCACCTCTTCTGATTGTGTGCATGTAATACGACATGTAATTAATCCTGCAGGTAGCAGGATGTGTAATTAAGCATATATGCATGGTGACTTGTAATTAAGCACACATTTATTGTGATGTGTGCATTGGTGGATGCTTCCTGGTGTGTGTAATTATGCATATGTCAGATGACATGGAATCACAACTCGTTCGGTGAACTGGCTAAGGTCTCAACTCCTATCCCGACCTGTTAATTGGTATTAATCTACCTCTTTTAGAAAAACATCTTTGGTAATTGAACCTGCTCTACTCTGAAGCATAAGCTATGGAAACATTCATGGATGCCAAAAAGAGGGCTCTATTTTCTTTCAATGTGTATGCAATTGATATACATCAATAATTCAAAAGAGAATATTAGGAGCAATTTCCAAACAATCTTCTATGTATAATAAAATGTTCTTATGAAGTCAACAAAATAACACACCTTCCCCAATCATTTCTCCTGTCAAAGAAGACAGCCTGGAACGGCGAAAGAGCATATTCTGTAGTCCTTAGTAATCTTCAGACAGATATTAAGCCATCCTATCTACCAATGAAGCCTGACTTGTCTACTTAGGATTGGTTTTGGGAGTCAGACTGAACTTAGTTCAATTCCTACACAGCGATTTATTAACTTCATTGGGCAAACTACTTGTCCGCTTTAAGCCTCAGTTTTCTAACTTGTAAAATAAGAATAATAATGATAGCATCTTGCTCAAGGTTATTAGAATCAAACGAGTTTGCATCAAAGGGCTTAGCATGAAATAAGATGCACACTTGTTAACTAGGTACACTTATATATATTATCGTTTTCAATCCCCACCATAATTCCACAACAGAGATATTATTCCATGCTATAAATGGGGATATTGAAGTTCAGAGGAGTTTGTAGTCTCACACAGCTATTAGGAAAGGAAGAAGTTCAAAGCCAGCCTATCAATGCTATATATTGTGCTTCTTCCTTTTGGTTATAATAAGACTTTGTTTTATTATAGGCTCTATATATAAGGGTGGCATATATATAACTTTCCAGCCTGCTGGACTCATTGGAGAAAATAGAACATAAATGTTAACAGTAGAAGTGCTGGAACCAAAAAAACCTAAATAAGAGTCCCAGATCTGTTACTCATCACTGGCGGGAGCTTAGCAAACTATTTCCCCCTCTCAGATCTTCAGTTTCTTCATCTGTAATATGGGACTATTAATACTGTACTCATAGTATTACCAAGACGATTAAAGGCAAATTTGTATGCAGTAGTAACCACAGAACCTGGCAAATAATGTTTGCTCAAGGGGAGCTGCCATTATAATTTTTTTTCTTTTTCTCCTTTTTCTTCTTCTTCCTCTTTGCAGCCTCTCAGCATCAAACACTTTTGCATGGCACCAAGTAGGATCATCTCAGGAAATGTGTGTTCAAGTGAGTTGAACCAGATGTTTTACTGAAAACCCTTAGGCCCGGAGATGAAACTTTTTACCTAGAAACTTTTTGAACAATGGAATGGGGTTCTCCTAGACCAAGGCGGCTTGTTGCTGCTGCATCAGCCTGGTAAGCGGATGGGCAGAAGAGGCTAGATCCCAGGCCCCAGCTTCCCAGCTTTCCCAGCCCTAACCTGCCTCCTTCATCTCAGTCTTGTGATTCAACTACAAAGCCTCCAGCATCAGACAAACACTGTCTGTCTCACATACTCAGTTATCATGTCAACAGTGAGACACAGGGCGTCAGAGTGACAGGGGTTTATCATGAGGCCGAAATGTTTGCTGTCTGCACAGGAGAATGGTTTTGCTGGAAATAAGGAGGGAAAGAACACAGGTGCCTGATGGGGCTTGGCAGCTGATTTTATTTCTTTGTCAGAAATAATCTTCACTCTCATGCTAAGGATAGAGAAGCTTAGGGAACTGCAGAGGGGAAGAAAGCTTAGATATCCCACCCAGATGGCATGCCAGACCCACTGAGATGGATGAGAACAGGAGCCAATGAGAGGCAGATCAGCTCCAGCCAAGGTCCCCCTCACCCATCAACTCAGAATACCATGACTTTCCTGGGGTGCCCCGTGAGCCCTATCCTTGCCAATGACCTTGATCTACTGGTTTGAAAGATGACAAGGCAAATTTGACTGCTGATTGTAGAAAATACATAGAACCTTCTCTTCATTACTCATCAGCTACCATTTTATTCCAAGACTATATGTCTTCTGATTCTGCCCTTTGATATCTTAGCTTGATTTCCCCACCTTAACACTTAATATTGCCCATCAAGGAACTTTGTTTCAGACCCATTGCTCTGGCATTCTTTACTCTTAAGAGTCACTTGAAATGCATTCAAGTGGGAAAACTTTCTACCATCTGTCTGGTATTTCAACCTGAAAAGAATACCCCACTTCATATGCGTGTACACACACACACACACCCTCCAGAAGAGAAATTGCTGGTCTAAATAGCAAAGCCTGATATTCACTGGGCTTCATTTAACTAGTGGGCAGAGTCACTGCTTTGAAGATGAAGCATATCTGAGCCCATGCTGCCTCTCCATTAGTGACTACCATCCTCCTGAATGACAGTCCTTGTCCCAGAGCCTGTTTGAGTAAGTAGATTCAAAGTGTGTTATGCAGACCCTACCATTTAGATCAGTGGAATATAGAATACTTAAGTTTGTGATTGCAGGCCTTGTATACCAGCATCTCTTAGCAAAGATGATTGGCCATTTGGAAAGTGCTTTGTGGGCCCACATATTTTTACTCATAAAATCTGTACCTTTGTTCCCCCATTTTACCATTTTCCATATAAGCATTGTTTCCTCTTCAGTGAGTTCCAGAGGAGATTAGCGATGAAATACCAAACCCTTACCCAGAACACTTTGTAGAAGCACCACCTTGGCTTTGAAGTCCCAGGACTCACCTGGTAAGTCCTTGAACAATTCAGACAGAAACACATTATTTTACAGTAGATCTAACAGTGATTTAAATTGATTTGGCATCTTAGTTGTGCATGTAGATAACCATCTTATCAAAGATAGAGATTTACATGTACAATATATATATAGAAGTCAGGGTTAAAAAAGATAACAATTTTGGGAAAGGCTTTTCGGATCTTAGGAATGCCACATTCAACAAATTGGTACTAATTTTCCCCCAAAGGACCAAGAACTACATTAGGTACCAGGGATTCAACATGAGTAAGTCATAGCCACTACCTCAAGAAGCCTCCAGTCTAATGGGCAGGAAGGCAAGTAAATAGGTCCTGATATACTATGATAAGTGCTATATGCAGAGTGAACACAGGGCACTGAGGCAGGCGTTCTGACTCATAAAGGACAAGTGGAAGATAAGTAGGGAAGGCAGAGGGCATTCCAGAAAGAAGGGCTAGAATGTGCAAAGGCAGGGAACTGAGATCAAACATGGCATGGATAAGAGGAGCTGCGTGGAGGTCAGTTTTGTTGGATCAATGGTATAGAGTAGATGTAAATGGGGAATGGTTTATAGTGCTGATGAGTGCAGGCTCAGAATGAGGCTACCAGAATTCAGACCTGAGCTTTGTCCCTTACTAATTGAGAACCTTGTGTAAGTTTTCTACCTTCCCCAAGCCTCAGCCTCCTCATTTGTACAATAGGGATCACAATAGTCCCTATCTTATAAGGTTGGCATAAGGATTAAATGAGCTATTGCCTACACAGTGGTTAGAACTCTGTGGGACACAGAGTAAGTGCTGAACAGAATGGTGGCTGGATGTGATATAGACAAAGAAGGGGACGGTGATTAGAATAAACCTGTGCAGAGATGAGGTTGGCAGAGCTCAGATCCTGAAGGCATTGTTAGTTGTGCTAAAAAATAAGATCTGAACTCTACCCATAAAGAGTTTGACAGGCCAGTTGCAGTAGTTCACACCTGTAATCACAGCACTTTGGGATGCTGAGGTAAAAGGATCACTTGAGCCCAGGAGTTTCAGATCAGCCTGGGCAACACAGAGAGACCACTATCTCTATAAAAAAATACAAAAATCAGCTGGGTATAGTGGCGCACACCTGTGGTACCAGCTACTCGGGAGGCTGAGATGGGAGGATCACTTGAGCCCAGGACGTCAAGGCTGCAGTGAGCCATGATCTCACCGCTGAACTCCAGCCTGGGTGACAGAGCAAGACATTGTCTAAAAAAAAAAAAAAAAAAAAAAAGAGTTTGTCATCCATAAGGGGAAAGACAATTACAACAGGGTGAGATAAATGTGACCATGTGGAGAGAGAGTGGGTGGTGATGAGGAAGCTCAGAGAAGGGCCTGGGAGCTGGTGGGACTGAGGGAGATTTCCCAGAGGAGATGAGGGTTGGGGGAAGTCCTGAAGGAGGTGACCTAGCTGCAACGCGGGGTTTGGGGAAAAGGACAAGCTGTGATGGGAAGGAAGCACTGCTCGGGTGTATGGTGCAGGCAGAAACTATTTCCAGTAGGTCAGGACAGGAAGAACTGCATGTTCTGGCCAAAAGTTCTAGATACCTAGAAAGTGCATAGAGAAAAGCATCATGGAACCTTGCTGTGCAGGTACCTTGGGAAGCAGTTTCATATATTCTCTCATTTAATCTTTCTTACTCCCTGAAAGGTATGAAATCCCCCTTTTACAGAGGAGCTCCATGAGGTCAAATGATTTACCCAAGATCATAAAGGTAAATGGTGGAACAGAGCTGTGAAGCCCAAGTTCATCTGACTTCAATACCTGGACATGCAAGCATTAATTTCAGATATCTAAACTTCAGGTAAGATGCGTCCCTGAACATGTTTTTCCAGAAGACAAGGAAGCGATTGTTCTAGATGAGAACCCAAGGGAAGTCCATAAAGCCAGAGAGTCCTTTTAAAGCATAAGTGCAGTTAAGTGACACTAGGAGATGAAGCAATTCTTAGTGTATTAGCATGTGTGTATGGATGGGTGCACATACGTGTTGCTGCATGTACAGGTGCATTACCAAGGCTATGCCCCTTTTGCTATTGGTTAGTTTTATTTGCTCCATATACATGCATTGCAGATAGGTTGGTAGACAGACAAACAGACTTACATATATGCAGATGGACAGATTAAGGGGGAAGGGGTCATAAAGGCATCTCAACTACCCTGGTGGTTGACTCTAATAAAACAGCTCTGTTGGAATAATGCAGTGTCTGAGAGATGGGGTGTAATATGGTTAAATGCTTTTACAGTTCCCCATTAAAGTAAGAGGATGGAAATTCATAAAATATTGATAGCATTTGAAATGTGTTCATTCACAGCTCTGCCCAGAATCTCAAGTGGTAGCAGGGTGGCTGGCCCAGGCAGATGGCATGCCTGAACCACTGCAGCCCCCCGATGCCCAAGTATCTAGGATGTCATCTGGCCACCTGAGCCTAGGATGGGAGTACAGTGAGAGGCAAGGTGGTGGGGTGGGGAAGGAGGGCTCATTTTTCAGTTCCTATGCCCAGAAAAGAAAGAATAGACAGAGGAGGTGTAGCCACCACTTACGCAAAATTGTAAAGTCAGCTCTGCAAAGTCGACAGGTCTCCAAGTAGACCTTTTATTTTTGTAATGCTTCTTCCACCACTCCAACCATGAGAAAGAATGAGGGTTTGATTCCACTCTCCACCCACTGGATGCAACTGATTGTGCCAGGAGTGAATGCCTGGACACAAGGGACTGATCAGAATCTTTTCCTGGAAAATCTTAAATGGTGCCCCAGGGAACCTGCCCTTAATTGGTGTACACAGCCACAGACTACTCATAACCCTGCTCCTCACCATGGAGACAAAACCTTCCAAGAGGACAAAACTTGCACAAAGAGAAAAGCAGAAACAGAGATGGAAACAGGTCTTATGACATTCAGAACCTTGGTTTAGTCAAGCCAGGGGAGCAACTGAAACACTGTTTTAATTAAAAAAAAAAACTAAAAAACTTTCTGGTTTTGCCTAAGAAAAATTGACTTCTAGAAAATGTTACCTTCAAACCCATTTTACTTTATATCCTCCATATGTTATCTAGTAATTAATAATTACATGTAATGCTTATTGACCATTTTCCATGTACTGATCATTTTGCTAAATTCCTTTAGGAATTTTCTTATGGAATCCTCCAAGTAATCCTATGAAGTTGCTGTTATTGTCATTACCATTTTATAGATGAAGAAACTGAGATTATAAGGGGAGATGCAGCTCCCTAATTTTGTGTATTTATTAAATAGCAGATCCAGGAATCAAATGAGATTAAGTTTTATGCCAACCTTATGTTCTTAACCAGCATACTCTACTTCCTCCCTAAAGTACTCCTGAAAATCTAGACTGACAATCTCAGAGTAGTGTGTAACTGATCCCCGGCTCTTGTCTCCTCCAGGCAATCACTCCATCGTCTACGTGTTCTCACAACCAAACAAGTATTGATACGGTCCCTGTCCTAAGTCAGGACCTCATCACCTCTCACCTGGGCTAGAGCCTCCTACTTGATCTCTTAGGCCCTAGTCTTTGTCAAAGAAAATCTGTCCCCCACTTTGGAAGTGTCCTTTTTCTTGTTATCAAATGCTGCTTTAAACATGCTACTAGTTTGCTAGAGAATCTTCAGTGAAAACACATTTTAAACCAGACTAAGGTCAAATTCTTCATGAGACATTCAATATTTTTCACAGGCTGACCCCAAACCACCTACAAGTCTCCATAACATCTCCTGTTCTCTGTTCATACTGGAAGGACTTCTCATTTCTAACACAATGCTTTTGTATGTGCATGTGTGTGTGTGCCTCTCTTCCTGTCCTTTTCCTGTTCTCTGGCAGAGCTGATCTTTTCACAAGATGACACAGTTTCTGAGAAGGAGATCTAGAGCTGAAACCAAGGTTTCCTTCCTGACTCCCAGTGTCTACTTGCTACGATAATTCCCTTAATGTTTTTTCCCCTCTTCTTTGATGAGGACACTGAGCTGTTCAAATTCTAAAATTCTGTACTTCTGTCTTTAGCAATGAAGGCATTAAAGATCTCTGTTACCATACAATTCCTGGGAAGAAAAATATTATCCTTTTTTTCTTGATTCGCAAGATCATAATTTGTCATACACTAGCATCTTTAAAGACTTTGAGGTGATGTGTCATAGGATATATATGTTCTAATACATAGGAGAGAAATGTCTAAAGTCTGCAATCATTTCCAAAATTATTGGAATTTATGAAACACATTCTATTCACGAAATGTCCTGGGATGGACCCAGGAAAGTCTAGGTGAAGGTCAGAATGAGACTATTTGGAGGGAAGACAAAATGGATAGGAGACAACAAAAATATTGTTATTTTTGTCTTTTGGCCAATTATTCCACGGATAAAATAATTATTAGGCTAGAAATTTTTTTAAAGGACTTTTAGTCCTTAACTTTCTAGCCAGTATAAAACTTCCCTGGCCGGGCGCTGTGGCTCAGGCCTGTAATCCCAGTACTTTGGGAGGCTGAGGCAGACAGATCACGAGGTCAGGGGATCGAGACCATCCTGGCAAACATGGTGAAACATCGTCTCTACTAAAAATACAAAAATTAGCTCAGCGTGGTAGTGCATGCCTGTAGTCCCAGCTACTTGAGAGGCTGAGGCAGGAGAATCACTTGAACCCGGGAGGCGGAGGTTGCAGTGAGCCGATATCGCGCCACCGCACTCCGAACTGGCAATAAAGTGAGACGAGACTCTGTCTCAGAAACAAAAATAACTTCCCTGAACAACGTATTTGACAGCTGGTAACCCAGTCTCTCCTACAACTCCTCTAGAACAGACAGTAATTGGTCTGTTCGGACTTTCTGTCTCTGCTGAGTTCAGTTTTGCCAAGTTCTAATTCTCTTTAAAAAGTATCAATTTCATGTGCTTTTCAAATGTATTCCATAGGATCATACAAAGCAGTCTCTTAAGATTTTTTCTTTTAATAGTTATTTATACCTTATTTTAAGTTTTATATTTCTATATTTTCCTCATTTTAGTTTTTTGATTCGTGGTTTGCTAGTGGCTTATTTTATTGTTTTTTTTTTTCAAAGTACCACTTTGGGATTTATTTATTAGTTCCATTTTTTCTGCTTTCTATTTAATTAATTTCTATCTTTATTAATGCCTTTTTTATGCTTTCTTTGAGTTTACTTTCTTGCAGTTTTACTAGCTTTTCTGAGTTAGGTGTTTTATATTTTTTATTTTAAAGACTGTATTGGTATAGGAATTTCATGCTATGATATTTTTCTCTAGAAAATGCTTTGGCTTCACAAAAAAATAGATTTTTTGTGTTATATTTTCACCGTTATTAGCTTTTTCAAATAATTTTATAATTTTATTTTTCTTTCCTCAATGTTTGTTTAGTAACTGTGTTGCTAAATATGTTGGTAGAGACACATTTTTTTAAATTTTTATATATTTCTACTTTTTTCAAATATTATCATAATTTTTATTATTTCTGTTTTATGGAATTTATTGCAGGGGTGTATTCGTGTATGTAGACATGCATATTGTCCTAAAATAAACATAAATGTGTGGATGTTCTATGCACACTAGAAAACAACTTTTATTCTGAGTTATTAAAGTTTGGAAACTTACTGATTATCTGGTTTAGGCCTTCTAAATATTATTAAATATTGTCCACTTTATGCATCTTTGCTTGAGTTAGATACATTAGATACTGCTATGAATTTAATTCCTTCTAGCATTTCTTGTAGTGGGATTTTTCAGTGCTAAAACCAGGAATGTCCTAGGCAAACTGGACAAGTTAGTCATCCTATCTAAATTCTACCTTTCCTCAGATTATGAATCCTGATTTATTTTATTTATCTATTTTTTGGTAACAGCTTCACTAAGATATAATGCACCTAGTTGGTGTATGGAACTTAATGTTTTTAGTATATTCACAGAATTGTGCAACCAATGAAATGAATTAACCACATGATGGAATATTATTTGGCAATAAAAAGGACTGAGTATTAATATATACTATAACATGGATAAGCCTTGGAAGCATTATGCTAAGTGAAAGAAGGCAGTCACAAAAGAGCTCACATTATATGCTTCTGTTGTTATGAATCATGCAGAATGGCAAATCCATAGAAACAAAAAGATTCGTGGTTGCTTAGGATTAGGGGGTTGGAGGGAAATGCAAGTTGGCTGCAAATGGGTGTGGGTTTCTTTGTTATACAAATAATAAAATAACAAAAAAACCCAAAACATTATTTGATTTATTTGATTTCATTTTTTACTTTAAGTTCTGGGGTACATGTGCAGAACATGCAAGTTTGTTACACAGGTATACAGGTGCCATGGTGGTTTGTTGCACCCATCAACCCTTCATCTACATTAGGTATTTCTCCTAATGCTATCCCTCCCCTAGCCCTGCAACCCCTGACAGACTACTGAGTGTGATGTTCCCCTCCCTGTGTCCACGTGTTCTCATTGTTCAACTCCCACTTATGAGCGAGAACATGTGGTGTTTTGTTTTCTCTTCTTGTGTTAGTTTGCTGAGAATGATGGTTTCCGGCTTCATCCATGTCCCTGCAAAGGACATGAACTCATCCTTTTTTATGGCGGCATAGTAATCCATGGTGTATATGTGTCACATTTTCTTTTTCCAGTCTATCATTGATGGACATTTGGGTTGGTTCCAAGTCTTTGCTATTGTGAATGGTGCTACAATAAACATATGTGTGCATGTGTCTTTATAGTAGAATGATTTATAATCCTTTGGATATATAGCCAGTAATTGGATTGCTGGGTCAAATGGTAATTCTGGTTCTAGATCCTTGAGGAATTGCCACCCTGTCTTCTACCATGGTTTAATTAATTTACAGTCTCACCAACAGTGTAAAAGCATTCCTATTTCTCCACATCCTCTCCAGCATCTGTTGTTTCCTGACTTTTTAATGATCACCATTCTAACAGGCGTGAGATGGTATCTCATTGCGGTTTTGATTTGCATTTCTCTAATGACCAGTGATGATGAGCTTTTTTCCATATGTTTCTTGGCCACATAAATGTCTTCTTTTGAGAAATGACTGTTCATATACTTTTCCCACTTTTTGATGGGGTTGTTTGTTTTTTTCTTGTAAATTTGTTTAAGTTCCTTATAGATTCTGGATATTAGCCCTTTGTCAAATGGATAGATTGCAAAAATTTCCTGCCATTCTGTAGGTTGCCTGTTCACTCTGATGATAGTTTCTTTTGCTGTACAGAAGTGCTTTAGTTTAATTAGATCCCATTTCTCAATTTTGGTATTTGTTGCCATTGCTTTTGGTGTTTTAGTTGTGAAATATTTGCCCTTGTCTGTGTTCTGAATGGTATTGGCTAGGTTTTCTTTTAGGGTTTTTATGGTTTTAGGCCTTATGTTTAAGTCTTTAATCCATCTTGAGTTAATTTTTGTATAAGGTATAAGGAAGGGGTCTAGTTTCAGTTTTCTGCATATGGCTAGCCAGTTTTCCCAACACCATTTATTAAATAGGGGATTATTTCCCCATTGCCTGTTTTAATCAGGTGTGCTATTTGTGACAAACCCACAGCCAATATCATATTGAATGGGCAAAAGCTGGAAGCATTCCCTTTGAAAACCAGCACAAGACAAGGATGCCCTCTCTCACCACTCCTATTCAACATGGTATTGGAAATTCTGGCCAGGGCAATAAGGCAAGAGAAATAAATAAAGGGTATTCAAATAGGAAAAGAGGAAGTAAAATTGTCTTTGCAGATGACATGATTGTATATTTAGAAAACCCCATCGTCTCAGCCCCAAATTTTCTTAAGCTGATAAGCAACTTCAGCAAAGTCTCAGGATACAAAATCAATATGCAAAAATCACAAGCATATCTATATACCAATAATAGACAGAAAGCCAAATCATGAGTGAACTCCCATTCACAAATGCTACGAAGAGAATAAAATACCTAGGAATACAACGTGCAAGGGATATGAAGGACCTCTTCAAGGATAACTACAAACCACTGCTCAAGGAAATAAGAGAGGACACAAACAAGTGGAAAAACATTCCATGCTCATGGATGGGAAGAATCAGTATCTTGAAAATGGCCATACTGCCCAAAGTAATTTATAGAATCAAAGCTATTCCCATCAAGCTACCATTGATTTTCCTCCCAGAGTTAGAAAAAACTACTTTAAATTTCATATGGAACCAAAAAAGAGCCTGTATAGCCAAGACAATGCTAAGCAAAAAGAACAAAGCTGGAGGCATCATGCTACCTGACTTCAAACTATACTACAAGGCTACAGTAACCAAAACAGCATGGTACTGGTACCAAAACCAATATATAGACCAATGGAAAAGAACAGAGGCCTCAGAAATAACACCACACATCTACAACCATCTGATCTTTGATTTATTTTATTTTCATTTGGCTGATATATATTCTTTTATTTTTATTTTTAAAAATTTACTTTATTTTTGACCTATCTCTCTTAGTCTTAGGTTGCTGTATCTCTTATTGATAGCAGAGTATAGAATTTGTTTTGTTAGAGAAACTAGATTTTTTAAATAGGTGAATTAAGCCCTGACATTTATTGATATGGTTGTTATATTTGTCCTGTGCTGTGTCATATTATCTAGTATTATAAGTATACTATGTTTTAGGCAACTTTTTTTCTACAATATAATTTATTTTATGTATTTCTATCTTTTTAAGGCTTTTCTGGGGGAAGGGAGTGGAGCACTTAGGAAGGTTTGTATTTTTGTCCTAATTACCTTCTGTATACCTTTATATAACACTTCTTGTCTCCCCCACTGCCAATGTACAATTTGGTACTATGAATAATATTGAAATTTGCTAGAAACATCTTCTTCACCTTTTTATATCCCAGAAACTAATCTGAAACAAGATCCTTTTACTCATTTATTTACTTATAGTTAATAACTATAAAGACCTCATAAGCTTAATATAGTTTTCATATGCTCTATCCTTTACCTCCTTTTTAAAAATACATGCACTGTTTCTACAGTTTCAGGGCATATAGGTGTTATAGCCTATAGTGTCTCCCTTATAACCATTATTTATACTTAGTACCACAGGCAGGTATATACTTAAAGCTTGCCACCAGGCCTTCTGTTAGCATCTCTCTAGTCATTTTCATTCTCTGGTAGTTTGCTTGGGAAAGGCTCCTGGGAACAATATTTCCTAAGTTCTTGCTTGTTGATAGCAGTTTGTCTGCAGTCTTTATACTTGAAAGTAAGTTTGGCTAGATTTATAATATATGGCTCATATTTTCCTTCCTTGAGTATCTTAAAAATGTCACTCTATTGTCTCCTGGCATAAAGCGTTGCTGTCAAAAAGTCTGACGACAATCGGATTTTCTTTCCTTTTTAAAGTGACTTAGTCCTTTTGCCTCAGAGCCCAGAATATGTTTTAGGATGTTTTAGCATTGGTCATTCTGGGTCATTTTTCTCAAGTACTATATGGTGTTCTTTTTCAGTATGGTTTTCAATCTTTCATTATTCGTTTTTAATTTTAGGAAAGCTGCTTTAAAATGTTATTTTGATTCATTTGGCTTTTTCTTCTCTGTGAACTCTTATTATATACAACATGCGTGTGTGTGTGTGTGTGTGTTGTTCTCTACTTACCTTCTATTTCTGCCACTTTGAAATATTTTTAAATCTCATCTGTCACTTGTTTTGATATTTAAAATTTTACTCCTTTTCACTTTTATTTCATAAGGCATTGTCTCCTCTATGTATTCGCTTGTGTGTTTTTCCAGTTTAATCTTTATTTCTGAAATGACGTTTTTATTTCCAATTCTTTCTTGAATTCTATAACCTCATTACTAACTTCTTATTTTTCTGATTTATGTTTTTCTTTCATCTCTCCATAATTTCATTAATTTCTTTTGGTTCATTTCGAAGTTTTAGGCTACAGTTTCCATCTGTGTTGTAGGAATTTTTATGGTGTTTTATTGTTAGTAGATTGCCAATAGAGATTTCATTCTCAATCTTCTTTATTAATACATTTGCATGGGACTCAAACTTGATCCTTTTTTGTTGCCTGTTCTCATGTGAAATTAATTTTCTTGAGCTCTTCGGAGGAAGAAATGAGTCAAAACAGATTTTCTAGCTTCATAGTACTAGAGCATTCTCTTCTGTTGTTTCCTAAAACAGCCTTGTGCTTTCTGAGCTCTCCCACTTTTATCTTCTTTCTTTTGTTCTATTGTCTCTATCCAGCTTAATCTGGATTCTGTTTCCTGCAGTTTCCCACCTATGTGGGAGTTTGTCCTAGAATGGAGCTTAGGGAGATCCTTTTGAAAGCTCATTGAACTCAGGCTATTCCAGCCCCTTTAGACCTTCTTGGGGATGTCTGCAGTGCAATGCATACAAGAGTGTACAAAACCGTAGCAGATAAAGATGCTGCTTCCAAATTCTTCCCCCTGCCTTGCATTGAATATCGGATGGAGATTTGGCTCTTCTGCTTTTAGGGCCATCAGAGAACCTGTTTCACCCTTCTGTGTTTCCCCTTCCAGATGCTAATACTATACAGGTCTGAAAGTGATGTCGTGTTGTCCTCAACACATCTCTTTCAAACATTTTCAGATCTGCATAGTATCAGAATGATTTTGATGCTTAGAAGCTACATTGATAATATAGTTATTTTACATAAATATTATCAGTAGGTTTTTGGTTTTGACACTCCAGTTCTGATTTTAGTGGTGATTTAAGGAGATGCAAAAGCCATCTCATCAACGTTATCTTCCCAGAATTTGCTGTATTGCCTTTGGAGTGATCTTTAAAAGACTCGTTTACAATGACATCCAACATGTGCAATTGCCAACTCGCCATGAATAATCACCGAATCTATGTTAAAGGTCTTTGCCTCATTTGTTACTGATTCTGTCACATGGCCTCTATAAACCTCTACAAACATGCACAATTCATGTTACTTGAGGTTATTTTAGACAAATGTGTCTTACTCAAACATTAATTCATTATTCAATATAAACTATTGAGAAAATCTTTGTAAAGACAAAGACATAAGTAGACTTCCTCTTTGGGGGGTATGTCATTTAGAAAACAAAAAGTCTTCCCTGCATGCAGTGTAGTCATTGAAAACAAGGCTGGGATGTTAGACTGAAGTTAGGACAGAGAGGGACACAAAACAGTGTCAGTCCCATGAGAGTCGGATGGGTGGTCTAACAACCATCAGTTCTGTAGCTGCTCAGAGAACTGAAAGCCTGGTGAGAGCTTAGTATCTGCGACATCGTTTATGGAGAACAGACTTTGAATAGGGTCTGAGAAAATGAATATATTTGGATAGGTCTGAGAAAATGAATATATCTGGATAGACAGGGCATTACAGCTGCATATATATGTTGTATATTGTGGGAGTAGATGGAGAAGTTTATGCTAATTTGAGGGTCTCTGAAAGCACAAATCTCTTCCTTCACCTCCTGCCTGGCTGGTAAGAGAAGTCATGTCTGATTTCGAGTTCCCAGAAGTAAAAGTAATATTTCCAATTTTTTGTTTACCAGCTCTAGATATATTAGGTTTAATAAACTAGTAGAATGTAGCAGAGATGCAGGTTTTGCTGAGCTGTGGGCTGAGGACTCTGCTGCCACCAACATGGATATCTCTTAGTTCCTTTTCTTGTCAATGCTAGATGAAACTCATACTTTCAAAGTCCCTCCAGGTAAGCTGTCAAAGGCTAGAGTTCTGCCGTTGTAGTAATATGTACCTCTAACCCAACTACAATCCAAATTCCTCAGGTCCAGTCTCTGCAGTTCTCACATCCAGACACATACACTCACACTCCCATCTTCCCAAGGATTGATGAAAAAATATAGACTTCGCTGATTATGGAGAGGAAGAGAATGTGGTTACACTGCATACTGCACACCAAAACTTCCTAATCTTTCCCCTGGTTATTTTCTCACTAGCAGTTGTCACCTCCCCTTTCCTTTCCAGCCATTAGCACCATCACCTTTCCATTTAGCCTATTTCCTATACCTTTTCTGGCTGTCTTCTCCCTCCTTGTGTGTGTCCCTCACCAGTTTCACCACTTCTTCCTTATGAGAATGTATTTAGCCCTCCCTCATCCTGACTTCTCTATTTTGCATTCCTACCTGTGATGGTTTGTATGCCTTCACTTGACTGGGCCAAGGGATGTCCCGACAGCTAGTTAAACATTATTTCTGGGTGTGCCTGTAAGAGTGTTTCCAGAAGAGATTAGCATTTGAATTGGTGGACTTAGTAAAACAGATGGCCCTCCCCAATATGTTGGGCATCATCAAATCCATTGATGAACTGAATAGATAAAGAAGATGGAAGTAACCTTGCCCTACCTGACCACTTGCACTTGAACATCGTTCTTCTCTTGTCCCCAGTGCTTCTGGTTCTCGGGCTTTCATATCCAGAACCTATACCATTGGTTCTCTTACTCTCAGGCTTTCAAACTATGCTACCCCCCAGCATTCCTGGGTCTTCAGCTTGCAACCAACAGATAGTGGAACTTCTCTGCCTTCACAAATGAGTGAGCCAATATGTTATAATAAATCTCTTCTTAGTTATATAGATTTATTCTACTGGTTCTATTTCTTTGTAGAACCCTAACTAATATATTACTCGCACCTCTAATTAGACAATTAGAGGCTCTTGCCTGGAATCTATTTTCCTTATTTAAAAAAAAAAAAGAGAAAGGGGTGAGTGTAAATATGTAAACAGTACTCAAAAATAGTCCTAACTTAGTGAGTTCATAGTTTCTTTTCTGACTCAGTTTTAGAGTTCTTGTAAAACTAAGAGTTTGCTTCAAGATACTTGCTATCCTTTCCTTGCTAGCCAATCAGAACAAATGCAACAAGTAAAATAGATTATCTAATTGCTATTAATGCTCTTGGCTTTTAGCTGAACTGAAGGCAGGGAATAAAACATGCTGTTAATTGCTGTCATTGCAACCTTGGCATTATGACCAGATGGTCATGGAAACGTGGAGTGCCAGGAGACACAAGCAATCAGAAATATCACTGTACCCTTATTTGGAACTGTAATTCTAAGATTCAGAGCTACTTTACTGGTGTAAAGAATAGGATGGACATGCCACAGCTGGTAATCAGAAGAAAAATACTATTGTCTCTGTCTGTGTGTGTGTGTGTGTGTGTGTGTGAGAGAGAGAGAGACAGAGAGAGAGAGAGAACATGTGCTAATGGAGGCATAGTAGTGAACAATGGATAAATTTATTATACAGGCATTTGTGACCCCACTACAACAAAGCATAGTATAGTGCAGTGATGTAAGTCAAAACTTAAGTGTCAGACAGAATGGTCTAATCAAGGAAGGAAAAGTAGCATTTATTAAGACACGTTTAACTATGTCCGTAATGACTTCCTCCCAACAATCCATTATCAGCTCCTTTGTGCAGATGACTAAAACGGGGCTCAAAGAAATTAGATAATCTGCCCAAGGTTATACAACTAATAAAATCCCCTTGACCCTTCAGCTCATGCTCTTCTGCTTTCAGGTACTGCTTCCAGAGTCCTCCCTATCCACTGACAGCTTTGAATTTCAATAAGGGTACCAGCCTGGGAATGAGAAGGGAGTAGACATTGACACTAGCTTCCCAGCAAATCTTTCCCTAACCAGGTGTCCACCAGTCTTCACCTCTCAGAGTTGATAGATCCCAAGCTGGCCACATTGACTCAGCCCAACCGGTTGGAAGGGGCAAGCAAAAGGCCAGCTCATACTTTCTCTCGAGCCAGCCTCTGCAGCCTAATCTTCTTCTGTCCTTCTAATGCTGGGATTGAGGCCCTCCCTTATCCCCCGCCAGCCTTGCTGCTGAGGATAGCAGCACAGCTGGAAAAATAGATAGGTCTTTCTAACCCTCTCATGCGTGTGCCGTGGGGCCAGGTAGCTCTATAAATATGGTAATGGCTTCTCAAGCATGCCTAGACTGGAAATGAGAGGCTGGAGAGAGGCTGTTCCCACCGATAACCGCTGTGGCAGCTTTGCTGGAGGAGACAGTACATCTGAGCTTCGGGTCAAATTAACTCTCCCCCCTGTAACCTTGAGTAGATCCCCTCTCCTCCTCCCACTTCCTACCCTATTAATCGTCTGTACCCACCTGTTCCCTGATTACAATGATGACATCCACAGAGGGAAGGAGGCAAGCAGCAGCTCATGTTTCGTCTATTACCAGGAGGCCCAGACTTGTGATTTAAAAAAAAAATACACCAGCAACAACACAGCTACATTGATGTGTACAATAGGGAACCAGCTTGACAGTTCCCTGCCGTGGCCCCACTGAGAAAAACGACAGCTACAATAAAAAGCCAAATGCCTGCTCAGCCTAAACAACCACATGCTCAAAGATGCTCTGTCTGTAGTCTGCCTTTCCCCAGCTTTCCTTTCTGCTAAGAGAGTGGCCAGTGACACTGCCCCCCATTCCCAACCCACCAAATGCCCTGGAAATACTGTCTATGGGAAATGGTGACTGGGGTTCTAGAGTGACTTTAGACAAAGCTCCTAACATGGCTGTAAACCTCAGTCCCTTCCTTTTTGGTCAGATGAAAATGATAATGCCTTATTTCAGGTGGTTAGATAATGATTCTGAAGTCTTAGTCAATGCTTCTCCTTCTTCTATCTGCCCCTGCCCAACCCTTGTTCTATTTCTTCCCAGTGTGACCATTCCCTCTCACAAGCAGTAGCAGGACCATGTGGCTTGCATTGCTTTGGCAAAGGTATAGTACTGCAGAAGAAAAGAAAAGTCTTTCGAGTGTCACAAGTCTAGGGTCCAGAGGGTACTCAGGGGGACTAAATGCTGGGTAACTTAGCCTTTTTTTGTTCCATGAACCCCTTTGGCATTGTAGTGATGCCTATGGATACGTTCTTCGCATAATGTTTTTACGTGCATAAACCATCTTAAAAATAATTTCAAGGGGTAAAATCATGACTCTTGTACAAATATCAAGTGAACATGTTTCAGAGTTTTTATTTAACTTGTTAATGAATGAGGAAAATCAGTTAGATGTTACAAACTGGTTCGAAGGGGA
The DNA here is from genome assembly GCF_000001405.40 of Homo sapiens. Lineage (NCBI taxonomy): Eukaryota > Metazoa > Chordata > Mammalia > Primates > Hominidae > Homo > Homo sapiens. Next base: position 119,590,359 of record NC_000009.12, read on the forward strand.
ATTCAAAGAGCAGAAATATGTAGGCACTCAGTGATGCTGAAATGAATGCATTCATACATGCAAAACTTGCTTGCAAGTGGGAAATGCCATAAGTGGAGAGTTTGGGGAAATCAATTGTACCTCTAACAAGCAAATTTCACCTCTATGGGAAAGAATTATTTGCATTGCTCTCAGTTTTTCTCAAGTTCAGAGCTGTAAAATAGCTCAAAGGCAATGAAAGATGAAGTCCACTATAGAGTCGGACAACCAAAGGAGGCACTCAAGGTTGTCCAGCATCTCAAAGGAAACTAATTTTCATTTTGTTGCCATTTCAAAGTCCTTTGTTTTTCTTACAATTTTTTTCCTAACAAAATAGATACAAACAGAGAGGAAACTAATTATTTTGGAATACACTCATTAAAATAGTTTAAAATTTTGTGATAGAGTAATATATCTACTTATTTACTAACATGTTAATTAACACAGTATCACAACGAATACTATAATTTTAGTGGAATAATGTAAATCAACAGTATTTCAGAATATCTGCAATGACTATAATTGGCTATGAAAGTATCTGTCATTTTTCTGTGTGACAAAGTCACAGGCATTGCCAAAACCAATGTATTTGTTGCTTACATTTATAATGGAAGGAAGGAAATAATAAATTTACATTCAAAATTAGTAAAAATAAAGATGAATTTTTTTTTCATTCAAGTTCCTGGATATTCAGAATCTATAAGACCTCCTATTAGGAACTCCGAGTTAGAGAAAGAATTCCCCCTAACTCCTAATGACGAGATTAACAATGATAACCCAAGTTGGAGGAAGAGTAAAGAAGAAAATTGAAACAAATTAAGTGAGTTGGATATTACTATTGAAGAAGCTGTGCTTGGCTCTATCTTCTCAGAGGTAACCAAGGAATTAGAGGAACCCATCATAGGCATAGAGACTCTGAGAATGGAGAGTAAATATGCTTATATTTCTTGGGTAGAAACCTAGAAGCTTACAAGACCCCACAGCCTGGGGAGATGGCACTGAGACAGTCTACTAGAGTTACCCCAAAATGATGACAACACTTCTGGGTGATGACACAAGTATGGAGTGAAAAGATGATCAACCCAAAGAGACCTGTGGTCAAAAAGATGGGGGGATTCAGCAGGGACCTGATAAGCTCTTGTCCTGTTGTAGAGTGGTGACTTGAAGTAGAATTTATGTCCAGTTATAAACGGAGAAAAAAGTCCTATTCCTTGCACACCCAAGTGTGTGGGCTAAATACTGCCTCTGGTTTATTCCACTTGAGAAATATCTTCTAAATCTAACTCTTCCTGTTCCACACGGCCACATCATTGATTCAAACTCCTTACACTGGGGTTCAAGGACCTTCACAAAATAGTTTCATATTTTTATCTCTCTCTCCTTTCCTCACATGTCCCAGCACCCCCAGCTGCTACCTGCTTTGCAAGTCACTCTGTTCTCTGACAACCCCATGGTTTGAACTGCACTGTATTCTTGCCCTTGAATGCCACACCAACTATTACCAACCCTTAAAACTCTTCCCTGAGGGAAGTTTCATTTTCCTTGGCATATACCCTTTGCTTTGGCCCAGAATACTCTCTGTTCCCTAAATGCACCTCCTCATCTACTAAATTTTTATTTATCCTTCATGACCATACCCCTCCAGCATAAATGTCTCTCCTGTAAAGAACTCCAGAGCCTCTTCTCTCAAAGTATTTATCTCCCTCTGGGTCCCATAACAAACATTATTCAACAGATAAAAAGGATGGGGGCAAAGAAGAAGAGGAGAAGGAGATGAAATAATATTTTATTTCATACTATCATGCATTAAGTACCAACTTGCTCAGGTCTCAGAGCTATTAATGAGCAGAGCCAGAATTCAACCTTGGGCTATGATTTTAAAGCCCCATGATGTTGGTGATGATGTGGCAATGCCACCTCCTTTATAGCACTTTCCTAATATACTCACCTACATATTCTTCTCCCTATTTAGGATCAAGAGCAGGGACAGTGTCTTTTATATCATTACTGTAAAATAGCATTTCTAAACAGCCACAGAACTTTTAACAGTAACATTCACCAATCACCTATGAATGCCTACTGGGTGGTCAAGTTTTGATGTGGCAGCTCAAGTAGCTCAGGAATGATCCCTGCCCTCCTGGAATGTATATTGTAATGAGATAGAGACACCAATCAAATTAAGACAAAAATAAACATGTAATTACAGATTGTGATATGTTTTGTTAAGTAATAGAACAGACAAAAAATTGGGATGGCTTTATTTCTATGCGGAGAGAAGTATCTAGGGCTGGCCTCTTTGAGGAAGTTATATTTTCATTGAGGCTTAAGGATGAGCAGGAGCCATTGACCAAAAGAAGAGTCCGGGAATAGCATTTTAGGCAGAGGTGACAGGCTGGGCAAAGCCCCTGAGCTAAGAAGGCATTTGGCAGACGAGAGAAATGAAAAGACCAGTGCAGCTGGAATAGAGTAATAGAGTGATGAGGCTGAGGGAGTAGGCAACATCCAGATAATGTGGGCTCTGCACTCATTCATTTATCCCAGATATATTTATAAAACACCTGCTAGGCATCTCCACTCTTATGGAGCTATAATGGCTATCCAAACAGACACAGCTCCTGCCTCATAAGCTTACAGTCTAGAGGAGAGGCAGACATGACACTAATAATAACACAGGTTAATGTGTAAGTATATGTGACCTAGTCTACAGGAGAGAGGAGGCCATAAAAAGTGGATGGGTTGGATTGTAACCCCTCAAAAGATATGTTCAAGTCCTAACCCCCAGTTCTTGTGAATGTGACCTTATTTGGGCAGATGCAATCAAGTTAAGATGAGTTCATTAGGTGAATTCATATCTGATATGACTGGTATCCTTGTAAGAAGAGGAGAAGAGACACGGGGACACAGACACACAAAGGCAGAACTCCAAGTGAAGACAAAGGCAAAGATTAAAGTGATGCAGCTGCAAGCTGAGGAATGCTCAGAAAACTACCAGAATCTAGGAAGAGGCAAGGGAGGATTCCTCTACAGATTTCAAAAGGAACATGGCCCTACCAATACCTTCATTTTAGACTTTGAGCCTCCAGAACTATGAGAGAATACATTTTTGTTATTTTAAGCCACTCAGTTGGTGTTGCATTATGACAGCCCTAGCAAACTAATATAGAAGACTTCCTGGAAGAAGTGATATATGAATAAATTCTGTCTTTCCAACCAAAAATGCTAGGGATTTATTTGGCCATGAGATGTTAGGATGTCTTGACCAGAGGACTTTTTTCTCTATTTCTGATTTTTTAACATTCCTAAATCTGCAAATTTCATGAAAATATCCTGACATCTAGCTTCTATGAAAAGAACCATACATAACCATGAGCTTAAGTGGAGGCTACCCCTTCAGAAAGAGCATGTGTTCTCAGGTTGACCCACTTCCCAGTTCTCTCATACCTGGCCTGCTTTACAGAACTCTTATACCTGGTCCTCTGCACTCCTTACATTTCCTGCCTGACACCTGTGGCATAATAATTTCATGAATAGGGTCTAAGATTTTGGCCAGAAAAGAGTGCAGACAAGAAGTCTGTGCAAATCTCCCCTGGAGCCCTAGTGAATAGCACTGATTGTCACCTGTCCTCCAGAGCCCTGGCCACTTGCCTGTGTCACTAGCAGAGCAGGGAATGAAGCCTATCCCACTATCTGTAATTAAATCACTGCTACTCAGCCATTCCCTTGGTCTGCAACTTATTACCATACCCTGTAACTCTTACCTTTACTGCTGAATTCCAATGTGATGGATCTCAAGTCCCCTGTGTGTTCCACAACTTGCTCTTTAAGTGGAAACATTTACGTTTTAATTGCCTAATATATTCCTATCATATTCCGTCCAATAGGATGTCAGGATTCTGTACAGTGCTTAGTAAAGTAAACCAGTCTAGATTGCAGCTCCTCCATCATCAAGATGAAGCTCAGGTCAAACCCAATGCATCCAAGAAAACTTCCAGGACAATATAATGTGAATATTCCTATTAACTAGGGAAACCAAGTCAGAAAAGCTTGGATATGAATTTTAGCTTTACTACTTCTTAGCTGTTTGACCATGGGCAAATTACTTGACCTCTCTGAGTTTTGTTTGTAGTATGCACATAAAAATGGTCTATTGCACAGGGCCCCTATGATGATTAAGTGAGATAATCATATAGCCATTTCTTAATACAATGATCAGTAGGTATGTAACAAGCACACTTTAAAGCTGGCTGTTGCTGTCACTATTTTTTTTTTTTTTTTTGAGACAGAGTCTCACTCTGTTGCCCAGGCTGGAGTGCAGTGGCATGATCTTGGCTCACTGCAACCTCCGCTTCCTGGGTTCAAGCAATTCTCCTGCCTCAGCCTCCTGAGTAGCTAGGCTTACAGGTGTGCACCACTGAGCCCAGATAATTTTGTATTTTTTTTTTTTTTTTTTTTTTTTTTTTTTGAGACGGAGTCTCGCTCTGTCGCCCAGGCTGGAGTGCAGTGGCGCGATCTCGGCTCACTGCAAGCTTCGCCTCCCGGGTTCACGCCATTCTCCTGCCTCAGCCTCCCGAGTAGCTGGGACTACAGGCGCCCGCTACCACGCCCGGCTAATTTTTTGTATTTTTAGTAGAGACGGGGTTTCACCGTGTTAGCCAGGATGGTCTCGATCTCCTGACCTCGTGATCTGCCCACCTTGGCCTCCCAAAATGCTGGGATTACAGGCGTGAGCCACCATGCCTGGCCTATAATCTTTATTATTATCAGTTTCATTGCTGTTTTTATTGTTACTATTATTATTACTGTTAGTAATACTCCACTATAGTATTTCATGTGGAATCTAAACATTTAATGGCATAAAACGTGGGATCATATTGTTGAAATATTTAAGAAATACTAGAATAAAGCAGTTACGGAGAGGGGAGGAAATTGCGCCTCATGTTGCATCTGAATTCATGGCTTCGTGATATGTGCTGTTTACAGAGTTCTTCTGCAACGCATTTATTTTATGGAGAAACTACACCTGTTTGGCACCAATTAGAGCCACAAGGAAGATCAAATATCACAGAAGAGCTCTCCATGACCAGAGGGTGTTTGGAAAAGCCAAAAGCTGTGCAAAGAGCTATGATCAATGACTTGAACCAAAGATGATAAGGAAAGATCAAGCTGAATGGAGTACACAAGGCAACATGATAGGCAGTCTTCATGTGGGATGCCACTGTAAGCTGATGGAAATACAGAGAGACAGAATATCTGAATAATAATAACAAAGTTAGCAGATACCCTCCCCCTGGGAGTTTGGGCAGTCTATTTCCTCATTTAGTTGGAAAGAAAACAAAGCCGTTTTGTTTTTACTTTCTTTTAAAGTCAAAATTTTCCAACAAGGATTGCAATTTATCCATGCAAAAGATGAGGTCATGTAAGCAACAGTGAAGAGTCTTAGACATGAACAGACCAAAATGACACAAGGTAGAGTCATCTGTTTTACTTCACTATGAACCATGTAATCTTCCTAAGGAACAACTTGTTTCATGTCACTCCTCTGATCAATAAGCTTCAAGGGCCCCCTGTTACTGAAAGAGCAATGTCTAAATTTCTAGGATGCCTGCATGCTGCCCAGATATGGGAAAGACAAGTGTTTAACAAAATGAAGCAGTGGCTAAAAGAACTTAATTTTGTGTTTTCTCTGTCAGTGAAAACACCACCATCCAATCAGTCACCCTAGTCAACAATATGGGAATATTCCTGATTTATCTCTTTCCTTTTTTCTTATGCATACATTTCATTAAATAATTAATTAATCACAATCAATCAATAATTGAGTTCTTATCAGTGTAACTCCTAAATAGCTCTTGAGCTTGTCCAGTTTGTTCATTCCCACAACGTCTATCACCATTCGGGCCTGAATGATTGCAATATCCCAAGCTGGAATATCCCATTTCTTCTCCTAAATTCATCTTTCATATGCATTTTCATGAGTGGGGAAGAAACTCCAATTTATATGTGTATCAGGGAGAGAGGAGGCGCAGAAGAGGTAATGGCCATGAGGAAGGTTTGGCTAGAGCAGAGACAACTAATAATTACAGCTGACCTTTCACTGATTGATTATTATACATCAGGTTTTATGCTAATTGCTTTCTGTTCATTATCTCATTTAGTTCTCCAAAAGTTCCAAGAGGTACACAGTCAAGGCTTAAAGGGTGTGGTAAGTTAAATACGGTTATAAATTCCTGGCTGTTCCTCCCATTGAGATATATTGAGTCAAATTCCCATCCTTGAATCTGGGCCATCTTAATGACTTGCTCAATGAGAAGAATGCAGCATACATGATGTAACTTTTGATGGAATTTGAAGGTATGTCATAAGAAGTCTTTTTTGGAACAATTTCTCTCTTAAAACCTTGAAAAACTGCATTAAAATCCCACAACCCTGAAGCTGTCATTCCGTGAGAAGCCCAGACCATGGGGTCTGGAGGGCCTGGAGCATGAGCTGCCACGTGGAGATACACACAGGTCAAGAAGCACTGAGGCACCAGGCACGTGCGTGAACAAGACCTCTCAGAAGCTACTCCTCCACCCCAGGCACTCCAGTTGATGCCATGTGGATTCAGGATGAACTGCCCAGCTGACCCCAGAGTATTTTATCCACAAAACTGTGATCAAAATAAAATGGTTATTGCAAACTGCTAAATTTGGGGAGTTTTAAATGCCACAACAGATAAACAGAGAGGTTAACTCACTCGATGAAAGTCACATAATAGATGTTAGAACAGAGCCTCAAATCCAGGCAATATGATTCCAGAGTCTATACTCTTAAGCATGGGGCCATACTTTGTCCTTAAGTGGACAATGCTAGTTAATAAGGTTAGGAATGTCAGATGTTTGCAGAGAACATGGCGTATGAGACTAGGATGAGGGCGGGATGAGGGGAAGAGAGTCAAGCTTCATCAAGGAGTTTCTGTGCTAGAAATACTTCCTCTGATTTAATTTTTGAAAAAGCCTTTTAAAACAAACAAGATTACCTTCATTTTATTAAAAAAGAAAACTGTGTCTGAGAACAACCAGACAAACTCCAACATGAATGAAGTCATAAATTTGGGTTTTAAACTCAAGTCAGGATCCAAAGCCATTGTAACTCTTGCCCTGGGTGTCCTGCCAATGGAGTGAATTTAGGAAGCAGTTCTCAGGGCTGGATTTCCCAGAAGGAAGACATCTGAGCCCACAATGGCAGGCTTCAGCTCCAGATAGGGCCTGAGCATGCTAAGGTCAGGAGTGATTTATTCCACTTCTACATCAGAAGACAAAAACTTTTAATTAAAAGAAGAGAGAAAAAACTGCCAGAGACTGAGCAGGGAGTCCACACCATCTGACAGTTTCAATTTTCACTTACAGCTTACTTTCACCGATTGATATCCTTCTCGTGCCTGCTGACGAGAACCATGGGCTTCTATAAATCACCTTCCAGAGTCACAGGCAACTGCCTTTTAACCCTCACTTTGACAGAAACATTGGCAACAACAATAATGATAACAATTACTTTTCATTGATCACTACCTGTGTGTCAGAATCTATGAAAAGTGCTTGCATCTATAACTCCATTTAACTCCCATAAAACCCTATGAGGTATGGGCTGTTAGTATCCTTAATTAAAAGATAACTGAATTGAGTCTTGGGAAGTTAGCTTGACTTACTCACAATCATAAGGCAAATATGTGTCAGAGTTGAGATTTGAATCTCTAGTTAATATCTGAACCCAAACTCATTTTTGCAGACTAAACATCCTTGTTGGAACAGATATAATGTTCCATACTTTTTACTTTCCTTTTTTTTTTTGTAATTTGTATAGCTGGGTGTGGTGGTGGGCACCTGTAATTTCACCTACTCAAGAGGCTGAGGCAGGAGAATCACTTGAACCCGGGAGGCTGAGATTGCAGTGAGCCGAGATCATGCCACTGCACTCCAGCCTGGGTGACAAGAACGAGACTCCATCTCAAAAAATAATAATAATAATAAATAAAATAAATTTGTAGATACACGATAATACTGTAAGTTTTGAACATGAGTATTTTCCCTTCTATTTTATGAAGACAACAAAAAAAGACATTAACACAGAATCACGAAGCCAGTCAAGCAACCATAATAACAACTACCATTTATGTCATGCTTTCTATGAGCTCATATTTTAACTACTTTAAACATACTAGTTAATTTTTATAACATAATATGATAATAATAAGACATAATTCAACTCCCATTTTAGAAATGATGGAATTGACACACAATGGAATTGAAATCCCTGAAATCACACTATTAAAAGGAAGCACAGAAATAAAACTCATTTTTTCCTGCCTCCTAGTCTAGAGTTTTTCCCATTGTATCTATCACATATTTTCAGATATCTGTCCTTTGCTTAAGGAAATGGAAGAATGCAACCAGTGGTTGGGTTATTAGGCTGAGGCTCTTGAGAATTTGATGTCAAAGCTCTAGGATATTGAATAGTTTAATTAATAAGAGAGCATATCTGGGCAGGGACTAAAGCTCTAAATTTGGCCGGGCGCGGTGGCTCACGCCTGTAATCCCAGCACTTTGGGAGGCCGAGGCGGGCGGATCACGAGGTCAGGAGATCGAGACCATCCCGGCTAAAACGGTGAAACCCCGTCTCTACTAAAAATACAAAAAATTTGCCGGGCGTAGTGGCGGGCGCCTGTAGTCCCAGCTACTTGGGAGGCTGAGGCAGGAGAATGGCGTGAACCCGGGAGGCGGAGCTTGCAGTGAGCCGAGATCCCGCCACTGCACTCCAGCCTGAGCGACAGAGCGAGACTCCGTCTCAAAAAAAAAAAAAAAAAAAAAAAAGGCTCTAAATTTAAGGAAACACTCAAGGATAGCAATTGCACCACTATGATCACGAGAGTGAGCATCTCCTTAAATTTTGCCTCCCAGGATGCCTTACTGCCTTCATTCTACTCCCGGCTTTGGAGCATATTAGTGTTGGTCTCATTTGAATTGTGGAAGGTGTTCTATGGGGCCTGTGATGGGAGATAATGTTAAATACATTAATTTATCATTTCATAGCACCTAATGCATGCACAACACTATGGGAGACTCTGGAGAGGAATCTTTCATTCAACCATTAAACACTGATTAATTGAGTGCCTCTAATTTCCCCAGAACTACTGATACAAAGAGAAACCTAGTCCTTTCTCTTGAAGTGAAAGGTGGGGAAGCTCTTCACAAAGTCACACACAGATCACCATGTGAGTGCCAGAGTAGGAGTGCACATGGGAAGTGTCCGGGACACAGAGGAGAGCCTACCTGCCTCCCTGAGCCTGGGGAGACTTTGGAGAGGAGAGACAATTTGAGCTGGGGCCTGCATGATGTGTGGGTTCTTTGGCTGCAAACAACAGAAATCAGCTCTGCCTAACTCAAGAAGATAACAAACAAAACAAGCAAACAAAAATTATTGAAAGAATGTGGTCTTGAAAAGGGGGAAACAGAGGCTGCTCCAGAGACCTAGGGAGAAGGAACATGTGGGCAGTCTCTTCAGAACAAAGCCAAAAAAGAACCTAGCTCCAGTCATTCATCCATTGGGTGCTACTCTGCTTTTAAGGTTCAAATTTCCAAGAGGAAGTGCCTGAATGGTGTAACAGGTCACTAATCCACTCTTTGGCTGAAATAGGGCAGGGTCAGTTTCACAAAGGGAATTTAGGCACTCTGATCCCCAGGATGAGAGGAGATGCTGAGCAGACAAAAATGACAGCTGTCCACTAGGGAGAAAATACAAAAAACAAACAAACAACAACAACAACAACAAAAGCAACTGTAATAGTTTTCTAGGGCTGCTGATACAAAATACCAAAAACCAGGAGGCTTAATACAACAGAAATTTATTCTCCCACAGTTCTAGAGGCTAGACATCTGAAATTAAGGTATTGGCAAGGCCATGCCCCATTCAAAGGCTCTAGGGAAGAATCCTCTCTCGTCTCTTCCTAGGATCTAGTGGCCACGAGCAATTCCTGATGTTCCTTGGCTTGTAGCTGCATCACTCTAATTAATTTCTGCCTCCATCACTGCCTGGCTTTCTTCACTGTGTGTATCTCCTCTCTTCTCTCTTCTTATAAGAATGCCAGCCATTGCTGGAGCCTACACTAATCCAGTATGTCCTCATCTTGACTTGATTACACCTTCCAACAGCCTATTTCTAAATAAGACCACATTCACAGGCTCTAGGGATTAGAATTTCAACATATCTTTTTAAGAGAAATATTCAAGCTATAACAGCAACCAAGTAGAGAAATACGATTATTTGTCCAGAGAGAAAACTTCAGGGGCACTGGGAGATGCAAAATGTTCAGGAAGCATCCAGGTACACTATGTGGTCAGGGACAACTATCACAGGGAGATGAGACAGCTAGAGGCCAGATGGTAAAGCATCTTTGGTGCCCAACTAAGAGAATTTAGACCTTATATTTTAGACAGTAGGGAGCCTACCTGTGTCTTAGAATCACCCCTCTGGCTGCATGGTGGAGATGGATAGGAGAGAGGAGCCCAGCAGAGGGAATACATTCAAGGAGCAGCTCCCATCCCAGGCAGCCTGGAGGTGGTTATCTCTCCTGATGAACTTCAAGGACCTGTATCTAATCCCTCCAGCTCCTCCTGTCTGCCTCCTCTTTGTTAAATGTCCCTTACAACTCCCCACCCTGTCCCCATTAATGTATCCCTCTTTTATCTCCATACTTGTAATTTTATTTTCCAGATTAACCTGCTTTTATCTGCTCACATTAACCTTAAAAGTAACACGGATCGTTTTTTCTCTAATATAATCTCTCTGGCCATCTATTCAGCCTCTTCCTCTCAGCAGTTCTACTCATCACATCTTTTTGAAATATACTTGGGAAAAATGGTGGTGCAAAGCAACAAGGGCAAAGAGAAAAATTCCCCCCGGAGTACACATCTAATCATCTTTGCCTTTTTTTCACCCAGATGGGTGTCTGATTGCACTCAAATCAAGATTCAGTCTTCAGTGCCCAAAGGCGGCAGAGTGTGTAAAGAGCAAACATATGCAGCAACTTGAAAATACCATAGAGAGGCTTCCACCAAACCAGAGAACTAAAAGAAGCCTAGCATTTAGAGAAAATGTTCCTCATTGAGAGGCTTGAAAGCTCAACCCAGGTTACTCTGTGAGTTCATTGCTGAACTGAACTTGGAGTACTGGTCATTCGTTTCCTGAGATGCTTTCAAGATCTAAGTTCAGTTTTTACAGCATCAGTGCTCCAGCCACACTGAACCTCTCTCAGTCCCTGGAGCACACTCTGCTCTCTCTCTCCTGTGCTTCTCCCCACCACCCTATACCTGACAGCTCCTCATCCTTCAGATTTCAGGTTGGAGGTGACATCCTCTAAGCAGCCCTCCTGTACTCATCATGCAGGAAGAGGGATGCCTCTCTCCTCTGGGCAGCCCAGGGCTGCTCCTCTCCCAGCTCTTCTAGTAAGTCTGACCACTCCTGGGTTTCAGCTGCCTCAGCCTGGGAGACACAGGCACACCATTACTGCTGTGGCTCTATGTGCAAAACTTAGACACAATCACCTTTGGCAACTCCTTCCCCTTCCTGGGCCTCAGTTTTTCCATCTCTAAAATAAGTGGGTTGGGCTTGAACATTTTCTGAGGTGCTGACAGATGTTGTATAAGAGAAAAAAGTTTCCAACTTGAGAATGCTAATTGGGTTTCTGTGTTGTAAGACCACTTCTGAAAACCCTGACCATGCTACTACCTGGGAAGTTCTAAGAGGGAGCTATTATTATTGTTGTTATTATTGGTCTTAGTATTAGTAGTAGCAGTATTTTCCTCTCTCCACCACGTCATATAGAACTTACAGTTTCTTGATGATTACTATGCACCAGACACTATTCTAAGTGTCTTATAAGCATCAACTCACTTAATGACTTTAACAACCTGAATTATTGCTGCAATTTAATAGATGAGGATGCTAAGGCATGGAGAGGTTAAGAGATCTGCCTAAGGCCACACAACTGGGAAGTGGGAGAAACAGAATTCAAATGCAGGCAGGATGACTTTCAAGATGGTGCTTTTAACCACTGGGTCATTGGAGGCATCTCAAAGGATGAGGGCTTCACAAGCCCAGACAGTAGAAAAAAGTTTTCTCAAAGTTCGTTGAGATTTCACCCAGTTTTCCGTCACTGGCTTGGGAACTGCTGTATTAGCCTGATCATCGGCAGCTGTGTGTCTGCTGATCAGCTAGCATTACCTACCCATTGCCCCTCCTCCTAACAGCCTCCTGCCCCACCTCTCGGACTGGGCCTCCTTGGCTACAAAAAGCTGCCGAAACAAAACACTAATCCATAGTAGGGGGCTGACCACCACAACAAACTCCTCTCTGGAAAGGCTGATTCAGCCTGATCTCCATCCACTGGTCCCCTCCAACTCCCTACACCACAGGTTGTTGAAGTCCTTCCTGTATCCTGCCTGATCACATCACCTGGGTTAAGACACACAGATGTGATGTCAGGATAGCCTCAGTGAGGGAAAGAAGATGCCTGTTGTCTGCCTCGAACATTTTCATGCTCAGCTTGTGAGAGCAGAAGACAGAGATCACCAGTCCCAGCAGGATGCTAATCATCCCAGGGAATGGCTGCCAACAAATGAGGCTTCCAGGAGCTCCATCCTTGTGTCTTCCTTCAGTGTCTTCCTCTGAATCTGCTCAGCTGCTACTGTTGTGTCACTGAACCTCAGAGAAGGAGCTGAGTGATTTTATAAACTTCAGGATTCCAAGCTGAAGGAGTCTTAGAAATTATTTAACCTGTTTCATCATGTACACTCAGAGAAACTGAGGCACACCAAGTGGAAAGGGCCTTTCCAGGTTCACACTATGAGTTAGTGGCAGAGTTAGGATCACAACTGGAATTTTCTGCTTCCCAGTTCAGCATTTTTTTCAATAACACAGTTTTTTTTTTTAGATAGCTAGAGGAGGGAGACCTTTCTAGGGACAATTGTTACAATAGTCTCATATTGTAGATGGGGAACTGAGGTCCAGAAAGAGGAAAAGACTTGCCCCAAATCACAAAACCCTGTGGTTATTTGGAGTTATTGGTGTTTATATCATACTTCCCACCTGAGCCTGTGAGAATCATGAAAACTGAGTCCCTCCTGGATTCATCTCTGTACCTAGGAAATGCCTGGCACAGAACAAGTGCTCAATAAATAATGGCTAAATGGATGCTAGATCTAAGAACAAATGAATAAATGCATAGATGAATGAATAAATGCATGAATGAATTAATAAATAAATGTATCTAGCTTAAGGTTTTGGTCCCTCTTGGGAAGAAACCCCTAAGGAAGTAATACTTGAGGTTATCACTCATGTATATCAGAATTTAAATCAGTCTTGTATGTTTTTCTAAGCATGCAGTTTGATGAACAGGGAACAAGCAATCCATAACAGCCAGGAAAGTTGCCAGGTGGGAGGAAAAGCTTAGATCTGGTAGGGTGAGACTGCTAGACAGATAACATGTTTACATTTCTCTCCAGGTTATAAAATTTTCTTCATACTCATTATCTCATTAATCTTCAAGACAGCTCAGTGTGGTATATAAATTGTGCCTGCTTCACAGATGAAGAGACTGAGGGTCATAGATAGAAAAGAACTAGCACATGGCCCTTCAAATCCTGGGTGCAGAATCAGGCTTGGAATCCAAGCCCTCCCATTCCCTTCTCTGCCTTGCTATTTTGGAGATTGTGTTGAGAGGGCTAGGTTGGGTCCTAAGGGTACCCCCTTGTACTTTTAAACAAAAGCCAATGTGGCTTTTCCAGAAAGGAATCTGAAAACAGCTGGTGTCACTGCACTGGGACCCTGTGGGCTCAGGAAGGATTAAACTCCAGCTCCATGGACCAAGCTCATTTCTCACTCTGTCTCATTAGGAGTGGCCGTCAGCGTCTACAGTGGGGAGCTTGCCCATCATCCACTCACACTTCCTGCTCACAGGGACAGCCCCACTGGCTGCTCCAGCCCACATCAGATGTCAATTTCTTGGAGACAAATGGTGGGGCTTTTACTAAGAAACCAAAATGTGTTCTTTGTTCAACCAATATTTACTCAGCACCCTACTGTGTGTATCCCTATGTGCTAGGTGCTCTGGGGAAAAAGAGAATGAACAGTCCTACTACATGTTAAGCATGATACTAGATATTATATATACTTGTCTTATTTATTATTATTATTATTGGTGTTATCATTGTTATTATTAAAGGCTACCTTTTATTGAGTACTTATGCTTTGCTAGAATTTACCAGGCACTTTTTATTTCCTCTTCTATAATGATGATGATGATGACGATGATGACAACGATGATGATGATGATGGTTGTACAGGGCTGAAAATGTCCTCCCAAAGTTAAGGCACACCTAGAATCTCAGAATGTGCTCTTATTTGGAAATAGGGTCTTTGTAGATATAATCAAGTTAATATGAAGACATACTGGATTAAGGTGATCATGCCTGCCCTCAAGGAGCATAACATCTTGGAAGGATGATAAGTTATTTAGAAAGAAAGGTATACTACAAGATAACATCTAAAGTTGCCTTAAAATTAGATGGAGACCAGATTATAGTAATGGTTGCACAATTCTATAAATTTACTAAAAATCATTGAATTGTACAATTCAATGTCAAAACTGTAAAATCATTGACTTTTATGGCATGTAAATTATGCCTCAGTGAAGGTCTTAAAAACAATAGAATTGAAAGAATAAAGGGAAAGAGTGACATTTAAGTTGCATGAGCCAGCCCAATTTATCTACAAGGGCCTATAGGAATAAGCATGAAGCTGAGATTTTCAAGGGTTCATGAGCTTCTGTGGGGAAGGGGAGAAGGAAATAGTGTGTTCAAAACACACACACAAATGCAACCTGTAAAGTAAAAATCAAGAGTTTAATATCTCTAAAATGTAACACTATGTTAACTATGTCAACGGTAGTCCATTTTAAATTTTAAGGAAATATATGTAATGTAAGGTGTGAAGGCATTTCACAAAGTTTCCCAAAATAAGAATGTCCAGGGTCTATAAAACCTTAAAGTGACCTTAGTTATGAACACAAGTCCTGTCCTTTTGTACCATGAATTCCTTGGGTTTAATGCAGAAGTCAACAAACTTTTTCTGTAAATATTCAGCCTGTAAATATTTTAGGCTTTGTGAGTCATCTCGTCTTTGTAGCAATTACCCAACTCCGCCATTGTAGCCTGAAAACAGCCATCGACAATATACCAACAAGAGTGTAGCTATGCTATAATAAAAGTTTATTTACAAATCAAGCAGCTACTAGATTTGGCCTGTGGGCTGCAGCCTGCTGATCCAAGCCCAGCTTGGTGGTGGGGACACTGTGCTGGTTTCAGAAAATTGGGGTTCTCCTGGCTCCACAATGGACTCATTCTTTGAATTTAGCCAAGTCACTTATTTGGATGTGGCTTCTTAATTCCAATTCTATCAGAAAGTAGGGAATAAGGTTACTTTCAAAGAGTGCATCTCCTTAGGCCTCCAGGAAATGCTGAAACACCAGGTTTCAGAAGGAACAGCTGGGGGCTGCAGCTGCAGGCTGGCCACCTCTCTCTCCCTCTCTCCGCCCCTGCCATCTCTGCATATGGTTAGCCAGTTTTCCCAGCACCATTTACTGAATAGGAGATCCTTTCCCCATTGCTTGTTTTTGTCAGGTTTGTCAAAGATCAGATGGTTGTAGATGTGTAGTGTTATTTCTGAGGTCTCTGTTCTGCTCCGTTGGTCTAGATGTCTGTTTTGGTACCAGTACCTTGCTGTTTTGCTTACTGTAGCCTTGCGGTATAGTTTGAAGTCAGGTAGCATGATGCCTCTCTCCCCCCCAGCCCCCCACCCCTGACACATAGACTTGCATAACATTTTTCTCTCTCTTTCTTGCTCACTTTCTTTCCGTCTCTGTCACTCTCCAAGCTTCTTTTTTTTTTCTCTACTTCTTCTTAAAAAAAACAGGATACATACGACAAACATGCAGGTTTATTACATAGGTATCCATGTGCCATGATGGTTTGCTATACCTGCTGACCTAAGTTCCCTCCCCTCACCCCCTACCCCACAACAAGCCCTGGTGTGTGTTGTTCCTCTGTCCATGTGTTCTCAACGTTCAACTCCCACTTATGAGTGAGAACATGTGGTGTTTGGTTTCCTGTTCCTGTGTTAGTTTGCTGAGGATGATGGCTTCCAGCTTCATCTATGTCCCTGCAAAGGAAACTATCTCATTCCTTTTTATGGCTGCATAGTATTCCATGGTGTATAGGTACCACATTTTCTTTACCCAGTCTATTATTGATGGACATTTGGGTTGGTTCCATGTCTTTGCATAGTGCTGTAATAAACATATGTGGCATGTGTCTTCATAGTAGAATGATATATATTCCTTTGGGTATATACCCTGTAGTAGGATTGCTGTGTCAAATGGTATTTCTGGTTCTAGATCCTTGAAGAATCTCCACACTGTCTTCCACAATGGTTGAACTAATTTACATTCCCAAAAACAGTGTAAAAGCATTCCTATTTCTCCACAGCCTCATCAGCATCTATTGTTTCCTGACTTTTTAATAATTGTCATTCTGACTGGCGTGAGATGGTATCTCATTGCGATTTTGATTTGCATTTCTCTGATGATCAGTGATGTTGAGCTTTTTTCATATTTTTGTTGGCTGAGTAAATGTCTTCTTTTGAGAAGTGTCTGTTCATATCCTTTGACCACTTTTTGAGTTTTTTTTTTTTTAATGTTTAAGTTCCTTGTAAATTCTGAATATTAGACCTTTGCCAGATGGGTAGATTGCAAAAATTTTCTCCCATTCTGTAGGTTTCCTGTTCACTCTGACGATAGTTTCTTTTGCTGTGCAGAAGCTCTTTAGTTTAATTAGATCCCATTTGTCAATTTTGGCTTTTGTTGCAATTGCTTTTGGCATTTTTATCATGAAGTATTTGCCCATGCCTATGTCCTGAATGGTATTGCCTAGGTTTTCTGCCAGGGTTTTTATGGTTTTGGGTTTTACAATTAAGTCTTTAATCCATCTTGAGTTAATTTTTGTATAAGGTGTAAGGAAGGGATCCAGTTTCAGTTTTCTGCGTATGGCTAGCCAGTTTTCCCAGCACCATTTACTGAATAGGAGATCCTTTCCCCATTGCTTGTTTTTGTCAGGTTTGTCAAAGATCAGATGGTTGTAGATGTGTAGTGTTATTTCTGAGGTCTCTGTTCTGCTCCATTTGTCTGTATGTCTGTTTTGGTACTAGCACTATGCTGTTTTGCTTACCGTAGCCTTGTAGTATAGTTTGAAGTCAGGTAGCATGATGCCTCCAGCTTTGTTCTTTTTACTTAGGATTATCTTGGCTATACAGGGTCTTCTTTGATTCCACATGAAATTTTAAATAGTTTTTTTTCCAGTTCTCTGAAGAATGTCAATGGTAGTTTGATGGGAATAGCACTGAATATATAAATTACTTTAGGTAGTATCTCCAAGCTGCTTCTGTCTAATTTTAAGCATTGACAATGAGGGCTGCCCCAGCCACAGTGTTTATAAGACTTTCCAGCACTTGAAGTGGCTACCAACTGGTTCATTCCCTGAGTTTCCCAAGTCCAAACTCCTCAGGAAGGAACCCAGGGGCCTGCCTCATCTTGAGTCAGAGCACAGCTCATGGGCCACTGTAGAACCTGAGAATTTGTGGCCCTCCATTGAAGGGTGCACATTGCTTAATCCAGTCTTTGTGGTCTGGTGCTATGGTCTGAATGTTTGTGCTCCCCCAAAAATGTAAGAGCCCAAATCTAATCACTAATGTGATGGTAATAGGAGGCATTTTTGGGAGGTGATTAGGTCATGAGAGTAAACTCCTTATGAATGGAATTAGTGCCCTTACAAAAGAGGCTCCAGAAAGCTGCCTTGCCTCTTCCACCAGGCGGGAATACCATTAGAAGGCCGTATCTATGAACCAGAAAACAGACCCTCACCAGATGCTGAATCTTCCTTGATCATGGACTTCCTAATCTCCAGAACTGTGAGAAACAAATTTGTGTTGTTTATAAGCTAACCAGTTTATGGTATTTTGTTACAGCAGCCCAAACGGACTAAGACATCTGAGATTGGGGAAAGAACAAGGGAAAAGATTCAAAGCATGGCTGTTTAGGAGATCAGCACTAAGTCTCTCTGGGTTATATCACTCCCTAAGAGAAGGGAGCCTAAGGGTTAGTAGAGAAAATGTGGGCTTTATCCAGATTAAGGGGATGCTGCTATACCAATTGTGCTTCCACAGTGACCTTGGGCAAGTCATACCAACTCTTAGCTTTAGCTTCTTCATCTATAAAATGGGGTAATAATTATTTCCCTAGATGAATATCCTGAAAAAAAGATAAAACTAATATCAATACTGAGAAATACAGTAGACACTCAATGCATAGCAGCTTCTTTTACTATTATAGGGATAATGGCGTTTACTCTATTTGGGCACTGTATTTATCAATTTGAAGCAATTTAGTTAAGCATTTATTGAGTGTAAACTATGTACATGAGTGTCATTATGCATAAAAAGCCTCTGAGAAGTGCTAAGCCATGGACATGTGTGTGGGTTCTGCTCCTGGTGTTATTATTATTATCATTCTGCACCTGGTGGATTGGCTCCAGAGTGCTGGGCCGAAGTTGCACAAGACAATCTGAGTTAGGGATTCTTGGCAGGCAGGCAGGCAGAGACAGACTCCTGCAATGAAGGCAATACAGCTCTAAATAGATAGCCAGGGGACTTTTTTTTTCTATATTAAACTATTGATTTTTCATAAACTAAGAGCACAAAAGGCCAGTGAAAACAATTGAATCCCAAAGCAGGACACCAAAAAAATTAGACAGCTCTTTGTCCCTTGTCGGCCACTTTCATGAAGTTACTTCCTTGTAGAGAAAAGATAAAACTTCTTTATTTCTAGGAAATAAATGGAAGGAAGGAAAGAAGGAAGAGAGGGAAAGAGGGGGGAAAGAAGGAAAGCGGGGGAAGGCACAGTATGAGAAAGGCACTCTGAACAGAATACAGGAAACTTAAGTTCTATCCTGATCCAGCCACTGAGCAAATTTCCTCTTCCTTCCTTCCTTCTTCCCTCTTTCTCTCTCTTTCTTTTTCTTTCTTCATTTCTCTCTTTCTTTCTCTTCCTTCCTTCTTGCTTTCCTTCCTTCCTTCCTCCCTCCCTTCCTCTTTCTTTCTCTTTCATTTCTCTTTCTCTTCCTTCCTTCTTTCCTTCCTTCCTTCCTTTCCTCCCTCCCTCCTTCCCCTCCCTTCCTTTCCTTTCCTCTTTCTTTCTCCCTTTCTCTCTTTCTTCCTTTCTCTCTTCTTTCCTTTCTTCTCTCCTTTTTTCCTTCCTTCCTCCCTCCCTCTCTCTTTCTTTCTTCTTTTCTCTTTCTCTTCCTTCCTTCTTTCCTTCCTTCCTTCCTCCCTCCCTCCTTCTCTCTCTCTTTCTTTCATTTCTCTTTCTTTCTCTTCCTTCCTTCTTTCCTTCCTTCCTTCCTTTCCTCCCTCCCTCCTTCCCCTCCTTTCCATTCCTTTTCTTCCCTTTCCTTTCCTTTCCTCTTTCTTCCTCTCTTCCTTTCTCTCTTTCTTTTATTTCTTCTCTCCTTTTTTCCTTCCTTCCTTCTTTCCTTCCTTCCCTTCCTTCCTTCCTTTCTTTCTTTCCTTCTCTTTCTTTCTCTTTCCTCTTTCTTTCTTTCTCTTTCCTCTTTCTTCCTTCGTTCCTTCGTTCCTTCCTTCCTTCTTATCAGAAAGTAAAACTTGCTGCTCTCCATGCTTGAACATTCTGTGACTCTGTTATGCAAGGGAGGTACAGAGGAGAATATGATAAAGGAAGGAAGAGGAGACCAAAAGAAGGTCCAGTGGACCTATGGGGATGATTCTGGCAGGATTCACTTTTTAGTTTCATCTGTACTCCAAGGTGAGCCCAGAGAATATTCCCATCAACAACCTTTGCTGCTAGTCAGAAATGGATCCAGTTAGTAGAGACCAAAGCTTTTTCAGTTGGGAGAGGGAGCCCTATTTAACAAAAATAAGTCAAAGTATCACTACAAAATTCTGGGCTTTGTGGAGCCCTGAAATGCAAGTTAATTAGCTTCAGGACCAATATTCCTTCACCCTGAAGCTGTGGCCTTGGGTAAAATGAGTAGGGAGAGGTGACTCAGAAAAAGACATTGTCCACTTCTCTCCAAGTCTAGCCCTCCCCATATGCCTTTAGGCTGCAATTTAATGGTACTTAGTGAGCATCAGTTTGGCACTCGACATGCAGCCGCTCATAAAAATCTTTACCTTAGGAAGTAGAGATCGTGGTCTTCATTTTATGGTTTTGACATAGGGGACCAGGTCACTCCTCCAAGAACCAAGCCTAGGGACCAAGTACAAGATCACCCTTTTGCCACTATCCATGACAGTCCCATGACATAGGTATTATTACTCACATGCAAAAGATGCTCACAAAGGTAATCATATTTGGTGCATCATCCCTCGAGTTTATCTCTTTGGAATCAGCATAAAGAAATTGCTCCTGGAGCCACTATATTTTTCAGACATTGCTGCTCACCCTGGTTCTGGCAAGGAGCTTGGAGACACTCAGGAATCTGGGGCTACCTGTCAGATATCATCATATGAGCTGGCCACACAATGTATTTGCTTTCTTTCAAGTTCTTGAAAGGAGGAGGACTGGCTTGTAGAGCAGTGGTATTCTGGAAGGAAGCTAAACTTCCAGGCAGATTCAATCTGTCCACCTTGGGCCATGGCTTACATCCTGGACCTGCTCACCTTGACCAGTGTCATGACTGTGTTCTTCTTTCAACCACAACAATTCAGCCACAGGATTTTGCTATGCAACTAAAGGGACACCTCTACTCTAACTCAGGGTTAAATGCTGAACTGAATTCTCACCACTTCCAGAAGCCTTTCCTCTGCACTGCAACTCTCCATGAACTCTCTTCCTTTCACTGCAACTGTCCATGAACTCTATTCCTTTTGACATTTAGAACATTATTTCTATGTTTTAAAGAATTTAATTCAATTCCACATGAGATCTCTGAGCTTCCTTTGGCAACAGGCTCTTATGGTTATTACTGCAGTAACTCTTCAAGGTGCCATGTGGCTCCTAGTTTGGGTTACTTTAGATGCAGACCACAGGAGGTAAGGATTGGAGTACAAGTAGTTTATATGAGGAAGCAATTCCCCATAATAGTAGAATGGAGAAGTTAGAAAGATGAAAGGAAGGCAGCCAGTAAAGGGTGGGCACCTGAGGAGTAAACTCTCTATGGGAATTCTGGAAGCCAGTGGAGAGTGTAGACTTCAGAGTTATCTCACCCATGAGGCCAGGGAGCTGGGAGATTTGCCAGCTCTGGTTAATCATTGTGCAGTGGGGCTATTTTCATCCCGCTGCATATTTGGGAAAAATAGGTTTTAATAGAGGAAGAGTTCAGGAAGTTGGAAGTCAGGCCAAGAGCATTGAAGTGGTCAGGGTGAAGGGAAAGGGAAAGGACACCAACCACATCTACTATGTCCCAGCCTCTCTAGCACATGGGGTTGTCTGGGAAATGGAATGGGCACTCATCACACCCGTAAATTGTTAGCACAGTGGGTGGCACATGATAAGCATCTTTAAAATGTCAGCGATTATTTTGTCTTTTTAAACAAGCACTGGATATGACTCTGATGAACTCAAGGCTCTTATACTCCCTAGGAGTGGAGAGACTGAGGCGTGTGCAGCGTCACATTTGGAGAAATTAGACAGCGTAGCAGTGAAATGTATGTGACTTCCCCAAGAGTAGAATGCAAAGTCACAGAGTTTCTCAAATGAACATGCCCTTCTCCTAGAGGCCCTTCCCTATCCAGATTACAGTTTGCAAGACTGTCGCCAGTGCAGACTCTGAAGGGCAGTGGTGTGGTCGGCGGGTTCTTGTCATTGTCATTCCTTCTCAGAAAAGGTGGCTAATGAGGTTTCTTTGCTTGTAGGGTGGGACAATTTTTTTCCTTAACATTTCAATAAACAACGATTATACTAAGAACAGGGTCCTAAGTGCAAGTTAAATCTGTATAAATAACTTCTTGGGAGATTTTGAGCAAGCTCATAAGCCTCTGGTCCATAATCAGTTTCTCTCTTTTTCTTTTTAATTGTGATTTTAAAGTATGATTTGTTTAAATATAATTTACATTCAGTAGAATTCACCATTTTGGGGTGTACAGTTTGGTGAGTTTTGACAAACAAAAAGTCATGTAAACACCACTCCATTAAGGTGTAGATATTTCCATCATCCATGGGAGCTCCCATGTGCACCTCTGCCTTCACTCCCCTCCCCTAGCCCCAGTGCCAGGAAACCACTGATTTAATTTCTGTTCCTATAGTTTTGCTTTCTCCAGAATGTTATATAAATGGAATCATACAGCATGTAGCTTGTTGTGTCTAACTTCTTTCACTTAACATAATGCTTTTTAAGATTCATTTATGTTGTTTCTTACATTAATAGTTTGTTTCTTTACATGATTGAGTAGAATTCCATATTATAGGTACATTGCATCTTGTTTATCCATTCATTAGTTGATGAACACCAGGGTTGTTTCCAGTTTTTGACGTTCGATGAAGGCACTACAATCATTATGATACATGTCTTTGTGTGATCATATGTTTTTATTCATCTAGGATAAATACCCAAGTTGGATATCTGGATCTTATAGTGTTAGAGGCTCAATTGTGTCCCTGCAAATTTCATGTGTTGAAGCCCTAAACCCTAGTGCCTCAGAATGTGACTGTATTTGAGATAGAATTTGTATTGAAGATGTAGTTTGAAAGAGGCCACAGGAGAAATCAAACCTGCTAACGCCTTGATCTTGGATTTCTAACCTCCAGAATTATGAGAAAATAAATTTTTGTTTAAGCCAATAAAATACCAATCTGTGGTATTTTATTATGGCCATCCTAGCAAACTAAGACATCTAATAAGTGCATGTATAACTTTATAAAAAACGAAATATTTTCCAAATTGGCGACACCATTTTATGTTCCAATAAACAATATGAGTCTCCGTTTCCTTACATACCCGCCTATTGATATTAGTCTCCCACCCCCCATTATAATTGGTATACAGTAACAACTCATTGTGATTTTAATTTGTATTTCTTTAATGGCTAATGATGTTGAGCATTTATTCAAGTGTTTATTTGTCACCATCTCTTCTTTGGTGAAACACCTGTTGAAATTTTTCGCCCATTTCTTAACTTGTTTATTTTTTTATTAACAAGTTGTGAAAGTTCTTTTTATAGTCTAGTACAAATTCTTTATCAGGTAAATCTTTGCAACTATTGTTTCCTGTTTGTGGCTTGCTTTTTCATTTTTTACTGGTGTTTTTTGAAGAGTGGTAGTTCTATTAAGTACAATTTATGATTTGTTTTCTTTTATAACTTGCGCTTTTTGTGTCCAATCTAAGAAATCATTGCCTACCCGCCAAGTTTCAAAGATTTTCTGCTCTGCTCCTCCATGCCCTAGTTTTGACAGGGAAAATTCTCCATTGTGGAAGACAAGTGGTCACTCAGCTCTACCGAGAATGGGGGTGGATGACTCCATGTAATTCAGGGATGAAGGATTAGAAGCCCCTTTGGCAAATTGTCCTAACACCACTTGTTTCTTTTACAGCATCATCAGTTAGAAGGGTGATATCCTGATAGCCTGTGTTGATTTCATCTGCCTCCAGAGCCAGGCATGAAATAAAGGAATAAAATGTACTGAACTCCCTCAACCACCTCCATTAGAGAGAGTTAGGAGGGGCTGGAAGAATTAGATGAAATTTAAAGTGTCAGATACAGAGAATGAGGAGGGGTGGAGTGAGAGAGAAGAAAATGCCCAGCTTTGAATATATTACGAAGTCTGGTCTTTATTCTAAAGTCATTGAAGGGCCACTGAAGGCCTTGAAGAGAATATATCTGATTTGTATTTTAGAGAGATTATTCTGGCTGCAGTGAAGAGAATAAATTAAAGGGGCACAGGACTGGAGGCAGGGAGAGCAGTTAATTGCTCTTGATAAGAGATGGATTGATGGCTGAGACTAGGGCACTGTCAATGGGAATGGAGAAAAGTGGATTAGTTATCTTTAAGTCTCCTTAATATTTGAGAATTCTCTGAGTGCCTCTTAAACTCTAAGTCTTTAGCAAAACAAGAAAAATGCTAATTGTTACTTTTATTGTTAAACCATCCTGGGTCCTTCCTTCTTCAACGTATTTACCACAATAGCCGCTTACACTCCAAAGTAACAGTTCTAGATGTATAATATAATACTGCTCCCAAAGGGAGAAGTATGGATGAATAGTCCACAAACAGCCCATTGCTACTCCTTTCGTAACCTCTTTGAGACGAAGAGGTGGGTCTTCCCACTTTGAAGAGTTGCAAGTCGAGCTGAGGCTGTGTAAAGTGTAATGTATTATAACTTTCAACAGTTACTGTGGCCTTTGTGCCAAACATGTTTCCACATTTTAGTTCATTTAATCCTCACAGCAACCCTGTCAATACAGCTATGATTCTCCCAACTTAGAGTCTAAGAACACTAAGGGGCAGAGGTGGAGACACATGTTTCCTACCAAATTGCCATACTCACGTAGAGACAAATAATATCTTTCAGAGTCAGAGAACTGAAATAGCTTAACAGAATTCACATTCTTAATGTGTCTTGGTGTTTGGATTTTTTAAAATGTCTTTATTATAATCACTCTCCTTAGGGGGTATTGTTATTTTTAAACTGAGAAATAAAATGCCTGGGTATAAAGAAATAGTGTCTTGCCTGAAAGCACCAAAAATGAATCCATAAAAATTTTTAAAAGATTTAGGAAGAGAAATGACTTGGGTCTGGAAATTATGTTTCTTCAGTGAACTATACCATTCCCTGGACTTAACAAGGGAGAATATGATTTCCATTAATATCAGTGGTTCTTAAACAGGTGGAATGTTGTGAATCCCTTTTAAAATATGAAGCACCATTATAGATTATGTCTTCCACTAAATGCACAAAACATAAAACTTAGTACATAATTTTAACTATTTTAAAGAATGCCTTCATGACTCTTCTCTATAAATCCCACATTCTAACTAACTCCAGACCCTGAAGTATTATGCAAATATAAATACCAGCCTTTAGTTTTGGTTGCTTTTTTACTAAAATATGGTGCAGGTGAAAATTCACTGGCTAAGAGTCAGAAGACTTGGGCTTCTGCCTCAGGTCTGCCAGATACGCAGTGAATCACACTGATCCAGACTCAGTGGCATACAGCAATAAGAGCATGTGTATCTTGCATATCTGCAGGTCCATTGGGGAATGATCAGTCTAGGCTAGAGTTATCTGGGGAATATCTCTTCATATCTCTCTTCCTGTTTCTGAAACCAGTGAGTTAGCCTGGGCATATGTTTCTTCCAACAAAGACAAAAATTTAAGCCAGCAGGCAAAAACATATGAAACCTCTTAACAGTCATGCATGGGACTTGCACGATGGCATTTCTGCCAAATTCTGTGACACAAAGTAAGTCACACAGCCAAACCCAAAGTGAAAAAGTAAGGAAATATGCCACATTAGTTTACTATGCTGTATAACATATGACCAAAAACAGCAACTTAAACAAAAACACACTTATGATCTCGTAGCTTTTGCAGGTCAAGTTTTTGAACAAGGTTTTGTTGCATTCTCTACAAGACTGCAATTCAAGTGTCAAGCAAGTCTCTGTTTTCATCTGGAGACTCAACTGGTGATGCACCCACTTCCAAACTTTCTCAGGTTATTGACCAAATTGATTTCCTTGTGGCTGTAAATCGAAGGACTTCAGTTTCTTGCTTGGTTTCTAGATGCTGCTGGCAGTCCTTGCACATGGGCTTCTCCAACATGGCCATGCTTCATGGCAGCTTTGCTTCTTCACTGCCAGCAATGGAGAGTGAGTCTGCCAGCAAGATGGTGTCTTTTATGACAAAATGTATTCACATAATCACATTCACATTGTAATCTTGCCCCATCACCTTTGACATCTTCTATTGGTTAGAAGCAAGACACAGGTCCTACCCACATTCCATGGGAGGGAATTACACACAGGCGTGAATACCAAGAGGTCGGGTCTTGGGGATACCTTACAATCTGTCTGCCACATCCCATTTAGAGTGAGAAATTGCCAGATCTACATGGCAAAGGGTATGGATACAAAAACAGATTAGGACTTGAGGCTGGTAGTCAATCCACCAACATATTACAGAGTCACAGGAATCAATGGAGGGCCACAAAGGACAAGACTGTCAGGAAGGGCTCTCTGCAGAAGCAATGCTTGGACACAGACATGAACACATGAAGGGACCAGTGGTGTCACAACAGTTTAGAAGAGTTTGGGAACTGTGAAAAATATGCAGAAATTGAGAGCCTGAATATGCTTTAAAATGGACCATTGCTCAGCCTATTCTCAAATGACGGCTGAGACACCAGGTCTTTCCTAATCTTCCAATTATATTGACTGCTTAAATTGCTGTGCCAGAAACCCATCTTCCAGACAAAGGGTACCAAGTGGCTAATGAGGTGAGGAGGAGATCATGAGCGGAAACGCCAGGAGTTTATGCCCAACAGAACATATCTCTGTGATGCACACTGGGGCAGAGGAGAGAACACGTGAAAGACACAGAGACTGAGGGAGACTTCTGAGAGACACCAAGGGCTGGAGATCATGGCAGTTCACACTATGAAGGAGGTGGCTTTGCTCAGCCTGTGGTGGACAACTTGGTGGAAGGCTGAGGCACCAGGTTAATTGACTGAACTGGAGAATGTGATGTTTGCTTAATGGAAGAGGCAATTTCATATAAAAGCCAGTGCGCTCAGACAGATGTGAGGATTGTCCCTAAGCCATGTCACCTTTCTGAGCATCAGATTCTTAATCAGTGAAATGGGAGGGTTCAGCCTAAGTTAGGGGTTCAAGCAGGTGACAGTGGTGTCTGCTGTCAATCTTTTGTGAGACAATAGATTACGATTTTTATATTTCTCTTGAATTTGTCTTGTTCTTAGTTGCACTGACTTTTAAAATACGATTAAAGTTAAAAAAATGATCAAATATACATTGATTTGTGGCCTCTATTAGACAGTTCCAAAAGTTCTTTTCAGCTCTAGGTAAAGCGCTTAGCCCAGACCTTGGCACATCATAAAATTTCCATAAAATGATTGCTATTATTATTATCAATTATATTATTTCATGATTTTCCTCAAGATGTTAAATGCAAATGTACTTGGAGAGGTACTACATTAAAATGTCATCAGCCACTAATTTTACAGCTAATTTAGTGAATCCCTATCCAGAGTCCAAGAGAGATAAAGGACTCTAACTTTTGCATGGTAGGTGCTCCAGTAATGTATTTTTAAATTAGTAAGTAAGGTTCAGCTACATGTAAGTCCTAAATACTGGTTAATACCTAATAACAATGATTTATAACTTGTATATAGAAATGCAAAGTATACCAAGCACACAACTATTGATTATCTCATATTCTCCCCACATCGGCCCTTGGAGGTAGGAAGGAGAGACATATTTCTCACTTTGTAGGTGAACAAACTGAGGGTCAGGTGGGTTAAGACACTTTCCCAAGGTCCCAAAGTAAGTTGTAGAATCAGGAATAATACATATGCCATTCCTTCTGACATAACTCTGTGTTTCATTCAAAGGGACGGTCCCAGAATCACACAGGAGTACTTGCTATTCCCCAGTCCCCATTATGAACACTTATTAATCGATAGGATAGAAATGTGGTCCTGGGAGTTATATTTTTTTAAAGTTCCTAAGGTAAATCTGGTGGAGGAGCTACGGCATTAGATTGTAAGCTTTGAGAGAGCAGGAGCCATGTCTGTCTTTCTCACTTGGGTGCAATATCTAGCATGACCAACTAATAGCAATTAAATGAATGAAAGAATGAATGACCACATTGCCTTACTACCCCCTGAGAAGTCAAAATTAATTAAAATCAGTGGGCTTTGTGGGGAGGTACAAAGACTGTACAGCCACAGAGACAAACACTGAGTTTAAATTTAAATTCAGCATTAAGCCTCATGCACTTACTATGTAAGACTGCACTAGGCTTTGGGAATACATGGTGAATAAAAAACACTCCTTCCCTCAAGATGCTCTCACCTGGTAGGAAGATAAGTCCAGAAGGAAGGGAACCAATACACAGAATATAAGGCAAACAACACCAATTCTGATAAGTGGTGTTAGCTGGGCACCTGCTAACTGCCAGCACCTTATGTATGTAATCTTATTTCAAAGTTCCAAATAAGAGAAGAAAAAGCTGTAGAGTTGCAGAGAGGAGGAGATGTACTTCACTTCCTCCTCAGGTTTGCTTTGCTCACCTGCATAAATAGCCGCTTCCTCTGGGACTGGATGGCTATCTGCAGAGGCGAGAGGCAGGGGCTTTCTTGACCTCTTTCAGAGAAGCCTGTGATGGAAACATCAGAGGTTGAGGCAATAAGCGTCTTCAGCTAGAGAAACTGAGGCAAGAAATTTACAATAGGCCTGTCTTTCAAATTTTCTAGTACAGAAGAAAGGGAATTTCTTGGATCTGTGATTCTTTACTTAATCATACAAATCCCCTGATGCCACCACCCCCATTCCACTTCCTACACTTTTTATAGGTCCCTAAAATCTAGCAAAAACATTTCTTTATTCCTAGTTAACAACTCTATGACCCAAAACCGACTTTGTCACAACAGTTTCCTAAATACGGTTCGTATCTCCTTCCTACCTTTACAACTCTCTATTGACCAGTGGCTTAATAAAGTACAAAGTGAAAATACAAAATACCTATAGGACAACTTTCCATGATTCCATGAGGCCCAGAGGATTAAACCAAGGGTTTACTACCTGACCCCTGCTCCACCTGGCCCCTTATCTTTAGCTCTTCTTCTTTCCAATAGACATTAAGATTACTATTTTTCTTTAACTTTTATTTTAAGTTCAAGGGTACATGTGCAGGTCTGTTATATAGGTAAACCCACGTCATGGGGGTTTATTGTACAGATTATTTTGACTCCCAGGTATTAAGACTAGTCTCCATCAGTTATTTTTCCTGATCCTCTCCCTCCTCCCACCCTCCACCCTCTTGTAGGCCCCAGTGTGTGTTGTTCCCTTCTATATGTCCATATGTTCTCATCATTTAGCTCCCACTTATAAGTGAGAACATGTAGTATTTGGTTTTCTGTTCTTGTATTAGTTTGCTAAGGATAATGGTTTCTACCTCTATCCATGTTCCTGGAAAGGACATGATCTTATTGTTTTTCATGGCTGCATATTATTCCATCATGTATATGTACCACATTTTCTTTATCCAGTCTATCATTTGTGGACATTTAGGTTGATTCCATGTCTTTGCTATTGTGAATCGTGCTGCAGTGAACATATGCATACATGTGTCTTTATGATAGAATGATTTACATTACTCTGGGTATATACCCAGCAATGGGATTGCTGGGTTGAATAGTAGTTCTTGCTGGGTTGAATAATAGTTCTGTTTTTAGCTCTTTGAGGAATTGCTACACTGCTTTCCATAATGGTTGAACTAATTTACACTCCCACCAGCAGTGTATAAGTGTTTCCTTTTTCTCCGAAAATTTGCCAGCATCTGTTTTGTTTGTTTGTTTGTTTTGTTTTTTGTAATAGCCATTCTGACTGGTGTGAGATGGTATCTCATTGTGGTTTTGATTTACATTTATCTAACGATCAATAATGTTTAGCTTTTGTTCATACGCTTGTTGGCTGCATGTATGTCTTCTTTTGAGAAGTGTCAGTTCATCTCCTTTGACCATTTTTAATGGGGTTGTTTGGGGTTTTCTCTTGTAAATTTGTTGAAGTTCTTATAGATGCTGGATATTAGAACTTTGCCAGACGCATAGTTTGCAAACATTTTCTTCCATTTTGTAGGTTGTCTGTTTACTCTATTGATAGTTTCTTTTGCTGTGCAGAAGCTCTTTAGTCTAATTAGATTCCATTTGTT
Source organism: Homo sapiens (assembly GCF_000001405.40). Classification (NCBI taxonomy): domain Eukaryota; kingdom Metazoa; phylum Chordata; class Mammalia; order Primates; family Hominidae; genus Homo; species Homo sapiens. The sequence continues at coordinate 119,620,421 of NC_000009.12, forward strand.
AATGATAAACAACTTCAGTGAAGTCTCAGGATACAAAATCAACGTAAAAAAATTACTAGCATTTCTATAAAACAACAGTCAAGCCGAGAGCCAAATCAGGAACACAATCCCATTCACAACTGCCCAAAAAGAATAAAATAACTAGGAATACAGCTACCCAGGGAAATTAAATATCTCTACTAGGGGAATTACAAAACAGTGCTCAAAGAAATCAGAGATGACACAAACAAATGGAAAAACATTCCATGCTCTTGGATAGGAAGAATCAATATCACTAAAATGACCTTGCTGCCCAAAGCAATTTATATATTCAATGCTATTCCTATTAAACTACCATTGAGATTCTAGAAACTAGAAACTAGAACTAGAAAAGACTATTTTAAAATTCACGTGAAACCAAAAAGAGTCCAACAACCAAGGCAATCTAAGCAAAAAGAACAAAGCTGGAGGCATCATGTTACCCGACTTCAAACTATACTACAGGGCTACAGTAACCAAAACAGCATAGTACTTGTACAAAAACACACATATAGACGAATAGAACAGAACAGAGAGCCCAGAAATAAGGCCACACACCTAAACCATCTGATCTTCAACAAAGCTGGCAAAAACAAGCAATGGGGAAAAGACTCCCTATTCAATAAATGGTGCTGGAATAACTGGCTAGCTATATGCTGAAGAATGAAACTGTACACCTTTCTTACACCATATACAAAAAAATCAACTCAAGATGGATTAAAGACTTAAGGGTAAAACCCAAAACTATAAAAACCCTGGAAGGCAACCTAGGCAATACCATTCTGAACATAGGAACAGGCAAACATTTCATGACGAAGACACCAAAGGCAATTGCAGCAAAAGCAAAAATTGACACTTAGGATTCTTTTGTTTGTTTGTTTATTTGTTTGTTTGTTTTTATTATACTTTAAGTTTTAGGGTACATGTGCACATTGTGCAGGTTAGTTACATATGTATACATGTGCCATGCTGGTGCACTGCACCCACTAACTTGTCATCTAGCATTAGGTATATCTCCCAATGCTATCCCTCCCCCCTCCCCCCACCCCACCACAGTCCCCAGAGTGTGATATTCCCCTTCCTGTGTCCATGTGATCTCATTGTTCAATTCCCACCTATGAGTGAGAATATGCAGTGTTTGGTTTTTTGGTCTTGCGATAGTTTACTGAGAATGATGATTTCCAATTTCATCCATGTCCCTACAAAGGACATGAACTCATCATTTTTTATGGATGCATAGTATTCCATGGTGTATATGTGCCACATTTTCTTAATCCAGTCTATCATTGTTGGACATTTGGGTTGGTTCCAAGTCTTTGTTATTGTGAATAATGCCGCAATAAACATACGTGTGCATGTGTCTTTATAGCAGCATGATTTATAGTCATTTGGGTATATACCCAGTAATGGGATGGCTGGGTCAAATGGTATTTCTAGTTCTAGATCCCTGAGGAATCGCCACACTGACTTCCACAATGGTTGAACTATTTTACAGTCCCACCAACAGTGTAAAAGTGTTCCTATTTCTCCACATCCTCTCCAGCACCTGTTGTTTCCTGACTTTTTAATGATTGCCATTCTAACTGGTGTGAGATGGTATCTCATAGTGGTTTTGATTTGCATTTCTCTGATGGCCAGTGATGATGAGCATTTTTTCATGTGTTTTTTGGCTGCATAAATGTCTTCTTTTGAGAAGTGTCTGTTCATGTCCTTCGCCCACTTTTTGATGGGGTTGTTTGTTTTTTTCTTGTAAATTTGTTGGAGTTCATTGTAGATTCTGGATATTAGCCCTTTGTCAGATGAGTAGGTTGCGAAAATTTTCTCCCATTTTGTAGGTTGCCTGTTCACTCTGATGGTAGTTTCTTTTGCTGTGCAGAAGCTCTTTAGTTTAATTAGATCCCATTTGTCAATTTTGGCTTTTGTTGCCATTGCTTTTGGTGTTTTAGACATGAAGTCCTTGCCCATGCCTATGTCCTGAATGGTAATGCCTAGGTTTTCTTCTAGGGTTTTTATGGTTTTAGGTCTAACGTTTAAATCTTTAATCCATCTTGAATTGATTTTTGTATAAGGTGTAAGGGAGGGATCCAGTTTCAGCTTCCTACATATGGCTAGCCAGTTTTCCCAGCACCATTTATTAAATAGGGAATCCTTTCCCCATTGCTTGTTTTTCTCAGGTTTGTCAAAGATCAGATAGTTGTAGGTATGCGGCGTTATTTCTGAGGGCTCTGTTCTGTTCCATTGATCTATATCTCTGTTTTGGTACCAGTACCATGCTGTTTTGGTTACTGTAGCCTTGTAGTATAGTTTGGAGTCAGGTAGTGTGATTCCTCCAGCTTTGTTCTTTTGGCTTAGGATTGACTTGGCGATGCGGGCTCTTTTTTGGTTCCATATGAACTTTAAAGTAGTTTTTTCCAATTCTGTGAAGAAAGTCATTGGTAGCTTGATGGGGATGGCATTGAATCTGTAAATTACCTTGGGCAGTATGGCCATTTTCATGATATTGATTCTTCCTACTCATGAGCATGGAATGTTCTTCCATTTGTTTGTATCCTCTTTTATTTCCTTGAGCAGTGGTTTGTAGTTCTCCTTAAAGAGGTCCTTCACGTCCCTTGTAAGTTGGATTCCTAGGTATTTTATTCTCTTTGAAGCAATTGTGAATGGGAGTTCACTCATGATTTAGCTCTCTGTTTGTCTGTTGTTGGTGTATAAGAATGCTTGTGATTTTTGTACATTGATTTTGTATCCTGAGACTTTGCTGAAGTTGCTTATCAGCTTAAGGAGATTTTGGGCTGAGACAATGGGGTTTTCTAGATATACAATCATGTCGTCTGCAAACAGGGACAATTTGACTTCCTCTTTTCCTAATTGAATACCCTTTATTTCCTTCTCCTGCCTAATTGCCCTGGCCAGAACTTCCAACACTATGTTGAATAGGAGTGGTGAGAGAGGGCATCCCTGTCTTGTGCCAGTTTTCAAAGGGAATGCTTCCAGTTTTTGCCCATTCAGTATGATATTGGCTGTGGGTTTGTCATAGATAGCTCTTATTATTTTGAAATACGTCCCATCAATACCTAATTTATTGAGAGTTTTTAGCAGGTAGGGTTGTTGAATTTTGTCAAAGGCCTTTTCTGCATCTATTGAGATAATCATGTGGTTTTTGTCTTTGGCTCTGTTTATATGCTGGATTACATTTATTGATTTGCGTATATTGAACCAGCCTTGCATCCCAGGGATGAAGCCCACTTGATCATGGTGGATAAGCTTTTTGATGTGCTGCTGGATTCGGTTTGCCAGTATTTTATTGAGGATTTTTGCATCAATGTTCATCAAGGATATTGGTCTAAAATTCTCTTTTTTGGTTGTGTCTCTGCCCGGCTTTGGTATCAGAATGATGCTGGCCTCATAAAATGAGTTAGGGAGGATTCCCTCTTTTTCTATTGATTGGAATAGTTTCAGAAGGAATGGTACCAGTTCCTCCTTGTACCTCTGGTAGAATTCGGCTGTGAATCCATCTGGTCCTGGACTCTTTTTGGTTGGTAAACTATTGATTATTGCCACAATTTCAGCTCCTGTTATTGGTCTATTCAGAGATTCAACTTCTTCCTGGTTTAGTCTTGGGAGAGTGTATGTGTCGAGGAATTTATCCATTTCTTCTAGATTTTCTAGTTTATTTGCGTAGAGGTGTTTGTAGTATTCTCTGATGGTAGTTTGTATTTCTGTGGGATCGGTGGTGATATCCCCTTTATCATTTTTTATTGTGTCTATTTGATTCTTCTCTCTTTTTTTCTTTATTAGTCTTGCTAGCGGTCTATCAATTTTGTTGATCCTTTCAAAAAACCAGCTCCTGGATTCATTGATTTTTGAAGGGTTTTTTGTGTCTCTATTTCCTTCAGTTCTGCTCTGATTTTAGTTATTTCTTGCCTTCTGCTAGCTTTTGAATGTGTTTGCTCTTGCTTTTCTAGTTCTTTTAGTTGTGATGTTAGGGTGTCAATTTTGGATCTTTCCTGCTTTCTCTTGTGGGCATTTAGTGCTATAAATTTCCCTCTACACACTGCTTTGAATGCGTCCCAGAGATTCTGGTATGTTGTGTCCTTGTTCTCGTTGGTTTCAAAGAACATCTTTATTTCTGCCTTCATTTCGTTATGTACCCAGTAGTCATTCAGGAGCAGGTTGTTCAGTTTCCATGTAGTTGAGTGGCTTTGAGTGAGATTCTTAATCCTGAGTTCTAGTTTGATTGCACTGTGGTCTGAGAGATAGTTTGTTATAATTTCTGTTCTTTTACATTTGCTGAGGAGAGCTTTACTTCCAAGTATATGGTCAATTTTGGAATAGGTGTGGTGTGGTGCTGAAAAAAATGTATATTCTGTTGATTTGGGGTGGAGAGTTCTGTAGATGTCTATTAGGTCCGCTTGGTGCAGAGATGAGTTCAATTCCTGGGTATCCTTGTTGACTTTCTGTCTCGTTGATCTGTCTAATGTTGACAGTGGAGTGTTAAAGTCTCCCATTATTAATGTGTGGGAGTCTAAGTCTCTTTGTAGGTCACTCAGGACTTGCTTTATGAATCTGGGTGCTCCTGTATTGGGTGCATATATATTTAGGATAGTTAGCTCTTCTTGTTGAATTGATCCCTTTACCATTATGTAATGGCCTTCTTTGTCTCTTTTGATCTTTGTTGGTTTAAAGTCTGTTTTATCAGAGACTAGGATTGCAACCCCTGCCTTTTTTTGTTTTCCATTTGCTTGGTAGATCTTCCTCCATCCTTTTATTTTGAGCCTATGTGTGTCTCTGCACGTGAGATGGGTTTCCTGAATACAGCACACTGATGGATCTTGACTCTTTATCCAATTTGCCAGTCTGTGTCTTTTAATTGGAGCATTTAGTCCATTTACATTTAAAGTTAATATTGTTATGTGTGAATTTGATCCTGTCATTATGATGATAGCTGGTGATTTTGCTCGTTAGTTGATGCAGTTTCTTCCTAGTCTCGATGGTCTTTACATTTTGGCATGATTTTGCAGCGGCTGGTACCGGTTGTTCCTTTCCATGTTTAGCGCTTCCTTCAGGAGCTCTTTTAGGGCAGGCCTGGTGGTGACAAAATCGGTCAGCATTTGCTTGTCTGTAAAGTATTTTATTTCTCCTTCACTTATGAAGCTTAGTTTGGCTGGATATGAAATTCTGGGTTGAAAATTCTTTTCTTTAAGAATCTTGAATATTGGCTCCCACTCTCTTCTGGCTTGTAGTGTTTCTGCCGAGAGATCTGCTGTTAGTCTGATGGGCTTCCCTTTGAGGGTAACCTGACCTTTCTCTCTGGCTGCCCTTAACATTTTTTCCTTCATTTCAACTTTGGTGAATCTGACAATTATGTGTCTTGGAGTTGCTCTTCTCAAGGAGTATCTTTGTGGCGTTCTCTGTATTTCCTGAATCTGAACGTTGGCCTGCCTTGCTAGATTGGGGAAGTTCTCCTGGATAATATCCTGCAGAGTGTTTTCCAACTTGGTTCCATTCTCCCCATCACTTTCTGGTACACCAATCAGACGTAGATTTGTTCTTTTCACATAGTCCCATATTTCTTGGAGGCTTTGCTCATTTCTTTTTATTCTTTTTTCTCTAAACTTCCCTTCTCGCTTCATTTCATTCATTTCATCTTCCATTGCTGATACCCTTTCTTCCAGTTGATCGCATCGGCTCCTGAGACTTCTGCATTCTTCACGTAGTTCTCGAGCCTTGGTTTTCAGCTCCATCAGCTCCTTTAAGCACTTCTCTGTATTGGTTATTCTAGTTATACATTCTTCTAAATTTTTTTCAAAGTTTTCAACTTCTTTGCCTTTGGTTTGAATGTCCTCCCGTAGCTCAGAGTAATTTGATCGTCTGAAGCCTTCTTCTCTCAGCTCGTCAAAGTCATTCTCCATCCAGCTTTGTTCTGTTGCTGGTGAGGAACTGCGTTCCTTTGGAGGAGGAGAGACGCTCTGTGTTTTAGAGTTTCCAGTTTTTCTGTTCTGTTTTTTCCCCATCTTTGTGGTTTTATCTACTTTTGGTCTTTGATGATGGTGATGTACAGATGGGTTTTCGGTGTGGATGTCCTTTCCGTTTGTTAGTTTTCCTTCTAACAGACAGGACCCTCAGCTGCAGGTCTGTTGGAATACCCTGCTGTGTGAGGTGTCAGTGTGCCTCTGCTGGGGGGTGCCTCCCAGTTAGGCTGCTCGGGGGTCAGGGGTCAGGGACCCACTTGAGGAGGCAGTCTGCCGGTTCTCAGATCTCCAGCTGCATGCTGGGAGAACCACTGCTCTCTTCAAAGCTGTCAGACAGGGACATTTAAGTCTGCAGAGGTTACTGCTGTCTTTTTTTCTGTGCCCTGCCCCCAGAGGTGGAGCCTACAGAGGCAGGCAGGCCTCCTTGAGCTGTGGTGGGCTCCACCCAGTTCGAGCTTCCCGGCTGCTTTGTTTACCTAAGCATGCCTGGGCAATGGCAGGCGCCCCTCCCCCAGCCTCGCTGCCGCCTTGCAGTTTGATCTCAGACTGCTGTGCTAGCAATCAGCGAGATTCCGTGGGCGTATAGGACCCTCCGAGCCAGGTGTGGGATATAGTCTCGTGGTGCGCCGTTTTTTAAGCCGGTCTGAAAAGCGCAATATTCGGGTGGGAGTGACCCGATTTTCCAGGTGCGTCCATCACCCCTTTCTTTGACTCGGAAAGGGAACTCCCTGACCCCTTGCGCTTCCCAGGTGAGGCAATGCCTTGCCCTGCTTCGGCTCGCGCACGGTGCGCGCACCCACTGGCCTGCGCCCACTGTCTGGCACTCCCTAGTGAGATGCACCCGCTACCTCAGATGGAAATGCAGAAATCACCCGTCTTCTGCGTCGCTCACGCTGGGAGCTGTAGACCGGAGCTGTTCCTATTCGGCCATCTTGGCTCCTCCAGGGACACTTAGGATTCTTAACTTCCAATGCAAGACAGGTTCTTAGTAACTACAATTCTCCAAGGGTGAAGATTCAGTTGCCATTGATAGGTCAGTTGATATGGAGGAGATTCACAAAATGAAGATCACTGCATAAACTTGACAGACAAGGGACTAATAGTTGTGGCTGCATTTCTTTTCTCAAAGCACAGAAAAGAAAACCTAGCAAAATATACTTTGGGATTAATTAATTTATAAGTGTATCTGCAAGACAGTTCGTTATCCCTAAGTTTATCAAAAATCTTCACTATGCCAAATTTGGGGCTTAGTTTTCATAGCTCATCTTACTAAAACACTCTCATGTAGTTATTCACTCCTGCTTCTTTAAGCACTGTCCCCTAGGACTGTGCACATGGCCCCTAGGACTGTGCACTCCCCTGATTTTCTTCCTACCTCCCAGGGTATTCCTTCTCAGTCTTCATGGATGGCTCCTCTTCTTCTTATTGATCTCTAAATATTACATTCTCTAACCTTCAAATCTGCCCCCACTACCACCACCACCACTGTGACCCTCGCCTCCACCAATGGCATCTTTTGCTCCCAGTTTCTGATAGAAAAAAAAAAAAAAAAACCTTGAATTCACCATGACTTTTACTTCCTCACATCTCACATCCAATCCATCGGAAAATTCCATCGATTCAACCATTCAAACAGAGCCTGAAAAGTCCATGTCACTATCACATTTCACTTGGACAAACTACATAGACATCTAACAGGTCTCCCTGCCTGCACTCTTGTGCCCACATTTGATTGTCTATTCAGTAGTCTGGGATGATATTTTTAAAACCTAACGCCACCTCTATGAGCAAAGTCCTTCAATGGTTTTCCATCAAATTCAGAATAAATTCAAATTCCTTATCATAACCTACAGAGCTGTATATATTAACATGTGCTCCCTCTCTAACCTAATTCTTAGCATTCTTCCAAAGCTCACTCTGTTCTAGATTCACTGCCTGCCTTTAGTTACCATCTATTGCTGCATAACCAATTATTGCAAAACTTAGCGGCTCAAAACTGTAAATATTTATAATCTCTCACAGTTTCTGTGGGTCAGGAGTTTGGGAGCAGCTTAGCTGAACTGTTCTAATTCAAGGTCTCTCACGAGGTTGCAGTCAAGTTGTCCACAGAGGCTGCTTTCATCTGAAGGCTTGATAGGGGCTGGCATATCCACTTGTAGGGTGTCTCACTCACATGACCAGCAAGTTGATGCAAGCCGTTGGCAAAAGGCCTCAGTTCTTCTCCACAAGGACCTCTCTATAGGACTCCTGTGTGTTCCCATGTATAGCACTGACTACTCCCAGAGTGAGTGATCTAAGACACCTAGGCAGAATTGCCAGTGCCTCTTCTTACCTATTAAAGGAAGTTACACTGTCACCTCTGCCATACTCTATTGATCACACAGACTAACTCTGAATCAAGGTGGATGGAAGGAGACTATATAAGGGAAGATATACCCCGAAGCAAGGATCACTGGAGGCCCTATCAGAGCCCAGCTATCCCACCATCTTGCTGTCTTACAGACCTGTATGTGGTAGCTCGTCCTACTTACTGCTTGTTCCTTCTGAATGGAAAGCTCTCTCCTTCAATTTGTACAAGTCTGTTCCCCACTTTTATTCAATTAATTACTTAACATTATTTCTTCAAACCAGGCTTTTCATATCACCTTATCTAAAATAGTCTCCCTCTGTTGGTCAAAGGGTAGAAAGTTTCAGCTATACAGCGAGAACAAGCTCTGGAGATCCAATACACATCATGGTGACTATAGTTAAGACTGTATTGCATACTTGAAATTTACTAAGAGAGTAGGTCTTAAATACACACACACACATACACACAAATGTTGTGTAACTATGCATGGTAATGAATATGCTAATTAGCTTGACTACAGTAATCATTTCACAATGTGTATACGTGTGTGTACCTGTGTGTGTGTATAAATGTATATGGGAAAGTATTAAGAGGGATTGCAGGGCCCCGTCAAAACCCACAGTGGAATAGAGGTTGGTTTGGTGGGCCTGCACTGGAGGCATGGAAGAGCCCTGAACAGGCAGGACTGCCCTTAGAATGCCACTGAGAGGGTCTGGAGCCGGCAAGCCCATGTTCATTGCAGCACTATTCACAATAGGCAAGATAAGGAATCAACTTTAGTGTCCATTGACAAACAAATAGGTAAAGTGTGGTATATATATACAATAAAATATTATTCAACCTTAAAAAAGAAGAAAATCCTGCCATTTGTGACAACATGGATGAACCTGGACAAGATTATGCTAAGTGAAATAAAGGCAGACACAGAAAAACAAATACTATATGATCTCATGTATATGTGGATTCTAAAAAAACTCATAGAAATAGAAAATAGAATGGTGGTTGTCAGGGAATGGGGGTGAGGATAATGGGGAGATGTTGGTCACAGGTTACAAACTTTTTCACTTATAAGATGAATAAGTTCTGGGCATCTAATGTAAGCATGGTGACTATAGTTAATAATGTATTGTTTATTTGAAGTACGCTAAGAGAGCAGTTCTTAAGTGTCCTCAACCCTCCTCCCCCCACCATACACACATACACAATGATAATTACATGTAGGGAAGATGTGTTAATCACTTTAATTGTGGTAACTAGCACATATTGCATATGTATGTCAAACTATCATATTGTACACCTTGAATATATACAATTTTTTATTTGTATAAAATAGCTTGGAAAAGACACATTGCATGCCTTAAATAGATATAATTTTTGTCAATTATACCTCAATAAAAGCTGAAAAATAAATAATTCTCCTCATCGCTATCCCATTACCTTACTTTATCACTTTTCTTAGTAGTTACTATTATGTTCCACAAGGCAGAGTTTTAGCCTATTTTATCCATGGTTAAATCTCAAGTGTCTAAAATAGTGTGCTGTACAAAGTAGATGCTCAGTAAATATCTGTTGAATGAGTAAGTGAAAGAACAAAACCCTAGTCTTGGGACATGAAGAGAATCAACACTTATAAAAGAGGCAGTGTATAGAGAAGTAAACTAATTTATTTCAAAAATATTTATTGAGCCTAATGAACAAATAGCTGGATATTCAAAGAGGTCTAAAACAAAATTTCTGGCTTTCAGGAGCCCCTGGCCAAGCAAGTTTCAAAGATTTCAAGTTTCTGAAGATTAACAGGTTTTTAAGTTGTGTTTCATTGCCTATGGCACACAACATATATAAACGCATTGCCCATCTTGTAACTGAACAGTTTGTAGATCAGATGAAGAAACCCTCTTCTAGCTAGAGCAGATTATGTTGGAGTTAGGCCCCTAACACAGAGGACACCCTTCCATATGCCAGTGATTCAACCTGTGATTCAAGTGGCTAGCACTAAACAATTAATTGAGCCAATAAGATGCTTTTGGAAGTTTGAATGAAGAGTCTCAGAAGAAAATTGCAAATATACAGGGACACTAGAATTCCAGAAACCCTAATACGAAATTGAGATCGATTTAAGGACATAGCAAGCCAAAGGCCTGTGCAAGCTGAAGTTCTGAGGCAGAGACTGTGAGTAAAGACAGAAATCTGGAAAAGAGAGGGGAGAAAGTAGCAAAGGCATAGACAGATGAAGAGGACCCATGACATACAGAGAATGTGAGAGAGGTAGAAAGAGACAAAAAGATAGACGGTCAGAGCCAAACGCAAACACAGAGATCAAAGGACAAAACAGATGGGCCCATTCATTCCTGGAGCTGCTTACTTCCCCCTGTTGGAGGCTTAGTGGTGCAGTTTTCTCCTGGGCTCCTGTGCGCGCAGAAACTTTCAGCCAAAATCTCTTCCACCCTCTTCTTCCTGAGCCAAATTTTGTTATTCTCTCATTTGAGACTAGAAGCACCCTGACAAAAGCAGGCAGTGTCTGGGGGAGATCTATGTGTGCAGATCCCTTCAGGCATGAAATAAGGCTCATGGCCCATGCTTAGCAGGTATTTGTTTTTCCATGTTCCAGGAACAGTGGGGATGGACTTTCTCTGAGTCATCTACCATTTTAAGCAAGCCTTCTCTACCACATAGGGCACTCATGGGCAGAACGAGCTGAGATGCAGCTCAATACAAGAAGTAGAGTGAAATCAAGTTGGAGTTGACCCTCACCCTCTAGACAATGGTAGACAGTGAGTGCCTTCAAGACAGCTTGGTTTGTTCCTCCCTGAATTTATTGTGCCATATACGGATTCTGGCCCATAGTACACGTATGAGTATTCACAAATGACTGAGCAGGTCTGCTTCATGAAGAAACCACAACGCTGGCATATTTTCACTTCTGTGGCTGCTACTGATAATAGCAATAATCATAATCATAATTACAACACCATTTACTGAGGGCCAGCCTCTGTACTAAGCACTTTGTGTATTTATTATCTCTCCTAACACCATTGGTTCCTTTCATGGGTCTTCAATGACTAAAAGATTTCCATGCCAAAATGATACTATTAGATTTATTCGCTCCTTTGCAATGACAAAAATCTTCCTGTTTCCAAGAATAAAAGACACAAGCTTCCAGTCTCTTTTCTCTTCCAGGACTAGCCAGCCTTTGAGGCTTAGACATTAAAAAGTTAGGAAGCCCTGGTTCAGGGAAATAAGATTTAGGATTAGAGGGAGCAGAAGGGGCTCTCTTTAGTAAGATGATAAAATATTCTACCTAGAACTTTAGTATGACTTTATTATGTTGTTCCATAAAGCAATACCAATTAAATTCTATATAAAGGAAGTGGTACATGCTTACGCAGGATTTTTCAACCCTCACTGTGCATTAGAATTACCTGGGAACTTTTAAAAGAACACATGCCTGGATTCAGTAAGGCTGAACAGACTTTTATAGCTTGTGACCCAGCGATTCCAATCCTCAATAGACACTCAACAGAAAGGAAAACACTTTTGATAAGCAAAAGATTGATACAGGAATGTTAGTAGAAGCATAATTTATAATAGCCAAGAATGGGAAAGATGTCCATCAACAGCAGATTGGCTAAAAGAATTGTAATAGATTCAGACAATGAAATGCACTATAGGAACAAGAATGAACAAATCCCTAATATGCTCCACGATGTTGATGAATCCCATAAATACATGAAGCTAGACACTGAAGCATGCCGATTGTATGACTTCATTTATATAAAGTTCAGAAACAGGAAAAATAAATCTCTGCTGTTTTTTATTTTTTTCTACTTTCAACTCTTTAATCATTGTTGTGGCTATTTTGGCCACCCCTTTGGGCCCATCCATTGGTAGTCTCAAGTAGGAGACCAGGATAAAGGGATAACTCTAAGGAGTAAGATTCGACATTCTGGAATCCTTTGGCCCGTCATTCAGTTACTTGCAGGAATCATTTCCTAGAAATGGCGAGGACAGAGCAGCACCTCTGGCCCAGGAGGAGCAACTCCTGCTCATTCTTGGGCTCTGAGTCCCCTGTTGTTCATACCTGTAATCCCAGAACTTTAGGATACTGAGGTGGGCAGATCATTTGAGGTCAGGAGTTTGAGACTAGCGTGGCCAATGTGGCAAAACCCCGTCTCTACTAAAAGTACAGCAACAAAAACTAGCAGGGCGTCAAGCTACATGCCTGTAATCCCAGCTATTGGGAGACTGAGGCAGGAGAATCTCTTGAACCCAAGCAGCAGAGGTTGCAGTGAGCCAGGATCGGTCCACTACACCCCAGCCTGGGTGACAGAGTGAGACTTCATCTCAAAAAAAAAAATCTGCTGTTTAAAATCAGGATAACGATTATCCTTGTGGCAGAATGAGGTGGTAGTGATTGGAAAAGGGTACAAGGGGCCCCCAGCATGCTTCTGGTGCTGATAATGTTCTGTTTCTTGAACTGTGTGCTACATGGGTGTGTGTTTACTTTGTGACAATATGCTGTGCCACATATCATTGTGCACTTTTCTGTATGTCTGCTACAACTTATCAAAATGTTTGCTTAAAATAATACATGCCGAATCCTCACCCTCAAAGGGTGATGATTCGGATGCTGTAAGGTGGGTGGAGACCAGACAGTGACTATTTCAAAAATCTCCCCAGGTGATTCTAATGTGCAACCAACATAAAAATTACTAAATCTCTGGTAAGACAGGACTGGATTTGAGTACTGGTTCTGTCAATTGCTGTGAATGTCACCTTAAGTAAGCAAGCCCATCTCTGAGATTTGGTTTCCTCATCGTAAAGAAGACATACTGGCGCATACTCCACACATGTATTATTTGAGTTAAATGAGAGAGAATAGATTAAGTTCTTAGCATAATGCATGGTATCAAGAAAAAGTGTACAGTGAGTGTTAATTACTATATTATATAATTTTGTTCAATATTGAGAGCAAGTATTTATAGTGTCTTACCCAGGCTTGCTTAATACTAAGGCCCATATTTTTATGTTTATTTCTGCATTTTGTACAATCTCAAGGACTCCAGGCCAATCCTTTCAAGGGACTTTGACCCTGTGAGCAAAGAAAAGAGGCCCTGTTCTTTCATCACAGGGTGTTGATTAGGTTTGATTTCATGTTCCATGGTTATTATTGATCTGGGGAATGATTGATGGTCACTGGTTGTCACTGTCTCATCTTTGCTATAATTGCATGAAATATTTGCTGGGGTTGAGCACCTCTTACTCAGATGCATTAACAATAATTTCCCCAAATGTGTTTCCTTAAAAGCGATTGAATTATTTCCAAAGGTCCTGTGCATCTCCTTTGCAGTGCAGGAAAAAGTGCGTCCATAAATTACTCAATTGACACAGATGGGGACCTGAATGGCAGAGCAGTTGGCTGCAAATTATTCTTCCCAGACACGTCCTGTCTGATGGCGGGGCTGGCAGAGGCTCTGGGGGTGCCACCCTGGTCACGCACGAGCATGACTGGTAGTTTCTCTCAGAGGAGGAAGTGGACAGGCTGCTAATCCATGTCGGGGCTTTCGAGTTTGACAGCAATGACTAAGGCAACTTGAAATTAATTTCCCTGCTGTGATAGCTCTCTATTGCTTTGCCTATCTCTTCATGGCTGGAAAAAAGCTATGAAAGGATTCAGAGGAGAAAGAGCACCTGCTAATACTAACACAAAATTGGATACGAATTCTTGCTGCACCATTTACTGCTTGTGCACTGTTTTCTCTCTGACCCTCAGTTTCCTCCTCTCTAAAATGGGAACATGCTTGCAGGTTATGTATGTAAAGTCCCTGGCATGTGTGTAATAAAATTCTGTCTGTGGAGTCTGATGCAATGTAAATCACTGGTGCCAGAAGATTTTTTAGAGTTCTGTCTCTACTATTCCCAAACAACTTAGTTTTCCTAAACATCACTTATTTCCAAAATATATTATAGTCCCTTCAAATAAGGAAACCCCTTCAAAATGTTTTCTTTGTTGTTCTACTCAATGATAAAAAAAAGTGAGTGAATGAATAAGTTAATAGCTGAAATAGCCATAGAAGACCATTTTTAAATTTTTTTCTTAGTTAATAAATCAATTATGCTGATTTTATAAGTCAGTTTGAATTTTTAAAGTGTTTAATAGTGAAATATTTCCAGTTTACTTTAACAAGTACACTAGAATCAGACTAAAGATGAAATACCATGTATAAGCAAAAATTACATCATCCAGTGCCAATAGGCTATATCAAGGAAAAAGGGTAAGGCATTATGCTAAAGTTTCCATTTTCAATTGTTTGTGTAAAGTTTAAACCTTGGGGGTGATTATTAGATCAAGCATTATGCTAACAATTATGTGATTATTATCTAACATAATCTTTAAGAAGATCTATAAGCTATATATTATTATTCCTAGTTTACAGATGGAGAAATTAGGAAGGTCAAAAATGTTAAATAAATCCCCTAACTTCACAGTTAGTAAGCATAGAAATTCAAGCCCAAGTCTTCCTGAAGACAAAGTCAAGGCCATTTTCACTCTATTAGACTGACCTGGAGCCTTTAGCATGCTTGGTCAATATTCAGGAGGGACTAAATGAGAACAACAATAATTGCTGAAAATCTTTACATTTTGATATCATTAAGCAAGTGTAATTTGCCCATGAACTGACTTCTTCAATGGGCGCAAGTCCCTAACAGCAAGTTCAGGCACTGATTTATTTAACAAAAATGTATTAATCACCTACTATGTGTCAAGGACTCTACTTGGCACTGGGGTAAAATGTTGAGGAGCAGAAGCTCAGACCCTGCTCCCCTGAAGCTTCCATCCACACGTGGGGAAGAGAAAAAATAGAGATTAACTCAGGAATAGTATAAGATCATAATTTGAAACTTTGACAAATGCTGTTAAGAAAGAAAATTGGGGAGATCTGATTTAGTTTCTGCGTGTGGGTTTGAAGGGGAGTATCAAGAAATATTTCCCCCAAGGATATGAAAGGAGTGATATTGTGGCTAAAATTTGCAGTGGAAGTTAAATATAACTAGACAAGGATTTGGAAAGAAGCCATTCTAGGCAGAAGTAACAGTGCAAAGATCCTGAACGTCATGTATTTGCGGTAACAAAGTCATACTAGTGTAGCTGGAAAACAGAAAGGAAGGGGAAACACGACAGATTGTATTTTCAAAGACAGCCACAGCAATATCTCCCATCCCACATGCTCTCCCATAATACAGTGTTGCCCTCCCTCATTAAGAGATGGAGACTATTACCACACATCCCTAAAATCCCAGTTGGTCCCATGATTGATCTGACCAATTAAATATGATGGATATGGCCATGGACCATTTTAGGTGTAGCTCTTAACTAGCCTGGCAGCACATGCTTCTTGTCGCTTGGAAGCCAGCTTCCATGCAAGAAGTATGGCTCCCCTGAGAATATCACATGTTAGGACCCCAAAGAATGAGACATCATGGAGTGAAACGAAAGATAAAGCGCACTGAATTACCAGACATGCCTTCACCCATGACCAAGAAGAAACCACGGTGGAAGTTCATCCTCCAGGTTCAGCTGGCACAGCTGATACCAGATGGCTCAGAGAGAAGCCACCTAGCTGACCTCTTCTTAAATTCTTGACATCAAAATTATGAGCAAAATGAGTATTTTAAGCCACTACATTTTGGGATGATTGGTTTTGCAGCAGTAGATACCTAGACCATACATGTGTTTATAAATAATGACAACCCAAATGAGAAGAGGCAGGGGTTCTTTATTCAGAACCTTCTATAGCAAGGAAGTCAGTCAACATCACTAGTGTTTGACAGACTCAAAAGCAGGCAGGGGAGTGGGAGAGGCTTATAGTGGAAAAAATGAAGGGTTCAGGTGCTCTGAGTGGAGGTTGTTGGCTCAAAAAGGTAGAAACAGGCATCCTATATGACTGGTTTATGAAGAGTGCTTGACTTTCTACGGTTGGTCTTGACTTAGAAGTTGGGGCAAAAATTAAGGAAGTGGCAAGGATTAACCAAATCCTGACCATTTGGGGCTGATTGCTGCAGAGGTTGTGGGTCAGAGTTTTACCGCTGATATGGTTTGGCTTTGTCCCCACCCAAATCTCATCTGGAATTTTAGCTCCCATAATTCTCATGTGTTGTGGGAGTGGCCTGGTGGGAGATTATTGAATCATGGGGCGGTTTCACCCCATAGAGTTCTTGTGGTAGTAAATAAGTCTCATGAGATCTGATGGTTTTATAAGATGTTTCTTCTTTAGTTTGGCTCTCATTCTCTCTCTTGCCTGCCACCATGCAAGACATGCCTTTTGCCTTCCGCCATGATTGTGAGGCCTCTCCAGCCACATGGAACTGTGAGTCCATTAAACCTCTTTTTCTTTATAAATTACCCAGTCTTGGGTATGTCTTTATCAGCAGCATGAAAATGGACTAATACAACTGCCAAATGCGGTCTGGCCATTTTCCATTTATATATTCAATATCTCAGGCAGCATGGGGCAGGGTGAGGCTGCAGGGGTAGACAAGAAGCAAATATCACTTCCTTAAGAATTTTAGGCTTCATTAGGAATATTGTTCCAGATGTACCAATTGGAGTTGACTTTGTGTTTGGCATACAGACACCTATGTGCAAAAGTGGTTAAGAAGAGAGCACGCAAAACATGGTATTCAGGAACCATGATGCTGATTACCTAGAAACGAATTAGTGAGGTGGTCGGGACTGGGGAGATCCAAGAAGAAGCGGGATGTGTCTGAGCCAAGCAAGCAACATGGGATCCAGAAATGAAGAACAATGTATGACCCAAGCAAATGTCATCAAAGAAGGGCACCAGGCCCTAGGCTTGGGCCTGTTAATTTATTCATTTGACAAATGCTAAATTGACCACCTTTTATGCAGGTAGGGAACTTTTCTAGTACTGGAGACAAAGTGTAAAACAGAACAAACCAAGTCCCTCCTCTCATGAAGACTATAATTTAGTGGTGAGGAGATAGATAATAAATATGTAACAAATCAATAACAAGTTAACTATGAAGAAAATAAATTGTGAATCTGGATAAAGAGTGACTGGAGGGTGGGGTGGCAGCTGTGGATTAATTTAGAAAGGGTAATCCAGGAAGACCTTCCAAGGAGATGGCACTAAATGGTGAGAAAGAGCCATGGATGCTAAGGTCTAGGGGAAGACCCAGGGAAGGAGCACCCCAGGCAGACAAAACAGCAGTGCAAAAGTCGTGAGGCTAAAAGAATCTGGGTATATTTAAGGGCCTGAAAATAAAGCTGTTGTATCCTGAGAATTGTGAGCCAGAAGTCAATAAATACAAAATGAGGTTAGGCAAGGGACAGATTGTAGTGGGCATTATAGTCCACTGCAAGGAGTCTGGATTTTATTTAAATACTATGGAAGGCCATTGGAGAGCTTTATGCTTGGGAATAGAATGAGATTAAGGAAAGTGATTAGATCTAACTTACATTTTTAAAAGCTCACTTTCCTGGGCTTCTAAGAATAATCATTAGAACGTGCTATAATGGTTGTGAAATTTAGAGAAGACCATAGATTATGACAAGAGAACAGACAGGACATAATCCTAGAGGTAGTGAGGCACTACAGATATTGTCAAAGCAAGGGAAGATGGTTCCCCAGTTTCTAGACATAGGACACAGGTGTTAGAGGAGAAATTTAAAGACCCAGTGGCCAGACACTGTGGCTCACACCTGTAATCCCAGCACTTTGGGAGGCTAAGGTGGGAGGATTGTTTGAGGCCAGAAGTTGGAGACCAGCATGGAAAATGTAGTGAGACTCCCATCTCAACTAAAAAATTAAAAATAACTGAGCATGGTGGCACATGTCTATAGCCCTAGCTACTGGGGCAGCTGATGCAGGAAGATCCCTTGAGCCCAGGAAATAAAGGCTGCAGTGAGCTATGACCATGCCACTGCACTCCAGCCTGGGTGACAGAGCAAGACTCTGTCATAAAAAAAAAAAAGATCCACCTATCAAACCACAGCCTAAATTCAAAGTAACTCTCAATTATATCATTAGAAACATAGCTATTATTTATTCAATAGACTATGTACCAGAAAATGAAATATGTGCCTTGTTTAATCTTCGCAGCCATTTTGTGAGGTTAATACTATTATCTCCATTTTACAGATGAGGAAACTGAAGCTCAGAGAGTTAAAAAGACATGTTCAAGTTTTCACAGTTTGTAAATTGCTGTGCTGAGATGCAGACACAACTTCTGCAGCTAGTACTGTTAACCACTACACATATTACTTTCCCAAGCAAGGTAGGCTTTGATATTTAGTCACCTGAATATCGAAAGCAGCTTCAGTAAGTGCCGCTAGTCATGACTAAGGCCATGCTCTGCCCTCAAACCTGGGAAAGGTCCACGGTGTTGGTCAGAAGACTCAGTTATAAAGGGAGGATGAATGTGGTGGCCAGGAATTGGGCAGGTCCCAACTATCAGGCTCTTGTCTAACTTAAAAAATCATCACCAACAATACATAAAGAACCCAAATTTGGAAACGATTGAATTTCTCAGCTGCAGCCATTGCCTGTCTGTAGCCCCCGCGTGTGCACATGCATACAGATATGCACATATCCGCCTCTGCATATGCCCAGAGATAGGTACGGCACGTGTGCATTCTTTTCAGTTTTGCAGAAGCAGCAGATGGATAATTGCAGCCCCTAAGTGCCTAATCTGCTCTCCGGGACACGGGCAGATTTCTGAGCCAACAAACTTAATTGAACTTTCTATTCCAGCTGGAAAAGGTTACAGAGTTGCTGCGCACACAGCACAGGCAGAATGAAAAGGTCAGCAGCTCAGTCCTCTTTGTGATGGATTGACCAAAGGCATATTGTTTTCTTTTTCTTTCTTTCTTTTTTTATTTTTTTCTATTTTTTTAAAAATATTTCTCACAACCACTGGATTGTGAAACTTAATTAGCCACGTGGTGTTTCCCTTCCCCAGCGTTTAATAATGTTCATCGTATGCTGGCACTGTCCATGGTCCTAAGAAAGGTTCTTAAGCCTGTATTTGAGAGAAGGCAAAGCATTTATTTAAAGATAAGTACCTGGTCTTTTAAAAGCTCCTTAAACACATGCTTAAAGATCCTCTACAGCATCTCAAACTTTAGCATGTGCAAGAATTACTCTGAAAGCTTTTGAAAACACAGATTCCTGGGCCCATCTCCCACAGATTCTGAATCGGATCAGGGGAGAGCCTGAGAATTTGCATTTTTAATAAGCTCTGAGATGATGCTGATGCTGCTGGTTCCAGCACCAGATGCTGAGCACTCCTGCTGTACAATCCTATCTCAACAGAACCTTCTGGCCTTTTGTATCATTAAGTGAATTAGTAATGGCATTGTATCCCAAAAGATGGAAGAGAAGAGAGCCTGTCCGAATAAATGTGTGCTGGTTAGACCACTCAGAAAAATGAGGTTCAATTCTGAGTGCTACATTTTAAGAAGCCCATTGGAAGTTGGAATCTATCCATAGATACATGACACAGAGGCAATGAGGTGACACTGAAGCCAGACTTAAACAATGGGTAGAATTTGAACATGTGTTCTGGGGGCAGGTGGAGGATGCATTGAATTCTACAAAATACTAAATAACTTTTTAGCTGAAAAGGGCAGAAATTTTGAGAAACATGATTTCTGTCATCAAATACCTGCAACGCTATTATGCAGAATAGGGATTAACTTTTGTCACTGCAGCTTGAGGACAAAACCAGAAATCTGGGGGAGAGGAGAGGTAAATTTTCGTTCAATATAAGGAAGCAATATAAGAAAGTAGTTTATAATAACTAAAGTAGGAATTGACTATGGCATGAGGGCGTTAGCTCCCTGCCATTGGTAATATCCAATCAGAGATTGGGGAACCACTTACTGGGAATTGAGGCATTACATAGAAAGTTGGACTAAACAGTTAATTTCTCCCATAGTATTCTACACACAATTAGTGTTCAATAAATGTCCAAATAATATATCTCTCGATTTGCTGGTCTTACTTCCTATAGGATTTCTCAAATGAGTCCCTCATGACCTGTTACTTGGATTCTTGCAGTAACTTTTGATATGGTTTCCTTGCTTCCAGTTTTGCCTGCCATTAAATTCATCCTTTACATAGCCACCAGATAATCTATTAAAATGCAAATATCCATGTCATTCTGTGGACAAATTCATCTTCTGCTTAATACCCTTAGCTGTTTGGATAAATTCATTTTCTGCTAAATACCCTTAACTGTTTTTCCATTGTCTATAAAATAATTGTCACCTTTCCTCACATGACATACAGGGCCTGTGTGACTTAGACACCATTCATCTGTCAGGTCTCAATTCTTGCTACTCTTTTCCTCCAGGAAAAGAAGCTGACTTGGATTTCCTCTTATACACAGTCTGTTGCAAGTCTCTCTGCTTTTGCTTAGCATATAATTGTCTACCTGGAATGTCTTTGCCTTTTCTTCTTCACACAGCTAACTCTTACCTACTTCTCAAGACTTAGTTCAGGAGACGTCTTGATATGGTTTGGCTCTGTGTCCCCACCAAACTTCATGTTGAAGTGTAATTCCCAATGTTGGGGGAGTGAACTGGTGGGAGGTGATTGGATCATGGCAGTGGATTTCCCATTTGCTGTTCTCATGAGAGTGAGTTCTCACAAGATCTGATGGGTTTTTTAATTTTTATTATACTTTAAGTTTTAGAGTACATGTGCACAACATGCAGGTTTGTTACATATATATACATGTGCCATGTTGGTGTGCTGCACCAATTAACTCATCATTTAACATTAAGTATATGTCCTAATGCTATCCCTCCCCCCTCCCCCCACCCCACAACAGGCCCTGGTGTGTGATGTTCCCCTTCCTCTGCCCATGTGTTCTCATTGTTCAATTCCCACCTATGAGTGAGAACATGCAGTGTTTGGCTTTTTGTCCTTGTGATAGTTTGCTGAGAATGATGGTTTCCAGCTTCATCCATGTCCCTACAAAGGAAATGAACTCATAATTTTTTATGGCTGCTTAGTATTCCATGGTGTATATGTGCCACATTTTCTTAATCCAGTCTATCCTTGTTGGACATTTGGGTTGGTTCCAAGTCTTTGCTATTGTGAATAGTGCTGCAATAAACATACGTGTGCATGTGTCTTTATAGCAGCATGATTTATAATCCTTTGGGTATATACCCAGTAATGGGATGGCTGGGTCAAATGGTATTTCTAGTTCTCGATCCCTGAGGAATTGCCACACTGACTTCCACAATGGTTGAACTAGTTTACAGTCCCACCAACAGTGTAAAAGTGTTCCTATTTCTCCACATCCTCTCCAGCACCTGTTGTTTCCTGACTTTTTAATGATTGCCATTCTAACTGGTATGAGATGGTATCTCATTGTGGTTTTGATTTGCATTTCTCTGTGATGATGAGCATTTTTTCATGTGTCTTTTGGCTGCATAAATGTCTTCTTTTGAGAAGCGTCTGTTCATATCCTTCGCCCACTTTTTGATGGGGTTGTTTGTTTTTTTCTTGTAAATTTGTTTCAGTTCATTGTAGATTCTGAATATTAGCCCTTTGTCAGATGAGCAGATGGCAAAATTTTTTTCCCATTCTGTAGGTTGCCTGTTCACTCTGATGGTAGTTTATTTTGCTGTGCAGAAGCTCTTTAGTTTAATTAGATTCCATTTGTCAATTTTGGCTTTTGTTGCCATTGCTTTTGATGTTTTAGACATGAAGTCCTTTCCCATGCCTATGCCCTGAATGGTATTGCCTAGGTTTTCTTCTAGGGTTTTTATGGTTTTAGGTCTAACATTTAAGTCTTTAATCCATCTTGATTTAATTTTTGTATAAGGTGTAAGGAAGGGATCCACTTTCAGCTTTCTACATATGGCTAGCCAGTTTTCCCAGCATCATTTATTAAATAGGGAATCCTTTCCTCATTTCTTGTTTTTGTCAGGTTTGTCAAAGATCAGATAGTTGTAGATATGCGGCATTATTTCTGAGGGCTCTGTTCTATTCCATTGGTCGGTATCTCTGTTTTGGTACCAGTACCATGCTGTTTCAGTACCAGTACCATGCTGTTTCGGTTACTGTAGCCTTGTAGTACAGTTTGAAGTCAGGTAGTGTGTGGCTGTGGCACTTCCCCCTTCACTCTCTTTCCTGATTCATCATGTTAAGATGTGCTTGCTTTCCCTTTGCCTTCTGCCATGATTGCGAGCTTCTTGAGGCCTCCCAGCCATGCTTCCTATAACAGCCTGCAGAACTGCCAGTCAATTAAACCTCTTTTCTTCATAAATTACCCAGTCTCAGGTAGTTTTTGTTTTGTTTTGTTTGTTGTTGTTGTTTGTTTTGTTTTGTTTTTGAGATGGAGTCTCACTCTGTCACCCAGGCTGGAGTACAGTGGCACAATCTTGGCTGACTGCAACCTCTGCCTCCTGGGTTCAAGTGATTCTCGTGCCCCAGCCTCCAGAGCAGCTGGGACTACAAGCATGTGCCACCACCACTGGCTGATTTTTGTATTATTAGTAGAGATGGGATTTCACCATGTTGGCCAGGCTAGTCTCGAATTCTTGACCTCAAGGTATCCACTCACCTTGGCCTCCCAAAGTGCTGTGATTACAGGCACGAGCCACCATGCCCAGCCTCAGGTAGTTCTTTATAGCAACATAAGAAAAGACTAATACATGTCTCTTAGAGGAAGCCCTTCCAAATACCTCAGGCTGGGATCAGAATGAAGAAGCATGCAGCCTGTTATTCAGAGGTGAGTTAATTTGCTCTGATAATTATCATATTAAGGTGGAGGGAAAAGTTCTCAACTACAGAATGAGGAAATACGTTCCTACAAAAATACAATGGAATCTCAAGGTGTGATTATGTTTGTTTGTTTGTTTGTTTTGTAAGTGTCACTTGATAAAGTGGCTGTAAATATAAATGCCTATGGGGAACAAGGTAAACCTGGCCAGATGGAGACTATGGAAATTACAGAGGGAATGGCCATCCCAAAGTCTGTCTTTTCTGCACTCTGCTGTGTTGTTACCATACATATAGGAATGTGAGTGAGCCCAGTATTTCTAGATTTTATCTTTCAAGAGAATACAAAATCCAGATTTTTATAGAAAACCTCATAATTTCAAAATGTTTTTAAAGTATTTGTTTTTCAACACTGCATGATTCAGATACAATATCAGCAGGGAAGGTATGGCTCATAGATTGCTATTTTGCAACCTCTCGTTTGAAGGTTTTTCTATGTGGGTGTTTTAACCTGCCTGTTATTCACCCGGCTGCCTCCGCAGGCACAAGAACAAGTGCGAATTGGTCGTTTGTCTCTATCCCCAGGTAATGGAGTCAGAAAAAAAATAAACCCAACTAGTTTCTAAGTTTACAAGTTTCTTCTATTCAGCTCATCTCTAAGCTACAATGTTGGGAATCTCCTTCTTTTTCCCATGCCTCGGTTTCCTCAACTGTTGAGGGAATCTTAATTTCTATTCTGTGTACCCTGCAGAATGCTTTTAAAAATTAAATGAGATAATTAAACTGAAATTATCTTTATAAGAACAAAACACCTGCATACAAGACACCAAAACCCTGAGTTTCCCATGGTAGAGGCACCTGTGCCTCTCACACTGTACTTCCTAATGGCTAGTTCCACCGTAAGAAAAGAATAAGGCCATTTTCTGGCAACAGTGTCTTCTTTTTCTCGTAAATACTTTGGTGTAAGACAGGCTCGTTCACCAGGTGAAGTTAAAGATCGATTGGTAATTGGTATCCCAATCCAGAGATCAACTGAAAGGACACATGTGCCTTTTCTTCCCATGCTGATGACTGAACCCTGGTTTAATATGTCACACGTCCTCCTACATGGAGCTCTGCCAGACTACAGGGATTCTTGTCAATTGTATTTGTTTTTGTTTTCTTACTTTGGAAAAATAAAGACATAGAAGAGAATCTATCAGTGTGAGAAAGTTGTTTATACTATAGTAGCTGTACCTAACAGTTAACCCTCTCCTCCATAGTTGAAATAAAAATCTTTGAGATGAAGCCTTCCAAGAAGACAAGGCTGCCAGCAATTCCAATACTAATTACAAATGTGTTGAATCTACACAGCTGGTTGGTTAAAAGCTTAAGCTCTGGAGTAACCCTTAGTCAGGGATTAACTCTTACTTTCTTGATACAAACTTGTGTTTGATAGATTACCAAAACAAACAAACAAACAAACAAACCAAAAAATGCTGCAAGTCTTCACTTCCCACTATATTTATGCCCTTGTAATGTTTGTAGCTCCTCCCATCAATAGGAAGAGTCTGTTTCTCCACTCCCTTAAATCTGAACTTACCAATAGAATGTGGTAGAAGTAACACTGCACCAGTTCCAAGCCTAGGGCTCAGGAGAACTTGAGGTAGATAGTGGCTGTTCTCCTGCTGCTCCTCCCCCTCCTCCTCCTTTTCCTCCTCTTTTTCCTCTCTCTGTCTCTCTCTCTCTGCACACATGTGCACTGAATCCTGCAACTGACATAAGGGCAAGCCTAGGCTCACCTTCTAGACGATGAAAACTGTGGGACAGTCACCTTCATCACCCAGCTGACAGCCAGACAACGACAGACATGTGAGTGGGGTCATCCTAGACCAGCCAGTTCCTAGCTGACCTGCCATCTTAACTGAAGAGGCA
Organism: Homo sapiens; assembly: GCF_000001405.40. NCBI lineage: Eukaryota > Metazoa > Chordata > Mammalia > Primates > Hominidae > Homo > Homo sapiens. Next base: position 119,645,431 of record NC_000009.12, read on the forward strand.
TGAGTGAGCACAGCCAAGATTAGTAGAGCCTTGCTCAGATCAGCAGAGCCACTGAACTGAGAAGACTTATGAGAGATAATAAATGAGTATCGATTAAGCTATTGAGGTCTGGAGGTCATTTTACATGCAGCAATATGTAACTAACACAGACCCTAAGAAAGTTAGAGATTTTCCTGAGCCTTGATTCCCTCACTCCTCATCTGAAAAATGGGAATAATAATATTAAACACCACAGAGAACTGTAATAAGTATTCCATTAATGGTTATTCTCACTAAAGGGATTCTATTTGAAAAAATTTTATTGAAGTTGCGGGTTTAAAAGCATCGCATCTTCTGAATGCCCTCCTCCAAAAACTACACTCCCCCAAACTACACACACAAGACCAAATTAGTGAAGCTTCACTGTAAATTCAAAGTTTCACCAAGTACTTAGGAACAACTTTTTTTAATTTACCCTAACACTATCAGCAAGTGACAAATAAGAATTAGAATTCACATTTCCTTGAAAGAAAATGGGAAAAAATAAAACACACCACTGTTCCTGCCACAGAACTAGGATTGGAGTTTTAAGCTCACCACTGTACCCAGTTTGGTAATTAGTGAATTGAGAGGCTAAATCTTTTCCATGTTTGGAATAGAAAAAGGCTCTGTCAAAAATAAGGCCTTGTAGTGGGCTCCAATATATTTTGGAAATTTCCAGAAAGACCTGAGGATGCAACCATTTCTACCATATTTTCTGTCCCAAAAGGCTTCTCTCTGTGCAGCCCTGCCTTACATGCCATGTCTTGCCACTTGTAATTCAAGACCAGAGATGCAAAAAAAAAAAAAAAAAAAAAAAAAAAAGGAGAGAGAGAGAAAGAAAGAAAAAGAAAGAAAGCTCTCTTCTCCTTCTCTGCCTCTCCCTCATGAGCCTGGTTCTAATCTCTCAAATGATTCCAAACTCCTCCAATGAAGCCAAATTTTTGTATAGCATGTCACACCATTTCTCCTCCAGAGCTAATGACCTACCCAATGACCTACTGGTAGCACTTTCCTGTTTCAATCACATATGTTGCCATTTCCTCTTCCAGGTCTTTGTTAGACATAGCTAGCCAATCACAGTGTTTGTTTCTCTTGAATTCAGAATTGACCTCAGAATCCTTCAAAATAGAAGCAGCAGCAACAACAATGTAATAACAACAAATAAGCACTTATATAGCACTCACTCCATGTGAGACACCTGGAGCTTTTAATAGATTAATTCAGTTAGTAATCACAACAATCTTATGAGGTAAGTATTTGTATTATTCTTATTTTGCAGATAAGAAAACGTAAGCACAACAAGATTGAGTAAGTTGCTTAAGGCCATACGTGGTAAATAAACTAGAAACTGGGATGAAGACTTAGGCAATTTAGATGCAGAATCTGTGCTTTTAATCATTATGCTATTCTAAGAAGACATCCCAGAAAACTGACTTATCAACCGTTGGAGTTTACAGAAGTGATGAATGTAATGAAACCCCTTTGCTTTCATGATTATAGAACACTTTTCCTAAAAGGTGTACTTTTGGAGAACACTTCATTTATCTCCTCATTTTTATAGATGGAGGAACTGAAGTCTACAAGAGTAAAATGGTTTGTCTAGGATCAACATATTTTGAAAATATGACTAGTTGGAAAAAGAGTCATTCTGGTGACTTGTGACTCTTCATGCTATTGGCTATTAACTCTCATAATAGCTATCATTTATTGAGTGTTCATTGTGAGCCAGATATTGTGCTAAATGCTTTACATGCACTTTCTCATTTAATTCATAGAAAACTCTAGGATGAGAAAACAAGCTCAGAGAGGTAAAGGAATGGCCCAAGGTCACATAGCTAGTAACGAGAGGAGTATAAATTGTGGTCTTGTTCTGGCTGACTCCAGACCTCCTGGGTTTAGCTACTTTGTGACATTGGATGATAAGGTTATCTGATGAAAATCATGCTACTACTTCGGATTGAGACAAAACCAGATATTTGTTGTTACTTTATAAATTCTTTTATTATTGTTCATACCCTGAAAAGTCTAAGGTTTCACCCCACTGATCTTCACAAAATGGAATAGAATACCATTTTGAACCATGGAGAATTAGATGTCATGTGTAGGAAACATTTGTAGAAATGTATCAATTGCATATCTCAAAAACAATTGCAGAGGATTGGGGAAGGAGAATTTCCAGGCAATCTAGAAACATGCAAATAGATTCCAAGGTCAAATAAAATCCTTTTGAATTCACAGGCACAAATCAATGGGCAGAAGTGATCCTGGGAAATTAAACTCCATGAAGTCAAGAATCTTGTCCTTAAGTTCTGTTTTCTGCCCTCCTGTCAGACCATTGGCACACTGTAGGTGCTAACAAAGTTCAGAACTTAGAGGGCCTTAATCATATCAAAGCCAACACCCTCATTCTACAGGTACAAGAATAAGTCCTAGAAAGAAGTGACTTTCCGAACAAAAGTCTCTATATTCCAAGCTCAATGCACAGCCACTGGAATTGAAGGTGAGATAAAAGAGGAAACAAGGAGGAACTATTTCTAATCATAATACTTGGGTTAGGTGTGGTATAGGGGGCATTAGAGGACATCTTATCCAGCTCTTCAACTGGTGCTTAATCCCTTGTCATATTAAAGGCGGGTCACGAGGTCAGCAGAATGAGACCATCCTGGCTAGCAAGATGAAATGCCATCTCTACTAAAAATACAAAAAATTAGCTGGGCATGATGGCAGGTGCCTGTGGTCCCAGCTACTCGGGAGGCTGGGGCAGGAGAATGGCGGGAACCCGGGAGGTGGAGCTTGCAGTGAGCCAAGATCGCGCCACTGCACTCCAGCCTGGGCGACAGAGCCAGACTCCATCTCAAAAAAAAAAAAAAAAAAAGTAATCCAAACTCTAGTTAAACTCTGGGAATTGTGGGGGGATGATTCTAGGTAAACTTAGGTAAAAGTAAACAGTGAATAGCAAAACCTCTCAAAAGCATTGGTTTTTTTTTTTCTCAACTTATGGCTTTCAATTTTATTTTGTGAAGCAATTAAAATATATTCTCTATTACAGTAGGCTGAAGTGATTTAAAAATATATCCTGTAAAAAGTCTATTTCTTTAGTTTGAGTTCTTTCACATGGATGGTTCAGTGTTTCCCATCCAATATTCTTCTCCTAGCCAGAGACCATTATTTTTGATGGAAGAAAAGCTTACAAGGGAGAAGTTCATTCCAGATTCCACAGACCATCGAGTCCTTGGCTTCTACCACAAGCCTGCTAATTTCAGAGCTAAGAATTGCTCAGGAGGCATTGAGCCATGACCACCTAGTGTCTTTAGAGTCACAAAACCATAGCCAGTTAGTGTTGGAATGGACCTTGGAGATAATTTGGTTCTGGCCTCTCATTTTGCAGATGGGCAGACAGAAGGGTTAAGTGAGTTGCCCAAGGTCACACAGCTGGTTAATGGCAGAGTTGGACCAAGATCTCAGCTCTCCAGTCTCCTGGTCACATTGTCCACTCCCTCATGCTGCCTCCTCAGGCTGCTCAGCTGTCACTAAAGCAGCTGTAGCATTTGCTGCTCCATAACCAGCTCCTGGAAGCAGAAAGGGAAGCCTTTCTTTCTTGTCTCTCATAGCTCTAATTTTTCGCTCCCTTCCATCTAGTGCATGGGGTTCTTTCTGGTCTGATTGCATCTGTGAAACCAAGGATAGCTTTTGATTATTCCCCTGTAACAGTTGCTTATACCTAGTTGGGTTTGTTGTTCTTTCTGGTCTGATTGCATCTGTGAAACCAAGGATAGCTTTTGATTATTCCCCTGTAACAGTTGCTTATACCTAGTTGGGTTTATTGTATAATGCAGTAGGCAGATCTGTCCTATTTAAGAACAATTTTAACAAAAGATAAAACCATGACTTTCACATAAATATGAAATGAACACATGTCAATATTTTATTTAACTCATGAATTAATGAGGGAACCAATAAGATGTTGCAAACCACTAAAGGGAGAATTTAAGGAACATACATAGGCAACCAGGAGGCTGACATAGATTTACAAATAGGTGCAAAATTGATCAATATCCAGAGAGCAGTATTCAATCATATCTTCCACTGGACACATTTGCATTCCTAGAGGACAATCATCATTTGCATTAATATTAGTTTTCCTTGACTTATGAAGTGGTAAGATAGCTCAATCACAATGAAATATAACCCAACATAAAGACAATATCTATAAGCCAAAAGAGTAGACTAGGCAGAACCTCCAATAACCTTTTTGCCCTTTTTAAAGTCTTTCACAATTTTTCTGATAGTCCCAAATGATGTGGTGATAACTTTTCCCTTGATTACAATATCTCTGAATCTCTCCGGGTAGAAAATAAAGTGGCCCACTGTCATTCTTACACGCTGTCTCCCCGTGCCTCATTCGCTCACTCCTCTGGAAGCACATCACACGGCCAGATCTCAGGAGTCTTCCACAATTTTTCTCTCAGTCAGCTGTCAAGATGGTAAAGGGTCTGAACAACTGGATTTAAGCCTTCCTTTCAGCTTTCTACAGCTGTATAACCTTGGAGAAGTCACTTGACCTCTTTGAGTCTCAAATTCCTTGTCTGTAAAATGGTTATTATGATTTTGGCTTCCCATGATTCTAACGGAGTTACGAAATTAGACCATGTTTTCTTAAGCTAGTTTTTCAGGGATATATGCTAGATATGTCCTTGAAATATATAAATAACATATATGTTATTTATAGATAATGTAAATCATTTATGTTATTTATTAAAATGAAAGTTTATTAAGAGTATAAGAGCATATGTGAATATTTATTAAAAAGAGAACACCTTAGCAGCAGCACGGTAACTAGCATAAGTAAAACAAGAGAGCAATGAAAAGTGTTGGAAAACTTTGTAGGGTTCTTTCCTTTGCTCAGGAACAGGAAGTGCATCTGACTCTCAGAGCCAGAAAGTAGGACATGTATTTTCTCATTTTCTCTCCAAGGCCACTTGGTTTTTCATGTCTGTTTCTTTCTGCTTGTTTGCTGCATTCTTCTCTTCATGAGCCCATATTCCTTGGCCAAGTCTTTCACTTGTGCCACATTCATCATGGACTTAGCACAGATGGCAGTCTGAGTTGCCCAGTGGACAAGTACCTGCTGATCCTTATCTCACTGACTCATCTGTATCCCAGTTCCAAATTTCCAGGAGAGAGAACTGGAATGGCAGAGCCCACCCTTTGGGCTGGTTTCCTCATTGTATACCTATCAGGTCCAATCGGCTTCGACCATAGGCTGCCAGGTCATATAGTACTAGCTAGGCAGAGAAGACTGCTTCTGTGGGAGAGGAGAATGCTTTGAGTACTCCAAGTAAGATAAACTACCATATATTTTCATATGCCAACTTAGAACATTTGAGATTCTTCAAATCACCATAAAGGAAATGGTTTTCAGGTGGAGAACAAGGCAGGAGGCAGTCCCCACAAGATAAGTAAATTCTCACTGTAATTCATTAATGCTCCAATTATTTACAGCATGTCCATTTTAGAGCTCAGGGAGATTTCTCTAGACAAATGATTGTGTTCTTCCATCCAGGAAACAGAATTTATATGTGCTGTTGCCAACAGCTGTCTAGCTGAGATGCTCTACCCAGCCACTGCCTTGGGGGGTTTGGGGTAATTTTTTTATAATTCAGGATTTGATTGTGTCTAGACTACACCCTCTGACATCACTGTAAACCACTGAGAAATCTTGGTTTAATATCATTTGACTGGAGGGTGGACACCACAGAGATTTGTGATGTAAATATCTAGGGGCATCACTACTAACTCCATCCATTCAATGGCATGGAAAGAAATGTGCTATAACTCTCCTCCCAGAGCATATGCACTGGAGAAAAGCATTTCTGTGTGAACTCATTAGAGTGCCTTTATTTAGCTTATACAAAGCTAACTTGAAGGTTGGTGCTGTATGCTGATTTTAAAAGGGTCAGTGGCAGTTTAAAAATAATTTAGGAGGCTGGGTGTGGTGGCTCATGCCTGTAATCCCAGCACTTTGGGAGGCCGAGGTGGGCAGATCACGAGGTCATGAGATTGAGACCATCCTGGCTAACACGGTGAAACCCTGTCTCTACTAAAAATACAAAAAAAAAATTAGCCAGGCATGGCGGCGGGCACCTGTAGTCCCAGCTACTTGGGAGGTTGAGGCAGGAGAATGGCATGAACCTGGGAGGCAGAGCTTACAGTGAGCCGAGATTGCTACTGCACTCCAGCCTGGGCGACAGAGCAAGACTCTGTCAAAAAAAAAACCAGAAACAAACAAGCAAAAAATTCAACTTCTACAGAGTTATGTAAAAACTTTCACCTGCATTTTTCACCAGCCAAAATGATTTGACTTTGATCACTGCAAAATCATCCATGTCACAGGCCTCCTCTTCTCTTTCTAAATCAACAAACTCCATGCTACAATCACAATAGATTTCTCCCATTTTCTAATCCTCCCCTGCACTTTGGTGAATCTAAATTTTGTCCAGATTATTTCCCAACCTGGAACCCTTTCCCAATATTTTTGCCTATAAAAATCTTATTTTTCCCCCTGGGCTAAATTTGCCTGTCACTGTTTCATTAAAATCCACCCTAACCGAGACAAATGAATCCTTATCTTGTATTATCATCCATCATATTCCTTTATTTAGAATGTCTTTGTGCATGCTTATCTTTCCCTATAACGCTGTAAGATCCTCAGGGACAAAACCAACATATACCTCATCTCTGTTTTACTTGAAATGCACAGTATGAGGTTTTGCACGTAATAGATGTTAAATGTGAATTAAATTGAAATAAATTTATTTTTGAGTGTTTCAAAGAAATCCGAGTGTAGAGAAGTTACACATGTATGATTTAGTTTCTTCCCAAACTTCAGATGATACCACCTGAGAAAAACAAAGCTCTAAACTTGTTGCTTAAGAGTATTTTTTCTAGTAATTAAGTTAGCTATTACTTATTAAGAACTTATCAAGCACTAGTTGCTCTTCTAAGTTACATGTTGCCATCTCTTAATTAGCCCTTAAAACAATTCAGTGAGGTAGTTTCTACTACTATCTCATGTTGCACACTAATAAACTGAGACCTGAATAGGTTGTATAACTTGCCTGGAGTCCCATGAATGATATATGATGGATTTTGGATTTGTTTCCAGATTTCACATTTTTAACCACTATTAATACTTATTTGGAGCCAGATCAGCCATCATCCCACCTCAACTGTCTAAGGAGTATTCAGAACCAAGGACAGACAGCACAGATCACACACTTGCCTTTCTTCTAGTTGGAATATAGCCTTCCCTGGCTTGCTTTCTAATCTCTGTGTCCACATCCCACAATCCCTAGTGAATCAGCCAAAAACTGCATGGACCAGTCTGAGGGGAGCTTAATCAGGAGTGCCAAGGCCAGAACAATATGAATGGTGATGCTACATTGAAATTTCCTTACTACTTTGTCCTCACAGTAGAGCATTAAGAAGGGCTGCACAGACAGTAAAACCGTTTCCACTGCCCGTTTTCTCCCTCTCTGTAATGTAGCCAGAGACTTAAATACGATTGAGTTAATCTTTGAAGAAAACAGAAAATACTGTAACAATAAAGGCTGTAACATGGTTACAAATGAGAGCTACTGCTCCCTTTTGCATTCTAAATTCCGAGGATAATTCTGCAGAGCTTCATTACCAGAGTATAATTGTGTTATAGAACTCTAAATCACCCTGCTACACTTAACTGGCAATAACATTAAGATAGCGCAGATATTCATTTTAATTAAAACATAGCCTCAAACTATTTCCCTGCTATAAGAGGCAAAACTTTCTCTCTTTTTTCCCCCTATACAGAAACTTTCATTTGTTAGTACATCTATGACCAGCAGTAGATAGGAGATTTAAGCACAATTAGGAAATCCCACCTTATAAGCCAGAAGCAGTTAATGCTTTGCTGAGGAAGATGAACAACAGGAAAGCTGGATTTGGTTTTAATTTTTTCTGATATGCAAGGCACTGGCAGTAATTGTTTCAGAAAGAATGGGATTCTGAGATAATCAATTCAAAAGCCATTCAAAAAATTTAAAAATTAAATTATAGTAGTCCCAATATATTTTTAGAAAAATTCCTTAGTAGTCCAGCGGTCTTCAAGAGTTCCTAATTGCCTGAAGCACAGACATTCATCTATTTAACAAACACTGTATTTATTTAACATATATTTTGTGCTGCATGCTGACAATGCATAGGTAAGTAGAAGTTGGTTTTTTCCCTCAAATATATAGCAATCCAGTGGCAGGGATGGGGGATTGACATATGAATAAGAAATTGCATTACAAAATGTTTTCTATGAAGGATGTGGCCCCATATTCCTGTATTCCTTCAGAGATGGAAAATTTGGTATGGATTTAGGAGTGCATGCAAGAGATTTCCATACAGACAGCTGAATGACAAAAGCAGAGGAATGACAGGTGCAAAAGCAAAGTTTCATGAAATAGTATAGGCTATTCAGGAGATTCTAAGTGGTTCAGTATGGCTAGACTGTAGTATGTAAAGAGTTAAAGGAAAATGGTGTTGGTGAAGTCCAAGATGTGGAGAATCTAAGTTCATTGGGAAGTAGTTTAGGTTTTAATCAACAAGTGATGAGGAGTCGAGGAAGGGTTGAGGGGCAAATTAGCATTGATCGAAACATGACTGTGGAAGCTTTAACACATGAAGACCAGATTCTGTAGCTTCACACTGAAGGCTTCAAATTCTCTTTTCATTCACATAATAATATTAGTAAGATAACAATGACAGTTGGATCAGAAACACCGGTTAACATTGCTAAATGCATACTATATGTTGAATGCTTTGCCGTGATATCTTATTTCATCCTTAAATGTTTAAAGATTAACAGTCTTTATTTTATACATAAGGAAACTCAGGCACAGACAGATCCGATACGTTGTCCACCAAGACCACACAGATGGAATTGGGATTCAAACTTAGACCTGATTCCAAATTCCACACTCAGAATCACAATCACTCAGCAAAATTTGCAGTGTCAATCAATTAAAAGCAGCTAATTATAGATAGATGTAAAGCATCCTGCCTATCCATCTCCTCATACAAAAGATGATTCTGTGTATTGTTTTTTAAATATGAACAAGGTCATTTGTCATTAATCTTGCCCATGCCTCTGAAACTTCTAAATCTGCTCTCTCCCTTCTCTATGCATGTCTGAATCTAACTCACACTTCAAGATTAGGCTGAAAGCTTACCTGTTCCAGGATGCTCACCATGAGCATTGGCTGCAATTGATATCTTCTACTGCATTGGCTGTCTCTGTTACAGAGGTGTTTGGGTTAGAGAGATGTATAAAGCACATGAGGTCCCTTTTCTAGTGGAGCTTAATTTCTAGGTTAAATACTTAGTGAGTGTCAGAGATGGGATGAAACCCAGGCAGTCTTACTCTATAGCTGGACTTTCAATGTGATAGCTACTGGCTACATCTGACTGTTGAGTACTTGGCTAATGGCTAGTCCAAATGGATATGTGCTGTAAGTGTAAAATCACAAAAAATTCTGCAGGCTTAGTATAAAAAAATGTAAATATCTTATTGATTTTCTGCGTATATTGATTACATGTTGAAATAATATTTTGTACTTACAGTGTTTCAAAAAAATATATTATTAAAATTAATTTTACCTGTTTCTTTTTACCTTTACAAAATACAGGTACTGGAAAATTTTAAGTTGCATGTAACTTGCATTACATTTCTATTAGGCAGCACGGGTCTATACTTTGTACTCCTAATGATTATATTATCCTCTAATAAAGGGAAAAATATAAAAAGAAAATTGAGGAGAGTGATAGACATTCTGGTATTAATAACACAGTGATATAATAGGACATGTGAATAAGTGGGGGGAGGTAGACCTGACATTACATATGATGGGCTGGAAGTTCTGCCTGAGAATGTGATATTTGAACAGAAACCTGGAAAACAGCCATGCAAGGTGCAAGCCAGGCACACAATGCAAGATAGGCAGAGAGCTTATTGCTTTTAACACTGATTTGATAGTTAATATCTACTTTTAAATATTTTTGCTTATAACTTTTTTTTTAACTTGTAGAGGGCACTGAGTATAGCAGGAAGCATATGGCTTTAAAAATCACTCTAATTTTTTATTTGAACTTCAAACTTAGACATTCACTTAATATCTGCTGATTTTATTTGCATCTGTAAAATAGAAAAAAAAATCCTCTCTAATTTATCACAATATTTATGTGAAATTTAGTATGCAGAACATCTACCACAATGCAAGCATTTAAATATTACTTTACCTTGCCTTCTTTTCCAATTTGATTCTGAACTTGCACAGAACATGAAACATCAACATTCTGTATTTTACCAGCTGTCACGGACACTAGCATAAAGACTTGCACATGGTAGATTTGCAATAAAAGAGTTGAGTCAACATTCTTTATTAAGTACATGTATTTACAATACCAGAGGATTCTGGAATATATTTGAGCCAGTCCTCATAAATTTGACATCGTCTTTAAAAAGTCTTTGCTACCAGATTCTTTTCACTTATTTAATTACAATTTGAAGTGCTTTTCCAAACATCCCCTTTAGTTACATTTGTGAAGTTTTCAATAGTTGACAAAGTGCTTCAACATTTATTTGATCTTCACAATTGCACCTCAAAATAAGAAGAGCAGGCATCATTAGAAAACAGAAACAAGAGACACAGTGACCTGACTGCAGTTGAACAACCAATAAACGGCAAAGCTGATCCTCTAAGTCTGGGCTCTAAGTCTGGGCTGATCCTCTAAGTCTAGACATTTTTTTTTACCACATTATGTTGATCCTTCTAATAAAGAGTTCTTTGTTAAGATGGTACCATTTGAGATTCTTTTTTCAATTTTTCTATAGCCTCAGCCTGAACTATACTCGTATGTTAGCTTTCCTATGTCGACATATTTTCTTGTGGCATCTGCTTGCGGTATAGCACTCAAACATGTGTTGAGTGACTGGGCACACTTGTTCAACTCTTGGGCAGTTCAGGGGCTTTTTACTCCCTCTAGATTGGTTTGCTCAATCTAAGTTCTAAAGTGCTGGTAGGGTTTGAAACTTGCAAGAAAAGTACTTGCTATCTTCCTAGAGCTTGCCAATGGATGCTCTGAGAGGAAAATAGGCAAGGTTACAATGCCTTCAGGCTTCCAACTAGAGATTTCAAATATTTCTAATTTCTTCAATTTAGCTTCATTTAAATTTTACTGAGAGGTAATTGCACTGAATTAATATAGTTACAATTATGCTGAAATCAATCCATTAACATCTTGAAAATTCTTATTAATCTGGCAGCGATGTTACGGATAAAAACAGAAATACATCCTCTATTTGGAGTGTAGATTAATATAATAAGAATGCTGGAGTTAATTTCTCCAGGATATGAATTCCTTGAGACAAGAGACCGTGACTTAATTTTTTGTTTTCTGGTTTTAAAGTGCTGCTTTTAGTACATGAAGATAATATTTGCATGCCAAAGTACCTGGATCCACTTGTCCTCATTTCTATTTCATCAAAGGGAACCTGATTTAAAGTCCAACTCACAGAGACACACTTCTGTATGTATTTGTGTGGCTTTTAATGTCTCTCTATTTTCTCTTTCATAAATATACTCGAGACAAGGAATGTGTCACCTTTTTTTCGACTTTATACCTAGCACAGTTCTTAGAACTCAGTAAATATGCTCCATAAAGTGCTGATGATTGTGATGGTAACCACAACAATGACAGTGATGATGATTATACTAAACCACCAGTAATCATGTTTGTCCTTTTAATATATTAGGTGGCTTAAGGTAGTGGCATGAAACTTAGAATTAACTCAAAATGTGTTTTGAGGTTACACAAAGTACAGTCTAAACACTGATTTTTCTTGGCATCAAATATGCAATTTATCTACTTCTATATCTTATCATTATTCTGTATCAACATTTACTCACTCAATGATTATTTATAAAATATCAACTGTCTGTCTGTTGGGACGTCTTAGTGACAAAAACAAACATAAACCCTGCAGTCATGGAGCTTACAATTTAATGAGAGGGAAAACATGAAGGAGATAAACAAATGTTTAATTTATGATTATAACTTATAAGTACTATGATGAAAATGAACAAAGATTAGTGAAGAGGAATAACAAAAGAGTTCACCTTTGCTAGGTAGACACCCTGCAATTTATTCTGGGGCCCAGCCCTTTCTCTGTGGTCTAGAAGTGAGAGGAAATGCACAAGATAATGTGAGATAAGTCATTGGAGGCCAGATTATGTAGGGTGGAAGGTGGTAAGCTTTATTTTAAATATGAAGAGAGGCCACTGAAGCATTTAAAGTAGAAGACTGACTTGGTATGCTTATGTATCTAAAGTAATCCTCTGACCATTCTATGAGGAAGGGATTAGATAAAGATCAGAGTAGGAGAGTCCATTGCAGTGGTCCAAGAGAGAGATGATGGAGGCCTGGGATAGCATGCAGGAAAGACCTGAAATCCTTTTATAAGTAGAAGTGACAGAAAACTTGATAAGTATTTGAGTGTTAAGGAGAAAGCAGAGTCAAGCATAACTTTAAGGTTTTGGATTTCAGCAACTGGATGGTAGTAGTGACATTTAATAAGATGGGAAGACAGAGAAAGAACAAGATTATTCAGTTTTCGGACATGTAAAAAAGACACATCAGGTAGACAGATATATAAATCTGGAGCAAATTCAAGGAGCAATTTGTGCTGGAGTTTTGCATTTAGGAGTTATTAGCATACAGATGGTATTTAAAGAAATTAAAATGGATAGCTTTTTCTTTTTTTCTTTTCCTTTTTTTTTTTTTTTTTTTTTTTTTGAGATGGAGTTTCACTCTTGTTACCCAGGTTGGAGTGCAATGGTGCAATCTCGGCTCACCACAACCTCCACCTCCCAGGTTCAAGTGATTCTCCTGCCTCAGCCTCCTGGGTAGCTGGGACTACAGGCACCCATGACCATGCTCTGCTAATTTTTGTCTTTTCAGTAGAGACGGGGTTTCCCTGTATGGGCCAGACTGGTCTTGAACTCCTGACCTCGTGATCCACCTGCCTCGGGCTCCCAAAGTGCTGGGATTACAGGCATGAGCCACTGCACCCGGCCCTTGGATAACTTTTTCAAAGGGAGGTGTATGGAGAAGGAAGGAGGATGGACCCTGGGAATTTCCTGCATTTACACATCAGATAGAAGGAATAAACCACACAAAGAAAATCAAGAAAGAACAGCCAGAAAGAGAGAAAAGGTATTATTTCAAGAACAAAGTGAACAACTTTGATTAAAGGTGCTAAGACATTTAATAAGATAGGAACAGAAAAAAAATGACCATTAGATTTGACAAAATTGAGGTTATTAGTATTGACCTTGACAAGAGCAGATTTGGTGGACTGTTGGGGAAAAGCCAGATTGCAGTGGATTGAGGAGTGCTTGGGAGTTCAAGGAGAGTTGACATGAGTAGAAACATTTTCTGAAGTTGGTGAATGGTAAGATATGAAGTAAGCTGGTAACTAGTGAGAGATACAGAACTCAGGAAGAAAGTGAACTGAGAGACAAAATGGCAGAGTATGTTTGTATGGGGAGAGAAGAGATCTCTAGGAAGGAGAGGTTGATAATACAGGAGCAAGGTGGGTAAAGAGACAGAAAGAAGTGAGGAAGTGAGAGGAGGTTGAATCAGAGACCGTTGTGGAAGGATGTACCTCTGACATGAAAAAAGAAAAGCCTTCCTTGGTTGTAGCAGGAGGCAAGGAGAAAGGACAAATGCAGGCTTATATATTTGGTGGAGGTTGTGTCCTTTATTAATGAAGTATTGATGAACTTGAGAAGGAGCGGATGGTGACCATATCTCAAAGAATAGAAGGCTGAACGTAGTGATCTCCATGTCTTCAGAAGCAAGACGACCAGAGAAATGTAGGAGGGTTCTGGTCCAGGATTTGTGTCACCTTTGAGGTTTGAGGACTGAGGTTTCTTCTAGAATTTGTCAAATGCCTGTGCACAGGCACTTAAGAGGTATTTATGATGAGTTCCATCTGGATGTGAAATAATATGAAGGAGTGAGGAACACCAGCATTGAGGGCTTTTATGATATTTTGGGTGTAACGATGACCTGCAGAATCCAAGTGTGATGAGGAAAGAACAAAGTGGGGGAGGTGTTGATGGAAAGTTAAAGTGGTGGGGTCAATGAACTGAGAGTCATGGAAACTGGATATTTGCAAGGGAGATTGTGAAGATAGGGTGGTTTTAAATGATGTGGATCTAAAGTATGGCCATGCAAGTAAGTGGCTGAGGTGGAATGGAAGAAAAGTTCATGTGAAGTAAGGTGGTAAAGAAACAGAGATCATTGTGAATGCTAGATGAGTTGGCCACGTGGCTTTTTGACATTTCCAAGAATGAGTATAGACAAAGGCATAGACAGGTAGACTGTGACCCAAGAAGTCAATTGAAGAATGATGAGAATGTTGGTGGACAACAACAATAAGAAAACAGAAAGCAGTTTGTGTATCTTAAAGAACACAAACTGTTGCAAAAGGCAGAGAAGGAGCAATACGTGGAAGAAATCCAGCTGCTCCAACTACTGGTCTGGGAGTATGTCACATAGGAGAGAAAAACTGCCTCCCCATAGGGCTGTAGGAGACACAACACCTCCAGGGCAGACACATTTCAAGTAAGGCAAGAGGGTGAGAGCAGTATGCTTCAAAATGAAATAATAGATATATTACCACAAGTAAATGGTAAATGCATGTGATGATAGATACTCTAAATACCCTGATTTGATCATGATACAACATGTATATGCTTTGAAACATCAAGTTACACCCCATAAAAATGTATAATTACAGTGTATCAGTAAAACGGATAATAGATATAGAGGAGATTGTGAGGCATAGATAAGGAGTACTAGATGGCCCTCAGGAGGAATTTGAAAGGACAATTTCAGAGGTAAGGGGATTAGATCAGCTTGAGACACATAAAGAACTCAAGAAGAGTGACTGGCACAAAACAAATACCCTGTACATATTCAGTTATTGTTGTTCCTATCTAATGGGCATAATATCTGGAGGTAATGAATTACTAGATAGGATTGGAATGCTGGCAGTCATGGCTAGACCACGAATGATGTGACTTCCTAAAGCATCTACTTCCAATCTACTAACTCTATTTCCCTGGATAAAAACAGATTAGAAGTTAATATAGTAATATAAAGGGCTATTTGATCTTCACAAATAAAGCAGGGAGAAAATTTACCATGATACTAATTCCCAGGAACAAAGTATCCAAAACTGAAATACCGTTGTCATTACACATTTGCATTCACATTGGCATTGCCTATCAATTTGCTGATATTTGAAGCTTATTAGGATAGTATTTATTATTCCCAATATTTGCATGTCTTTTGAATGGTTACTTCATCTTTATAAGCCTTTGCGCGTAAAATAAAAATACTATATTATAAGATCATTGTGAAAGACAGCAATGCCTGAAAAAAAATCAAAAAATACTTCACTGATATGAAGGATAATTGACTAATATTATTATACATCTCCCTCATTTCCAGAGTATTGCCTCAAGAGAAAGCCTGCCTTTTTAATGTTATTCGTAGATAAATTATCCATATCTGTGTTTCCAGCAGCAGTTGGCAGTAAGCTAAATGTCAGTGCTTTTCCGCTTCTACTCTTATGTGAGGTGGGACAGTCACTATGTATGCTGTGTGATAGATACATCTGAGGGATGCTCCGATTCAAAATCCCTTTTCTGAGAACTAGTCCCTTTTCTACATCACTAAGAAAGGCTCCTGATGCCAATTTTGGTCCCATGTGACTCCACTGTTCTGAAATGAGAATGTTGTGGATGAGTTGGTGAAAGTTTCTAGAACAAAGAGGCAGGATACCAAGGTAGCCCACAGAAGCTAGGAAGATAAATTTCAACTGGCCTTCACAAAGGAGTGTACTCACAGACTGAAAAGCCATCAGAAATTAGGGCCACTTCTCTCCCTTAGGTCACAGCTTCAGATTAGCTTCACTTTCCTCTTTTATTGCAGGCTACTTTCATCTCTTTGGCTTCTAAATGACCCAGGCACAGTCACCCAGCCCCAACTCCACAAGATTGTCCATTTATTATTGCAAGCTCATAGAAGTCAACTATTCCAATGCAGAAATATTGGAGATAATAAATATTGCTCTAATAAGCTTCTAAAATCAAGAAATTAGCTGGCAATGCAAATGTTTATACAAATGTGTGATGAGATGGCATCACCATTTCAGCTTTAAATGCTTTGTTGCATAGTGGTTATCAGCACTATTGTGTGGTGTGAAGAGTGTATAAGGCTGGATTATCCAACTGCCTAGGTGCAAATTCTGGCACCACCATGTAATCACAATTTCACACTGTGCAGATTGGTAATGCCTTAGTATCGACATTATAAAGTGGATAAATAATAGTACCTACTTCGTAGGGTGGTTATAAGAAATATATGTGTTAATCGCAGCTAAAAGCACTTAGTTCAGTGGCTGGCACTTCTAGAGCCCTACTAAATATTGATGACCATTGTTACTTCTCAAGGACTCTGCTCATACTCTCCCCAAAGGGTTCAATGGCTCACTTAAAATTTCCCCAACACTAGAGAGTGGAGAATAGTTTGAAAGCTATGTACTTTGAGCAGAAAGGTGGGCGACAAAGTAGATTGGTAGGAAACTTCCCAAAGATTATTCAGCCAGAATTATTATTCCATGGTCCCAGATAGACAAAGGTGCGACAGCTGACCCAAGTAGGGCCTAGCACACATTGTCTTTCCCAGGAATTGTGGCTGGGAGAAAGGTTCAAATGAATCTTACCTGAACCTGCATAGTTGCATTTTCCTGCACCAATCATTTCAAGTCTCTGAACCCCAACTATAAAATAAAGAGATTGGACTAGACTGTTCTCAGTGATCACCTGCAGCTCCGACACTCTGTAATCCCACGTTGAGTGCTCTATTGTGCAGTGATACAATATGGAAATTGCCAGTGTGGGTAAGTGAAACCTCAACATGAACTGTGCAGATAGCTGGTGATTACACAATGGGAAATGTCGAGAAAATAACCTTATGGAGTGGAAAGTATTGGATTGTCTGATGATGACTTACTCTCCAATATGAAGATATAACTATGCTTGGCCGCTCAAGGATGAAAATGTAGTAATGTGTTAAAATGCTAATGAAATTGGAAGCCTATAATAGATGTTTAGAACAGTTTAGGTTACCAAGACACAGGAAGTTAGAGAGCATAGCTCATAAATCCTGATGATAAGGCCAAACTCCTCAGAACATTCAAAGCCTTTTATAGTCTGATTCCAACTTGCCTTCGCAAGTTCATCTCCCCTCTCAAACCCTCATAGACCCTGTTTTCAATCCATAATGAGCCATTTGACATTCCCCATACACAGCAGGCTCTTCTGTGCCATATGCATACAAATTCTGTTGCTTCCACCTCCATATTTCACGTTGCTCCATCTCACTCTCATCATCTATTCCAATTCCTCATCACTCACCTCATAGGATTACTCAGAGGGTTTCTTGACTGGTCAACCCACCCCTAGTCTCTGTTCACTCTGATCCATTGTCCTTACAACCAGAGTATTTTTCTTAATCACGTATCTTCGATCATATCTGTCTGCTTAAAATTCTTTAATGATTTTTAATTGCCTTTAACACAAAATCCAAATTATTCAATAGGGTTTGCAAGACCTTTCATGATCATTTAGCTACTGTTCTCAGCTCATCCTGCATCATTCACTTTTCTGCATAGCATGCTTCAGGCTAGCTGACAGAATTTCCCTTTCTCAGACAAGATGACTTCTCCTTGACCCTTCCCCATCTGCTAGTTCCTCTGTCTGCAATCTAACTCTCTCACTACTCCTTGCCTGACTTTCTTCTACAAAGGAAGGTCTCCCTTCACCACCAAGATGACATTAAGTTTCTTAGCTGTTTGTACTCAGGTTCTTTTTGTATTGTAACACCCTCATCTTTTGCACCTATCTGTTAGATAATGCTATTTCCTTTACTTAAATGTCTTTTAGTCCCCTTTCCTGGGCAAATTTCTACTTGTTGTCAAAGCCCAGCTCCAATGTTACTACCTTGGGAAAAGTCTTCCTAATTCCACAAGGTCACTGCTCACTCCCTCTTCAGTGCTGTCATGGAAATTCCTACAGAGTCCTCTTGGTCACAATGCATTTTATTGCTAAAAGTTAGAACTTTGTTCCAGAAAACATTTCACAATGTACCCCAGGCAGATATACTATTTTTGTGGTGATGCAGAGAATGATGGAAAAACTCAAGTTCTAAAATAATTTGGTACTAAAATAAATGTCAGGATCTAACTCCAGAGTAGGGCAGAATGGGACTAGTTACTTTATACACACGCTCACACGCACATACACACTTACATATCTAAATTCCAGATGACCATTCTTGGAGATGGCCATTTAGTTCTCCTAAATGCATGTGAACATTCTAACTATCATTCTTCTTCTCAAGTAGCAATAATTCTACATGTTCTATATTTAAAGCCCTCAGTAAGATGTGGCCAAGAACATAAATGTTGCTTCCCTTTCTTTCATAATGTAATGATCTTCTTGTTGGGATATTAATCAATAACCAATTTCATAGTTGGACAACTGTTTTTAATGGCCTTCTACCTTGAAGGGATTGTTGCACAAGCCTTTAGATCACTCCTTTAAGGACATGTCACCAAAAGGGCAAATTCACTTACTTGTCATAAAGCAGAAGCCAAAAGCCTCATTATACTAATTAAGAAAAGAAGCATTTGGGTCTTTGTTGGTTGAGAGCTCAGAAGTTTCAATTCTGGATGTGAAAATGGAATCAAGTGGACTCATCCCATCAAATAAATTTGGAATAATATTAAAAGGGCCACAGATCATGTTAATCATGGAGTCATGGGCCCTTGGGTGTTGCCTAAGTTTGGTTATTTCAAAAAGAAGTATGCCTGCTGCCTAATCTTGGCTGTACAGACATAACCAAGGGATTTGCCGGCCTCTTCTTCCCATGAGTTTATTTGCCTTCAATAACTGTATCTTCCTTCAGGTGGTCTTTTTAATGAAATATTTTTAGTCTTTGAAGAACTAAACTCAACATTTTGTCTTCAATTAGTTTGTAGAGAATGAATGGAATGAATTGGATGCTGAATAATTCTCATGTAACTCTTACTAATGCTGACATTCTTGATGTCTAAACTTTAAGCATCTGATATTTAGACTGGGATTAAGCAAAAATGTATTAATTACCTATGTTATGGGTTTCATCCTTTAACATACACCAAAATTCCCAAAATAACCCTAAGAATCATTTTTTTAAAATATCCTTGTTTTGTTAATGAGAAAACCAAACCTCAAGAAGTTAATATGAACTGTAATTTTAAACAAAAATTTCCTCAAATCACAGCTTTTTCTGCTACACTATGGCAAACCACCATTTTTCTCAATATTCCACCTCTCTATATTGTAATTGGCTATCTGTGTATCTATGAATCTATCGATCCATCATCTCCTCATTATTTAAAGTAATTCCCTTAGATTCATCTTGGTTTCTAGATGCATATATTGGCTACAATTAAAGAAGACTTTCCAACATATAGTTCTTACCTTATCACTCTTCTGAGAAAAAGTCATTCAGAATAGCTCCCGCTCTTCAAACAGTCGTATTACAACATTTTAAACATATTTTACACTTTTCATAGTTCATGCATTAGCTCATGCTTTTCCCTTCATCTAGGGTGCCCTTTTCACCAAAAAATCACTTATTTCAGTATCTTTTACTCCCCTAAGTCTATTCAAATGCTTCCACCTTTCTGAACTCCCTTTTCAATCTCACTGTCTACCTTCTGAAGATATGAGGCCCCTCTTTCCCTTCTTGGAATTTCCCTAGTAGATTATTTGAATTTTTTTCTGTGACTCTTTATCTCTTCCTACCTTGAATTTCATATGTGTCTGGCTACTTTTTCTGCTAAACTTTAAACTATTTAAGAACAAATCCAGCCTCTAACTTTACCATCTGTTCACTGTCAGATCCCTGGATTCTCTTCCCCTTTGGTCCACTATTACTGACTCAACAAGTGAATTCTGCTCGTTAGCAGCTCCACAAAACTGTGGCGTTCCCATGTCCCACAGCCAACCTTACAAAGCAAACAGATTAACCGGACACCACAGGACCAGGTTTGTGGTGCAATGTCCCTTCAATAGTCTTGCGTTTAGCTCTGCATGGGAGGGGGTGCATTGCCAACCTGAAAATGAGATATCTGGGCCAGTCAATGTTAGCCAAGGGCTATGATGTTGAAAATATTATTTGGGAAAAAAACACTACCCTGTAACAGAACTAAAAGCTCCTAGATTCTGAAAGGAATACCAATATTCTGTCTCTCAGAGAAAACAAGATTTATTTTTTCACCACTAAAAATTTTATTGTTTTCCAAAATCAGACCTGGCTTAGTGGCTGTTAGAACACTCTCAGATGGCACCCCCATTTCAGTCTGTCCATTAGCTCATTGATGCCTGACAGATGACTTCCTTCTTCAACCTGTCCTTTTTTTTCCTTTTCTTCTTCCTTCCTACTTTCCTTCCTTCCTTTCTTCCTTTGTTTCTTTAATATATATTATTTTTTGTTAGATATTGGGGAAATATTTCGGTGCTATTAAGGTAGTGTGAAACAGGTATTATGACCAGGAAACTTGAGAACCTTCAAATGCTGCACCAAATCCATGATCACAAAATGTCTGATAAAATATAAAGCAAAGTGACACTACTGTTAACTCTGGCTCTAGCCCAAAACCTCAATGTTGAAAACTCTAGGAAGCTAAACCCAATAATTTCTTTTATCCTAATCTTATTAGTCTTAAAGAGTTTTAGATAAAACCAGATTATGGGGTCCACTCTATTTCATTACCTGTAACAGTTGAAGCTAATCCTTGGATCTTACCACTAAGAGGTAAGAAAAAGTTGGTCCAACCCACCCCTGCCATAACTAGGAAGCTGAATTAAACAGTGAGCTAACACCATAATAACTCATTTTTTAAAAATCACATTGGCTGGGTGTGGTGGCTCATGCCTGTAATCCCAGCACTTTGGGAGGCTGAGGCAGGTGAATCACCTGAGGTCAGGAGTTCAAGACCAGCCTGGCCAACATGGCAAAACTCCCATCTCCACTAAAAATACAAAAATTAGCCAGACGTGGTGGCTTATGCCTGTAGTTCCAGCTACTCTGCAGGCTAAGGCAGGAGAATCGCTTGAACCCAGGAGGTGGAGGTTGCAGTGAGCCAAGATCTTGCCACTGCACTCCAGTCTGGGCAACAGAGTGAGACCCTGTCTTAAAAAAAAAAATAGCAAAAGAAAGTCTTCCTAAAACAAAACAAAACAAACAACAACAACAATCCCAGCACAATCAGTGAGTTTATATATGACCAGTCAAGTTCAGGGCTCCTTCTCTGCTGAGGTGGAGGGAAATGCTTTTCCTCTTGATTGATTAGGGAAAGCCCTTAAGTTCTTCTCAGAGATCAATAGGCCTGCTCCATGCCAGGCGCCATGCTAGGCTCTGGAGACACAAAGATAAATAAGACCCAAAGTCTCTGTCTTGGTCTAATGGGGAAGGCAGACAAGTAAATAATTCTAAATCTATGTGATGAGAAACAGTAGAAGCAGAGCTGATATTGAGATAGTGAGCACTGGTATGACCATACAAGTTGATAAAATACTGAAATGCTTTTATAAATACCCGCTTTCTGGAACCCATCAGTAGCCTCCAGTGTCACCCACTGTCCCTGCCAACCCTATCCTCTCCCCACCTCAGACTTCAGGGTCCAGCAGAGGTCACCATGACCCTATTCTAGATCAAGAGTTAGTAACCATTCTAATGAGTCAGTGCTTGGGATGACCCCTGAGTGGAGATATACGCAAAGTACTATAGTAGGATGGAGAAGAGAAAATCCCCTCTAGCTAGAAGAGTGTGAGTCTTACAAAATACATACAACTTGAAGAGGAGGGGGCACTGGAGTGAAGTCTTGAAGACTGAGGAGGAGTTCACCAGATGAGCTGTATTAGTCAGGGTTCTCTAGAGGGACAGGACTAATAGGACAGATGTACTTATGAAAAGGAGTTTATTAAGGAGTATTGACTCACACAACCACAAGGTGAAGTCACACAATAGGCCGTCTGCAGGCTGAGGAGCAAGGAAGCCAGTCCAAGTCCCAAAACCTCAAAAGTAGGGAAGCTGACAGTGCAGCCTTCAGTCTGAGGCTGAATCTGAGGCCAAAGGCCCTAGAGCCCCTGGCAAACCACTGGTGTAAGTCCAAGAGTCCAAAAGCTGAAGAACTTGGAGTCCAAAGCCTCCAGCACAAGAGAAAGTTGGAGGCCAGTCTTATCCAGTCTAGTCCTTACACTTTCCTCTGCCTGCTTTCATCCTAGCTGTGCTGGCGGCTGATTAGATGGTGCCCACCCAGATTGAGGGTGGGTCTGCCTCTCCTAGTCCACTGACTCAAATGTTAATCACCTTTGACAATGCACTCACAGACACAGGAGGAACAATACTTTGCGTCCTTCAATCCAATCAAGTTGACACTCAATATTAACTATCACATGGGCTTTACAAGCAAAGCATACACCATGCATTAAGACAAAGAAGAGTGTCCCTTGTAATGAAAATAGAGTTAACTCAATGAATCTTGGATGCAAAGAGAGTTGCATAAAGGGGAAGAGACAGGAAATGGTTCTGAGAATTAAGTGAAGAGCCTTGTATGTCTTTTACTTATGGGTAACAGGAAGTTTTAATGAGGGTATACCATTACAATTGCTTCCATTGTTAAACAAATAGTGGGAAGAACATAAGTCTTGTTCCATGTTTTTTTCTAATTTTAGGATTAGTTTTTGATGAGTCCACAAAGAGAGGATAATAGGTTAGTTCTGTCTGATATGATTGCAAAATACCAGAACTCTTTTCCCAAATCCTATCTGCTATGAACTGCCAGTGAACCTCCTTTTTTTCTCGGTCTATTTGTTGGAGAAATAAAGTCAATGTGTGTATTACACATGGTGGCAGTTATTTCTTTTATTAAATCAAAGCTTATAAAATAAGATGTGAAGCATGATTCTCCGTTCAACTTGACAATCTTTTTTTTAAATATACTTTAAGTTCTGGGATACATGTGCAGAACATGCAGGTTTGTTACACAGGTATACACGTGCCATGGTGGTTTGCTGCACCCACCAACACGTCATCTACATTAGGTATTTCTCCTAATGCTATCCCTCCCCTAGCTCCCCACTCCCCAACAGGCCCCAGTGTGTGATATTCCCCCACTGCGTCCATGTGTTCTCATTGTTCAACTCCCACTTATGAGTGAGAACATGCAGTGTTCGGTTATCTTGGCAATCTTATAGACACTGGGCAGCACATGAGATAGAGAATGGAGGAACTCAAACATTCATCTAGATATTGTTCCCAGTGCTTCACACAAAGTAGGTGTTCAGTGCTGTCCAAATTCATTAATCATTATTTCCTATAAATCTTCACCATTCTGAAACAAAGTGTTATTCTCCCTCCAGAAGATGTAATTAATCCCTTTCTTCCCTTTGGCCATTTTAATCACTCTTCTCTAAAATAAATCCATTTTGAGGAGCAGCAGCCAGAGCTCAGGAAACATACCTGCCCTCTGTGCTGAGGAGGAGTTCATGGTCTCTGTTTCATGACCGATGCGTACCAAACTCATCTCAAGTTCTATTGCATACCTACAGTTTGTCAGGTGCTGTGAGATAGATTCTGAAATTCCAAACACAAAGAGGATAGGGTGCAGCCCTGACTCTGCGTGAAGAATACAAACAGGTGAAACTGTAATCCCATCACTTTTCCAGGTACAAGTGGTTTTTTCCCAAGGATATTAACTTAGATCAATGACTCCAGGATATAGTTTGTTTGCCAAAGTGTGTTCAGTGGATTTAACCAGTTCTGCAGACTATTAGTTGGTGGTACATATGCAAAGGGTTTCACTGATTGATTACATTTGAAAATCACTGGGTAGGAAAAAGTCTTTCCTGCAGAGCTTCTATAAGCTTTTATTAAGCACATGCACATGTTGTGGCTATCCAACATGGGGAGAGTCTCCCAAATCCAATCAACCAGAAGTTCTTTTGCTGCAGATTATTTCAAGAAGAATGAACTTCTCCCAGGAATATACTTAGGGAAAATGCTGATCTGCTCTGTCCTGGGTAAAGAGTGAGCCCATCATCTCAAGAATGTACCTAGGAGTGTTTCCTCTAATTTCATTTATTTACTTATACTTACACTGGTGCCTATCTGACTTCTTAAGCAAACTCTTCCCATCTCACAGGGCCTTCCTGCAGTGGGTCTCAAAACCTTGGCATCTCACTAACTAGAAGGGCTTGGTGGCATCACAACTGGAGACTCCACTGTGAATGTACATGATTTCTAAATTGCTCAACAAAGTCAATCCCAGCAGCTATCTCTTAAAAAAAAAAAAAAAGTGTGTATGTATATGTGTATGTATATGTGTGTGTGTGTGTGTGTGTGTGTGTGTGTGTGTGTGTGTGTGTGTTGGATGCTTTATTTTACTCCTTAAGGTAGAAAAGTTTCCATTTATTTCTACTCATTTCCTCTTTTTAAAATATGAGAGATTATATTTTCTAAACAATTGTGCTCTTAGTGAACCTAAAAAACATATTCTTATGATAACAGAATCTATAGTTCCTTGCTTTGTTAAACTCTTCATTTTGATAAAATTACACCTATCACTGTGAAAGTACTAAAATAAAACACTGGGGAAGCTCTCCAGAACATTGGTCTAAGCAAAGATTTCTTGAGTAAAACCTCAAAAGCACAGGCAACCAAAGCAAAAATAGATAAACAGGATCACATCAAGTTAAAAAGCTTCTACACAGCAAAGAAAACAATCAACAGAGTTAACAGACAACCCACAGAATGGGAGAAAATTCTTGCAAACTATCCATCTGACAAGGGATTAAAACCCAGAATATATAAGGAGCTCATATATCTCGAAAGGAAAAAATCCAATAATCCAATTTAAGAATGGATAAAAGATCTGAATAGACATTTCTCAAATGAGAATGGCCAACCAGTACATGAAAAAAATGTTCAACATCACTAACCATTAGAGAAATGCAATCAAAACCACAGTGAGATATGATCTCATCCCAGTTAGAACTGCTTTTATCCAAAAGACAGGCAATAACAAATGCTGATGAGGATGTGGAGAAAGGGGAACCCTCATACACTGTTGGTGGGAATTCAAATTAGTACAACTACTATGGAGAACAGTTTGGAAGTCTTCAAAAAACTAAAAATAGAGCAACCATATGATCCAGCATTCCTACTACTGGGTACATACCCAAAAGATGGGAAATCAGTATATCAAAGATAGATCTGCACTCCCCTGTTTATTGCAGCATGATTTACAATAGCCAGGATTTGGAATCAACCTAAGTGCTCATCAACAGACTGATGAATAAACAAATGTGGTACATGTACACAATGGAATATTATTCAGCCATAAAATGAATAAAATTCTGTCATTTGCAACAACATGGATGAAACTGGATAACATTCTGTTAAGTGAAATAAGTCAAGCACAAAAAGACAAATATCACATGTTCTCATTCATTCATGGGATCTAATTTGTTTTTTAATGAACCCATAGAAATAGAGAATAGAAGGGTGGTTACCAGAGGCTGGGAAGGGTTGCATGGAGGAGTGGGGAAAGTGAAGATACTTAATGGGTACAAAAATATGGTTAGACAGTATTTGATAGTACAAGTATTGTTTACTATAGTAAACAATAATTTATTGTATATTTTAAAGAAACTAAAAGAGTGGAATTGGAATGCTCCTAACACATGGAAACGATAAATGAGGTGACGGATACCCCATTTACCCTGATGTGATGGCTACTCATTGTATGCTTGTACCACAATATCACATGTACTCCATATACACCTACTATGTTCCCCTAAAAATAATAACCATGAATAATCATCTTTTAAAAAAAAATTCCCTCTATCAGAATGAAGGTACAATAAGTTATATAAATCAACATTTGGCAAATGGAATTCTATGCTGACATTTCTATTTAGGAATTGGTATTTTATTTGGAGGATAGACATCTGCTCAATTTATTAAAAGCAATTGACTTGTTTGAAGAGGTCAGCTACTGGTGATGAATCTCTTTGTTCTCAAAAGATTACAGGCAGTGGCTTGCACCTGCAATTCTAGAAGTTTGAGAGGCTGAGGTGAGGGAATCACTTGAGTCCAAAAGTTCGAGACCAGCCTGGGCAACATAGTGAGACACGCTTCTCTGAAAAAAAAAAAATTAGCCAGGCATAGTGGCACAGGCCTGTAGTACCAGCTACTCAGGAGGCTGAGGAGGAAGGATTACTTGAGCCCAGGAGGTCAAGGCTGCAGTGAGCCAAGATCATGTCATTGCACTCCAGCCTGGGTAACAGAGTGAGACCTTGCCTGAGGAAAAAAAACCAAAAAAACAAAAAAAGAACAATTTTACCAGCTTCTTCATGTGCTTCTGGTCTTTCCTTGAAGATAATAATTAAAAGTATAGTACAATTCCTTTATTCAAAAGTATTTATTGAGCACCTACTATGTGCCTGACACCATGCTAGAGGCATGGGGTATAAATGGCAATCAGAACAGTGTTTAGTTGTCTGTGTGTTGAGATGAAAGCATTGTTTATGCTGAAATATGGCTGAAGAGTGTGCCTGAGGAATTACACAAATTTGGCTACATAGAAAGAGGTTATTTCTCTGCCTTCTCCTCTCCTCCTCTCCTGACTCCAAGTCCCAAGAAAAGTAAATGGTGTTAAAACTGCAGTTCATATTTTTGTGGGGCCAGAGGAGCTAATGAAAACACAGTAGGTCTGAGTGATAACTGCCTCCTTGGCAGTCTGTAGGAGAGAAAAAACAGTGGGTTGCCAGGTGGTTCTGAATGCTATGAACTGCTCTCTTAAACGTGTAATCATGGAGAAGAAGCCTTCGTGACTTCAGTGCCTTATAGCAGCCATTGCAAAGCTCAGTAATGTTACTGCCAGTTTGGTTTTTTTAAGGTGTTTTAGTAGTTGATATGGGATGGGGGAAAAGGGGTGCACTAAAAAGACCTATTTTTAAAGAGGTACAGTGTACACTATTTGAGTGAGGGTTACACTAAAAGCCCAGACATCACCACTACCCAATATATCCACGTAACAAAACTGCACTTGTACCGTATAATTTAAAATATATATGTATTTTTATTTTAAGTTCTGGGGTACATGTGCAGGATGTGCAGGTTTGTTACATAGGTAAACATGTGCCATGGTGGTTTGCTGCACCCATCAACCCAACACCTAGGTGTTAAGCCGAACATGCATTAGCATTAGCTACTTTTCCTAATGCTCTCCCTCCCCCAACCCCACCCCTGACAGGCCCCAGTGTTTGTTATTCCCCTCCCTGTGTCCATCTGTTCTCATTGTTCAGCTCCCACTTATAAGTGAGAACATGCAGTGTTTGACTAACGTACCCTATAACTTTAAAAAATATACAAAGGAAAGAATGGGTTTTCATAATGTAGATCAGCAGTTGTCTACCCTGAATATGCACGAAAATTTCCTGGCAGGCTTATTACAACACAGTTTCCTGGGGTTCACCCCTAGATTTTCTGATTCAGTAAGTCTGGAGTGGAGCCCTAAAATTTACATTTTTAATAAGGTCCCAGGTGTTTCTAATGCTGATCCAAGGACATGTCTTCTTCCCGGATGTGGAAGTTCTCAGTACTCAAGTTGCTCCCACTGCAGGACAACTAGAAAGTAAAAATATTTAGGACACGGATTCCAGGGTGGGAGGATGGAGGAGTTGGCTAGATTAAATAGAACTGGTATTTTTGAGAACTTACTCATAATGCCAGGAGTTTTATATACATTGTCTCATTTATCCCACTGCACACCTGGCCAGTTAGCACGTGTCAAAGTAAAAATCAACTCATTCATCAGGGAACAAAAAAGAGATGTTTTCTTCTCTAAAGAGTTAAATATCATATGCTGGCTATATATTTATGTGAGAATATATAATTTCCTCTTGTTTTTAACACAGGTATACTTTAAATGTTTCTTGAGATTTAACTCTAAGTAATTAAAGGAGGCTGGCTTTTCTCGTGAGATAAGAGTCACCACATAAAACAACTTTGCTTTTGAAAGAATTAGATTTAATACATTTGAAGTTCTTCTACAGATTCCTACTCAAAGTGGATGTCATGATTATTGCAATCTAAGGTTCCACAATTAAATTTTTTCTTTTTGAGATGGAGTCTCACTCTGTCACCCAGGCTGGAGTGCAGTGATACCATCTTGGCTCACTGCAAGCTCCACCTCCTGGGTTCAGGCCATTCTCCTGCCTCAGCCTCCCAAGTAGCTGGGATTACAGGCGCCACCATCACGCCCAGCTAATTTTTTTGCATTTTTAGTAGAGATGCGGTTTCACCCTGTCAGCCAGGATGGTCTTGACCTCCTGACCTTGTGATCTGCCCGCCTTGGCCTCCCAAAGTGCTGGGATTACAGATGTGAGCCACCGCACCTGGCCAAAAATTTTCTTCTTTAGACTATAAACTTTACATATGATTCAATGGGAATCACATGTGATTTTGTAGCCTCATTCATTTGCTACACTGTACACACTCAATAAATTTTACTTAGTAAATGGATCCTTCACACACTCAAAATAGGGCAAATGTTTACGTGTGATTAAAGTAGCCTAAAGGTCCCCCTAAACAAGATTCTCTTTATGTTTAAGCAGCCCTCTTTAAAACCCAACATAGCACCTGTGAGGAATTGTGCTACTTCCTCAACATCCTAATATCAATTACTCTAAAATCAGATGGGCTTCAGTGTACAGGCTCTACTTCTGACCAGAACGGCTTTGCTTTATTAGAATTGGGGGTGTGAAGGTAGATTCCTGCATACAGAATGCTGAAAAGGGCAGAGCTAGTTAGGACAGAAAAAGACAGTCCTGGGTCAGAAAAGGGCAACTTGAATGCTCAGGTCAGCTGTAGCAGAAGAATAGGAGAAGAGGTCTCTGGAGCCAAATTTCCTCCCAGAGTACTGCCTTTGCTGGAGGAGACCCAAGGTAAAATGACTTAAGTGCTGTTTTACTTTCCTAGGGCTTCATTCTTAGAATCATAGAGCTACGAGCCTGAGGGATCTTTGCTTTTTGTTCTTTTGGTTTTTTTGAGACGGAATCTCGCTCTGTCACCCAGGCTGGAGTGCAGTGGCGCGACTTCGGCTCACTGCAAGCTCCGCCTCCCAGGTTCACGCCATTCTCCTGCCTCAGCCTCCCGAGTAGCTGGGACCACAGGTGCCTGCCACCACACCCGGCCAACTTTTTTGTATTTTTAGCAGAGACAGGGTCTCACCGTGTTAGCCAGGATGGTCTCCATCTCCTGATCTTGTGATCCGCCCTCCTCGGCTTCCCAAAGTGCTGGGACTACAGAGCCTAAGGGATCTTAAAGTTCCCCTGATTAATATTTAAATATCTTTTACCAAACTTCCATCAATTACTGTGACTAACTTGATTGTAGCCTTCCTGAACAAGTTCAAAGCTCAGGAATCCATTTCATCAAGGGACAAATCACTCAGTTAAAACATTATTATTATACCAGTGATGATTTATACTACTAGCACCAGCAAGCATTTCTTGGGAACTCTGCCTCAGCTGTGGGGTTACCTGTGGCAAGTACACTATCTCATTCAACCCTCACAACCACGAGGTGGGTATGAGTACCTTGACTTTCAGATCAGCAAACTCAGGCTCAGAGTTTAGTTGACATGGGAGATCTGGAATCAGAGTGCTTAGGTTCAAACCTCAACTCTGCCTCTGACAAGCTGCTTGACGTTGGGGAGAGTCGTATAAATTCTAAGCATCTGTTTTGTCATCTGTGAAACAGAGATAAGAGACATCTCGGTGTGGAGATTCCATAAGATAATATAAGTGAAGTGATTATGAGAGTGCCCAGCACATAGTAAGCCCTCAATCTGCAGGTCAGAGAATGTCAATAGCATGATGGAGGTCACAGAGTCAGTACAGGGGAAAAGTGGGTACCAAACCCAGCATCTCTGACCCCAAATCCACACTGCAAATGTCCTCACTATCCTACCTCCATTCCCAATGCACAGCCCACAGTGCCATTGTGGTACACTCAGAAGAGGATTTTGCCCAGGTCACCTCTTTCCATGCAATCTAGAGAGGCTTTATGAAGGAAGGGAGGCTTGGGGGAAAAGGTGATGTGAAGGTTGAGTCCCATAACCCTTTAACTGTAATAATGACTTCTGGTCCATCCTGGTCATTATAGAGACCCAAAAGGCTTCTGTTGAGAGAAATATTATTTCCCTATAATGTCCATCCATGGGCATGGCAATATTTTACTTTCATGGACCACTCCCTCCACCCCCCCGAAAAAAGTCCCCTCTGTCTTTGGATTCTGTCCTTAAATGTCACAGAATTCAGTGCATGCTCAGACCATAAATCTCACTTAAAAAGGGAGCTCACTGCCAGCCTTTCCCAGAGAACACCTGGGATTGCACCGTAGGCTATCTGCCTATTCCAACACTCCACCTTGGAGAAGAAACCAATCTGCCTTTGTTGAAGAATCCACAGGTGGCAGGAATCACCTGACAAAGAGGAACAGCAGGGGCAGACAGTCAAATGGCTTTGTGAATAACGGGCTAGATTTCTGGGGATAGGACAGAAAGTAAACAATATAGGCTGCCTTGAAACTCCTGGACTTTGGATTTCATTATCAGACTATTGCTGGAGAAGGAAATATATATCGTCTGATACAGGCTCACAAGCTGATAAATATTTAATGGAGAAATAATGAATCTTGGTGTAAATATTTAATGGGGCAATATCAAGATATACAGGGTGAGGGCTGTGCTGAGAGAAAGAGGCTTTAGACAATAAGACAATCGAGTTGGAACTTGAGTAGAGATAAGTCCAACAAGTATCAGTCTCTCTAAGGGATGCTGGATCTCCTTTGAAACCAGGTTGGTTGTTTCTATAACAGAATAGATGAGCTTCTTTTCAAAATGTGAACCGCTGTGGAAATGACTGGAGATAGTATTTTTATTTCACTTTTATTATTTATTTGAAAGATAGCATTAGATTGTTTACTTGGAAAATGATAACCATTGAGAGAATTAATACAAGCAAAATAAAAACCTACGTAGGATCAGATGAACATTCCTTTCAGAAGTCACAGTTATTTTTGTGGGTGTTCTGACTTGGGAGAGGGGTGCCTATTCCAAAAGAGAAGTAGATGGTACAGCGCTTGGGAGAGTTCTTTTTTTTTTTTTTTTTTTTTCTTTTTGGAAACAGGGTCTCACTCTGTTGCCTAGGCTGGAATTCAGTGGCACAATCATGGCTCCCTCCAGTCTTGACCTCCCTGGGCTCAAGTGATCCTCCCACCTTAGCCTTCTGAGTAGCTGGGACTACAGGTGTGTGCCACCACACCCAGCTAATTTTTTGGTATTTTTTAGAGGCAGGATTT
This sequence comes from Homo sapiens, assembly GCF_000001405.40. NCBI lineage: Eukaryota > Metazoa > Chordata > Mammalia > Primates > Hominidae > Homo > Homo sapiens. The sequence goes on from NC_000009.12 coordinate 119,677,090, forward strand.
TGACATGTTGCCCAGACTGGTCTCAAACTCCTGGGCTCAAGCGATTGCCCACCTTGGCCTCCCAAAGTGCTACGATTACAGGCATGAGCTACTGCACTTGGCGGGACAGCCTAAGAATAGATTTCATTTATCTTGAACCCAGGATGTGGCCAAGATTATGTTAGTGCTAGCAAATAAGGATAGATGTGTCCCTGCAATTACAGAGCTTACCATTGGCAGTACAGATTATAGCAGAAATCACCGTACAGTGTAATTATCAGTATCACAGGGCCAGGAGAGAGCTATGGAAACATGAAGATAAACCAGAGATGACTTCCTGGAGGGAACGGCTTCTGGGTCATGTCATGAAGGGTGGTTTGCTGACATTGTCTTCACTTATTTATTTGTCTGGCTCTTCTCATTCAATGGAAAGCCTTATGAATAGAGAGACCCAGAGGCATCAGGAAGGAATCCACAAGGTGATAATTCAAAGGGTCTTGAATGTCAAGATAAGGGATTTTAATTTGAATTAATAAATAATAATTAGAGCCAACATACACGTGCGTTGGGAAATGCTATGTGTGAATGTATGTGCACATGTATTTCTAGCACTTGAGAATGTACATCTTTGCAGTTGCGTGAAATATAGAGCAAGTAGAAAGCAGAGCAGAGAGTGCTGTTCCTGAAGTTCCTTGAAGAACTTAAAAAGAGAAACCAAAAATAGACTTAAGCCCCCTTTGCTCCCTGTTTCTTTCCACCATCTGTCAGTCCCACTCCCCTAGAGAGAAGCTAAGGCTGACAGTAGCAGAGTGAGGAAACAGGGGTGTGGGTGGGAGAATTTTATTTTTTCTACCAGGCTGAGTTATTAATTAGCTTCCTGGAAGGTAGAGGAACACCGTGCTTTAGTCTTCTCGCTTGACAAATATTGCACCAGAGAGTGATAACAGCCCACCCAAGGTCACCTAGCACCTTCATAACAAAGGCAGAGCCAGATTCCAGGACCATCTGGAATTCTCTGCACAGACTCTAACCGTACCACTGTCCAACCTTCCTCTCCTAAAGGGATCAGGTGGTGTCTGTTTTAGAGAAGCAAACTAGGGGAGATCTTTGTCGTGGACTTCCCCAGCTTCTTGGTAAGCAAAATATTTCCTAGCCTCCTTCCCAAGGACAAGCTGCAGTCCTCACATGAACTCAGCAACAGATGCTGTTTACTTCAAGCAGCACAATTCCTTCCAACCCCTCATGCATAATACGCAACTGAGCCTTTCATCTCTGGGGCCTCAGGATCCCAGGGAGGCAGGTGGACAGACGGATGCACTGCCTCATCCTCTGAAGGCCTATCATTATCTCATTTTTTTCACCCGGTCTTGAGCTTGAGCTAGAACTTGGTGAGAGGTGGTGGGGATCAGTCTCAGAGGCACCCAGAACTTGCTCCTCTCTGGACTGGAATGCTGATCCTCTCTCACCACCTCCCCACGCCCAAGGACTGTCAGCATCAGCACCACAGGCCATGTCTGGGTTCCACTCGCTTCCTTCATTTCCTTCATCTGGTGAGGATGGAGTGGAGCTCCCAGTTCTTCCTTCAGTGTTGTTTGGCTTCACCCCAACTTAACAGTATTAACAAAACTCCCAAGACTTATCCATACTCACTAGAGTCCACACTCTCTGGGAGGATTTGAAGCTGAGAAGGACCCCATATATCACGGCACAACCCCTTCCTTTGAGATGAATCCTCAACAAATACCTATTGAGCAGTTAAGTGTGGGCCCTGCACAGAATGCCAGGACTGCCAAGCCTCCCTCCCCGTCATGGGACTTAAAGTCTAGGAGAGGAAGAGATGCATTAAATGAAACTATTATAATAACTAATTAAATGTGATGTAACTGAAACCTAAAGAGACAGCATGATGTCTTTGGTGTCCTCGAGTAAATCTGTAACAGAGCCAGGATTCAGGGCTGTTGTCTGTGACTACATCTTTGATAACTTAGGCTAATATCTGGAGGAAAACCTCTATGCCAATCGCAGGAATTCCCTGAATCTAGTCCTCCTCCATCTGCAGTGCTGTACCCTGAAAAAGTTCAAAATCCACTCTCCTGCTTACTTACCTACCATCTATTTAACAATGAAACCACAGATGCTGGGTGTTTCTCCCCTGCCCCTTCTCAGGGTGGGACAAGGACTTAGGGAGTTGGCCCTAATGAACAGGCCCAAGAAATGTTTATGGACTCTCAGCAGTCAAGAGCTTGAAGGGACCTTAATAAGTTGGAATATTCATCATACCTTTTCTTCTTTTAACAACAGCAAGCTATTTTTCAAGAGAAGTCAGAAGTAAAACACTGATACGAAAGTTGACAAAAGTTGAGCTGCCCTGACTTACTTGAAGAATGAGGGCTTTAAGGGCCACCTCTATCCAGCCCCCTTTCCCTGGGGACAACCCTTTAAGGTAATTTAGGACAAAGGATCGCAGTTTGAAACTTGCTTATCTCATCTAATGCCTCATTTTATAGAAGCAGCTGTGCCATGTGTCTGGGTATAACCTCTTCCAAATGTCTTTTCATCTCTGGGCCTACAGATCCATCTGTGAAATGAGGATGGATATGCTCACGCCCATTCTACAGGATTCTTGTTGAGTGCCTGATGAAGTCCCAAATATCAAAGCACTCTAACTACCATGCATATCTGCGAGTGAGCACAGTGGTGTTTAAACCCCAGTTCCACCACTCTGTAGCTAAGTGAATGATTTTCTCTAGACCAGTTTCTTTATTTATAAAATGAGAATAGCAATGGCACCTATCTCCCAGCCTTACCGTGAGGCTTAGATCAGATAACGTGTATAACACATTTTTTCTAATTGCCTGGGCTGTAGGAAGTGTTCAAAAATATTTACTTTAATCTCTTCTTCTCCATTGTCTTCATCACCACTGTCATATTTATTTCAATTGTTATTCATTTTGAGAAAACAGATCTAGCTCTGCACCTTTCCTCTGCACATGAACCTGCAATAAAGTGGCTCCAAAATGTGATGGAAGCCACGTGTGAATACAAGGGGACATTCAATCTCTTAAGGAAGTCAACACAAAATAAGCCTAGTTGAGAGATAAAGAGAGATTCTGATGATATTTTGGAGGCAACTGTACTAGCCACATGAGAAAATGTTTAACTTCTGGATGTTTCAATTAGTCATCCCCTCGATTTTTTGTGCTTTCACACACACACACACACACACACACACACACACACACACACGTAAGAGGCCCAGAGGGGGAAGTATCTTGCTGCAGCACCACACACTATTAAAGGAGAGCTCCAATAGCCTGCCTCTCATGGCCATGTTTTTCTTCTATGCCTCATAGATTGCATTCTCCAAACAGCCCCTTTCTTCCTCAGTCCCACTCACAGAAGCCAGGGATCTCATGTGTGGCCATTTGTTCTTACTTATTCCAAACCCAGGGCACACGACCAATTCCATGGGAAGGGGCTTTGGAGAGGGAAACAATCCAATTACTGATCTAATGAGCCAATTTTCCTCTCATCTCCTCATAAAGTCATGTGCGGCCCCAGTGTTCCCCTGCCTTACTCAGACGATGACAGAGAGATGGAGAAAGAGCCCTGTTAGGCAGTTCAAACCCACTTACTGCACAGGCTGGAAAATGAAATGACTGATACCATGTAATTAGGCCTTAATTATTTATCATTTTTGGTTAATTACTGCCACTTGCAAGTTAACAGGTCGTAAAACTCTTGGGCTGTGTTTATTAAATGTTAGGCAATCATTAGCAAGGAAGTGCCATCTTCCAGTGTTAATGAAATATCTGTAAAAATCTATGACTGTGAGCAATGCAGGACTTGAGGCCACTTGGGAGACAGTTACATGGATTTATGGCTAATTACATATTTTTTGGAACCAATATTGCCATGTTTGAGAAGATGACTTGAATAAAAGGCTTCAAAGCCTCTGTGGACTCTCCCATCATTCCTCTGGTGCACAAGGAGGGTGAATGAAGGAAGGCTGGGGGATAGAAAAGAGGAGAAACAGAAGAAAAAGTAGTAAAGGACAACTGCTGTCAAAAAGTACCTCTCCTCAGGGTCACGGTGTCTAAATGGCTGCCATTAGAAAGCCATTCCTCAGAGTAGAATGTTATCCAAACTATGCAGATGTCCCTCTGAAAGCAAACAACCCTGGAAGAACTTCTTACAGCTAACTGGAAAAAGTCAACTTTGTAATGGTCTGTATGAAAAAGAGCTGGCAGTTTTAGCCACCAGTTCAACATGAGTTCATAGACCAACAAAGTAAGTAGGCAGTAGGCAGTAATAATAACGTCATAAGGACCAGAACAAAGGAAGTGAAGCCACAGGCGTACCTCAACTGGAGTTGCAGATTCAGTTCTGGTGATCATATTTTGAAAGGAGCATTGAAAGGCTAGACTGAGCTCTTGAGAAGTGCATTGGATCATGAAAGGATAGAACCCATGTCACTGGAAGGTCTTTTGAAAGAAATGGGAATGTTTAGCCTGGAAAAGCAAAGACTAAGAAGCTTGACAGTTGTCTTCAAATACTGTAAAAGTTTCCATGTGGATAAGAAGCAAATTTATTCTGCACGTCCAATGGATAGAGGCCTCTTGGCAAGTTTTAACTTTAAAATTTTTTGTGTTTTTAACTTTTAAGTTCAGAGGTACAAGTGCAGGTTTCTTACATAGGTAAACTTGTATCATGGGTTTTGTTGTTGTTATTGTTGTTTTGAGATGGAGTCTCGCTCTGTCTCCCGGGCTGGAGTGCAGTGGTGCAACTCTGCTTACTGCAACCTCCACCTCCCAGGTTCAAGTGAATCTCCTGCCTCAGCCTCCCCAGTAGCTGGGACTACAAGCATGCGCCACCATGCTGGCTAATTTTGTATTGTTTAGTAGAGATGGGGTTTCACCATGCTGGCCAGGCTGGTCTCGATATCCTGAGCTCAGGTGATCCACCCACCTCGGACTCCTAAAGTGCTGGGATTACAGATGTGAGCCACCATGCCCAGCCTTATGGGGGTTTATTGTACAGATTATTTCATCACCCAGGTATTAAGCCTAGTACCCATAGTTATTTTGCCTAATCCTCTCCCTCCTCCTACCCTCCACCCTCTGAAAGGCCTCAGTGTGTGTTGTTCCCCTCTATGTGTCCATCAAAAGGTAAAAGTCATCCATGAATGAAATGGGCTGACTCAAAAGGTAGTCAGTTCACTGTCTTAGAGGTAAGCAAGCAGAACCTGGATGATCACCTGTTAAAGATACAGTGCAGAAATCCCTTCACTAAGTGCAAGGCTGAGTGAAAGAGTTTGAAATGTTTAACAGTCTATAAATTTGAGGTCATTAACACTTTAATATCAATTGGTTGATTCCATGTCTTTCCCTGGCACTAGCAGCTAGGGCCAATAAGGGACCCCTAGGGACCTGCAGGTGGGGAGAAGGATAAAAACATGTACAGAAGGTAGGGGTGTAGGTAACTAAAACCACAGGCAAATGAAGTTATTAACTTCTGGTTGTTGAGTAGGAAGGGTGTGGAGTGAGATTTTCTTGATGACCAGAAGAGGAGAAACAGCTTCAGTCCTAAAACTTTCACTAACTCACTCTGGATATTGAGTTATTTTATCATGGCCCTTAGTTTCCCCATCTGTAAATAGGGAGCTACACTTGATTGTCTTTCAGGACCTTTCTAGATCTACCATGAAAAAATTCTGGATTCTAAAGTGAAAGTAGCTCTGTGACCTCAGTCCGCCACCAGATCTACCTGGGCCTCTATTTCTTCACTTAGGAAGCATAGAAAATGATGCCTGTCTCTAAACCGCCTCTCCAAGATGCCATAAGGAATAATGAGGCTATTTGTCGCTCCTCCGAGCTCAGTGTTGAATGTTCAATCACCATTGAGAGGTACTTGTATGCAGACATTTCAGGTACATAATATAATATTATAGGCATAGAAAAGCATAAAAAGATTTGTAATTAAGATAAAGAATCAATCAACCTACCCTTTCTATTTTATAAGCTCAGCCCAAGCAAATGGCAAGTGGCTGCATTCAAGGTCACAGAGTATATATTTGTGCATTTTTATGTTTAATGTGAAATAAAACTCTCAATTGAAATAAAAAGGCCTTGCTATTAGTCATTTATTTAGTCCATACATAAGGAGTTCACACTGTGTTTGGGGCACTGTGCAAGGCACCATGAGTCACTGAGGGTAGAAGTAGGTATGGTTTCTCTCTTCAAAGATCTTGCAGTCTAGAGGGAGAGATTGAAGTTGGACAAAAATAGCTTCTGGACATTAACAGTGGCTGGCCAGTCAACTCTGGAGCCCCAGCACCCAGTACTGTGTAAGGCACACAGTAAGCATTTGCTAATTATTTCACAAATAAATTTGTGAATGAAAGTTTTCTGGACCCCATGAAGAGCTGTGCGGTGCAGATAAAACACCAGGAGTCCAGAGGAGGAAGAAATGTATGTTAGCTGAGAAACTCAGAGAATTCTTCATGGATAAGGTTGACCCATGGAGCTTTGGAAGGGGGAGAAGATGGGAATAGGACATTCCACATGGTAGTTTCAGCAAGGCCAATGTCACAGAGGCAGGAAGGTGTTAGTCAAGTGGACTGACCTCTTTCTGAGTGCCTCATCCTCTCTTCTAGGCTATTTACCTAAGCTAGGCTGACTCTTAATTAATATCACTGGCTTTGGTTTCCCCCAAGCTGATCTATTCTACACACTACTGCTGGCCTCATCTTCCTAAAGCACAGCTATAATCATGGCATTGCCCTTGTCAGAAGCATACGCTGACTCTTCACTATCAGCTGAATAAAGCTCAAGCCCCAAAGCCAAGCAACCTAAGCCTTTGTGATCTGGCTACAGTGTTTCTGAATGAATAAACTTACACTGTTCTGTGTCACTTAGCCCCTGGTAGGTAGACTTTCCTTCCCTCCATCGTGAGTAATCCTTTGGTTGTTTCCATGTCTAACTTGTGGTCTTCTTTCCATATGAAAATCCTTCTCCTAATATCTTCACATCCAAATTGTACCCACACCTCAAAATTTTTTGTTTGTTTGTTTGTTTTTACTACAGAGTCTCACTCTGTCACCCTGGCTGGAGTGCAGTGGCACAATCTTGGCTCACTGCAGCCACCGCCTCCCTGGGTTCAAGAAATTCTCATGCCTCAGTCTCCCGAGTGGCTGGGGTTACAGGTATGCACCACCACACCTGGCTAATTTTTGTATTTTTAAGAGAGACTGGGTTTTGCTATGTTGGCCAGAGTGGTCTCAAACTCATCACTCAAGTGATCCACCAACCTTGGCCTCCCAAAGTGCTGGGATTACAGCCACGAGCCACAGCACCTGGCCCCAAGGTCTTAATTTAGTACCACTTCTTAATAAAACTTTGACTTGAACTCCTGTAAAAGTCATCTGTGAACTTCTATTCCTATGCCTACATCACTTATAGACGATGGTTCCATTTCTATCTAGTTAAATGTATACATATCTTGTCTCTTCCATCAGACACAGACAAAAGAAAAATTGCTTGAGAACAGTTTTCCCAGAACTCAGCTTAGACCTAGGCCCAGAGCAGGTGCTCCGTGTGAGATTAGTAAATCTTACTTGGGTTTCTGCCAACTTCTTGGAGATTCCTCAGTGGCTATGTGTGTGCCACTCCATTCTGTACTGGCTAAGGCTAACTGATACAAAAGCAGAGACCCTGGACTAAAGTTAAGCCACTCAGATTCTTGCTGTGGGGATCACATTGAAGACACATGAGACAGAAGACAGTGGGAGCTGAGTTCTTTCATGGTGAGCTCGGCAGGGAAGATCAGAGAGGCCTAATTGATGAGGTTCCTGGAGGTGTCCTGTTTGTTTCATGGGTTTGGGGTTTGTTTGTTTGCTTTTGCTCATTCTTATACATGTAGCATAGGGTTGCTTTGCTAAGGCTTCCATAACAAAGTACCACAAACTAGGTGGCTCAAACAACAGAAGTTTGTTGTCTCACCATTTTGGAAGCTGGAAGTCCAAGATTTAGTTGTCGCCAGAGTTGTTTCCTTTTGAGGAATATGAGGAAGGGATATGATCTGGACCTCTCTCCCCTTTGCTTGTAGATGGCCATCTTCTTCCTGTGTCTCTTCACATCAACTTCTCTCTATGCATGTCCTAATTTTCCCTTGCTAAAAGGACACCAGTCATAATTGAGTAGGGGCCCAGCAGACTTCAGTATAACTGCATCTTATCTTCACTAATCACATCTGCAATGATACTATTTCCAAATAAGATTGCATAAATTTGGAGCGAGGGGGACAAAATCCAACCCATATCCATCATTTCAGCTTTTACAGACTATGAGCTGTTTCAGCATCACTTCAATAGCCTCTCTTTTGTCTTCTTAAATTATTCAAGTTGAGTCACTTGTAAACAAAGAACCCTGACAGATAAAGTGGGTGACTAAATGAGTAAATAAATGAATAGGTCAGTTCATAAAACAAAACAAAAAAAGATAAATAGGCAGGTGGATAGGTGAGTGATAGGTGGGTGAGAGAGTGAGAGTGAGAGAGTGAGTGAGTGAATGAATGTGGCCACAGCCTGGCTTCTCTCCCCATCCGTCCTTCTTTCCTTCATTTTCCCTCTCTAACTAGGAGCTACCAGAGATAGAGGTTCAGGCCTGGTAAGCATAATGTACGCTGGACCCTATCCTAACCACCCTCCTTTTAAAAAGTTATCAGCCTATCTGGGGATATTTCATCAGAACCAACAGCAAGGAAGATGAGACACCATCTCCTTTGCTAAGCCTGTACTGCTTTGGATATTGAGACAGAACATCAGTTAGCTAGGAGAAAAGTCACATTTTATTCAGCCACGGAACATGATGGGGTGGGGGGCAGGTAGAGGGATGAATGCAGATGTGAGATTCTCATGGTCTCTACTGGGGAAAAGAAGGCTGCCCATCGGCTAATTTTAACAAATGCCACCAAGTAATGACAGTTTCCCCAGAGGAGTATCTCTATTTTCTCTTCCTAGCATATTAATTGGAAACTGGAATCATTGTTGGAGGAAATTAGAGTCTCCCTCTCACGACTTTCTCCATAGAATATAAAACCCCAGATAATTTAAGGTGACAGAGGAGACAACACTTAACCTCTTCACCTCTCCTGCTTCCCATCACCAATGAGCAATCTGGGTCCCCCGTGGTATGCAGGAAGACTGGTTCTGTGGGGACACACTGAAAACCTGCTCCATAGCTCCATTCACAGAGGCTGTTCTGCATCCCACCGTCACTCTGCTGCAGAAACACATTTTGTAGAAGCAGAAATAGGACACATTTGCTTGACAATATGTGCTCTCGCAGATACCTCTGGCACCAATATAGAGCTTGTTTTCTTTCTCTCTCATTCCTTCTTTTCTTCCCTCTACCACTACCTGTTATTGTTCTGCCTCTCATTCAGATTCTAGTAACATTTATTAATCACCTACGATTCACAAAAAATAGATTAAGACCTGTAATCCCAGCACTTTGGGAGGCCAAGGCAGGAAGATCACGAGGTCAGGAGATGGAGACCATCCTGGCTAACATGGTGAAACCCCGTCTCTAATAAAAATACAAAAAATTAGCCGGGTGTGGTGGCGGGCATCTGTAGTCCCAGCTACTGGGGAGGCTGAGGCAAGAGAATGGCGTGAACCCAGGAGGCGGAGCTTGCAGTGAGCCGAGATCGCGCCAGTGCACTCCAGCCTGGGCAACAGAGCGAGACGCTGTCTCGAAAAAAAAAAAAATAGATTAAGAACTTTCATGTGGCTTATCTCATTCAATGCAATCTTGTGACTATTACTTTTCATTAAACAGATAAGAAACTTGGACAGACACAGACCTTACCTGATCAATCTATCTAAAGTATTCTTACAGGAACTCTCTTTCATGGCACACTCCTCCTCCCTGATATATCACTGTCTGATATTACCTGGCTTATTTGTTTGCATATTAATGATCAGTTTTATTATAAGAAATTCTTTGAAGGCAGGGACTATGTCTGTTTCCTTCACTGCTAAATCTCCAGCACCTAAAACTGACACAGAGTAGGCACTTGATATATAATGAGGTGACTGTGGGCCTTAGTGATTGCAAAACCCACCCCTGAAGATGTAGAATTTATTTTACTGGAGCTTTGAAGGATAAGCAGGATAAGAATAAACATTCTGGGCAGGGTAAACAGCATGAGGAAAGGTGTAATAATGGTGATGTTCCCCTTCATTCGTATCCCACTTTCAGAAAAGAAATATGAGCACTCCAAAATATATTCACAACTTTTTTTTCTAAAATACTCAGTTACAACGTGGTAACAAGAATCCCCTTGGATGGCTTAGGATAGGTCAGAGGGTGAAACCGGCTCATCTGAACCATATCTAGTTTATTGGAAGGGAGAGCACATGAGACCACAATTCAAAATAGCTGAATTCCAATCCTTGCTTGATCATGCATAGCTTGTGAAAACATAGAGAAATTTAGGACTTGCAGGGACCACAACCCTCATTATTCACTTAGGCTCAATCATTTATACAGGCACAGCCTCTGAAGAGTGTTTCTTTGCAAAGCTATTACTCTTATCCCTTTCCAGTGAATGTCCCACTATCCAACAGCAGCCAGAGTGGTGTTTTTAAAAGCTAAATCTGATCATGTCACTCCCTTTTCAAATCCCTCTGATGGCTTCCTGTCACCCTAGTGCATAATCCAAGTTCCCACCCTGGCCTGCTAGACCTTCCTTACATGATCTGGCCTCTGCCACACTGACCTCCTTGATGTTCCAAGAGCATGTCAAGCACATGCCTACCTCAGGTACTTTGAACTTGGGGTTTGCTCAGCCTGAAATTCTTTTCACTGGGTCTATGCATGGCTCATCCTTTGTCTTAATTCAGTTCTCTGTTAAAAATTACCTCTTCAGAGAGAGAACTTCTTATTACTGTATCGAAGATAGCACTCTCTAGTTTAATGTCTTATCACCACGCTTTGTGATTTCTGTTGTGCTTATGTCTGATATTGTGTTATGTATTTACTTTTTTTATTTGTTTCTTGTCTAACTCCCTTTGCTAAAATGTATGTTCCATGGGGATAGTTCTTTCTCTTTTACTTCTGTCTATACAATTTCTGGCACAAAGAGGGTAGTCAATAAATTAATGTTAAATATATGAATAAAATAAAAGTCCTTTATTTTGCAGTCTTAGAATAAATGTATGCTCTCATTTTAACAATATTTCACAGCTAGCTGATACTTAAGTCAGGACAGGGACTTACGTACCCTGCTTCCCAATCCAGTCTTCTTTCCATTGTCTCCAGTGACCTCATATGTCTGTTTTCCTCATGTGTTAAATGTGTATAGTATTCCTAAATTGCCTTCCCTGCAAAGCTCTTTTATATGGATCAAAAGAAAGTTTCTTGTAAAATGAACAAATTCCAATGTTTATATAAGAATTAAAAGATGCAAGGATGGTGATAGTTTTAATTGATTAGCTGGAGGGATAGTTGCATTCAGCGTTTAAGGAAAAAAATAATCCTATACATGTCATCATATAATGCATCTCGAATTCCTGAGATTGTAATGCATCTATCAAGGAACCTCTGATGGAACAGCTAACTAGGGCGCTGCTTGTGGAAACCAGAATAAATCCAATTTGAATGAGACATATAGCACATTTTGGGAAACATCTCAAGAATAGTTTTCAAGTGGGATGGTGACCAGCTGTTCTCCCTTTCTACCCAGAAAGGGGGAGAACTACCATGGGGGTTTAGGGACTAGGTGTAGGAGAGATTATATCAATTCTGGAGAGATGTGACTTTTAAGAGGCACAGAAGAGAGAGACATGGACTTAGCATGAGGCTCACTCTCTAGTTACCTTTATAAAACAAATCTGGCCAGGTATCCCCGTGCTTACAACCCTTCAGTGGGTCCCCATTACCCTTGTTATCAATTACAAACTAATTAGCTTGATTTTATAGACCCTTCATTAAATGGCTCCCAGCATCCTCTTCAGACTCATTTCTTTCCACTTCTTGACCATATAGTACTGTCCAATATGACAGAGCTCCTTGTATCTTACACACACACACACACACACTCATACACAAACAACATACACCTCACTGCTCCCTTCCTCTGTCAGTTTATTTTTGTACTTCCTGCTTCATGGAGCAACTTTTACCTCTTCACCTGTATGACTTTTTATCCCTTAAGACAGAGCTCTGCCTTCATTTTCCAGCAAGGCTTTTCTGCAAACATATACTCCTACACATAAAATTGACACATGCTTCATGATGTCTCGTGCAGAACTCAGAATTCTCATAAATATGTTATACTTTAATGATAATTTTATATGTGGCAGAAATTTGGTCTCTTTGGCTTTTGAACTTCCTCTATATAGTCCCTGGCACAGAAAATGGTCTGGAGATGCCAAATACATGACAGGTAACACTAAAAAAAGCTGACTCTCGATTACTGTAAGAATCATCTTTTTCAAAGTCACTGAGATCTGGGGTACCTTTGGGATTCCCTTTCATGACCAGGAGCTGTTCTATCCATCAGGACTTCAGAGGCATGAAATAAAACCATGTTTTTAAAACACTGGCTGTAACTTCAGAGATTAATCCCTTTTCCCAGACCTTCTCCTATGCCCATTCCACAGCCTAGAGAACTGAAATACACCATAGGCATACAACCAGGTGGGCAGCACACAATGCCCAAATGCTAAAACAATATTTGGTACCAGGATAAAGTGGAAGTGTGTATCTGAACATTGCAGGAGTGAGGATGCTCAGAATAAAACTAAGCAACTAGGAAGTGGGAGGCTGAACCATTTAGGGATAAGCAGTGCATCCTTGGATGTAGAAGGATACTCATAAAAATATACACAACCTCATAAGGACACTTGGGTTACAGGAATAAAAGCTGTAGATGGGGATCGATGCATAGATTGCTATAGGAACCTGGGCTCTTCTGCACACATCCATTAACGAATGCAATTTCGCTGTTCGTGGTGCTGAATTTTTATCCTGAGCTGAAACACAACCCACTCACCATTCTCCTTCTCCTCCCTGAGAAGTTGCCAGGTACCTGCTAGCCTTCCATTTATTTAGGCTCCACTGTAGCACTTATCACAATGTATTATAATTATTCTGCTTAAATTCTGCTTCTCCCACTAGATGTGAACTTCCTGAAGCAGAGGATATGACTTATCATATTTGCTTTGTTAGGATAGCACTGAAACCAGTATTCATCTGTTAAGTAAATGTTCTAAGCACCTACTCTTTACAGGTCGGGTATTCAATCTAAGCATACCAGGAAAAACAAAAATTGATTACTCTCCTCATGGATTTGCAATCTAATGGGAGAGAAAAGCAAGCAAATAGAAATTATAATATTTTGTGGTTAAGTGTTATAAAATAAAGAAAAATAACTGGGGCTATAGAAACACAAAGGAGGAGCCACTACCCCAGTTCTTGGACTCAGTAAAGGTTTTGTAAAGGATTTGTCCTATATGTTGAAAGAAAAGTGTAGGATTCAGTCAGAAGAATAGTGAAACTGGATAGAGCTGGGGTGAGGAAAATTGGGGGAAGGGGAAATGTCAGATGCATTCGCTTATAGGCAAGAAAATGTGAGCATAGAGAGTTGTCTATGGTGGATTGTAGAGGAGGCAATGTATTTACTATTGGAGAGGTGGCAAGACAAGAAATTTTAATTTTATCCTGGAGACAATCCAAAGTCACCAAATGGCTTTCTTCAGAAAACTGCAGGGTAGAATATTTAATAATCACATGGTATATATTCAATTAATATTTATTGAATGTAAGAATGAGTAAATGAATCTCTAAGAAGTGAGGTTCCAGGAATTTTTTTCTTCTAATAAAGTATGTTTGATGTTATTATCTACTTACTAGGACAGGAAGGAAAGGGGAGAATGGATGGTGTAGCTTAAGCTCTAGAAGGTAAATATGACTGGGCCATTTTTCAGGGATGGCTTCATTGCTGCTCAGGCTAGAGGCCAGAGGACAAATTAAAAGGCCTCATGTGCTACCTTATAAAACAATCATTAGGGAGCAGTATTCTAGGTATATGGGACACAAAGATGGTGGAAAATGAGGTGTAAAACCCCTGCAGGATAGTTCAGTTGGTATCTGCCAGAAAAGTCCAAGACAATTTGATGATTCATATTAAGTTATTCTGTAAAAATTGGAAAGACCTTGAACCTATTTCAAACCTCCAAGATGGTGACCCTAAGAAAAATACATATTTTTTTAGAGTTAGTCGTTGGAGTAGTCCTGGCATGGCCTATCATATACATTAGGTCCCTACAAGAGCAGAGAATGGTATTTAATTTAAGTATTTCCTGAACACCTCAAAGATTCCATATTAGGTACCATGGAGGAGAGAGATAAATAAGAAGTGGTTCTATTTGAGGAGTTTACAGTCCTGTAATGATAGACTTTTAAGAAACACAATTATACAACTCCAAGTCCAGGTTGAACAGGATAAGAGAAAAAATAATAACAGGGAATTACTTTCTATTAGAGGAAATAAGAATGTTTTATAGTGAGGACATGACATTTTCCTGGGTCTTTTATGTAGGATTTTGATAGACTTAAATGGTAAGGTCTAGGGAGGGCATTCTGGGTTGAGGAAATTAGGTTTGCAAAGGCATGTGGTTGAGAACGCAAAGGGCACATGTTAGTGTAAGAAAGGGTCTGATTTGACTGTAATGTAGGGAGTAAGAACAGAAGCTAAAGGCATATGAGGTTGGAAGAAAAGTTTGCAGTCACACATGAAGGTTCTTGCAGCTTATGCTCAGTAGTGCAGATTTTATTCTTTGGCTGGTATGAGGAGCCACCAGATGTTTCTTTTTTCCCTTTTTTTATTTCAATAGCTTTAGGGGTACGAGTGGTTTTTGGTTACATAAATGAATTGTAAAGTGGCAAAGTCTAGGCTTTTAGTGTACCTGTCACCTGACTAGTGTACACTGTACACAATAGGTGATTTTTTTATCCTTCAGCCCCTACTCACCCTCTCCTCTTCTGAGTCCCCAGTTTCCATTATACTATTGTGTATGCCTTTGCGTACCCATAGCTTAGCTCCCACATATAACTGAGAACATGCAGTATTTGGTTTTCCATTCCTGAGTTACTTCACCTAGGATAATGGCCTCCAGTTTTATCCAAGTTGTTGCAGAGGACAGTATTTCATTCTTTTTTATGGCTGAGTAGTATTCCATGATTTTGTGTGTGTTTGTCTGTGTGTATGTATGTGTGTGTGTATATATACGTATACATATATATATACACACACACATACATACACACACACATATATGTATATATGTGTGTGTATATATATATATACACACATACATACATACATACACCACATTTTCTTTATCCACTTATTGGTTGGTGGGCACTCTTTACGATTGTGAATTGTGCTGCGATAAAAATGTGCATGAAGGTGTATTTTTGATATAACCACTTCTTTTCCTTTGGGTAGATACTCAGTAGCAGAATTGCTGAAGATCCACCAGATATTTCCAAGTATGGGACTGACATGTTAGAGAAAAGGATGGTGGAAATATCCAATTCTGGAAGTCTGGTGTACATAATTCTGAGAAAGGTGGTGTTTGGTCCCGTTGGTTCAATCTCCATTTCACTGAGAGAGCTAAACCCTGGGGAGTAGAGGGAGGCACTATCTATTCCCTGTTCTTTGCCCAGGTAGCCATGAGACCTCAAAGATTCTCCCTTCATTGTGGAATGGCCGATGCACCAAATGAAACATCGTCTCATGATGGGTCTGGCTGCATCTGGAGTTAGCCATGAAGCAAATTAATGAGCAGATTTAGTGAGGGCTTTTGGCTCTGCTGCCTCCCACATTTGGACAACAGATATGCAGCAGTGGCAGCCGGAAACCAGGAGGCTGCAGTGAAGATGGAGGTGGGAAGAGAAGAAGAGGCCCCAAGGGAGACATCCTGCAGAGTTTATGGTGTGGTGAGGTTTCTATAAAATGAGAAGAAAAGGGAGGGAGAAGAGAACACTTGATGTACTTCCATCCTTCAGTCCTCATTTGGGAAAAAACACACACATTATGGGTGAACCCATGAGTCTTTATTGGACAAGAGTGGCCTGAACATTCAGCTGGGAACAATTTTCTCCAGAACGGGGATCCAGGCCAGGTGCTGTTTGTCATTCTCACTTCTCTGACTCCACTTCTTTCTCCAAAGACCCAAGGGGGAAAGCACAAATAGGTGACAGATGATCTCTTTCTCTGGGAGTAATTCAGGGTTTGGCCACTATTTCCTACACAGATTGTTGCCTCTGAGGCTTGAAGATGAGACAAAAATTAAAGAATGCAAAGCAGTCTTATTCTTGAGGGGAATGATCATCCAATCCCGCTAAAGTTCCACTCCATTTCAACTAACGGTTTTATATTTGAGCACCTATTATATGCCAGGTATCAAGCTAGACGTCATCACATACCTTCTCATCCATAAAGAAAAAAATAACCAAGTACAAGGAAATTAAAAAAGATCCTAAGATCTCAGTGAATCTGAAGATGAGCTCAAATAGAATAAATTCCAGTTCTAGAATATATTAATTTTAAAAGTTATAAAATAGACTGAAAAGAACTTTACATGCCGATAGACTTTGTTAGAGTATTGGGATCTGTTTCAGTCTTTTTATTTTAATATAGAACCTGGGCCAGTTTCTAGTCACAGAGTACAAGAGCCAAGAATTCTCCATCCTAAGGATGCAAAGAACTGGTGACTTAACTGGAACAAGGAAAGATCAAGAGCTGAAAATATTTTCCAACACATGATAAATGCATTTTCTCAATGACAGAATACAAAGTAAGTGGTGAAAATCAATAGCTTCTAATTTTTTCACCTGGTCCATAAAAATCTCTACATTAGTACTGTGAGCCAACCCATTGTCCCTATGGATTTCATTATGCCTTCATCCCTTATCAGAATTCCTTATTCACGGTAGTGAAGAGGGGTTGAGGGAGCCTTTAATTTTGGGGATACTTTACTGTGTTTTAGAATAATCTGAGGATTTTACAAAATACGTGTTCCTGGGACTCAGCTTTAGATGTTACAAAAGTTACAGCAAGTTGGTAGCAGAGTCATCCAGGACCCCTTGCCCTAGTTCTCTGCCATCCAGCTACCTCCTGCAGCCCAGACCTGGCCACCCTGCATCTCTGCTCTCTGAGAGTGCATCCCACTGACTCCTCTCTCCTTTTCCTTCTCATTTCTCTAAACAAGCTGGTTCTGAAAGTGAAATTCGCTCCTAGAAATCAAGCCAGGGAATAACCTGACTATTTCTTGCCAAGAAGTAATAATTATGGCCCTGGAAGGATGCAATCTGCATACATTATTGCAAGTTATGCCAACAGAATGTCAACATTTGTGTCAGGAGGAATCTCGAGCGGCAATTACTCCAGGTCTTGGCCTGGCTTTTAAGACAGAGTTGGCGGTGCTAATTGCAGGGGAGGTGAACTGGCGGGCGGGCGGGTTACACAGGGAACCACAACCTTAAAGGTCAGTGTGTGGTAGGATAGAAATGAACTTAGGGCTGGATAGGTCATGAGAATAGTGGGGGTGGAACTGCTCTTTACTAAGATGACAGGGAGGCTAGTCACAGGCACCTTCACTTTTTAGTCTCAGGTTTTCCCCTACAGTTAAGGGTCTACCTTCTCATAGATACTGAGGGGAAGTTTAGACTTTAATTTCTCCCTTCAATGGAGCAGAGCAAAGTGATAAACTCTATTATCTGTTCACGCATTCATCTGTTTATTGAGCACCTACACACCCCAAACACACAATGCTAGGGGCAAAGATTCAGAAGGGCAGTGGGCTCAGTCCCCGCTCCGTGCAAGCTCATAGTCAGGTGGAAAGATAGACCCACAAGAGATCACTACAACACAACATGTAAGTGTTAAACGTACAAAATGCTCTGAGAAGGTGGGTGATAACAGGGATTTGGGGCAGGGGAGAAAGAGGGGGCACATTTTGTAAGGGAGTTAGGATGTGAGCTGCAATTTAAAAGATGAACGAGTAGAAATCTACTCTACCAGTGGTAGAATTCTCAGGATAAGGGAATTAATGTATGTGGAAAATAGAAACAGAAACTCTACCACCTCTAACAATCAAGACAAACTAAATGTAAGAATAAGCAGTAATACGTAAAAATATAGAAAAATGCATCCAGTGAATTGACTTATTGAAAGGAAAAAAAAGTTAAAGAGCTCAGTTGTAGTCTTTCCTCTGCCACATAGGAAAGGTACCTAGCATTTATTGGGAAACTTCTAAGTGTTAGATATTTTGCATGTAATTAAAAATAATACTTTAATTACATTATTATATTATAAAAACTATCTACACGATCTTGTCTTAAGCCATTTTACAGTTGCAGATACCATCTGGAAGAGGTTTAAAACGTTGCCCAAAGTCACTCAGTAGAAAAAGGCACAAGTTAAAAGCAAGTCTTCTGGATCCCAAAGCCCAAGCTTTCCCCAGTATCTGATGTAGCTTCTAAGACAAGTCAACTAAACTCCAAGTCTTTGGTTCCTCATCTGTAAACAGAATCATTATATCAGTCTAAGGTTTTCACTTTTTTTTCCTACAATGCAGGTAAACTGCAGAGAATAAGTGAAGTGGAGATCTGGGGAGGGGCTTAGTGAATAAAGTGGCCTGCCACAGATGCTTCTTTGAAGTCACATGTTTTTGTTTTATGTTTAAAATTCTTGCAGTCTTCTTTAGACTATATCCTTGCTTGAATATACAAGTCTTAAATTCCACATTAGCTAAATTACTTAATTTTTCTTCCTAAAGCACTCAATAAAACTAATGCTTCAGGAAGTGGTGTCCAGCATCTATAAAGGTGGGGAGAAGGAACAGCAAAACCATTTCATGTTGGACTTCAAGTTCCGGGGAGCCTCAAATTGTGGTTACAGTGTAGTGGCAAATTTGTGCAAGGGAGTAAGGTGAGTCCTTATCTCAAAATATCTCCTAAAGGAAATTCATCAATCCTTGGAACTACTTCGATCACGGCGTGGGAGACTAGAATGGCCCTGAGAGAGGGCTTTAAAAATACAAAACCTTGGCTGGTCGTGGTGGCTCACGCCTGTATTCTCAGCACTTTGGGAGGCTGAGGTGGGCAGATCACGAGGTCAGGGGATTGAGACCATCCTGGCTAACATGGTGAAACCCCGTCTCTACTAAAAATACAAAAAAAAAAAAATTAGCCAAGCATAGTGGTGGGCGCCTGTAGTCCCAGCTACTTGGGAGGTTGAGGCAGGAGAACGGCGTGAACCCAGGAGGTGGAGCTTGCAGTGAGCCGAGATCGTGTCATTGCACTCCAGCCTGGATGACAGAGCAAGACTCCGTCTCAAAAAAAATGAATAAATAAAAATACAAAACCTTATACATGAGAAGATGCAATACTTGGTTTTCTGTGTCTGTCTTGTTTCAGTTAAGATAGTGGCCTCCTATCTCACCATGTTGCTGCAAAAGGCATCATTTCATTATTTTTATGGCTAAATAGTATTTTATTGTGTATATGTACCACATTTTCTTTACTCAATCATCTATTAACCTAAATAATTTGTACACAGGGACATAGAGTATGGAATAATAGGCAATGGAGACTCAGTAGAAAGAAGAAGTGGGAGAAGGGTGGAAGATAAATTACTTAATGGTTACAATGTATTTTATTTGGGTGATGGATAGCCTAAAAGCCTTGACTTCACCACTACACAATCTATGCATGCAATAAAATTGCACTTGTACCCCATAAGTTTATACAAATTTTAAAAATTCAAAAATAAAAATATGAAATCTTTCCAGGTCTCACTGAAGCTCCCAGAAGCCCAAGCATAAGGTGCACATCCTATGGCTCTACTTGTATCCTGGAGCATCGCAAGGACTCCTACTGGGAGCACAACTCCCAGCTGGAGAAGCTTGACCCTAGATGATCTTAAACATTCCTTGCAGTGTTTTGATTCCCCATCACTGTGAAAGCCTTTCACTTTTCAAAATCCCCAAGCTAACAAAAACCATCTTTTTCCTGGGGGAGCAGTTACACTTTAGCTTATTGGGATGAAGAAACATAAAAGAGGAGACAAACGGTTCCACCACTGACTGGCTGTGTGACCTTAGTGCTCAGAGTTTCAGCCTCTCTCCTATAAAGAACTCAAGCCAGGAGGCTAAGGCAAGAGAATTGCTTGAACCTGGGAGGCGGGGGTTGCAATGAGCTGAGATCACGCCACTGCACTCACTCCAGCCTGGGCGACAGAGCAAGACTCCGTCTCAAAAAAGAAAGAAAAAAAAAAGAACTCAAGCCACGTGCTGTGTGTATTAGTCCGTTCTCACACTGCTATAAAGATACTGCCTGAGACTGGGTAATTTATAAACAAAAGTGGCTTAATTGACTCAGTTCTGCATAGCTGGAGAGGCCTCAGGAAACTTACAATCATGGCAGAAGGTGAAGAACAAACAAGGCATGTCTTCATGGCAGCAGGAGAGGAAGAGAGCGTGCAAGGAAGTGCCACACTTTAAAACCATCAGCTCTTGTGAGAACTCACTCACTGTCAGGAGAACAGCATGGGGGAAACCGCCTCCATGATCCAATCACTTCCCACCAGGTCCCTCCCTCAACAAGTGGAGATTACAATTCAAGATGAGATTTGTGGGAGACACAGAGCCAAACCATATCAATATGGAATGTTCTTTTATTCCAGCTGTAGAAACAGATGATCACACATCAAATCTACCAACCAAGCTCTGATTCTAAGCTGGAAAAGTGGATTTGTATGGGAGGTAGGGGCATTTAGGAGGCTAAAGTGATTTCACATGGGTAGCTATGCCTGTCAAAGTTTACCTCCGGAGTCACAGCTCAGAGTCAGCACCGGATAATGCTGCCACACCTGTCTCAGATCCTGGATTGTGTGAAGTTTATGGGACAGAATGAACAGCAGGACACAAGGGGATCCACAGGACAAAGAATCATGCCCTTGAAACCGGTGGGAGGTGAAGAAAGGAGGCTTAATTAATGACCCATCAGCACTGATGAGCAGAGGAGCTAACGGGCCAGCTGCAGCTTCCTGGCTGTGACATGCTCACACCAGGCAGGGGCCAGCAGCCTCTGAACCCGGCAGTAGATGTCTGTGACACAGTGTGCCTCCTGCTTCGGCTGACACATCTTGATTAGTTTCTGTCCCTTGGACTTGGGTACTTTTCTCCCTGGGATGTGTGTCTCACTCCTTCAAAGGAGCAGCAAGTGGTGAGGAAAGGCTTTATCATGATCAGTAGCTGACTCAAGTGGGGTCAGGATGTTGACTTAGAAAATTACTGTTTTCCTAGAGTCTGAATAAATCCAGTACCAGACCCAGACCTTTCAGGTTTAGAGAATTTAATTTAGAGCAATTGATTTATCCATTGTGGACAGATGGACTCTATAAAGTATTTTTGGACAGGATTTATGGAAGGTTTTCCCCACCTAACATGGTTTAAAAAAATATTAAACAGTTGCTGACAAACTCCCCTGATCTTTGCAGGATCCATTCCCCATTAGACGGTGCTCATGTCAAGAGATAAACAGGTGAAAAGTGGCATCCTAATTGTCGTGTGAAACTGGTGTCATGAATAAAGAAGAAAGAGGGAGTGGCAGCTATCAGCAGCTATCCCCCCATGGGGGATCAGAGATTTGGTTCTGGAGGAAGTTTGCTGTTTAGCTTTCAATGCTCACATCATAGTCAGTGCCATTGAAAAGAGAAGAAAACTGAGAAGTACAGGCTGAATTCAAGTTCCTCATTGATTTCTTTCTCTTTTAATTATGTGGGGAAAACAACATGAAAATACAGTTAGGATTAAGATAAGAGTGTGGACTGCAGGTTAAAATGTTACATTGAGTTTAATTAAGGAGAGAATTGAGAATATTTCAGAATGATGGGTAGGTGTGGGGATGGGGTGGGGCAGGCAATTAGAAAGATCATCTAAGGCAGCAGTCAGCAAAATTTCTCTGTAAAGGTCCAGATAGTAAATATCTTGGATTTTGCAGGCCAAATGGCCTCTGCTGCATCTATTCAGCTCTGCCATTGTGTGTGAAAAGTAGGTACAGATAATACATAAGTGAATGGTCATGAACGTATTCTAATAAAACTTTACAAAAACAGATGCCAGCCAGGTCTGGCCCACAGGCCATGGTTTGTTGATCCTTGATCTAAAGTGTGTGATGACTCCATATTTCCCTCCTACCATACTAGGCTGTTCTATCATGTTTAGACCATCATAGTACCTAATATGAAGCTCTCTGGAAGAGATCCCATGGAGGAACAGCACCAAGAATTCAATCATAAGCATTCATTGAGCATATATTATGTCAGACATGGAATAGGCACTTTGCACATATCATTTCTAACATTTGCCACCCTATGGGTAAAAAATGTATTATGGTCACTATGTCATGAAATCTGGAATCCCCTGTCTTCTAGTGAATAAATAACCTCTACCCAGTCCCTTGGTTAGGAGTGGCCATGTAACTTGCTTTATCCCATAGAATGTGAGCACATGTGACGGGTTTCATTACTGGGAGGAAATTTTTTTATCGTGGTGACAAACTCTGCACAGCTAGTGGTGGGAGCATGTACCAAACTGGAGGTGCCACAGATGGAAGCATCTGGAATGCTGGGCCAATACACAGAGGAGCCTGCCCTGGCTAGCTGTTCGAAGTCTGCAGTAGACTTTAAGCAAAAATCAGTTTCTGTTGTATTAAACCATTGAGATGCTGGGAATTTGGTTGCTGTTGCCACTGCAGCCTTACTTAGCCCGACCTCACTAATGAGGAAACTGAGGCTCAGCAGGGAATGAGTAACTCACCAAGGATTTACAGCAAATAATTGGCTAAGGCAGGATTAAACCTGGATCATTCTGACTCCAAAGTCCAGTATTTTCTCCACTGTGAAATTTAAAATATAAAGAAATTTATATTCATCCTGAGAAAAGGAGCCAGAGTAATCTTTTTTCAAAATGTAATTTACATTTACTTTGAAGTAGAATCCCAGTCCTTGCCATGTTCTCCGGGACCCTACATCATTTTCCCCTTGCACATCTTTCCACCTTCCCTCATCTTCTCCCATTCAGTCCTTCTCTTACCGAGCCCCAGCCACCATGGCCTCATTTCGGCTCCTTGAACTTTCCAAACTCCTCTTCTTGGGAAATTCACATATATGGTTCTGTAAGTCTGGCATGTTTTAACCTCCAATCTTTGCTAGGCTGGCTCCTCTTACGTGTTATGTCTCAGCTTAAATGTTCTTTTCCTTAGAAACATTTTCTCCAACTGTACATAATAACCTCCCCCATTATTCCCTTGCACCCTCCTTTGTTGCTTCTCAGTCTCGATTTCAACTTGGATTCGTATATGTGTTTTGTTACTTGCTTATTGTTTATCTTTCCAAGGAGGGTCCAAACTCTGCCAAATTCCTTTAGGTCTGTATACCAAACTCTGGCACAGTGCCTGACATACAGTAGACTCTCTATAACTACTTATTGACTGAGTGAAGGCCAACATGGAGTCTTATATTTATTTCAGATATAGGTAAATGGAAAGATCATTGATTCAGACACCCAGCTTTGCCATTTGCTATTTGTGTGGTTCTGAATAAGTAGGTTTATGTCAACAGGTAAAGATTCACTCACGGCAGAGGAGAAATAACTTCTCTAATAAGTTAGAGATTACCATGGACTGACCTCTACACCAGAAATCAGGTAATAGGGTTTCACTTATAAAAATCATGCATGTTGGATATAGCCAGTGTTGCTGGGATGGGAATAAATAAAGTATCACTTCTGTGATAAATAACATGAGATTTGTGCCCATTCAATATCTATTAAAGGCATCACTAATCACTTATTAATTTTTTAAAAGACGATACTAGTTGAATAAAACTTCTAGACCAAGGGAAACAGCAAGCTGTGGTGGAAAAAAAATAACAACCTAGGCTTGGAAGCATTGTCCACCACTCTCTAGAGTTATGAACAGGGAAAAGGGGTGAGGCCTCTCTGAATCTGGTGTGTGTATGAGTGCAGGTGCACATGTGTGCGTGTTTCATCTACAAAATGGAGGTAATATCCATCCACATCATAAGATTACATACAGTAAGTACTGGTGGAAGCACTAGGTGATTGGTGAACTTCAGAAAGCATTATGGTGTGGTGGACCACTCATGGGCTTTGCAATTCCACATATTTTGGGTGGAAAAATAAACTACCCCACTCACTAGTTGTATGACACTGATTAAATTACCTATCTTTTCTAAGCCTTATTTTTCTTATCTGTAAAATGGAAATAATAGTCTCTACCTCATCTGGCTCTCATAAAAGTTAAAGGTTATGGACATAAGATACATAGCAATGATAGAAAACTTGATAGAAAGTTGTCCTTGTAATGCAAGACACTCATTATACAAGAGCCGCTGAATAATATGGCAGTGAGTAGGTTCAGGCTGTGGATTTGTTGGGTCCCACAAGAAACCCACTTTCTAGATACTTTGGAGGCCTGTCTGATGTTTATCTGGATCTGCAGTGCTTCCTCCCATTCTGTATTTGAGGTGGTTCAATGTGGCAGAGACATATGCTACTTCCAAGCCTCTGCTCCAGGTCTCCAGGGAAGAAGAAACACAGCAGTGTGAGGAGCTGGACAGCTTCTTCTACAGAGCCCTGGAAAACAGCTCTGTGTTCCTTCTGCCTGAGAGGTGTTATGTAAATAGGAAGCTTTAATTACTATAATTAGCTCAGGTGCTGGCTCCTTAACAAGAGCGGTCACACCTGACTCTCTGTGGCAACTGACTCTGAATCTGGCCATCTGAGCCATTGGAGAAAAAAATAGGGTGGTGGTGGAGGGAATTGGGTTGGTCAGAGGGTATCAGCCAAGTGGGCAGGGAAGCAAAATAGCTGCCTCCAGCTGGGGTGGGCACAACAGGGTAGAAAGTCAAAGCCCACCACTCAGTGGTTGTTGATAATTCCTCATGGCAGGGGACACCTGATAATTTGTAGGACCTCTGGCTGTTGGGCATCACAATTTTCATGCCACAGGAAATGCCCAGAACCAAGTAGTTAAAGGCTTTGGACTCAGACTTACTCCAGATTTGAGTACAAAGTGCTGCCACTTACTAGCTGTGTTTCCTTGAACACATGCTGTCACCTCTCTGAATGTTTTTCCACTGCATAAGAGCAGTGTGAAGATTTAATGAAATGTAATTAAGAATGGATGCAAAGTGCTGAGCCTGGCACCCAGCATCTGGAAACCATCTTGTGCATCACCTCACTTAATCCTAACAGCAACCCTCTCAGTGGGAATGCTCATCCCATTTTACAGACTAGGAAGCTGGCTCAGAGAAGGTTGTAAATCTCCTTGCCATGGATTGGGCTAGGTTCCAATCTACAGAGTAAAGGCAGTGCATGCCTTCAGGTGATGGGGGCTGGGGAGGAAAGAACTGAGCAATGACTGCAACAGAAACATTAATGACGACCATAGTTATAAAAACCACCACTTCTGGAGAACCCTCTCTGTACCAGCCTGTTACAGATGCTATACATAACTGTACCATTTCACCTTCCCCAACCACCCTATGAAAATCTAAGGATTAGACAGCTTAAGCCAATGTTTCTCAAAACTCAGTGTGCAAATGGATCACCTGATGATCTTTTTTAAATGCAACAGGTCTCTGGGATTTGAGGTTCGAAGTCTCTAACAATCTTCCAGATGATGCTGATGGTCTGAGGGTCACACTTTGGGTAAAAAGGGTTTAAATAACTTACCCAAACTCACTCAATTATCAAGGAGTAGAGACACGATTTAACCCAGTTCTCTCTGACTCCAGAGTCTGTGTTCTGTTCTTTACTCTTAATAACAGAGGTAGACTTTACAGAGGAGGTGGCATTGGAGAAGACCCTTGAAGGATCGCCTGAGAAGATAGCATCCCTAGCATCAACTCTGTTTTAATGAATAGATATAGCTCATTTTTCATAAAGAGCATCCGCTTACTTGCCAACCATGTACTCAATTTATTAAAAGCTATTGGTTTAGGTAAGTAGGTAAACTCTCTCCCTTGCTGCTTCTTTATACATTTGCTTAGCAAATCCTTTCACTCATAGAGAGTGTAAGGAAATTATAAATTCAGAGTTACCAACATGAAAACTAAGGAAATTTTACCATATCGACAGCAAGCTTGTTGTTACACTGATATTGGATCCTCTGCCCTCCTTGAGGATTGTAGGTAAGACCTAAAGGTCCAATCTAAAATAAGGAATTTTATAACTCTTAAATGAAGATGACTATATTCTCAGTCAAAATTAGGGTGATTTTGCACACAAAATGAACCTCCGTCATCCTTCAGCACTTGTGATTGTGTGCCCAGTAGGCCTGCTGCTTCTAGTCTTAAAATAAGAGAATGTTAAACCAAGAAGGGGCTTTAAAAAATAGACCATCTATCAGATATATATGGTAAGCCCTAGAGCAAACACTAAGAAAATAACAAAAATATACATTGGGAAAAAACTAAAGGAACTAAAACATTACACTAGAAAATATACACTTACTATGAAAGAAAGTAGTAAAGTCATAGAGGAACGAAAAAGGCATGAAGCATATAAGAAGTGGATTTAACTATGGCAGTTCCTGCATGAGTCTGATTTTTCAGCGACTAGTCGAAATCACTATCATGGTTTGTTTTGTTTCCATTTTTCAAGGAAAGTCTTAGCATGCATGCAATTCCTACTGGGAGAGTGAACGTTCCACTTAATGATGAAACTGTAAGAATCATCCTTAAGTTTAGGTGTACCCCTAATGTTCAACACTGTCATAAAAGATATTAACCAATGCAAAAATATAAGAAAAAGAGTAAGAGTCATATCCTGGAAAGGAGACAAAATAGTAATGGAGAGGCAGGTGACTTAATGGCAAAGAGAACAGATGATGAAGCCACACACAGGTTTAAACTTTGGCTTTCACACTTACTATCTGAGAAATCCTGGGCAAGTTTCTTAATCTCTATGCTTCCATTGCTCCACCTATAAAATTAAGATTTCAGTGATAATGGTATTAATAGCCATGAGCTATTGTTGTGAAGATTAAATGAGTTAATATTTGTAAAATGCTTAGAAAATATAAGTTCTACATAATCATTTGCTGTTACTCAGACAACATAATTTTTCATAAAGCTATCATAATTTACATGAAAAATGCAAAAGATTTAATAGCCTAGCCACTGGAACTGATAACAGAAGAGCTCTGCAAAGTTTCTTGATATGTCAACCTAGAGGGATAAATAGTGTTTCTTCACTCTTGCGATAACTGATGTGATCACATAACAAAAAGGAGAAAAGAAGAGAAATTGACCTGTCCATGTCAGAAAGATGCAGGAAGACTCTCTTCCTACAAGGTTAGAGAATGAGTCAAACTAGGAGGTGGAAAGAGAGAAAGGATAATGTCTGAAAGCTAGGTGCTCTACCCTTACTCAGTAGAGATAGAAAAGGGAGATTCAGGTGGGCTCACATGGCACCTCACTCCTGAGGCTGTTTACAGACAAGTAACGTCCACAAGCCCCATACCTGGTGAGGAAACTGTCTTCACCATCCCCAATGCAGAAATCATAATTAAAAAGATGTACATTTTTTAACCCATTGCTTTTACTATCCCCCTAATCTCACCCTATCCATCCTGCACACATCCAGTGTCCTCTTTCTTAACATGATTTTTTTCTCTGAAAGGAATGCCTCTACTTCTCCACTGTATGGTAAAATCTTCCTTATCTTTCAAGCTCTATCTCAAATGACACCTTCTCTGCAAAAGCCTTCCCTGGCTCCATCATACAGAATCAAAAACTGCCTGCCTTGTTCTTTGTCCATGTTATATTTATATTTAGTTGAAAGAGGAATTATAGACTGTAAAACTCAAATAGACATTTCTATTCACCAACTAATTGCTTGATTTACTCCCTGACTTTCTTCAGATTAAACCAAAGAGATGCAGAGTGCTTCTCTTATTTCTTCCAGAGAAGGCATAAGTATTTGGGATGAGGCCAAACTCTCAGCACCCCAGACAAGAGATTTTTTTACCCTGAACTCCTTCTACAACCAACTCCCAGATGAGGATTTGCAGAATGTTCTTAGCTTGTGGGAACTCAAGGGAAAAAGTCTTCAGAGAGCAAATGAGATAAACATAGAAATAGAGACACAATGTTGTCTTAAATCCTGTTTCCCTAGGAATTTGGACTCAGAGCAGATGTTTGCAAAGCAATGTTCAAGTATGAGAGCAGGAAAATGATGAACTATTCCTGGGCAATCCAAGGAAAATATGAAATGCCGAGTGATGTGCTCAGTTTATTCTGATGCTGCAGACGCTTAGACTGTGTTTGGTAGATCCAAAATAAAAACTGCTTTGGCTTCAATAGAGAGAGCTGAAAGGATTACAAGATGATGTTTTCAGCATCAAAAGCTGATATCACCTTTCCCCTTAAACTAAATGACTAATATACATAGATACTGATCCCAGTATTTCATTATTCAAAAAGTCTATCTTCCTCCTTCATTTACTCATTCAAAAAATTCCTAACAACCCTAAAATGTCGTGTGAGGTGATGGAGATGCAGCACTTGACCTCACTTTCCTCACAGTTTAGTGTAAGGAAACTAATGATCTCAAAATAACTATGGGATTGCAGTTATGATCAGTGGGATGAAATAGAGGCAAAGGAAGCAATAATTTTATATAACTAGGGGGTTAACCAAGTTCAGAGGTGGGGAGAAAGAAACAAGAACACCCTCCCTGGGAAAGGATAGTGAACCTGAGATTGAACCATGAATAGATTCATGCAGATAAAGAGCAGGGCAAGAGCATTTTGGGCCACAACAGAAACTTCCAGACAAACTCTAAGATAGAAAGGAGTTTGACAACTTCAAGAAATAAGAGAAAGTCAGCATAGCAATAACAGCAGGTGTTGGGTATAGAGTGGTGCGAGCTGAGGTTGGTAGCGGGGTAGAGACCATATCCATCAAGGCCTTAGACCCATGTTAATGAGTGTGGACTTTATCCTGAGAGCACTTTTAGAGCAATTAAGCTGGAGGATGATGTCAGAATTTGCATTTCAAATTTTCTACCTAACAAGGTCCTATCGATATACAAATGCTCAACTTGAATTCCACCTCCTCACTGAATCCCTTAAGCTACTCCTCATACACATACCTCAGCTCTCTCACTGTCCATGGTATCATCTGCCTATTCTCTCTCTCTCTCTCTTTTTTTTTTTTTTTTGCTTCACAACCCAATACTTTAAATTATTCTATATTTTTTTCAATGTGATAGCCTTACTTGTTTGTGATATGCGAAAATGCCTTAAGAACAGGAATTACAGGCTCAAAGTTAGAAAACAACCTAGCAATCACTTAGCCCAAATATCCATGCAACTAAAAAATGACCTTGAAGCATCTGTGAGAGGACATTATCTTTTTTTATACTTGAATATTTCTCAGTGATGGGACACCTCCTATCTCTGATATCTCTGACTGAAATGCTCCACCTAAGACTATTTCTGCCATATGACGTAATAGAAGACTACTATCACATAATGCCATCCTAATTCCTTCTCCCACTGGAAGATGAAAATATCTACTTTCGACTCACTCTAACACTTTCTTCATACTGTCCATAGTGTAATCTTTCTTACATTCAGTTCTGATAACAACATACTCCTTTTTAAACCAAGCTTGTCCAACCCATGGCCCGCAGACTGCATGTGGCCCAGGACAGCTTTGAATGTAGCCCAGTGCAAATTTGTAAACGTTCTTAAAACATTTTTTTGCAATTTTTCCTTTTTTAGCTCATCAGCTATCCTTAGTGTTAGCGTATTTTATGTGTGGCCCAAGACAATTCTTCTTCTTCCAATGTGGTCCAGGGAAGCCAAAGATTGAACACCTCTGTTCTAAGCCCTTTAGTGGTAGATGCATATACCAACTTAATTGGCGAATTGGCACCACATTTTCCAGAATATGTTTTACTGAATACTTTAGAACAAGCAGAGCCAGAAGGCATATTTTGTAGTTTGGAAGGCAGAACCGAAGAAACATTCATATTCATTTTACCTTTGGAAGATTATTACAGGGCCCAAGGTACGCTCGGTGGTTAATGTGTTGACTTGACTTGGAGCATAGGTTGTCCAGACATTTGGACAAACATTATTCTAGATGATTCTGTGAGGGTGACTCTGGGTGAGATTAACATTTGAACCAGTACACTGAGTAAAGCAGATTGCCCTCTCTAATGTGGGTGGGCCCCAAGGGTGGGCCCCGCCCAATCAGTTGAAGGCCTGAATAGAACTAACAGGCTGACCCTCCCTCTAGTAAGAGGGAACTCCTCCTACCCAAATGCCTTCAGGCTGGGGCATTTTTTTTTTTTCCTGCTTTCAGACTAACTGATGCTTCAGCTATTCCTGGATCTCCAGCCTGCCAACCTTCAGATTGAAACTACACCATCAGTTCCCTCGGTCTCCAGTTTCTCACTGCAGATCTTGGCCCCTGTCAGCCTCCATAATCACATGAGCCAATTTCTTATAATAAATCTCTTTCTATATATACATATTCATCTTGTTGGTTCTGTTTCCTTAAAGAACTTGGACTAAAACACATATCATGCATGTTGTGCTTGTCTGTTGACTCACTCAGTTGTTGTGGGGTCACAGCCAGGCCTACAAGCTCCTCCAGCTTTCATAAATCTCCTCCTTTAGCTTCTCCCATGCCTGGAACAGGTGTGCCTGGCCAGGACAAAGGGTGTCAGCTTCTCTTGCCAAACACTCCCTTTTCAAACTTGAAGACTGGAGGCAGTGAGAGACGGACGTGATTCTCAGCCAGTACCCGTGGATGGCAGTTCATCCTCACAGGTTTCAGTTTATTCTTGCCTTCTCTATCTCATCTCCAACTTCCCTTCCTAACTGCCCACCCTGCTGACTTCAGGCTTCATCCACAGTCACAGAAGCAAGACCTCACTGTATATGACCATATAACAAGCTCCCACAATTGCATAAGGTCAAGTCCCTATAATAAATACTCTGCTTCTCTGACCAAACCATGACTGATGTACACCTCAATGGTTTCCCTTAATGCATACAGATCAATGCCTTATGTGCATGAATGTGGTCTAGAGAAGTGGCTGCATGGTAGGATCCACTTGTCCTTTTTGAATCATTACAGACGTCTCTCCTTCTCACACTCTTCAGCCACAATGACTTTTTATTTTCTTTTTCCTTAAGTGTATCCACACAACAGCTTCCATATTTACACACATGATTTTCTTTCTGCCCCAAATATTATTTTTGTCAGTTTGTGAATTCTTCAGGTCTTAATGTAGATATCACTTCCCAGAGAAGTCTCCCAGTAGTCTATGGAATTAGGTAATTATCTCTTCATATGTTCCCATAGCACCCCATAGCATATCACCTTAACATTGTAATGAGTTATGTAAGTATTTATAATATTAAGTACTTATCTTTGTAAATGGCCATGTCTAGTTTTTCTTACTGCAGCTCCTCACAGCATCCAAACGCCCAGTCCCTGGTACTGACTGAACAACTGTAGATGGTTATACCATTCTCTAAAATTCTTCTCATTTCCTGAACAAACCAAGCATGCCTCATTCAGCTCTTCATAGTGAGTTCTATTTATCCTTCTTTCTCTATTGTGACACATCATGGACTTACTAATTACATTTGGTTGAATACTCATTCATGATGAGAATCCGACCTTTTTTTTTCCTAATTAACTTGGTCTTCCAATCAGTCAAGTTACTAAATATTTGAACAGAAAAACAAATGTTGGTAATTTACTCAATCCAAGCTCACAAATTCATCGGCAACTCTCCCAAGTTCTTCCTACCTATGTGACCTTGGATAGTAGCTATGCTGACTTCATTGGGAATGTTATGGAAATAGTATTGCTGTATTGCCTGTTTTCCTGATGATTCAAAAATGCATTTTAGGGAGGAACATGAAAGAAGTATGACTGTGGCTCACTTATCAACCACTTTAATACTTTGTGATTATTCGTAGCAACCATACTTTATTTCTTCCATTTCACTTTTTAATTGCGATCTTCAATAGAATGCCTAAATTCCAATTTGCTTTAGTTAGAGTGTTTCCGGGAGGGGTAGAATTGAGTAGAGAGTTTATGGTTTCAGAAATTTTGAAAGAAGAAATTGTATAACCTTTTCAACATGTCTTCTATTTTCTGTTTTTTTCCTCTTCTTGATTTCTTATACTCATGTTTCAAGGGATTTCTTTAAAAAAAAAAAAAAAAAAAAGCAATTGCTTTCTAGACGTTAACCATCGGGGAGCTTGAAAAAACCTTCCAGATGGAATATATATATGAAAAATCTCATCTCAATGAAAAATAAATCCCCCAAATAGAGGTATGTAATGAAACACCTAATTCACTCCAACTACACTGGTCATATTGCTGCAATATTATAATGCCAGATGACTCTTTTAGCACCATGGACAACAGCTGGCCTTCCATCAGGAATGTCTAAAAATGAATGCAATGCTATCTCTTTCCAATAGAAATTTGGCTAGTATTTGAGGTCCATTGAATGACACACTCCTCATAGTCATGCTAAGCAATTAGAGATTTTTAATAAGAAGCTTTAAAAAGCCTTTTATTCTGTTTACTCTCTGGAAATCTGGATTTCTACATTGCTACATGACATCATTGAACACTGAAAAAGATCTGTCAAAAGTCATCCAATTGCAACACCAACAATCATTTTCTCAGTCTTTAAGTTCTATGACCTCTCTGAAAATTTGTCATAGTGATTATGCCCTATAGGGCAGAATTTTTTCCCTTTTTCTTTTTTCCCCCACCATCATATTATTATTAATCTATAGTCTCTTCCCAACTCCTTTTTGCCTTTTTTTTTTTTTTTGACAGGATCTCTCTCTGTTACTCACAGGCTGGAGTGCAGTGGCATGATCTCAGCTCACTGCAACCTCTGCCTCTCAGACTCAAGTGATTCTCCTGCCTCAGCCTTCTGAGTACCTGAGTTTACAGACATGCACCACCATGCCTGGCTGATTTTTGTATTTTTAATAGACGGGGTTTCACCATGTTGCCCAGGCTGGTCTTGAACTCCTGACCTCAAGTGATCCACCTGCCTCGGCCTCCCAGAGTGCTGGGATTACAAGTGTGAGCTGCTGTGCTCAGTCCTGTTTTGCTTATTTTTACCTTTTAAATACATTTTTCTTCCACAAAGCACATTATTTTCATTAATTTCTTAAAATTACACTAATATTCTTTTCTTTGAAAATCCCTTCATTATGTTAAGTGAAATAAGCCAGGCACAGAAAGACAAACATCAGAGGTTCTCACTTATCCATGAGAGCTGAAAATTATAACAATTGAATTCATGGAGGTAGAGAGTAGCAGGGTGGTTATCTGAGGCTGGGAAGCATAGTTGGGGGTGGGGGATATGGGAAAGAGGGGATGGTTAATGGGCACAAAAATAGTTAAAGAACAAATAAGACATAGTATTTGTTGGCACAACAAGGTGACTATAGTAAAAAAGAATTTAATTAATTGTTCAATTTAAAGTAACTAAAAGAGTATAACTGGATTATTTGAAACACAAAGGGTAAATTCTTGAGGTGATAGATACCCTATTTTCCCTGATACACTGCCTGCTTGTATCAAAATATCTCATGTAACCTACACATATATACACCTACTATGTACCCACAAAAAAATTTTTTTTACAAAGAAAATCCCTTCCAGGACCATTACCTCTGTAGAGGTGACACTGAAATCTCTTTTTCTATTTCTGACGATCCTCCTAAGCTATAAGTTTTCATATTTCCAACAACCTGCTAGATCCTTTAAATCGGGTGTGGCTGATACCTCAAATATGTCTGAAATGAAACTTATTCATATTCTCTTTAAAATTCTGCAACTCTTTCTTTGTCTCTTAATTACATTTTTTGTAGTGCTTTCCTCCTTTAGATAAACTCATTTTAGCACCTAGAAGTTATTCTTTACTTCTTTCTTTCACAACTAAACAAGGGTCAAGTTCTTTTCATGTGACCCCACAATAAGACTGTCTGTGCTAAGCAAAACAATTCATTACTTACCCAGTTGTCATAATTGCACTGTTGTATCTGGCTCCAAGGCTGGAGAGCATCTCTATTTCACAAAAGAAGTTCCATACGCCCATTTCAGTGCTGCTACCCTATGTCAGGGTTCATTTTCTTTTGCCTCTTGCCTGTTCTTTTGAAGTAAATCAGTATAATAGAAGGAACTCAAGCCAAAAGCCCCACCAGTGTGAGTTTTAACATTGCCTCTTACACTAACTACCACTGTGTGAATTCTGATGGCATCTAAGTTGTCCTAGATATAAAAATGAGGGTGATCATAAAACTGTCACAGATTTGTTGTGAGAATAAAATGAGTTGACATGTGCAAAGTGATTAGCCATGCTCCTAG
This sequence comes from Homo sapiens, assembly GCF_000001405.40. Lineage (NCBI taxonomy): Eukaryota > Metazoa > Chordata > Mammalia > Primates > Hominidae > Homo > Homo sapiens. The sequence goes on from NC_000009.12 coordinate 119,711,605, forward strand.
CACAGAGTAGGACTTCAACAAATATTAGTTACCTTCTCTTTCTCATCCTAACATGGATCTCTGTTACCAGTCCTTCCATTCTAATCCATATTAAATAGTATTGCTTAATTGATCTTTTCATACTGCTCTTCTAATAGTTCTATTACTGTCCCACTGACTGCAGAAAGCTCAAATTCCTTAACTCAGCATTCAAAGTTATCATTTAACTGCCCCCAATCTACACTTCCAACATAATTTCCCATTCTACTTTGTTGAAACTACAGGGAATACCACCCTGAACCTTGCATTTCCTGACATCAGGCCTGTTCATGCTATTTTTTTTTTCTTTTTGTTTTTTTTAAAGGAGGGATACCTTTCACATCTCCAAATACATGCTTTAAGTTCTAGCTAAAAACTCTCTCTTTTATTATTATATTGAAGATCCCTCAGCTAAATAGGATTTCTTTTTATTCCAAATTTCCATAGCGACTTAAATATATTTTTCATACAGTACTGATTACACTTTAGTTTGTTAACTACATGTTTATGGTATTTGTTTTATATTCCTTGCTGAACTATCTGTTTTTTAAAGATAGGAAGCACATGAAAACCATACTCATATTACCAACAGTACCTAACATAATGTTTTCTGCATTGTAAGTATTCAATAAATATTTGTTATAACATGAATATCCTGTCAGTTATCATCACATTTGCATAGCTACCTCATTAGCGAGAAACCTTTGAAATCAAGAAACAGTCCAAATGATGACACATTTGAGGTATAATATCTGTTATACCTGTAAAGACTCATATTCACTATAAAGAAGTCCAGTAATTTAAGCAATGAATTTTTGACTGCCGCCCTTCTGAAGTCATTATGGTCCTGACTGATTGGTTTTATGTATGTATGTATATGTGTGTATATGCACATAAGTATATATACATATATGTATATGACCTTCCTTCTGCTCCTTCCTTTCCTGGGTAATTGAATTAGACTTATTATGTTAAATAGATGTGTTTCCTAACCTAGGAGCCAGATGTAAACCCTAGTGCATGATAAAAATATCATAAAGGGGAAGCATGTTTACTTTCTCCTATGGGGAATGAAATACAGGTAAATAATGAATTGCTTTGCTTAACATGGGCAGTCTTACTATTGCTTTTATTTTTGAAATGTCATTAGAAACAATGGAATCAAAAAGCTCTGTAGATGGAAGTATCAAGTTATTAAACTCATAATTCCAACTCTCCTAGTAATATTCCTTCTCCACACGTATCCCCTTGTCATAAGGGTGGTGATGGTATTTTTGTGGGAAGAAGATTGAATTGAGAAAGGGGACTGGTAAGTTTTATTTATGAAATTTTGGTAAGACAATCTCTCTTCAGACAAAGTTGGACTGACACTTGGTCTGGCTCTACAGAAAGGTTATATTTTATGAGCAATAAAATATCCTAGGATTCTGATTGGTCCATATTTTCATGTGACCCCATGACATCCAAAGGTCCACAGATATGGACATGAGGGTTTGGTTGCTGTAGCAGAAGGTATTACGAAAGGTACAAACATACATTAAGTCGGTGCAGGGTGGTGTTTAGAGCTGGATAAAGAGAAGGAGGAGAAAATTACCTCACCCTTGCAATAAGGCTTGGCCAAGCTTGTTTTCTTTTCTGCTGATGTACAGATAACAATGACTAAGAGGCAAGGTCTATGGGACAGTCATTGACAGCATGAGAAATTCAGAAGTGTGTGAGGAGTTTGAAAACACTTTTGTTGAGACATTTTTTGTTTTTTATTTTAATTTGTATTTATTTATTTAACTTTTATTTTAGGTTTAGGGGTACATGTGAAGGTTTGTTACATAGGTAAACATATGTCACAGGGATTTGTTGTACAGATTATTTCGTCACCAAGGTATTCAGCTCCTCTCCCTCCTTCCACCCTCCCCCTTGAGGTAAACCCCAGTGTCTGTTGTTTCCTTCTTTGTGTTTATAAGTTCTTACCATTTAGCTCTCATGTATAAGTGGGAGCCAGCTCAATATCCCATGGCTCCTAAAGGTCACTGGACTATCAAACGAGTCTTTTCTTTTTCTTTGTGCTGCCTTATTTTGGTCCAGGAATCACCTTCTGTTTAGGATATGCATTTATCTCAGGGATGGGTAGAGACAATGCAGGCTTGGTTAGAGAAGATCTGCACACTGGACTTAAGTGGGCCAAAGATAGAGAGGACCATGTTATTAGGCTTTTTCTAAGTGGCCCAGGCCTATCCCTAGGGCAGGAAATGAAACCAGAATTCAAGGCAGATCCTGCAACAAGAACTATTAACGTTTCATTTTTCTAGAACTTATCTTTCACTATAGACTAATGGTTAATAGATAGGTTCAAAAGGAATCCTGCCATGTTTTTTGAATCCTGAGTCTTCCACTAAATAGCTGTGTGGCCTTGGTCAAGTCATTTAACCTCTCTGAGCTTCAGTTTCTGCAACTGTAACATGGAAATAATACCAGCCACCTAATTCCGTGAGTTACTGTATAAATAAGTTAATTTATACAAATCACTGGGAACAGTGTCTAATTCTCAGGAAGTTCCATTAAATGTCTGCTTTTTTAGTTATTTCCTTGCTCACTGTTACTTGATAGTAGTTGGTTGTAGTTCAAAAGGATAAGGGCACCTGATTTCCAAACATATTATAAAGCAATTATAATCAAAACAGCATGATATTGGCATAAAAGCAGACACATGGACCAATAGGATAGAATAGATTTCCCAGAAATAAACCTACATATCTGTGATCAGTTGATTTTCAACAACGGTGCCAAGAAAACACAATGTGGAAAAGATAGTCTCTTCAATAAATGGCGCTGGGAAAACTGGATATCCACATGCATAATAATGAAACTCAATCCTCTCTCACAGCAAACAAAATAATCACCTCAAAATGGATTAAATAATTCAATATAAGGTCTGAAACTGTGAAATTACTAGAAAAAAATAAATAAGGAAAAGATTCACAACATTGATTTGGGGAACAATTTTTTTTATATGAGCACAAGCAACAAAAGCAAAAATAAACAAATGGGATGGCATCAAACTAAAAGGCTTCTGCACAGCAAAGGAAACAATTAACAAAGTGAAGAGACAACCCACGGAATGGGAGAAAATATTTGCAAAACATGTACCTGATAAGGAGTTAGTATTCAAAATATAAAAAACCCAGACAACTCAATGGCAAGAAAACAAATAACCCTAGCAAAGAACTTGAACAGATATTTTTCAAAAACGGGTATACAAGACTGCAACAGGTACATGAAAAAATGTTCAGCATCACCAATCATTAGAGAAATGCAAATAAAAACCACAATGAGATATCCTACATCTGTTAAAATGGCATTTATTAAAAAAATGAGGCTGGGCACTGTGGCTCCTGCCTGTAATCCCAACACTTTGGGAGGCCAGGGCAGGAGGACTGCTTGAGGCTAGGAGTTCAAGACCAGCCTGGGTACCATAGCAAGACTCTACCTCTACAAAAAGATTTTAAAAAGAGCCTGACATGGTGGTGTGTGCCTGTAGTTTTAGCTACTCAGAAGGCTGAAACAGAAGAATTACTTGAGCCAAAGAGGTTGAGGCTACAGTGAGCTATCATCATGCCATTGCACTTTAGCCTGGGTGACAGGGTGAGACCTTGTCTCTAAAATTAAAAAAAAGCAAAGTTATAACTTTTGGGCAGGAATGTAAACTAGTACAGCCATTATGAAAAAATGATATGGAAGCTTCTCAGAAAAAAGAACCATCACATGATTCAGTAACCCCACTTCTGGGTATATCTTCAAAGGAATTGAAATCTGTATGTCAAAGAGATACCTGTACTCCCATAGTTACTGCAGCATGATTCTCAAAAATCAAGATATAGAATAAACCTGTGTCTACCAACAGATGAATGGATGAAGAAAATGTGGTAAACATATCCAATGGAATACTAGTCAGCCTTTAGAAAGAAGGAAATTTTTTCCTTTGGGACAATGTGGATGAACCTGGAGGACATTACACTAAGTAAAATAACCCAGGTACAGAAAGATGAATTTCACGTGATCTCACTGACATGTGGAGTCTAAAAAAGTTGAAGTCACAGAAGTAGAGAGGAGAATGATGTTTACCAGAGGCAGGGCAGGTGGAGAGGTGGGGAGGGAGGGAAAGGGGAGTTGTTGAGCAAAAGGTACAATATTTCAGGCAGAAGAAACACGTTTTGAGATTGATTGCACAGGACAGTGACTATAGTCAATAATAATTGATTATATATTTCAGATTAAGAGTAAATTTCAGATGTCTCACCATAAAAATATGTAAATGACATGATGGATATGTTAATTAGCCTGATTTAATCATTCCATATTGTATACGTGTATCAAAATATCACATTGTACTCTATAAATGTATACAATTATGATCTGTCAATTAAAAATAGTAGTAATTTTAAGAATTGAAAAAAGACCAGGGAACAACATAATCCTCCAGCAAAAATCTTTATTACACTGGAATTATCCTTACGACCCTTTGTGTGAGTATGGATTTTCTATAGGTTTATTAAATCAGTAAATCAAAATATATTTGCTATTTTATTTTATTTATTTATTTTTTTGAGATGGAGTTTCACTCAGTCATCTAGGTTGGGGTGCAGTGGCGCAATCTCAGCTCACTGCAACCTCCACCTCTCGGGTTCAAGCAATTCTGCTGCCGTAGCCTTCTGAGTAACTGGGACTACAGGTGCGCACCACCACACCTGGTTAATTTTTTTTTTTTTTTTTTTTTTGGTAGAGACGGGGTTTCACCATGTTGGCCAGGGTAGTCTGGAACTTCTGACCTCTCAATCCACCCGCCTCAGCCTTCCAGAGTGCTGGGATTACAGGCATGAGCCACCGCAAGCGGCCTATTTGCTAATTTTAGACTCCTCATATCTTGCATTTTACTCAAGGGACATGTTGATGTGCTCTCCCTTGTAATCAACACCAATTAAATGATGATCCTTGGAAACAGAAACATAAACAGGACACTAATGCATAAACTGGTAACAGTCCATTCATTCTGTGGACATATGGGCTTTAGTTGCAATCTAGCTCTTGGAAAGTGATTTATAATTAAACCATTTTACTTGCCTAGAAAATATTTCAACTAGTGTTGACTTGAGTCACAATATTTGGAAAGCACTACTGAAAAAAAATTGTGTTGTATGCAAGTGTAACTAAGTCTACCTGATATTAAAACAACGGAGGCATGGACAATCGATTAAAGGGTATGGTCAGTTGTATCCTTAGTATGGCCTTTGAGGTACCTTAATCCACATTTCCTTAATTATCATGATAATTAGGCTAGTCTCTGGATTTAGGCTGAATGATGTGGGTAATGGTGGCAGAAGCCGTTTCCTGAGGGCAGATTTACACTCTCATCTTGGCAGAATCAACTATTTGCTTTGTGATTGTGGAAACATTTGGAGAGAAACATTAATTTTCCATCCATTAACTTTGGTGGATATGAACACCCTAGAGGGAAAAATGTGTGAAGCCGCTTAACAACCTTTTGACTGCTAGGAAGGTAAAAATGTTTTGAAAATATTTTCCTTTGCAAAGGAAAAAAATAGAGAAAAACCTCAACTATTCAATCAGGGAATAGTCTGTCTTTCACCAAGGTTTTTGTAAATGTTTGCACCTTCTCAAAATGCAACACTTTTGTGGAGGCATGACCTATTTGATTTATTTCCTACCTAGACATAAATTAACCTGATAGTCCAGATACTTATTAAGAGGATTGCTTTCTTTTAATCATACATTATTTTTTCTCCATAGGTCAGATACATTTTGCTAATGGTGATTCAGTAAAGGAGAATATTGTGGATTGAAAAGGGAGAAAGAAAGTAAGTGGATGAAAAAATAAAAGTGATTTTATTTTTGCATCGCAACCTTTAGGAGAACTAAAGCTAAGTTCAAATCAATAGAGTCTTGGAAATGAGTTTGTATATATTGGAAAAGAAGAAGCCATGGTGAGCAAAGATGGGCAATAGAGGCAGTCAGATGATCTCTGGGTGCTGGGCTGGAATTAATCAAGTTGAAGGTAAAGCCGCATAATCCTGAGTACTTGTTTATTCTGCCAACAAATAAATGCAGCATCATCAAACAGCTAGTGTATGCTAAGCCCTGTGCCAGACACACAAAGAATATTTAGCTAGGGAAGAAAGATGTGGCCCCTTGTTGCCCTAGAACTTATAGTATAGAGAGGATCACAGAAATTAAACAAGTAACTAAATACACAATAAAATAATAAAAATTAGGATGAATGCTGCAGAGAAGGAACTGTATAAGAATATAAACCAGAATGGTCTGGTCCAATCAAGGAGATCAGGAGAAATTCCTTGACAAAAGGATGTGAAATTTGAGCTTGAGAGGTTCTTAAGTATGACTGAGTGAATGGGAATATGTGTGGAGGTTCCCAAGGGTTGGAAAGGGTTGTGGTTAAAAGGGAAAGAGAATCTGAAAGCCCCAGGGAAAGAGAGATCCATGCAAAGGTACTGGGGCAGAGAGGAACTTTGAATATGGGAAATTCAGAAGATGGAAGAAAGTGAAGGGAGAGAGTGGGATGAGAAGTGGTCTAAGAGGGAGGTAAGGCTAAAGAATGCAAGGCCCTATCAGTCAGTCAAAATAAGGATTTTGGGCCAGCACTGGGGAGACTTTGGAGGGATTTAAGCAGGAGATAGAGATGATCCTATTTGTATTTCGAAAAGAGCCCGTTGGTTACAGTGCAAATAATGCATCAAAAGGGGCAATAGCTGCTACAGAAAAGCTGGTTAGAAGGCTGTTGCGCAGTTCAAGAAAGAGACAATGGTGACATGGCCAGAGAAAATGGCGATGGGGAAGGAAACAAGTAGAAGGATGGGAGAGATGTTACGAGTGATGAAGGACCTGATGCTAGAGAAGGTGAATAAAACCCCCTACCTCCACAACCTGCTCCATTCTTCCAAAAATACAAGGAAGCTTCCTTCTAATTTGGCTAAACTAAGTATATTAATGAATTTTACCCAGGCTTTTTCCCAGCTAAGTTATTCTGCATGCCTGGAACCACAACATACCAGGAGGCAGACACTCAACACACTGAATACTAATGCACTTTCCATTTTCTTTTGCCTTTACTGGTTGGTACAAAATTAAAAGTAAGCTCTCTGCTATCAGGAATGGCCAAGGAATAAAAAATGTTCTGGTTACTAGAGAAATGCAAAGCATGCCATATAACTCTTACTGCTTTTCAAAGCTTAGCACACAATATGTAAGAGAGAGCACAATGTATTAAATGAGATGGCATACAGAGATAAGAAACCGAGTAACTGGGCTGGAATTTAACTTCTACCATGGTACTGGATGTGAAGCCTTGGACAAGTCACCAGACAGGGTAAGAAAGCAGTTAAGAACATGAATTAACAGAGTCAAAGGATGCCTCATGTGAAACCCTGCTCTGATATTAGTAAACTGTGAACTTGAGCCTTCTTCTTAACCTCTTCAAGACTTTCCAGCCTCATCTGTCAAATGGAGATAAAAATGCCAACTTCTCATGATCATTACAGCAATTAAATGAAATCACACATGTAAAGTGTCAAACAACTTACCTCTAGCAATTGTTTTTCTCTAAAGTTTTGTTTCTTCATTTGCATGCTAAAGATAGTAATGCTTTTCCCACTTAGGGAGTTGTTATAACGGTCCCCAAAGTGACTACATATAAATTTTTTAAAAACAATTTTTAAAGAAATGGTGAAGTCTTGATCCTAATTTTTATGCTATTATTTTGTAGATATACACTAAAGCTGAGCCTTTTTACTTTTTTCTTGGTGAATCAACAGCACTCCAGAATTTTCCAGCTCCTTTAGTCTATTTCTATAGCATTACTATAGTATAGAAGTGACTACTGAAGGTGCACAGAATTGAATTAAATACATATGGACCCCAGGACATATCAAGGAAAGTATTTTCTCAAGATAAATCCAGGATATCAGCTTGTGGACTCGTAATTTTTTTCTTTTCACTTTTGCATAAAAGCCAAATGTAGACAGGGCATATTCAAACTTGCCAGATAATAAAGGGTTTTGGTTATAGAATGGCAGGTGAACTAGCTTTTACTGTATTGCCCATGTGCAATTATGGTCTATAAAACATCTCTACTTAATATGTACCTCTGGATATGGACATGTCTAACTTATGGTTCAGTCTATTCAAAGATTGGTTGAAGGGCCCTTCTTGACAATTAGGCAGAGTTGGGGGTCACCAAGTAGATTGATTTGAAAGGCACTGACCATGCCCCCAATTATCCCTCCCACAGCCACACAGTTCCTGAAATTCAATTGTTAAAATTAATTCTTTTAGGCCTTGAGAGGATTTTGGCAATAGAAGTAATAAAATGCAAGCGCAGAAAGTACCTTAGAGGTTATTTGATTCAACAACCTTATTTTGTAGGTGAGCAAACTGAGGTCCAACAGGAAGACTCTCCCTTTCCTCCAAGGTCAAATGCTAAATTAGCCTAAACATCCAGGACATTGGCATCCTGTCTGGCCAGCATTCTCCTGACTAGACAACTTTCCTGATGTTCAGAGGTCCCAGGAAGCAGAAGGAGTCCTCCTCCTGCCTTCATCTCTGGAAAAGTCAGAACTTCAGCTTATTCCTTGACTATTTTTGGTGCTCCAACTGTCCTGAGGACCAAGATGCTGATGTTTTATGTTTCTTTAAAAGAGAGAGCCCAACTTGCTGAAACATAAAAATTAAAAAATCACAAATACAACAGCTTTTATAAAACAGACTATCTGGCAGGAAATGCATTCCCCTGAAGGGGAAATGGGATTAAACAAGTGATGAGGCAAAGGCATGAATCAGCAGTGATCGTTTTTAAACTGAGAAGTGGACGTGTTTATGCTCTGCAGAATGAAATGGCAGGTTAACTGTTATCGAATGTAAAAACACATTTCCTCTGTGAGTGCAGAAATGTAGTCTTGTCTGCACATCTACGATGAAGTGGAGAAATACAGAGAATCTGTCAGTAATTGAGTGGAGAGGTAAGGTCTACCAAATAATAACAGTTAAGGTATTGAACACCTACTATGTGCTAAGAACCCTGTGTACAGGACCTTTAATTGTTGCAACAACTCTATGAAGCTTAGATTCTTATTATTCCCATTTCACAGATGAGAAAACTAAGGCTCAGAAGCTTGACCAAAGTCACTGCGTTAATAGATGCCAGAAAAGGATCTGAAACCAGATCAATTTCCAAAACCCAGTAATTTGAATGGCTTCCAAATCAACAGTCACGCACTCTCTGGTCTTCTATCTCTAAGTCTTATTTGAACAAACCATTCCATTCTTAGCTATGCCTCACAAACTCTGTGTCTCGGTTTCTTCCTATCTTAAATGGATATTGTAAAGATAAAATGAGATCATGGATGTAAAAACATTTATAGGTAGATGGCGTGTAGTGCAGATATGACTTTTAATAACTATTGTTTTCGTAACTGCAATATTTGTGGGCATAGCTCATTAAGAAAAAGATTGGCATATGAAAAATGTGTGTGTGTGTGTGTGTGTGTGTGTACATTTTGAGGATAAATTAGAAAATCCTTTGAAAAGGTTTTTATAATAATCATTAAGTAATGTGAGTAATGGCTTCTGTAAGAAGAGAAGCATTTAGGTATTTAATAAATGATATTTTTCTGGATACTACTTTTTTTATTAGTCTTATAGGCAAAACTGCACAATATTCAGTGCTTATCCAAAGGCTATTTCTTGGAAAGTCTATAGTCACATAATAAAAACAGGTTTTGAATAGTGATGAAAATAGAAATAACATTTATTAAGAACTTATGCTATGATAATGACACCACTAACAAGCAAGGGACAGAAATGTGACTAAAGTCAGTTTAAGCCAAAGAGGAAATACATTGATTCACATAACTGAGAAGTCCAGTGATAGTTATGAGTGGCTTCAGGAACAACTGCATCCAGGGCCTTGGTGATGTCACTAGGACTTCATCTTGCTCCTTCACTCCCTTGGAACAGCGGACATGTTTGCCAGCTAAGGCAGAAGACTCACAACGCATCGATTCAGTGATTCTGGTGCAGAGGAACTTTGTCAACAGTTGTTGACAAAGGAAAGAACTAATGGTAGACACTGATTACTTAGCTTGGTCACATGCCCATGTCCCAGTGAATCACTGTTGCTAATGAGATGGTGTCCTCTGATGATCAAGACTGGGTATTTCATAAATAAATTTAGAAAACATTTAACCTACAGGAAAATATTCAATTTATAAGTGAGATATAGCTGCTTTAAGGGAAGGAATTTTTACTTTTCTTAGTATACAGACTAATCAACAAAATTCAAGGGAGAGAAATGTGCCAGAGAAAGAGCCTTATGCTGGGGGTAACTTGGCTCTGCTCCTAACTAGCTGTATGACTTAGAGCAAATCCCTCTGCCTCTCTGAACCTTATGTTTTCATCTTTTATTGGGTTAAATGCTTGCTCAGGTCTACTCAAGTCAAAGTCCTACGAAATGACCAGCACATTCTGCTTATCTCTGCTTAGCCTGAAAAGGTAGGAGGCAAGTGGTCCCATTCATATAACAAACATCTGTTTGTCCCCACTGCAAAAAAAGGCAACATACAAAGCTCTGAAGGGGTCCCCAAGATAAAGAAGACGATGTCTGGTTGTGCTGATTGCTGGTACAGAGGAATTGTAAAGCCCCACAAGAGAGCCATTCACATGGAAAAGTTTCCTGTCCATGGTCATTTTCAGTAAAAATATAAAAGAATCTCTATTCATCTTCTCCCTTATTATTTCCTTTCTTCACAAACAATTGAAAGGCAAGAACAAGAAGCAGCATTTCCAGGAGTGAGTTGTTAGGCAAGGAAGAAAGAAGTATCTCTGTCTTCTTCCAACCTGCAGAGAGCATTGCTGTCTTCCCAGCAGGTATAGCAGGAAGCAGGCAAGTTAGCCGAGCACAGCTGGCCCCCCTTGCTTTGAAAAATCATTGCTGAAGTCATCAGTTAAAGTGGACCAGGCAAATCGCAGGCCTGATTATTGCAGGTGTCAGTCTGGAAAAAATAAATCCTGGTCCCTTTCCTCCTCTTTTCTTCCTGTACCCATTCTTCTTCTTTTCAAGTGTCTCCTTTAAGTACCTGCTTTGCCTTCTTGCTGTTTCCCTTCCCACTGTCCCTTCCTCTCTCGTTCTGCTTCTGCCTCTCGTTTTCTCCCTTCTTTCTTTCTCTCCCTCCTTTCTTCCCTCCCTCTTTCTCTTCTCTCAGTTTCCCTGAACTTTCCATTTTCAATCTTTCCCTTTTCTATTTCCTACACCTTAATTTCTTCGTTCTGCACTCACAATCCTTGTTTTCTCGCTCTATCCATCCCTTAAATATAATTCCTGCTATCTATTATGTCACTGCATTTCTTAAAGTGGTGCTTAACCTAAGACACTTATCACTGATGGCAATCAGTGAGTTAATATGGGAATTTGGTGGAAGGAATTTTCTTTAATCAATATCTTTTATATTTTCTAAGATATTTCCATTCCTTACAGTTTCACAAAGCCAAAACCTCTTTACTCTCCTTTACTTAAAAGGAGTCTCTCTCATGCTCAGTGGGTGTATATTACACTTTGTGAATGCAGACACTACATGTTGAATCTTATCAGGCAGGGGGAAGTCCAGGGGTTCCAAAACCAGAAAAAATTAATCTGATCTACAATTACTACTTTAATGGCGGGTAATGGCACACAAATGTGTGCATGAATTTGCTATTTCCTTTGTGGAAAATCAGTTGGGGTAAATCTTCTTTATGGAATTTGCCCACAGAAAAGGAAAGCAATGATCCAAAGATCTTTTATGACAACTTCCATTCATTGGTAGACTCTGGTTTAGACATTGACAAGTAACAGTCACATACATTATCTTATGCAGTTCTCACAATTATCCTATGAATAGGTATATATATTTTTCCCATCTTATAAAAAAGAAAACTAAGAATTGATGAGTTTAGGAATCTGTTCAATGTCAGGCAATTAGGATATGGTAGAAGAAAAAGATAATCACTCATCTATACGGTCTTTATAATTGACTTTTAGCTTTGAATTAAAATGGAAAGAAAACTGCAGTCTCAAATTGGACTGAATGACTGAATCAGAAAGAGGCTCTGGGTAGAGAGCCACGATTCATATGACCCTGCCTGATGTTTAAGGCTGAAGTCATGTGTTCTCAGGCTCTGGAGGGCAGCAGGCAGGGCCTGAGCTTTTGGGCTCATAGAATCTGGCTTCCAACCCAGATTCAACCACATACTAGCCATGAGATCCTGAGCAAGTCAATTCTCTGTTCTTCCCCTACACAAAGGTTATACAATGTCATGCAGAGTATCTACGGGACTTTTTTAATTTGAATGCTCCTGGGGACATCAAAACATTTTGCAATCTTTTTAGTAGTTACTTGTGCTACTATACAAATATAGAGACTGAGGGGTTAAAAAATGTAGAGGATGTTCTCCCAGGAGTTAGTGATGGAATCAAGACTGAGATTCAGGTCTCTCGACCACTTGACCAGAGACCATTCCTCACTCCCCTATTCTGATAACTTAAAGGACAGTACCTGTGCAATTTGGCAGAGCAAAAATGCATGTCCAGCATTGAGTCTCTCACTCTTTTCGCCCTTCCTGGTCGCCAATGACCTCATCTCTCCCAAGTCCGATGATTGTATTCAGTTTTTCATCTTACAAAAACTCTATTGTATTTGATGCTGGATCAATCTCCCTTTGAAACTCTTCACCTCAGCTTCTGTAACCCAGTACTTCCTTTGTTCTCCTCTTGCTTCTTGGACCCCTCCTTTCCTGCATTTGTCAGGGATCCAGTTCCTCTGCCTACCCCTTACACATCAGCTGCCTGAGTTTTGCTCTTGATTTCTTGCTCATTTCTCCTGGCTGCCATCCTCCTGGCTGATTTTATCCATTTACACTGTGTCAACTCCCGATAACATCCTGATGAGCCCCCAACCTTAAACCTCAATCTGCACTTTCTCCTGCACCCCAGAATTATATGCCAGATGCCTCAAACTCAGCATGTCCCAAAGTGGACTTACCTTATCCCCCATTCCCTGCCCCCATTCCTGGTTTTTCTCTTTCTTCTCTCTCACACCTGAAGGCAGCGTTCTTTGTACTGTCACCCAAGCAGAACACAAATATATTCCTTGACACTGCCCACTTCTTTTCCTGGACCCACATATCCAAACTATGTTCATTTTTAAACATGTGCTACTTGAATCCCTGTTTTGTCACCACACCTTCCGTGTCCCTAATCCAAGCCCTCTTACATAGTGGTTCATCTGCATCCTTGCATCAGCCTCCACAGCAGCCTCTATCATGAAAAGCACACCTTGGATTCTCCTCCTTCTAGCCCTTTAGTGGCCTCTGTTTGACTATAAGTCAATGTCTGAATTCCTTGGCATTGCTCACCCCACACTATCAAGGCTCTGCTCACCCCTTCACTCACACTACATCTAACTCTCTGTTTTCCACTGTAATCTCCGGCAGCAACATGCTTTCACACCTCCAAGCTTTTGTTTTGTCTGCAAATATTCCCTACCAATCCTCATGCTCCTTATCCCTGGAGATATGGGAGGTGCTTGTGAACCTCCCTCCACCACCTTCCCCCAGGCTTGGTTAGGTGCTCTTCCTCCACAGCTGTTTACCACCTTGGACACAAGTCTATTGTTACCCTCTTTGCATTTTATTATAATTGTCTGTTCACACCCATCTCCTTCATTAGAGTGTAAACCCCCTGAAGGGAAAGACTGTGTCTTTACAACTTGAATCTCTGGAGCTACAATAGTGCCAGGTACAGAATATCAATGATACATGCTCCGTATATATGTAAATGAATTGATTCTGGCTCTTTTCTCACTACTTGTGTGTGGTGTGGCCTCAAGCCAGTTGCCAAGCCTTAGTTTTCTCCTCTGTAAAATGAGGATAATGAATTGGATCGCTTGAGATTGTATGAGGACCAAATGAAATTAGAACAATAGTATACACGTTCATTTTTATTGGGACCCTACTGTGGACCAAGCATTGTCTTAAATGTTTTACAAGTATTTAAATCGTCATAACAACCCTGTAAGGTAGATGTTTTATTATCATCCCAGTAGCATAGGAGAGGAGACTGAGGCCCAGAAAAATAAATCAGCTTGCCCACGGATACGATGCTAGTGACAGGTGGAGCTCAGGTAGTCTGCTATAATGCCCTGACTCCTAACCAATGGTTCTTATTGTCTCAGACACCTGTGTGTAGTATTTATAAAAGTGCCTGGCACATAATAGCAGTAAATAAACAAATGAATTGGTTTTGTTCATTGCCACCTTGATGGACTGGCTTTAGCCACTTCTACTTTCTTTTCTACCTGACAGCACTCAGCAGATAATCTGCCTCCTGTAATACCCCAGGTTCCCTAGAAAATAGAGCCTACATCAAAGGTCAGATGCCTAAGTTAGGGGGAAAAAAGGAAGTAAGCAAAAAAAGAGAAACAGCAAATTCAAGATGTTGTATGGTTGGTGACAACTTCTCAAGAAAACGTAGGCAAATGCTCAGTCATGTTGTGACAGCTCCCATCAGAGTGCACACTATGGAGGCCATGTCAGGGTAGATGAAGGAGAGGGTGTCAGCAGGTGAGGAGACAGAGGTGACAGAAAGGGCTCACCACTGAGCAAGCAGATACAGGTAGACCAAGCTCATCTGGAGCAACATTGAAATTGAGTCTAATGCCCCGCCCTACGGATCCTGTACCTAAGAGTTCATACAACGTAACACTGTGTTTTACCTCCAGTGTGGAGCCAATTACTCTTTCCATGTTCAGTTTTTTCACTAGTAGCATGGAGTAAGAGAGCTTATCTTACTCCATGATAACATTGAGTATTTGCTGTTGACACATGGCCTGCAATTGCTAGAAGTTCCTTCCTTTGTCCACACAAGACCCGCACGTGGACTCAGATACACGGACCTTAGCTGACTGAGTCAACAACTGAAGAACTCTTCCTTGGAAACAGCACAACCCAACAACATTGGCCTGGAGACTGAATCTTTTTTTTTTTTTTTTTTTTCATTAAAATCCATTTTTATTTATGTGAGATGACAGATGTGCACAATTCTTTTATTTTATTGTCATAGAAATTAAGGAGATATATTTGATCATGATATTCTTGTTTGTTTACATGAAATTGCAGAGCTGACTTTTTTTTTATTATACTTTAAGTTTTAGGGTACATGTGCACATTGTGCAGGTTAGTTACATATATCTACAACTATCTGATCTTTGACAAACCTGAGAAAAACAAGCAATGGGGAAAGGATTCCCTATTTAATAAATGGTGCTGGGAAAACTGGCTAGCCATACGTAGAAAGCTGAAACTGGATCCCTTCCTTACACCTTATACAAAAATCAATTCAAGATGGATTAAAGACTTAAACATTAGACCTAAAACCATAAAAATCCTAGAAGAAAACCTAGGCATTACCATTCAGGACATAGGCATGGGCAAGGACTTCATGTCCAAAACACCAAAAGCAATGGCAACAAAAGACAAAATTGACAAATGGGATATAATTAAACTAAAGAGCTTCTGCACAGCAAAAGAAACTACCATCAGAGTGAACAGGCAACCTACACAATGGGAGAAAACTTTCGCAACCTACTCATCTGACAAAGAGACTGAATCTTTTTTATCTTTTTGTGCGTGTGTGCATGTGTCTGTAGAAAGATTGAGAGAGATAATCTTGTATCTAGACCTCCAATTACAAAAATGATTATCATTTTGAATGACATGGGCTAAGAACCCTGCTAAGGATGTTTTAAAGCCATTATCCTATTTTATTATGATGATGACCCTGCAAAGGAACCATTATTCTCCCCATTCTATAAACGAGAAAAACTGAGGCTTAGAGAGGTGAAGGAACTCCCTGCAGTTCAAGGAGATAATCAGTGAGTCCCAGGGAGAGTCTGTTCTTTCATTCTTCTCCCCTGGCTCAAAGGCAGCTCTATTTAATAATTTAGCTTAGGATACCACCATTGTAACCCTTCTTTAACCCAAGTGTGTTCTTGCCCTTATTTCAGTCCAGCAACTTCGGATTCAGAGAGGTTAACTGAGTCGCAGAAGATCATGCAGCAAACCCGTGCCAGTTTAACCACCACCCGGCCACCTAACATCCATGATACTATTTTGATTTTCTGGAACTAAAGAGAAAGTAGAAAGAGATTGAAATCAAGCCTTGGTCATTTTTAATTTATCATCTTTGTCTGAGAATTTTTACTTAATATTGAAATAGCATTTTCCCTCTTCCCTTCACCTAGAACTGCAAAGCAAGAGCAAGGGAATGGGAGAAAATCTATAAAAACAAGATCCTTGCTACTTTATGGTAATTAAAAGCAATAAATATTCTTGCCCACAATGCTAAAAATCTCAAATAGCCAGTGGGTCAATACTGTTTCCCTGGTTAGGGTGGTAATAAATCTCTATTCTTTTCGAGTCAAAATAAGGACGGGGTTTTATTCATGAATTCTGTGACCTGGTACTGCGACATTTTCAAAACAAACACGCCTGGAATGAAGAGTTTCTCCACAAGTGTGTGTATGTGCCCTCTTCCAACCTGTTTCCTCCACCCACAAAGTGTCTGTGCTGGTGTGGTCTTCTTATTGATGCAACAGCAGTATTTTTCTCCTGAACCATAATGGCAAAATGACACGAGGCCTCCACTCTTCCTTCTCACCATCACTGTAGCCCAGCACATTTTCTATTCTGGTGGAAAACAGAACGATTTAACAGTGTACTGCTCAAGCTCATCATCTTTCTCAAAGGCTGTTGCTTGACACAAAAGACATTGTTATTACTCATTAAGTCAGTTTTTGGCTGGGCATGGTGGCTCACGCCTGTAATCCCAGCACTTTGGGGGGCCGAGGTGGGTGGATCACCTGAGGTTGGGAGTTCGAGACCAGCTGACCAACATGGAGAAACCTTGTCTCTACTAAAAATACAAAATTAACCGGGCATAGTGGCACATGCCTATAATCCCAGGTACTCGGGAGGCTGAGGCAGGAGAATCGCTTGAACCCGGGAGGCAGAGGTTGCGGTAAGCTGAGATCACGCCATTGCACTCCGCCCTGGGCCACATCTTTTATTAATATCTTTTTGAAAATGGCTGTTTTCCCAAGCTCGAATGGAGCATTGGCTTCATGTTTATCTGTGATCAACACTGCTCATTTAGGAAGATGGATTCTTTCTGGTCTCCTTGTGAGTAGGGGCATAGAGTCAGACTTCCACACAAACCCAGGGAAAGGTGGAGCTCATGTGCTGAGACTTTCCTTCCTGTTGGGGGCTCATTCAAGGGAAGCTGTGTGACCTTCAGGAAATCTTTCATTCTCTGAGCCTAAATTTTCTTATCTACAAATGAATGGGGTTTTGTGTACTTTTTAAAGTTCCTTCACATTCATTCTGCTATGATCCTATGAAACATGTGCCCTCTGTTTCAACTCCTGCTTGGTAATCAGTCCCGGGAGGAGAGTGGAGATTTGATAAAAGTAGCAGTTTCCCTCAAGTGGAGCTGCTCTGATAAACCTACTTTCCTCCCTTTAGCAAGAAGCATAGATCTGCCTCTGCCTCCTTAGAATTGATTGTATATATAAAGCTTATGCTAAGTTCAAGTTGCCTCAAAAACATCACTCCTGTTGGGGTGACTCGGGGGTGACTTTAACATTTAGCTAACACAGCACAATGTGTATCAGGCTAGCTTAAGGATAAACGCATGAATGTTCATAAGACACGCACAAAAACAGCAACATTCCAAAAGGCTTCTGATCCAATTTACGCCTATGCAACAATGCAAGTTTTATTTTCTATGGGGGAGAAACACCTTGGAGAATAGGTTTGCTGAATAAGATAGACTTTTTTCATGCCTATTTATTGAATCTCAGGTAAGCTGTGGGATGCTTTATGCTAAAGAGGACTCAGGTAAATAGTGAGGAATGTCAAGAGCAACTGCGTATCTGTGAATAACACTATAGAAAAATTGCTGGCTAAAATGAAGACTATCTAGCAAACCTCGTGGCTTGTATGTCACCATTTTCCCAATTCATTATTCAGTGCCACGCTTGTAAATTTGTACCACTTTGCATTAATTTTTTGAGAAACCTAGACAGGTTGAGAAGGAGAAGGAGGGTGCATTGGGTTAGGAAGTCAGGAACAATGGCAGGTCTTAACAATGGATAGAGGGGCATGTTGAAACTCAGAAGCAATACAAGGTCCCTGCACTGGTTGCAAGGAAAAAAATGCACCTGGGTCAGATAATTCAGTATCAGTGGCCAAAATTCACATTGGATCACAGGGCTTGTGGGCAATGATGTGACTCGGCACCTGTACGTAGATCTTGGCCAGAGATCTGACTACTTGAAACAAATCCTCAGTGTTTCTATTTATGCAACATGAGTGAGAAGAAACAGGTGATGGAAAGATGGATGGGAGAAGGGAGCACAATGGCACAATTCCATTTCACCTTGCTTTTGGTTCTGTAATCCCATTGTGATAGGAAGGATTCCCAATTTGCCATCTGGCCTCAGTTACTAAGAGAACTTACTTTATTATAAAGGTCAAGAAAGACATACATGGCTGTATATATTTTTTAAAGGTTCTGTTCAGTTTCTACTTGGGCTTGTAAGACAAGAAACTAGCATTTAAAGAGATTACAGTACATCTAAAGCACATAGGTGGCTAGTTTTCTAGCATTATTTCAATAAAACTTTATAACATCCCTTAAGAAATGTATTATTAGGGCACTTGACTCCAATCCTGTGACTTTCTAAATACACTCTGCATGCTCTGTGCCCTGAGCTCTGTTGAGGTGGTGGTAAGATTTAAAGTGAGACCCTGCCTCTGGACTGGGAAAAGTAAGATCAGAACTATCAAGGACTATAATCTCAGCACATTGGGAGGTCGAGGCAGGTGGATCATCTGAGGTCAAGAGTTTGAGTCCAGCCTGGCCAACATGGTGAAATCCCATCTCTACTAAAAATACATAAATTTGCTGGCCATGGTGGTGCACACCTGTAATCCCAGCTACTCGGGAGGCTGAGGCAGGAGAATCCCTTGAACCTGGGAGACGGAGGTTGCAGTGAGCCTAAATCACACCATTGCACTCCAGCCTGAGGAACAAGAATGAAACTCCATCTCAGAAAAAAAGAGATCAAGGACTGAAAGACGAGACGAAGAGGAACCAAAGGTGAGGAATAATAATTGCTGTAGACTCTGAAGGCTAAGAGGAGCTTGGATTTTTGCTCCCTCATTAGTATCCTATTCTGAGGGATAGAATGAAATTCCTCTATCACATCCGTTCTGTAAGTATTGTGTTCTTAATGACTTCAGGAAAGATTTCACTCAACATTCAAGGTGTAACAGATGCTGTTGGTGCCCTGTTCATACCATTCTAGACCTTATCACCTGAGTGCACACTTCTCAGCTTCCAAACACTAGCATCATTTTCTCTTTGCTAAAGGCTTTCTCTGGCCACAAATGACCACTACAGCAGTGCACATCGCAGACCAAATGTGCCGGAAATCAACCCCTGCTTCCAGCCCAGGAACATCACTCGACCAAGGGCCAACAGAAGTCAATGTAAATACTCCAGCTTACTTCTGTCCCAAATGGGATAACTTTGAATCCATGCCATACACAGGCTCCCAAATTTGCTCATCTGTATTAAGCTCAAGTTTCCAACAGTAGTAACTTACTTGATAATCACCCTTTAGTAGCTGCTTTCCCTTCCTTGTGTCATCCCCCACTGCTTTGCTAGTGCTTCCTGGAATCACCTCCCCAATAAACCACTTGCACTGTCTCAAAGTCTGCTTCTGGGAGAGCCCACACTAGGGCACCAGGAAAGTCTGTGAGTGTTGCTCAATAGAGAGTGAAAGCAAAAAATAATAATAATAATAATAGTAACACTCCTGGGGAACTGGCTGCCCAAGGAGGTGCCAGGAGAATGACTCCCAAACCTAGATGATCATCAGAGCCACCTAGGATGCTGTTATTTAAAAAAAAAAAAAAAATACACATTCTCAGCCCTTACCTCAGAAAATGTTTCAGTTGGATATGGCTAGAGCCTGAGAGCTAAATAAAGAGCTCTCCGAGTGACTCTAATGCTCAGTCTACTTGGGGAGTGTTTGAGGCAGAATAATGATTTTTCAATAGATAACACAACCTAATCCCTGGAACCTGTGAATATGTTACCTTGAATGGGAAAGGGACATTAAGGTAGTATATGGAATTAGGCTTCCTAATCAACAGACCATAAAATAAAGAGAATAGCCTGGCCTATCCAGATGAGCCCAGCGAAGTCACATTTAAGGATCATTAAATGTACAGGAGGGAGGCAGAAAAGCCAGACCCAAAGAGATACAAGCATGAGAAAGACTTGGCCAAATGTCACTGCCTTTGGAGACAGAAGAAGGGGACCATGAGCCAAAGAATTCAGGCAGCCTCTAGAAGCTGTAAAGGGCAAGGACATGGATTCTCACCTAGAGCCTGGAACACAGAAACATGGCCTTTTTAGTACCTTAATTGTAGATCACTGAGACCCACTTCAGAATTTTAACCTCCAGAACGGTAATCATAATAACTCATGTCACTTGAATCCACTAAATTTGTGATAATTTGTTACAATAAGAAACTCATACAAGAAGTAATTATCCCAGGGCAGTACTTCTCAAATTTTAATGTACATATGAATTGTCTGGGAATTTTGTAAACTATAGAATCAGCGATAGTAAGTCTAGGGTGAGACTTGTGATTCTCATTTCTAACAAGCTCACAGATGATGCAGATGTTGCTGGTCTGCAGAACACACAAGGAGGAGCAAGGGCAGAGCAGGATTTCTCGACTTCTGCACTATTGACATTTTAACCCAGATCACTCTTTGTTGTCGAGATTGTCCTACGCATTGTAATATGTTTAGCAGCATCTGTAGCCTCCACCTATTAAATGCCAATAGCACCATTACTTTAGTTGTGACAACCAAAAATGTCTCCAGACATTGCCAAAGTCCCCTGGGGTGGGGGCAAAAGTAAGAGTGGCTGAGAACCACTGTTCTAGAAAACCAAACCATCAACCATGAATAAGGAATTGGATAGAGATCAGGGCAGTAGAGCTAAGTTAGAAAATCCACATGAAAAACTATGTGTTGTATTTGTGTTTGCTTTTGTTTTACATATTTTAGGATATAGACATCTGTCAAGAAGAGCAACAATTTTTGCTCCAAAAACAAAAATGAAAATTGACAATTTAGAATTAATGGATGAGTTCCTCAAAAACCATAAACCAGCAAAACTAAACCAAGATGAAAGAGATAATTCGATTCATCCTATAATCATTAAAGAAATTTAATTTATATTTTAAAAGAACCCCAAGAGAAATATTCATGCCTAGATGGTTTCACTTTAGAATCATTCCAAAAATTTTAAAAAGAATTAACATCAACTTTACTTAATATTTGACAGAAAATAGCAGAGGAAAAGCATTTTAAGAGGCTAGTATTACTCTGGTAACAAAACCAAACAAAGATTGTACAAGAAAAGAAAACTACAAGACCAATATCTCTCATAAGCTTATACACAAAATCCACAAATTCTTAGCAAATTATACCTGGAAATGTATGAAAGAAATTATAAAGCATGACCAAGTGGGATTTATTCCATATAAGCAAGATTGGACCCAAACTCAAAAATCAATCAGTATAACCCATCATACTGACAGGCTAAAGAAGAAATATCATATGAGCATATCAATTGATGCAGAAAAAGCATTTGGCAAAATCCATGACTCATTCCTGACTAAAAAAAAAAAAATCCCAGAAAAATAGGCATATGGGGGAATGCTCTCAACTTCATAAAGAAACATCTACAAAATCCTATAGAAATCATAAATAATGGTGAAATATTGAATGCTTTGCCTCTAAGATGGGAAGAAGAAAATGTCAACTTCCACAAAGCTTATTCAAACAGAACTGAAAGTTCTAACCAGTGCAATAAGGCAAGAAAAAAAAATCAAAGGCATATAAATTAGAAATAAATAAATAAAATTATTCCTATTTGTAAATGACATGACTGTACATAGAAAATCCTAAGGATTCCACAAAAACTTGAGGTAATAAGTGAGTTCAGTAAAATCACAGGAGATAAGATCAACACACAAAATCATTCATATTTTCATATATAAACAATGAACATATGAATACAAATTAAGAATACAATACTATTTACAATTTCTCCAAAGAAAATAAATTAAGTATAAATCTAATAAAACATGTACAGAATCTATATGCTTAAAATTACAAAATGCTGCTGAAAGAAATCAAGGAAGACCTAAATAAATAAAGATGTACTGTGTTCTTTTGAAAAACTCGGCATAGTAATATGTTAATTTTCCCCAAATTGATATGCAGATTTAAGGCAATTCCTATCAAGATCTCAGCAAGCCTTTTTGTAGATATAAACAAGCTTATCCTAAAATTTACATGGAAAGGCACAGAACCTAGAATAACTAAAACATTCTTAACAAAGAATAAAGTGAGATATCATTCCATTCAATGTTAAGACTTACTAGCTACAGTAATTGAGACAGTGTGGAGTGTGGTATTGGTGGAGGAAGACACATTAATAAAACAGAACAGAGAACTCACAAATAAACCTACCCAAATATATCCAACAGATTTTTTACAAGGTGCAAAAACAATTTAATGGAGTATGAATAGGCTTTTCAACAAATAGTGTTACAGTCATTGGATATCCACGGGAGGGGGGTAGGGGGGATAAACCTTATACAGAAATTAACCCAAAATGGATCAGTTGAGACCAGCATGACCAATATGGTGAAAACCTGTCTCTACTAACAATACAAAAATATTAGCCGGGCATGGTAGTACATGCCTGTAGCCCCAGCTACTCCAGAAGCTGAGGCAGGAGAATCGCCTGAACCCGGGAGGCAGAGGTTGCAGTGAGCCGAGATCCCACCACTGCACTCCAGCCTGGGCAACACAGCAAGACTTCATCTCAAAAAAAAAAAAAAAAAAAAAAAAAAAAACTATAAAATTTTCATAAATAAATAAGAAAAAAAATATTTGTGAACTAAGGCTAGGCAAGCAGTACTTAGACTAGATTAAAAAAAAAAGCTTGATACAGATAAAGGAAACATTGATAAGCTGGATCTTAATTTTTTTTTAATTTGCTCTGTAAAAGACTGGGAGAAAATATTTGCAAATCATGCACTGACAAAGGATTTGTATCTAGAACGTATAAAGAACTCTTACAACAAGATAGTTAAGACAAAACAAGACACATTCAATTACAAAATTGGCAAGGGACATAGACTGTTTAGTGAAATGTCTATGAAAAGCACACGAAAAGACATTTAGTATCATTAACTATTAAGGAAATGTAAAGTAAATCCACGATGAGATAACCCTACACACTTAAAAGAAGGACTGTAATAAAAAATAGTGATTACATAAAATTCTGGCAAGGATGTGAAGAAACCAGATCACTCGTACTTTGCTGCTTGGGATGAAAACTGTACAGCCACTTTGGAAACGAGTATGGTACCTTCCTATAAAATTAATCACACACTTACCATGCAACTCAGCGATTGAACTAAAACATTTATCTCAAAGGAAGGAAAACTTATATTTACATAAAAACCTGTGCATGAATGTTCATAGCAGCTTTACTCATAATAGACCAAGCCCTGGAAACAACCCAAATGTCCTTTTAATAAGTCCTTTAAGCAAATTGTGCACTGGGCGCGGTGGCTCACACCTATAATCCTAGCACTTTAGAAGGCGAGGTGGGTGGATTGCTTGAGACCAGGAGTTCCAGACCAGCCTAGGCAACATGGCAAAACCCCGTCTCTACAAAAATATACAAAAAAAAAAAAAATTTATAGTACAGCCATACCATAGAATACTACTTAGCAATGAAAAGGAACAAACAATTTGAATGGATATCAAGGGAGTTATGCTGAGAAAAAAAAAACCCCTCTAAATTACATACTTTATGGTTCCATTCATATAACACAAACTGAAAAAATTGTAAAATAAAAAATAGTGGGCCGGGCATAGTGGCTCACGCCTGTAATCCTAGCACTTTGGGAGGCCAAGGCAGGCAGATCACCTGAAGTCGGGAGTTCGAGATGAGCCTGACCAACATGGAGAAACCCTGTCTCTACTAAAATTACAAAATTAGCCAGGCATGGTGGCGCATGCCTATAATCCCAGCTACTCGGGAGGTTGAGACAGGAGAATCGTTTGAACCCAGGAGGCGGAGGTTGCAGTGAGCCGAGAATTCGCCATTGCACTTCAGCCTGGGCAACAAGAGCGCAAACTCATCTCGAAAAAAAAACAAAAAACAAAAAACAAAACAGTGGTAGCTAGAGGTTAGGGATGAGGGCAGGAGGTAGGAAGGAAGGTAGGGAAAGGGAAGGAGAGAGGGAGAGAGAGAGTGGAGAGATGAGGCTGGTCTTTGGAGGGGTTTTTCTTGAAGAGTTGGAATGTTTCACTGGTGACAGCAGAATTTGGGCTTCAGAAAAAGATAGAATTCTGTGGGGCAAATGGGACAACGGGGCATGCATTAGGAGGCAACAGATGGCCTGCACGGAGAGCAAAGGAAGGTCATACAACCAGACGTGTGAACCTCAAAGGTCGGAGAGGGCCCTGCAGATCAAAACAGAATCCAGTCCTGTCTCTCACGTTATAAAAGCCAGGCCATGTTCAATTAAATAAGAGCATTGTTTCCCAAATGGCAAGAACCTCTACTCTATCATCAAGTTATTTGCCCTATCTATATTCTACCTGTACTATTATAGATTCAGTGTCTTTGTCTAAATTGATTCAGTTCTAACATAATAAATATTAGCATAAAATAAGAATTCTGTCTGTGTACTACCTAACACTGTCTGGCACCCCATCAGTTACACATAACACACGTTGTAAAAGAGAGAGAGAAAGGGCGTTCTGGGCACAGGAAACTGTCTGAGCCAGAGCACAAACCCATGAAGGAGCATGATGTATTCAGAGCCAGGAGTGACTGGAATGGAGGGTGCACGCAGGAGGGGAGGGGGGCAGATGGGGTGAGTGATGGGGCTGGAAAAGGAAGCGGATTGTGAAGGAAGGGATTGGGATAATCAAAGTCCACTCCGCTCTTTGCATTATCTCTCGCTCAGGCAGGACTGGGCAAGTGTCCTGGGGACTACATGTTCTCATTCTCTCCCTCAGCTGCAGAAGTGTGGGCAGTCATGTGTGGCTGTGTTAACACTACATGACTAAAACCAATCCCCCAGTCCCTTCCGGCTGCACACCTCGCCGCCTCCACTGCCTCCATGCGCTGATTTGCATCCAGGCAGGTTGTGTAAACAAGGCTGTTAGGGGAATATAAATAACCACAGCCTGGACTGTGGTTCAACAGTCTGGTCTGGGGAAATCAGAATTTCCACTTGTCTCCCATGGCAAGGTGGAGCCTCTTAACTGTTCACAAGGTCCTTGATTCTCACCCTCTCCCTCCCTAGATGCTGGTGCTGATATGTGGTGCTGCTTGGCTTCCTCCAGCTCAGCTCCTCCTCCACTCCTGCCTTTACAGCCATAGATGCTAACTTGCCGAGTTGTCAAACAGAACCAAGCTCTGTTCTCACTTTGCCGGGGCAGGCTGGGCAGGCGAACAGAGGCTGAGCTCCCTTCAGAGAGACATCCCCATATACAGTATGACCATTTCAAGATCATAAACTCAGTCTTATTCCATCACATGGCCCCCAGTGGCTAATCTAGTTCATGTAGTTGAGGTAAACATCAGAGTTGTCCAGCCTCCAGTTTACATTAATTCCAGCTCCCTGCTGTATGACCTTGGACAAGTTTACTTAAACTTTCTGAGCAGTCATTTTATTGTCATCTATAAAGTGAAGGTGATAATTATGTCTACTTCTTAGGATTATTGGGCAAAGGAAATCTAATGGTGTACTCCAAGTGCTTAGCATGTTTCTTGAAAAAGTAGGCGCTAAATAAATTGTAACTATTGTTAATACTATTCTGGTGGTAATGGTGATGGCAGTGTCGTCAGTGCATATTGAATGAATTCAATCAAAGTATTGATACCTATTCCCCATGTTTCTGTACACCCACGTATAAGACTGGTCTTAAATGATAGAAGAGGATTCCAAAGAATTGAGAAGCATCTTTGATGCTGTGGAAGAAACCCAGGGCCTGGAGTAAGAAGGCCGAGACAAATTCTAACATAACAACTTGAAATCTACATTTGTCAAATTCTCTAAATTGTAGATCAGTCACTCATAAAGCAGGAATCCCAATAACTTCCTTCCCAAGGTTAATTTGAGAACCAAGTTAGATGATGTTTTGAAAATAGTATTGGGAGTTATTTCTTTCAAGATTTAACAGTAGCCATCACGTAGATAAATCTCTCTAAATACAGGAGGTATCCAGAAGCATCATGAAGATTAGAACTTGGCCCTGCCCTGAGGAACTTCTTTTAGCAGTACAATCTCTTTGTTGGTGTTTATAGAGTTTCCTTCCTAGACCAGCTCTGGGTTCTGGTCTCAGCTGATCCCATTCCCCTTCTCCTTACCACATAACAACCACCCAGGCCATCTTCCTAGTCTCTGAACACTTATTCAACCTCAAGGTCTTTGTCGTTGTTCTTTCTCTGTCTGGAACACTCTCCTCTGGATGGCAGCTTCGCTGGTTTCCTTGCACTATTCTCAAAGCTTCGTCCATGTACTATCTCCTTGAATATCCTTCCCTGATCCATAAATCAATGAACTCCCAGTTGTCTTCTGTCACTTGGCTCTTTTTAATTTTCTGCATAACACTTATTATCTGAACCTGTCATGTTTATTCATTTGATTACTTGCTGTATCTGTTCCTCTCACTGAAAGCTGAGCTTCATGAGAACAGAAACTTTGCTTGTTCACTGCTCTGTCTCATGGCCTAGAACATTCTGGGCTGCTCCAAATATAAGCGTTGGAGGAATTCAGGTGGGCAGTAGAGGTAACAGAAGAGAAGTCACTCTCTTTTCCCTGGAGAAACTTGCAATCTAAACGAGGACTTAAGATTTACTCAAATTAAATCTGGCAGGACACCATGCAATGGGAAATAGATAAAAGCATATTTGTCTGAGCTTTATTGTCATTTGGAACTATTGAAGTCCCAGTCTTTTTGCATTCGGAGGAAACAAAGCTCCAGAGAAAAACAAACAAAAATCCTTAATTACCAGTGGTGCCACTCACACCTCATTCTTTAACAGGGCATAAACAGGGGAAGGGAGAGAAACAATGCACGATATCCCCAGCAGGGAGTCAGACCCCCTCTGATTTGGGGCTGTCACTTTTATTATTATTATTATTATTTTGAGACAGAGTCTTGCTGTGTTGCCCAAGCTGGAGTGCAATGGTGTGATCTCGGCTCACTGCAACCTCCGCCTCCTGGGTTCAAGTGATTCTCCTACCTCAGCCTCCTAAGTAGCTGGGATTACAGGTGCACACCACCACGCCCAGCTAATTTTTGATTTTTTGTAGAGACCAGGTGTCACCATGTTGGTCAAGCTGGTCTTGAACTCCTTACCTCATGATCCACCCGCTTCAGCCTCCCAAAGTGCTGGAATTACAGGCATGAGTGACCATGCCCAGCTGGCGGTCACTTCTTAAATGCTTGCTCTGTGTCAGTGTTTAAGAAGTGATAGCTCCAAATCAGAGGAGGTCTGACTGTGTGGCTGTCACTTCTCAAACACTTGCCATGCCAAGCACATTTACATTGTTATCTCCCTTAATCCTCACAGTATCCATGTGAAGTAGATACTATTTACTATTATTATTATTACTATCTCCATTTCACAGGTAAAGAAGTGAGTTCCTCACTGCTAAAGCCCCTTGTATTAACCACCAGCCTACACTGCTTCTCCTGCCCTACTGAGCCCTTCTACCCTAAGGTGATGATTCAGCATCCCTGCTTTGGTTACACCCAAAATTTTAAGCACACAACAACAAAAATACACACCAGTCAAACAAACGTGTTGGAGGAGGAAGCAGCAGGAGGAATTAACATTATTTACTTTAAGATTTATTATTCAAAAGTCCATTAAAACAAATTCCTCACTGAATTCTTTGCTGTGCCAAAAGCCTGTCCGTTGGGATAAATGTATCTTCTCTTTAGTCACATCATGTGGCTGTAAATTTATATTTACATTTTAATATTATATTCTTTATTTTCCTTTTCCCCCTATTTATGAGAAAACTCAGAATCAAATTCAGTTCCTCATCCTAGCAGGTGTGTCAATTCATTCATTTGTTCAATAATGAAAACAAAATCAACAATTACATTTAGATGTATAGATACAGATGTAGACATATAGCATAAACAATTTGTTATGTGCTGGGTTAGCAAATTAGCTCAACTCAGAAGGCATATTTATTATTTGCTCGTGTAAATTTGTTTAAATCTGTCTTTACATTTAATTTACCTTTTCTCTATTTCTTAATTTGTCACCGCAATATTTTGGAGAAGTTGGTAGAAGATAAACCTTAAATAAATAAAGTCATAATGTTACGTCGTAAAGACATAAAAATAAAATTAATCTGGCCTCATAAGTACTAGTGTGACAGAAGCAGCACACATATAGAATCATACGTATGCAGTTTTATTCTTTCACATCAATAACTGTATCTCAACACCAATCTTATAAGTCAGAGAGGCCCAGGAACTCATGCTTCTTCAAAGATGAAGCCAATTCATATTTCTTGGTAAAGTGAAGATGTTAAGTAAATACCGACCAATCATTAAAAGTGTATTTGCTGAGATGAAGTCTGTGGCTGGGAATGTAGGGATATGTATTTCACCATTAAGTGACAACAGGAAGCTCTTTCCCTACCAGTCAGTTGCCAAGCCCTATCAAATCTGCCTTAAAATGACTCTTCAGTCCATCTCCATCACCACAACCTTGGTTCAGGCTCCCTGAACTATGTAATACTACAGATTTCTGCATCTGGTAACCCCCAATTGCCACTCTCTGTCCCTTTGTTCTCTTGCATGCCATTCAAACAATCCCTTTGGTTCCATTTTCTTTTTCTTTTTCTTTTTTTTTTTAATAATTGCCATTTTCCATTTTTATTTTTGTTTACTTCCAATTTTTATTTTAGGTTCAGGGGATACATGTGCAGGTTTACTGCATGGGTAAATTGTATGTGGCTGGGGTTTGGTGTACAAATTATTTCATCACCCAGTTAGTGAGCATAGTATCAGATATGTAGTTTTTTGATTCTCACCCTCCTCCTACTCTCCACCTTCAAGTAGGCCCCGGTATCTATTGTTCCCTTCTTTGTGTCCATGTGAACTCTGTTTAGGTCTCACTTATAAGTGAGAACATGGCGGTATTCAGTTCTCTGTTCCTGTTAATTCACTTAGGATAATGGCCTCCAGCTGCATCCATGTTGCTGCAAAGGAAAAGATTTTATTCTTTTTTATGGCTGCATAGTATTCCATGGTATATATGTACCACATTTTCTTTATCCAGTCCACTGTTGATGGGTATCTGTGTCCTTACTATTGTGAGTAGTGCTGCAATGAACACATGCGTATGTGTCTTTCTGGTAGAATGATTTATATTCCTTTGCATATATACCTATTAATAGAATTGCTGGGTCAAATGATAGTTCTAAGCTCTTTGAGAAATTTACAACTGCTATCCATAGTGCACAAACTAATTTACATTCCTACCAGCAGATTGTAAGGATTTCCTTATCTCTGCAACCTCACCAGCATCTGTTATTTTAAGTAATGGCCATTCTGACTGGTATGGGATAGTATCTCATTGTGGTTTTGATTTGCATTTCTCTAATGATTAGTAATGAGCATTTTTTTTCATATGCTGTTGGCCATGTGTATGTCTTCTTTTGAGAAGTGTCTGTTCATCTCCTTTGCCCATTTTTTAGTTGGTGGATTATTTGTTTTTTGCTTGTTGATTTGCTTAAATTCTTCATAGAGTCTAGGTATTAGGCTTTTGTCAGATGCATAGTTGCAAATATTTTATCCCATTCTGTAGGTTGTCTGTTTACTCTGTTGATAGTTTCTTTTGCTGTACAGAAACTCTTTCATTTAATTAAGCCCCACTTGTCAATTTTTGTTTTTGTTGTAATTGTTTTTAGAGTCATTATCACTAAATCTTTACCAGGGCCTATTTCCACAGTGGTATTTCCTAGGTTTATTCTAGAGTTTTTATAGTGTCACGTTTCACATTTTAATCTTCAATCTGTCTTGAATTAATTTTGTATATGGTAAAAGTAAGGGGTCCAGTTTCAATCTTCTGTATATGGCTAGCCAGTTATCTTAGCACTTTTATTAAATAGGGACTCTTTACCCATTGTTTGTTATTGTCAATTTTGTTGAAGATCAGATGGTTGTAGGTGTGTGGCTTTATTTCTGCGTTCTCTAACCTGTTCCATTGGTGTATGTGTCTGTTTTTATGCCAGTACCATCGATCTATTTTCTCAAGAGTGAAATGCAGATTTCTTAGCTTATCACTCAAAATCCTCTACAACCAATCTTAAAAATGTACCCCTCTCAACCCACCCACCCTCTGTGAACCAGTTGGTGATCTTGTTTCTCAGGTCTAGAGAGAGAGGAAAATGTGGCTGGGATCTCACACCCAGAATCTTCAAGCAACTGCCTAATGTGACTGCAAATTCCACAGAGAGATATGTAGTAGGCTAAGCACTCATGCTATGAAGCTCAATGGGTTGGAAGTAGAAAGTGAGACTCAACTCAGGAGGTGGGACTGGACTTCAGAGACAGAGCTCAGATACTGAAAAAAATTGAGGACTAGCTAAAACCAGGACAGGGTGGAATCAACTTTCCATAAGACATGCCCACCAGCATGCCATGTCAGTTTACCATTGCCATGGCAGCACTTGTCCCTTTCCATGGCAATGACTTGATGACCCAGAAGTTACCCTTTATCTAGAAATGTTTGGATAATCTGCCCCTTAATTTGCATATAATTAAAAGTGGGTATAAATATGACTGCAGAACTGCCTCTGAGCTGCTATTCAGCACACTGCCTATGCAGTAGCCCTCCTCCACAAGGAGCAGTACCTCTGCAGCTGCTGTACACTGCCACTTCAATAGAAGTTGCTGTCTAACACCACAGGCTAGCTCTTGAATTCTTTCCTAGAGGAAGCCAAGAACCCTCCCAGGCTAAGCCCTAATTTTGGGGCTCATCTGCCCTGTATCAGTTTCACTACTCTCAGTCTGTGGAAGCCTAATGATATGGTTTGGCTGGGTCCCCACCTAAATCTCATCTTGAATTGTAACTACCACAGTTCCCTTGTGTTGTGGGAGGAACCCAGTGGGAGTTGATCGAATTATGGGGGCAGGTCTTTCCTGCACTGTTCTCATGATAGTGAATGAGTCACACAAGATCTGATGGTTTTAAAAAACAGGAGTTTCCCTGCACAAGCTCTCTCTCTCTTTGCCTGCCCCCATCCATGTAAGACATGACTTGCTCCTCCTTGCCTTCTGCCATGATTGAAGGGCCTCCCAGCCATGTGGAGTTTTAAGCCCATTAAACCTCTTTTTTTTCCCAGTCTCGGGTATGTCTTTATCAGCAGTGTGAAAATGAACTGATACACCTAACTTACCCAATCTCATCTCACAAAACCTAACTTTTCTCCTCAATAAAACAGAAATAATAATAGGACCTATGTCACAGGATATTGTTGTCAGGATTTAATTATAACATGCCTGTATAGTGCTTAACACAGTGCCTGACATATGATTAGAGCTATGATTATCCTTCTTTTATAAGAATTTGCTCCCAGATCCTATGTGGTCTCCTAGTCCTGGTGAGCTATGTTGGACTTGATGTAAAACATGAAGATTTCTAGTATACTTTGGCCTAAGATGTTAACTAAGAGCAGGCTCATGTCTGTTCTGATCCCTTATCACAGGTTCATTGATGTCTTATCATTCTCATGGTACTGGGAGGCTCAGAAAGCTAAACCCAAGAAAAATCACATTTAGTAGGCATGGGGTAGAGAAGGTTGTTCTTAAGATGTAGAGCCACCTCTCCAGAATTAAGGTAGCTTTCTGCAAGAGGAAAGCCCAGGTATGGCATTTCACATTAGCTGCATGAATCAAAAGGGTGAATCAAAAAATCAAATATGCTGTCAAGAGCCAGGAATTTATTACCTCTGTTTGCCTCAATGAATGTTTCATCTTTTTGTATGTAACCAGCAATGCCTTTATCCTTACCCACATTGAGCTTCTCCCCTTCCTGGATAGGCAGGGCCTGGATTCTCCTTACAACTTAGAACCTGCCACTAACACACACATTATTCAGGTTGATGTCAATGAGCCTTTGCTCAAGATTCTCATTCAGTTTTAGATGCCCCACTTGATTTCATTCATTCACTTAACAAATGGTTACTGAGCCCCTATTGAGAGGAAGGCACTGAAAGAGACACTGAACAAAATAAAGCCAGTTACTGATCTCATGAAGGTTCCAAAACCACGTGGAAAAGAGAGAAACAAAAATGTAAAAAACATATGGTACCAGCTAAAAATTAAATCATCAAAATGTAATGAGAAAGAACAATGTAGGAGACATAACATTTCTTGGGGGAAGGAGTAACAGAGAAGGCCTCTCCGAGGAGTAACATTTAACCAGAGACTGGAAAGGTGAGTAGAGTTAGCCAGGTAAAAAGGAGGGGGCAGGGGTTTCTAGCAATGGAAACAGTGTATGCAAAGGCCCTGAGGAGGGATCCTGAGAAAAAACCAGGAAGAGAAAGCCTAGAGAATGCTAGGAAGTGGTGGGCAAAGGGTAGAGTGGCAGAAGATGATACTGGGGACAAATGGCATGAGAGATTTCCCATTCACCTTTAAATAGCAATAGAAATGTCACTTCTTCTGAGAGGCATTGCCAGGCCACCACCCCATAAGACTTTATTGCCCCTTTTCTGCGGTTGACATCTGTTGTATTTGCTTTATAGAGTATATGGGCACTGTTGTGCTTGCCTAGCTCCCCATTACTAGAGCACAAGAGACTTAAGGCAAGGAATAAATCTTACTCATCTCTGCCTCCTCCACTCCCCCTGCACAATGCCCAGGACAAAATAATTGTTCAATGAATGTTGCATTTCTTTTGGAGATACAATGTCAAAGTCCAAATGACTTAGAAATGATATTTTAAAAATAAACTAGATCAAAGTTTTTGCCACTCCTATGAGTTGAACTGTGCCCCATGTTTTCTTGTCAATGCCCTATTTTTCTGTTTTCTCTCCAACTATTGTCTGATTAATTTTCTATTAACATTTGTCTATCTGAGCAGCTTCTAATAACCACCATACCACAAAAAAAACTTGATTCCAAGATGGCCATTTTGTCAGAGGGAGCCATTGAGTGCACTGAAGTCTGATAAATAATGAATGAACACAGAGCATTTAGAAGCTTGTGATATAAAAAGAAAATATAGGCCATAAGATAGATGGAATCACCTTGGCTCACAAACCTTGGATATCACTCTACAAAGTAATTTTGCGAATATTAAAATCATTTTCCTCAGTCACTGAACCTGGTGACAGGATAGGTCTGGTGTGGCATCCTGTAGCCAATATGGAAAAATCCTTCCAGCCAGCCACAAGTCTTGCCTGAAAACTCCCAATGGTGGAGTGACAGTCTCCAGAGAAGATACATTTTGATTCTGCAAGGTCAAGGGTGAGAATATGGGATGAGTTAATATTTCCCCAGTGTTTTATGAAATATGGGTATCACATACCATCTCACACCAGTTAGAATGGCAATCATTAAAAAGTCAGGAAACAACAGGTGCTGGAGAGGATGTGGAGAAATAGGAACACTTTTACACTGTTGGTGGGACTGTAAACTAGTTCAACCATTGTGGAAGACAGTGCGGCGATTCCTCAGGGATCTAGAACTAGAAATACCATTTGACCCAGCCATCCCATTACTGGGTATATACCCAAAGGATTATAAATCATGTTGCTATAAAGACACATGCACACGTATGTTTATTGCGGCACTATTCACAATAGCAAAGACTTGGAACCAACCCAAATGTCCAACAAGGATAGACTGGGTTAAGAAAATGTGGCACATACACACCATGGAATACTATGCAGCCATAAAAAAGGATGAGCTCATGTCCTTTGTAGGGACATGGATGAAGCTGGAAACCATCATTCTCAGCAAACTATCGCAAGGACAAAAAACCAAACACTGCATGTTCTCACTCATAGGTGGGAATTGAACAGTGAGAACACTTGCACACAGGAAGGGGAACATCACATACCAGGGCCTGTCGTGGGGTGGGGGGATGGGGGAGGGATAGCATTAGGAGATATACCTAATGTAAATGATGAGTTAATGGGTGCAGCACACCAACATGGCACACGTATACATACATAACAAACCTGCACATTGTGCACATGTACCCTAGAACTTAAAGTATAATAAAAAAAGAAAAAAAATGAAGGATTAACATTATTATTTACTTCTCGAAATCCTACGGGTTTTTTTTGGAATAAACATTGTGTTGGTTAACTGCAAAAAAAAAGAAAAAGAAAAAGAAATATGGGTATCACATTTGATATAAATGGCTGTTCCATACTGATAATCTATCTATGATCAAAAATGGGAAAATTCTAAGTCCAACCAAAAGCCAGAAATTTTTTCTGTCTTTTAAGAGTCTTTAATATTTTAATATGCTTTATTAATTGCATAGATGGGGATATAGCATTTAATGTTTCCCAAATCTATTTGAACCATAGATTATTTTTTATGTATATCTATTACAAAGACTTATAATAATGACTGAGACAGTCTGAGTAAGATCTTAGTAATTTAGTCCCTTAAATAACCATACAAATTGGAAACATCCCATGCTTTAGAATTAGAAGGCTTGGGTTCAAGTCTCTAATGAGTCATTAAAAATTATGTCCTTGATCGTGTCACTTAACCTTGAAACCTCAATTGCCTCACTTTTAAAGGAAAGTGAAGTCATCAGTTCCAACTTCACTGGTTTAATGGGATGATTAAATATGTTAATAGATATTAAAGGCCTTCTAGGAAGTATAAGCACAATATAATTTTTGTTTTTATTATTAATAAAGTTCAATATAAAGACTAACCACCCAGAGAAGGATAATGGCAAACCTATCAGAGTAGGGAGATTTAAGGTGGAAACTAAGAAATCAACAAGGCAGTTTTGGGGCCATCAGCAAATAGACTCACTGTGGTTATAAATGTCAGAACCATGGAGAGCTCCATTTGATGCTGTTGCTCATCTGAATCTACCCGCTGAGTTGCGTCCTAAGATAGCCCACACTGGCCAGGTGTGGTGGCTCACGCCTGTAATCCCAGCACATTGGGAGGCCGAGGTGGGCGGCTCACCCGAGGTCAGGAGTTCGAGACCAGCCTGGCCAACATGGTAAAACCTCATTTCTACTAAAAATACAAAAAAAAAAAAAAAAAAATTAGCCAGGTGTGATAGTGGGTAAGCGCCTGTAATCTCAGCTACTCAGGAGGCTGAGTCAGGATAATCGCTTGAACCCAGGAGGTGGAGGTTGCAGTGAGCCGAGATTACACCACTGCACTCCAGCCTGGGTGACAAGAGCAAAAAAAGATAGCCCACACCTCCCTAGTTGTTCAACTCTCCTGGCCTTATTGAGAGCTAAGATTTATCCAACAAGGAACTACCATGGCTTGTATGGAAGGCCTAATCTATCCAAAAAGACACAAAGTTCAGAAGGTGTGTCAGGTCTGATTGAGTGCAGTGATTTCATTTTCCAGATCAAGTGTGGATCTCTAGTCATACTTATCACTAGTATATCTGCTTCCCTTGAGGTCTTTGATATGAGAGTTGTAAAAAAGTTACTTGTTTTTTGGACTCACCTTGAATTTCCAGATTCTTTACTTTTTCCCTTTTTCTTACTCAGAACACTTTACCCTTCCATCTTCGTCTTGACCACATAAATACCTGAAATACA
Organism: Homo sapiens; assembly: GCF_000001405.40. Classification (NCBI taxonomy): domain Eukaryota; kingdom Metazoa; phylum Chordata; class Mammalia; order Primates; family Hominidae; genus Homo; species Homo sapiens. The sequence continues at coordinate 119,747,719 of NC_000009.12, forward strand.
CACTTCAACTCAGTGTTCACATTCTTGGTGAAGCCAGCCAGAATGATGACCATCCCTCCCCATGCCTAAGTCCCATTAGACCACCTCAGCAGTAACACTTTTCCTAACATAGATTATTAAGAAAATGTCAGGAAGGTGTCTGGAAACACACATAGGATTTTAGTGGGTTTCTGTTTTTAATGTATATGCATTCCACTTTCTCTGAAATAACAGGATCCCTGAGACACCAGTTCAAGCATGTTGAATAGGTCCTTCCAAACATATAAAGGAATTCCTGCTATGTACACTACATAGACAACACTAAAATGCAAAGCAGGGAAGTTATTTTTCAAAATCTACCTTTAAATACTCTAGGGACTCTGCAAACCACCTTTCCCAGACTGCTTTGTCATCTGGGGTTCTGCCAGTAGAAAACACTAGAGAGAGATTAGAATGAATAAGGAGAAGAGGGACCCTTTTCCTATTTGTACTGTGGTCAAAGTTATCTCAGTGGTAGTCTGCTCCAGCATCAAGCTGTGTTCAGCACTTCCAGAAGCAGTCTTACCAAGCTCTTCAGAACGTGTTTGGTGCCTCTGTTTCCAGAGATCTGACCACCAGCTCTACAGAGTCCCTCCTACAAGCTCCAAGGTCTGGAGATGCTGAGTCTCTCCTTTGGTTCCCCATGACTAGGAGTAATCACTTCTCTAAGCATTTTTTTAAATCTCTGAAATATTTTTGATGCTTCCTTTTTATCCCTCTTACAGCTCTCTAAAACTGTTATAACCAATTACATCTCCTTTGTTAAAATATGTAGTGTGGTTTCTGCTTTCCTGGCTGGATCTTGATAGATGAAGTATATGGAATTATCAGTCTCTTCAAACCTTAAGCCCAATATCCAAGGCTATGTGATTGTAGAAACTGACCCTCAGGGCTTTCTAAATATTGTTGTAGCCATGGACCCATTTTTGGAGGAAAATAAATGTTGTGGATCCTCTTTTCGGAAATCACATATTCACAAAATTCTGAATGCAATATCAAGGGGTTCATGGTTCCCTAAGGTCTCCCCCATTAATTCCCATACTACTATCAATTTATAGAGATATAAAGTTCCCATAAGGCCATGAAAATTTCAAAAACACTTATTCTGTTTTCAATTTAACAGTTTTTAGATACATAACGAAAATTTTCCTATTTAATAAAAATGAGTACCTTTATAAATGAGTCACAACAATAATTCCACATTTTGCTTTTCTTCAATTCCCAACTGGATATATCCATGTTAATTGGTATATTTCTAAATTAATTTTTGTTAAATCTGCTTCCTCTAAAATATTTAATTTTACCTGAACTTAAATGGAATTAATGGGTAGCCTAACTTCATTGTTTATTTACTTATTTTTAATGGACAAATAAAAATATACATTTATCATGTACAGCATGATGTTTTGAAATATGCATACATTGTGGAATGGCCTGATCAAGCTAATTAACATATGTATTACTTCACATACTTATCATTGTTTCTGTGAGAACACTTAAAACCTACTGTCTTAGCAATTTTCAAGAATGCAATGCATTAACTATAGTCACCATGTTGTACAACAGATCTGTTAAACTTATCCTTCCTATCTAATTGAAATTTTGTATCATTTGACCGATATTTATCCAACCCCGTTATACTCCTAACTTTTGATAACCACCTTTCTATTCTTTACTTATATGAGTTCAACTTTTTTAGATTCCACATATGAGTGAGATGCTGTGGTATTTGTCTTTCTGTGTCTAGCCAATTTCTGTGTGTGGCTGATAATGTAATGTCCTCCAGGTTCACCTATGTTGTTGTCCCCAGTGACAGGATTCCCTTCTTGGTAAGGCTAAATAGTATTTTATTGTGAATTGTCTTTACCCATTCATCCATTGATAGGCACATAGATTGATTCCATGTCTTGGCTATTATGAATAATGCTGCAATGAACATGGGAGTGCAGATATCTTTTCAATATGCTGATTTAATTTTTGGATATATACCCAAAAGTGGGATTGCTAGTTCATACAGTAATTCTATTTTTAATTTTTCGAGGAACTATCAAAGTACTTCGCATAAGGGCTGTACTAATTTACATTCCCACTATCAGTATACAAAGGTTCCCTTTTCTCCACATCCTCTCTAGCACTTATCTTTCATCTTTTTGGCAATAGCCATTCTAACAGATGTGAACTAATATCTCATTGTGGTTTTAATTTGCATTTCCCTGATGATTAGTGATGTTGAGTATTTTTTCATATATCTGTTGATCATTTATATGTCTTCTTTTGAGAAATATCTATGAGAATCCTTTGCCCATTTTCTAATTACATTATTTGTGAATTTTTTTGGCTATTGGATTGTTTGGGTTTCTTATGTATTTTGGATATTAACCTTTTATCAGATATATAGTTTGCAAATATTTTCTCCATTTCTGTAGGTTTTCTCTTCACTCTGTTGATTGTTTCCCTGGCTGTGCAGAACCTTTTGAGCTTAATGTAGTCTATTTATCTATTTTTTGCCTTTGTTGCCTATGCTTTTGAGGTGATATCTAAAAAATAGTTATGTCCAGGCCAATGTCATAAAGCTTTTTCCTTATGCTTTCTTCTAGTACTTTTATAGTTACAGGTCTTACATTTAAGTCTTGAATCCCATTTCAAGCTTACTTTTGCATATGATGTGAGAGAAGGGACTAATTTCATTCTTCTGCAGTTGCCCCCACACTATTTGTTGAAGAGACTGTCCTTTCCTCACTGTGTGTTCTTGGCACCTTTGTCAAAACTCCCTTGATTATAAATGCACATAATTATTTCTGGGCTTTCTATTCTGTTCAATTGGTCTATGTATCTGTTTTTATGCAGTACCATGTTGCTTTGATTACTAAACTTTGGAGTACATTTTGTAGTCAGGTAGTAGGATGCCTCCAGCTTTGCTCATTTTGTTCAAAATTGCTTTGGCTATTCAGAGTCTAGTAATTTCTCATTTCTACACATTGCATACTCTATTCAGGGCCTAGGAGATCCACATCTTGGTTAATCACTTTGCACTCTTATTTGATCTTCATGACAATTATCTAAGTAAGTGACAGCCAAGTGTTACTACATTTTATAGTTCAAGAAATTCTATCTGGAAATGTTATGTGAATTTCTCAAACTTACGAAGCTAGAAAAAGCTGGACAAGTTTTAGAATTAAAAACCACTGGATGCTGGGCCGGGTGCGGTGGCTCACGCTGTAATCCCAGCACTTTGGAAGGCCTAGGCGGGTGGATCACAAGGTCAGGAGATCGAGACCATCCTGGCTAACACGGTGAAACCCCTTCTCTAATAAAAAAAAATACAAAAAAATTTGCCGGGCGTGGTGGTGGGCACCTGTAATCCCAGCTACTCCGGAGGCTGAGGCAGAAGATTGGCGTGAACCTGGGAGGCAGAGCTTGCAGTGAGCGAGATGGTGCCACTGCCCTCCAGCCTGGGTGACAGAGCAACACTCCGTTAAAAAAACAAAAAAAAAAACACTGGATGCTAACTCAGAGGTTCTTTATTCTTTATACTGGGAAAAAAAACAGTTGACGAAAGAGGTAGGAAGTCTGCTACTCTATAAAACTATTAGAGATTTCCAAGCCTTACATTATGTAATCTGATATCTATACAAGGCATTAAAGACACTGGTCTACAACTCTGCTGGAACTAGACCTAACTAGGCTGCATATAGAAAGACCTAAAGTTAGAGGGATGTGTAGATTTTCAAAAAAGGAGAATTCTTTGTGTGATTTTTCTTTATCGGCATGGCCTTTGGAACTAAGTAGACTTGGATTCAAGTCAAGGTACTGCCATTTATCAGTGGTTAGACCTTATACAATTTATTCAACACCATTATCTTTAATTTCTAATTTTTAAAAAAGATATAATAATGTTTTACAATACTTAATACTAAGATGAGGAAATGTATGAAAACCTTCAGTCCAGTGCCTGGAAATCAACAGGTTTTCAAAGCTCACCTCTCTTCCCTTGCCCTAGCCTGTCTGAATCATTCTATTGATAATTTGGGAAAGTGGCTCAGTATATCCTAACCTTAATAACTGTTTCTGCAACTCCAAACTGTACCTTGTTGTTCCTTTATCATATCAGATGGGTGATTCTTTTCGCGTGGTAGTCATTGCAATGCAGACTGTAATCTTCATATTTTAGACACTTTCTTTCAGGGTTTTGCTGATAACTCTGGATTCTTTTCCAGGAGAGTGACTAATGCAACTCAATGCAATATGGAAACACTTCCGCAATTTTCTCATTTCCCTGATGAGACTCTTACTCAGCTTTTCCTTCCCATCCCATTTAAAAGAACCTCCAAGGGGCCTTCCTTAATGGAGTCCCTGCAGATGTGCTGTTCTTTCAGAGGCTCTTCAAGCACTTCACAAGTAACACAGAAGTGGGTGAACAGCTCAGCTTTTCCAGGTTGTTAAACATTGCTTAACTATTTTTCAAATGTTTTGGCATCAGTAAAAGTCTCAAATGCTTTTGGGGCCAAGCACTGGTTCCATTAATATTTTACACCCTAAATGTTTTAAGAGATTCATTTATTCTAAAGTCACCTGTCGACTTTTCTCTAAGAGCTTTTTGATGTCCCACCAGCTCCCCCAAGCTCTCTGTGAAAATTACTAAATATCTTCATCCATTCCCACCTATCCCCTGGCTTCAGACACTGTGGACGACCCCAAGAGATAGATGTCCAGATATAGAAATAAAATGAGACTTTCAGAGCAGGATTAGCTCTTGGCAAAATTCCTAACAATATTATTGAGATTTTTACAAATGGAGAGTTGTAAATTTTGCGTGATTTTCCAGGATAAAGGGATGGAATAAATGAACTATTTATCTGACAAGATTATTAATTTTTTTATGTAGGGATGTGTTTTTTCAATACTAGCAAGATTTTGAATCCCAGCCCAGAAGATTCTATTTCTGAGGGCTCCACAGAACAAGCAAGTCTAAAAGATAAAACCAACAGGGTCTGGCTAAGGTGATAATTTCAAGGATCTTTTAGTGGAAAGATTATTTGTTCCCACTGAGTATGTAAATTTTACTTGTATTGCCTGTGGGCTCTGAGTATAGGCTAGCTTTTTATTCAAATATCAGATATAAGAGCTTTCCAGAAGACCATGTCCAGGCAAAAGTGCCCAATTACATATACAATATTTTTCATTTTGTTCATTTCTTGGTGAGTAATTACCTTGAAGAAAACTGGGGTAGGGGAAAACTTCCACGTCTGTAGGAGCCTTCCCTAAAAGGAGAACTACGTTCTCTATGGGGGTGTGCTCAGCCAGAACTCAACTTTCATTTACCCTCAAATTCTTAACCCAGGTAGTACAGGTGTCCAGAAAGCTGGTCAAGATGTAATGCTACTATTAGAAATTTCAGAAAAAATGGTAGGGTGCTAAAAAATAAACAAAACCCTTTTTTGACAGGACAATGTCCTTTACTAAATTATACAATATGGAAATGTCATACCAAGAAAAGCACTCTACTAAAGACAAAAAACCCAGATTCTAACTCCAACGCTATTATTTGCTAGCTATATGACCTTGAGCATGTCTTTGAAACACACTAAGCCTTGGCATTTTCATGAGGAAGTTGGGAAGACAATTTCTGAACCAAATTAGATGGTGGAGCCTTTTTAAATGTCATATTCCCATTTTTCAGGTTGAAGAAATTGAAAGTCAGAAAGATATAATTACTTATTTAATGATTCAGAACCAGCAAGAAGCAGAACTGAGACTTGTATCCACACATTCTGAGTCTGTTTTGAAGATCCTTGCAATATAGCATGCTGCCTTTCTCCCCCAAGAGAAACAAATTAATTTCAATGTCTGTTCACAGCTTTCATGTTTTGGTTGATGTTATTGTTTATTTTTATTGTGGTAAGTACATTTAGCTAAGATCTATCTTCTTAACAAATTTTAGTATGCAATACGATATTATAAACTATAGTCCACAATATTGTACAGTAGATCTCCTAAACTTAATTATCCTGTATAATGGAAATTTTATACACATTAAACAGCTGCCCATTTCCTCTTATCCCCACTCCCTGACAATTACCATTCTACTCTCTGCTTCTATGAGGTTGACTATTTTAGACATTTCATATAAATAAAGTTATGTGTATATTTTCTTCTGTGACTGGCTTATTTCATTTAGCATAATGTCCTCAAGATTTGTCCATATTGCTACATATGGCAGGATTTCCTTCTTTTTCAAGCTAATATTCCATTGTGTGTATATACCACATTTTCTTTATCCATTTATTTGTCAATGAACATTTACGTCATTTTCACATCTTGGCTATTGTGAATAATGCTGCAATGAACATCTTTGCAGATATCTTTTCAAGATCTTGATTTGAATTCTTTTGAATACCAGAAATAGAATTGCTGAAACATATGGCAGTCTATTTTTAATTTTTTGAGGAATCTCTATACTGTTTTCTATAGTGGCTACATCATTTTACATTTCAACCAACAGTGTACAAGGTTCCCTCTTCTTTATATCCTCAATAACACTTATTATTTGGGGGTTTGTTTGGTTTCTTTTTTGCTTACTTTGTAACAGTCATCCTAACAAGTTAAGGCAATATCTTTTTGGGATTTTGATTTGCATTCCTCTGACGACTGGTCATGTTGAGCATCTTTTTATATACCTGTGGCCATTTGTATATCCTCTTCAGAGAAATGTCTATTCAAGTCCTTTGCCCATTTTTTAATTGGGTCATTTTTGTTTTTGTCATTGTTATTGTTGAGTTGTAAGTGTTCTGTATATATTTTTGAAATTAATTCCTTATAAAATGTATGGTTTGCAAATTTTTCTCTATCCTGTAGTAGCCTGTCACTCTGTCAATTGTTTGCTTTGCCATGAAGAAGCTTTTAGTTTAATGTAGTCCCACTTATCTGTTAATATTTTGTATTTTTGCCCGTGCTTTTGATGTCATATCCAAGAAATTATTACTAAGACCAATGTCATGATGGTTTTCTCACTTTTTTTCTAGAAGTTTTACAGTTTTATGTCTTATATTTAATCCTTTAATCAATCTGAAGTAATTTTGATATATGGTGTAAGTTAAGTGACCAATTTTATTTTATTTTTTTGGCATGTAAATATCTAGTTTAGAGACTGTTCTTTCCCCACTGTTTATTCTTGGTACTCTTGTTGAAAATCAGAAGTATATGCATGGACATATTTTTGGGGTTTCTATTCTCTTCCTTTGGACTACATGTCTGTCTGCATGCCAGTACCATGCTAGTTTAATCACTATACCTTTGTAATATATTTTTGAAATCAGGAAGGATGATGCATCTCCAACTTTGTCCTTTCTCAAAATATTTTTTCTCTTCAGAATCAATTGTAACACCATAGGAATTTTAGAATTTTTTTCTACTTCTATAAAAAAGTGTCACCGAGATTTTGATAGGAATCACATTGAATCTGCAGATTGCTTTCAGTAGTATGGACATTTTAACAACGTGAAATTTTCTAATATATGAACAAAGAATATCTTTCCATTTATTTGTGGCTTTTATTTCTTTCATCAATGTTTTATAGTTTTTAATATACAAGTCTTTCACCTCCTTAGTTAAGTTTATTCCTAAGTATTTTATTCTTCTTGATGCTATTGGAAATTGACATTAATTGTTTTCTTAATTGTTTTGCTTGCTTAATGTGTTGTTTTCTTGATTTCCTTTTAGGATAGTTCATTGTTAGCACATAAATGCAACTTATTTTTGTATATTGATTTTGTATCTTGCAACTTTACTGAATATGGTTATCAATTCTAATACCTTTTCTTCGTGAAGTCTTTAGAGTCGTCTACATATAACACAATGCTATCTGCAAACAGATAATTTTACTTCTTCCTTTCTGATTTGGATGCATATTATCTATTTTTCCTGTCCAATTGCTTTGCCTGGTACATCAAGTATTATGTTGAACAGAAACGGTCACTGTGGGGATCTTTGACTCATTCCCGATCTTAGTGGAATGGTTTCAGTTTTTCATCATTGAATATAACATTGGCTGTGGGCTTTTCACATATGGCCTCTATTATGTTGAGGTAATATTCTTCTATTTCTACTTTGTTGAGTTTTTTTCCCTAAATTGATGTTGAATTTTGTCAAATTCTTTTTCTGCATCTATTGAGATCATCATATGATTATCCTTCATTCTGTCAATGTGGTATATTATCTTAACAGATTTGAACCATCCTTGCATCTCAAGGATAGATCCCACTTGGTCATGGATCCCACTTATTCATGATATATGATCCTTTTAACATGCTGTTGAATTTGGTATGCTGGTATTTCATTGAAGATTTTTGCATGTATGTTCATCAAGAATATTTGCCTGCAATTTTCTCTTCTTGTAGTGTCTTTGTCTGGCTTTGGTATCAGGCTAATGCTTACCTTATAAAATGAGTTTGGAAATGTTTCTTCTTATACAATTTTTGAAAGAATTTGAGAAGAATTGGCACTATTTCTTTTTCAAATGTTTGGTAGAATTCCGTATAAAAGCGAATCTAATCCTGGGCTTTGTTGGTGGTGGTGGAAGATTTTTAAAACCTGACTTGATTTCCTTACTGGTTATAAGTCTGTTCATATTTTCTATTTTTTCATAATTCAGTCTTGGTAGTTGCATGTTTCTATGAATTTATCCAGTTCTTTTAGACTATTCAATTTGTCAGCATATACTTGTTTATAGCAGTTTCTTATGATCCTTTCTATTTTTGTGGCATCAGTTGTAATGCCTTCTCTTTCATTTCTGATTTTGAGTAATCTCTCCTTTTTCTCTAGTCCAGCTAAAGGTTTGTCAATTTGTTTTGTTTTGTTCCCCACCCCCCCCCCCCAAAAAAAACCCTCGGTTTTGTTGATTTTTTCTATTACTTTCCTATTCTCTATTTTATTTATATTTGTTCTAATCTTTGTCTTTGGTGGTTTTTTTTTTTTTTTTTTTTTTGAGACAGAGTCATGCTCAGTTTCCCAGGCTGGAGTGCAATGGCACAATCTCAGCTCACTGCAACCTCCGCCTCCTGGGTTCAAGTGATTCTCCTGCCTCAACCTCCCGAGTAGCTGAGATTACAGGCATGCATCACCACACCCAGCTAATTTTTGTATTTTTAGTAGAGACATGATCCACCTGCCTCAGCCTCCCAGAGTGCTGGGATTACAGGCATGAGCCACTGTGCCCAGCCTGTTCTAATCTTTATGACCTCCTTTCTTCTGATAATTTTGCACTTAGTTTGTTCTTTTTCTAATTCCTTGAGGTGTAAAGTTAGGTTGTTTGTTTGAGATTTTTCTTTTTAGTAAATGTAGATATTTATCCCTATAGACTTTCCTCTGAACTTCTGCTGCTGATTTTAGTATGCTGCGTTTACAGACTTCAGTATGCTATGTTTTTGTCTCTCTCGATATATTTTCTAATTTTCCTTGTAATTTCTTTTTTGACCCATTGGTTGTTCAGAAATATTGTTTAATTTTTGTGTATTTGTGAATTTTCCAATTTTCTTTCTGCTATTGATTTTTAGTTTTATTCCATTGTGTTTAGAAGAGACACTTGGTATAATTTTAACCTTCTTAAATTTGTTAACATTTGTGCTGTGACCTAAAATATGATCTATCCTGGAGAATATTTAACATGCACTTGAGCAGAATGCATATTCTGTTACTGTTGGGTTAAATGTTCTGTGTGTTTGTAAGAACTTTCTGGTCTATATTGCTGTTCAAGTCTTCTGTTTCCTTATTGATTTTCTGTCTGAATGTTCTATCTATTATTGATGTTTCCTCCTATTATTGTATTACTGTCTATTTCTTCCTTCAATTATTTCAGTGTTTGCTTTATATATTTACGTGATCCGATGTTTGGTGCATTTATATTTACAATTATTACATCTTCCTGGTAAATTGACACCTTTATCACTTTGGAATGTCCTTCTTTGTCTTTTGTGAAGTTGTTATCAGTTTAAAATAAACTTATAACTATTACATAAGATGTTTATATAAGCCCCATGGTAACTTCAAAAATACATCTATATAACATATACAAAAGAAAAAGGAATCAAAGCATATCAATACACCAAAGATTCAATGAAATACAAAAGGTGATAGAAAGAGAGAAAAAGAGAGACAAAAGGACTATGAGACAGACAGAAAGCAATTAACAAAATGGCAACCATAAGCCCTCCCTATCAGTAATTACTTTAAGTGTAAATGATTTAAGCTCTCCAATCAAAAGTTAGAGAGTGACTTAGTGAAAAAAAAAAAAAAAAGAAAAAACAACAACAACAAGGTCCAACTATATGTTATCTATAGGAGGCTTACCTTAGATTTAAGGACACATGTAGGCTGAAAATGAAAGGACAGAAAAAGATGTTCCATGCAAACAGTAACCAAAATGAGCAGGAGTGGCTGTACTTGTATCAGACAAAATAGACTTTGAGTCAAAAACTGTCACAGCTTTCTTGTTGATGTCTCCCTTGCAAGACTCTCTGTATGACAAGAGATACAAAATAACTTGGTTGCTCAGGTAGACAAATGCCTTGGGAAATATTTATTTAACTTACTCAAGCTCAGCGTGACCATAAAAGAACTCTCTCTGCTCACGCAGGTGTTACTCTGTAAGCAGGACTGTTGGATACAACCAATTGGAGGTTTGGCAGCCAGAGGCTTAGGGATGAACCAAGGCACAGGGATAGAAAGACAGCATTCAAGGACACCGTGAAAAGGGGAATCAATCTCATGCATGGGTTCAGGCTTAAGGACAAGATCAGGGAGGGGCTGAGGATGTCTTCTGCTCACATTACTTTACAACAGAAATAAAAACAGAAGGTTGAAAGGTTTCTGTTTTAGGTCACATTAAAATGCCTGCAAACTCATAACATCAAAATAGTCACATCAAAGTGTCCTATTTCCATTTTTCAACCCTCCTCTCTAGTATGTGGGATTTTATAGCCCTCAATAGATCTTACTGCTCCACCAGTCCCCTTTTCATACCCCTACGCTTCCCCAGAACCACCCCACACCCTCTGGAACTTGCAAATATAGCCTGGACATTCTGTGCTGCTGCTGTTTACTTTCTTTCCTGAATATCATTGCAAAATCTATTTCTCTAACCTCTATTTTCTTCATTCCCTGATTTCTCTACCCAGTCCCAAGTATCCCTATTAATTCTGATATAAAGAGAGCTACGAAATATTTACTGATTTAAAAAAATCAGTGTGATCTAAGCACATAGTAGGAAGTTAGCTGATACTAAGGTAGAATAAAATGTAAATAAATTGTAAGATACTCTCTCCATGAAAACACCTCTGCAATTGGAACACCTGCCTGGGTCTCTCCTGGACTCCACAGTTCTTTTTTGCACCAGAATTGCATATAAATGCATACCACATACTCCATTAGGAGAACACACGCTGCGTGTGAGTGTGTGAGGGAAAATTTGTTTTCACAACAAGCAGAACATCAAAATAGCTTCAGAGCCCATTGAAGCAGGGGCTTCAGCTGCAAGATAAAGGATCGGGAAGCAGGGATGTGAATAGGAAGAGAAAAACAGATCCAGAGAAGACACAACACAAATGAAAGAAGGGACCCTCGGTTGGGCAGGAAGATGGAAGGAGGGAGAAAGATACGAGTCTCCCTGGGTTTCTATATCTGAGCAAGCCACGGACATTGCTGAGGAAAAAAGAGAAGGCAGTGCAATTTCATGAATCAAAATCACAAGTTGAAGAGCTTATGTTCAAAAGTGATTAACGTAAATTTGTTAAAAAGCTGATGAAACTGTTTCTTTCCTTGAAAAGTCTAGGGAGGAAGGCCACAGCTGATTCCAGCACAACCTCGCCTGTCAAGGTGTGAATGGCAGAGGGGCTGGTAGGGATAGCAGAAACATAAGAAGCATCAGTTCAGGCTCTCCTTTTAGGCAAATGTGTGCACAAATTGTAGCTACGTGACCTCAGGCACATGATTGACGTCTCATCTCACCTGTCTGCCTCAGGGCCCCTAGCCCTAAAACAAAAATGTCTTTCCTATAGAATTGATACAAGAATAAAATAAGATATTGCAGAGCTTGCTACTCAGAAAATAAATGCTCAATACACATAAAGCAAATCTTAAGACAATTTTGGAAAAGATCTCACAGCCTTCTGCTGAGTTGAAGAGGAAAATAGTGGAACAATAATCTTCATTGGTGTAGCTTTATGAGTTTAAAAAGGCTTTTGATAGCTAATGATTTCATCAGCCTTGGAAAGTGGAGACACAGGGATTATGAGCGAGAGTGAATGTCACGATTATGAGCAAAGAGTCCAGAGCTGGACTCCACCAGAGCTCAAAGCCTGTACCTGAGACCTGTTGGCTGTGGGGCCTTACGCATCTCCTCACCTGTTTAGTTCCTCATTGTGAAGTGTGAGTAACAGTACTTCCCATCTCCTAAGACTGTTGAGGAGATTAGCTGAATTAACATATATGCTTGGAAGAGTGCACAGAATATATTAAGGACCCAATAAAAATTAACTATTATGTTTTGCATTTCATAGAAGAACAACAAATGAGTCTCTCCAGAGAGACTTATATACTTGCCCTAGGATTCCCAGGGAAGAAGTGGGGATCTGGGCACCAAAGACACTGGACTCCAAGCCCAAGAGTCTTTCTGCCTGTAGGCAACTCCCTGGAGCTCCTACTGACTGGCTGGTCCATGGGACACTCTAAACCTGCAGAGCCTGGAGTTTCATCAAGGCAGCTGCAGGTAGACAAGTAGAGGAAATCCTGAGGCATTCCAAAAACATGCTATTAGAGGCACCAAAGGCATGCAATGAGAAATGGTGAGCAAGACTTTCTCATAGGCTGTTCCTTCTGCCTGGAACACATTCCCCAATTTCTTCTCTTCACTCTTTACCTGCCTCTAGATGTTGTATCATCATTTGGTATCTACAGCACCAATAGGAAATTATGAGTGTGTATGCATGTGTGTGTGTATGTTTATGTGTCTATAAACTATCTATCTATATCTATCCATCTGTCTATCTATTTATTTAATGAGAAATTGGTTCACCTAATTGTGGGACTGGTAAGCCTGAAATCTGTAGGGAAGGCTAGCAGACTGGAAACTTGATGGAGATAATATTGCAGAATTTATTCTTCTCTCTGGGAAACCTCAGTGTTAGTCCTAAAGCCTTCACCTTACTGGATGGGACTCACCCACATTATTCAAAGGTAACCTCTTTTAACTTGAAGTCAAGTAGATGTTAATGACATCTACAAAATAGCCTGGTAGCAACATCTATAGGAGTGTTTGGTGAAATGACTGAGTACTAGATAGAGAAGCCAAGCTGAAACATAAACCATCACAAATGTCAACTTAAATGTTCCTTCCTCAAGCACGGATTGCTCACTGATTCCTCAAAATAGATCAAGGCCTCCTTTTATACATTAATGGTAGCCTGTATTTTTTGTAATATGCATTAAAATAATCATAATAATTTACATAATTATTTGCTTAGGGTGTAAGCACTATGATGGCAGAGATTATTTCTGTTTTCAAGATTCAAGGAGCCTAATACAGTGTCTGGCTTTCAGTGCTAATTTGCATTTTTTTTTCTTTTTTTTTTTTTTTTGAGATGGAATCCCACTCTATTGCCCCTGCTGGAATGCAATGGCATGATCTGGGCTCACTGCAACCTCTGCCTCCCGGGTTCAAGCAATTCTTCTGCCTCAGCCTTCCGACTAGCTGTGACTACAGGCATGTGCTACCACACCCAGCTAATTTTTTTGTATTTTTAGTAGAGATGGGCTTTCACCATGTTGGTCAGGCTGGTCTTGAACTCCCGACCTCAAATGATCCATCCGCCTTGGCCTCCCAAAGTGCTGGGAGTACAGGAGTGAGCCACTGGGCCTGGCCTTGATTTGCATTTAGTTGAATGTATGAAAGCTCACCTCTTTGAAGAACTGTTCGTTCTCTAGGGGAGGTGGTGGCAACTTAGCAATGGATGCATAGGGCTCTGTTGTTCTAAACCCTTTATATATATATTTTGAATTTTCTCATCACTTTTCAAAATTTCTGTAAATGAGATTAGGGAAAATCTTGTTTCCTTCTTAGAAAAAAAAAGTCAGCCAGTTGTTTTCTCTCTTGCATGCACAGGAAGCTTGGCCTTTGGGGAGTTATCAGAGCATGAAAAGAGGGGTGGCGTCAAAGTCTGCAGAGAAATGTTCAAACCAGTTTTTTCTTACTTTTTTCTCTGCACTTGGATGACTCCTCTTCATGTATTTATTGCCTGATTGGTTCCTTTGTTCCTTGAACATTTTTAGATCCTCCATTCAGAGCAAGTCCCCTTGTTATCAATGTCAGCTGGGCCTGAGTCAGGGTTTAGTGCAAGATTGGATGACATGTATCCTGGCTTCCAAAGGAAAATGGCTGAGCTGTACTGTGCTTTCAGTGTTTCTGTTCCATTCTTCCGGGAACAGAATTTATCTCACCAGGTAAGAGGGAGAAAATCAGAGTGAGGGAGAAAAGAGTTACTAAACTGAAAGTGAATATGGGTGAAGTAACATGTATTGAAGACCTAGTCAAATTTTACAGACTTACCAGTAGATTTTGAAGATGTCATTGGGGGGGGGGGGGCTGTATTTATTTGAAAAAAAAATCTTAATAAATGCCTAGAATGGAAGATGGGACTTCACACTTGAATATCAGCTGGTACAGAAACATCTGAGGAGATCAACTGCTCCTTATAAAAGAAACAATAATTTGGGGTTTTCTCGACAATCTGGGTGTTAGAAAATGAAAAGAAGATAGCAGAAGGCCATATATGGGAGGAGGCTGGGAGGTATGGGTGTGGCTTTTCCTTGTTCCTCCAACACACTCACACACTCACGTGAGCACCCACACCCATTCACTTCAAGTCATCTGCAGTGTCTACCTAATTTACAAGTACCTTCAGGAAAGACTAGTTGTGTTTATTACAAAAACCGAAGAGGCGGAGCCTTACATCACAGTCAACATGATGCAAAAGAAAGTCAGTTTCAACAGTACAGGAGCTGAGTCCCAGGTGGTGCTAGGGATGTAATTGCTCCAAGAATTCACACGTATTTTGGGAAAGGTTTGTCTATTTACAGGAGGCACAATGAGCAGGGTTCCAACCAGATTATCTGAATCTCAGAGATGTTGACAACTAGCTAACAAACAGGATTATGTATTTATCTCATTTAATATAACCACTCTCTACAGTACATTTTCATTCCCTTACTAATGATGACTTGGTAAAATAAAAACAGAGGTCAAATCACACAGCTGGTTAGAGGCAGACCAGGGCTGGAACCCAGGCTATTTCAATACCAATCCCTTTGTAAAGATAATTTATTCCCCATGCACTGTTCTGGGTGCTTTTCATGCATACATTAATTCTTTTCATCTATATTCCTATATAAGGAAACCAATGATAGAGAAGTTGAGTGGTTTGCCCAGGGTCATGCAGCTATAAGTAATAGAGCCAGGTTTCAAATGTATGCCATCTGTGCCAGTGTGCACGAGCTTAACCACCAGGGTGTTCCACCTCTGCCTGCCTACCATGCTACTGCCTCCAACTAATCATTCTGTTGCTTGTTCCTTTCCAATATGAAGCAACATTCCTGTTTTCCCCCTGACTTAGCTGTTATCTTTCTGCAGCCAGTTATCAGCTTATATCTCCCTGCTGCTGACTGTTCCATGTATTATTACACTTTCATATCTCGCATCTTCTTGCATTCAATTATGATAAGCATCTACTTTATGAGAGGCCAGACCGATGGCTTGTGCTTTGTATTTCAAAAATATTTGCACTAGAAATTCCAAAACCCCAACCAGAGGAAAATAAATTAACAACTAAAAATACCTTAGGTGTCAGGTCAATAGCTTCTGAAAAATACTAGACAGAGCTGTTTGAAGCTTTTATTAGAAACTCATCCAACTGTTCACCCACTGATTTATTCATTCAACAAACTTTTATTGAGCTTCTGCTATAACAGGATGAGATGTAGGAAGGATAAGAATGCCCAGCTTTGTCCTTAAAGAGTTTACACTCTCCCAGAGACAGCAGAAACATGTCTTAAATGGAGAATTTTATACAAAGGTGTCCTAAGAAAACATGCTGCTTCCAGAGGTAGTGAGGTCCCTGTCAATGGAAGTATTCAAGGAGTCTGGACAACTTCTTGTAAGGGATAGTATAGATGGAATTCAAGCATAAAATGTCTATTTGGACAAGTCTAACTTTAAGTTTCTTAGAAGTGTTGAGATTCTATAAAAACAATGCAGAACAAGTCAAACACTATCATAACAGGATATGACAGATGTCTAGAACACAGATCATGAAAGAATGAATTCCAACCAGTGAAAACAGGGAAGGTTTGCAGGGTGTCGGGGGGCAGTGAACAAAGGCTTTATTAATTTGAAGGCAACATACTCATATCTTTCACGGTCCTTTGGCTTCCCAAGTTATTTAACCTTTCTGAGCTAGTCTCCTCATCTCCAAGACAGGGTTAATTATGCCTTCCCTGCCCAATTCTCCCTGCTGCTGTAAGGATCAAATGAGATGCTTAAAGTAGTTTGTAAACTAAAAAAGTGTTATGCAAATGTAATGTTAAATTAGAAACCTAGTGCAAAGGGACTAAATATTAAAGGTGAAATTACAGACCTCAATTGATGGGATGTATCTTTTGGTTGAGAATTTTCCTTTGAATATCAAACTGCACCACATAACACTGGTAACAACATACATCTGGAATTAACTGAAATTCTGGTCTAGGGGTGTTGCGTCCTCAGTAACCTTGGGCAAGATCATTCAATTCTGTGCTTCAGTTTATGCTATCAGGATTAATGGATGGTAATTGTTGGTCTTCGAAAAACCCTATCTGTTATCTTGACACACAAAAAGAAATATTTCCACATCCATCAAGATTGAACAGCAAGAACTCTCATTGCTTTGAATTTCTATATTACCTGAGGCAGACTCAGTGAAAAGAACAGGTGTGAAAAATAAATATATTTTGATATATACAAAGATGCTCTAAGGATAAGATAGACACAGGGATATTAAGTACCAGGGACACCCACCTGAGTTTAGTTCAGCCAGTGTTCACTGAGCACTTGTTATGCACCAGACCCTCTGATAGGCAATGCTGGAGACAGAGATGAATAGGACACAGCTTCTGCCCTCAAGGAGGCCACAGGTTTATAAACATGCTTTGAAAGTGATAAAGAGAATGGACACGATTAAATGGATTGTAAATCAAGATAACGACCCCAGTCCTCCTGCTAATTTACTGGTTGACCTCTGTGAAGACATCTTACTGTTCCTTTATCAGCACTAAATGAAACCCCCCTCCCAAAACACTATTTAAAACTTGGAAATGTTTTACCCCTACCAACCAGCCACTGGAAAGTCTTAACAAAAAATAAATTTTAAAAAGAACCAACATTCACCCTCTCCGATGAGTAATTTATGAACTAATTATACAGCAACTTTACTTTGTATCTTACCCAGTAAAAAGGAAATACTTGAATAAATTGTATTATTTTATCACAAATTAACTAATTTATTCTTCTCGACCTTGTTTGGATTTGAAATAATTGTCTTACTGGAACTACCAAATGGAGAGATACAGAGATTTGTAACTAATGACTTTCTGGTGGGATTTTAATTTTATTTACAATAAATAAACATTATACTGTTGTCACTGTAGGGCTCAAGTATGTTCATATAATATGCGTAGCAATTATTTTGTTTTCTCTCTGTCTCTCCTCTAGCTGTCTTTCCCTCTCCCCCACCCTTTCTCCCTTCCTCTGTGTCTATTATAATGTCTCTCTCTCTCACACACACACACACATACACACACACATGCACACACACGTGTACACACACACACACACACACACACACACACACACAGAAGCTCTAACAAAACTGAAAGGCTCTGAGGGGGAAGACTGTAATGACCTGGTAATTGTCTCTCATGCTGGATCAGAGGGTGATGCAGTGGTCTGGAACAGGGGGATGTGAGCTGTCAACAGAAATTCACCGTATACTTACTGTTCATTGCCTACCCATTATGCATAATTCCACTTTCACATCTTAACAGAATCCACCATACAACTATGTGTTTCACAGGAAGTTGACACCATCCCAGCCCTAGCTGTTGTATACTGATTAGCATTAGCCATTCAGGGGTATCTTATTTCCCTGGCCCATAAACAGTTAACCAATAGGCATGTGATCCAGTATTAGTCATACAATGATGCACTAAGGATATATACAAAGATGAGAGGGATGCTCTGCCTTGGGGTTTCTAGACAGGATATCTTACTCTAAGAAGGAAACAGCAAATGGTGGCACCTTTATGTCTCTGGGTATGTTGCATCTCGAAGTGAAACCTAGAACATCTATAGTATTTTGTGAACATCCTGAGAATAAAGCCTATAGAGACAGAGCCAAGAGCACCGCAGAAAAGTAGGCCAGGGGCACTGACACATGGCACCTGCAACTCACGCCACCACTGGACTTCTCGACATGTGAGATAAGATGTTTTCTTTGGGCTTATTTGTGTTCTTTTGGGCTTCGTTTGTGTTCTCTGTTACTTGAGGCCCAAACCTTCGGAATCAATAAATCTACCATATACTCATAATGAGTTTGCTCTTGTTATTTTGAATCTTGATTATCAATAGCAACACAGGCAGCAGCATCTCACTAACTTTACAGTAGAGCCTACAAGGGGCCCACACAGGGGGATTATTTGAGATGTTTGAAGTGTGCTGTGTCTTATTTGTGGTAGTGTTTACAAGAATCTATGCATATGTGTGTACTCACAGAACTGTACACCAAAAAACAATGATTATTACTGCCTTTAAAAACAGAAAGATCCCACAAGGTGGAGATTGCATTCAAGCCCACATTTATCTGACCCCAATGCCACACTGCTTCTGAGTGCTTGTCAAATCCAATATAAAGAGCTTAATACTGGCAGTCATGAAGCGGACGTTTAAATCCTAGGTCCACCTCTTGATAGCTGTGTGACCTTATGCATTTTGCTTTACCCATCCGAGTTTATTTTTGCAAATGCCAAATGCAGATGCTAATAATCTTTGCCCATTCCATCTTTTTTGAGGGGAGAGATCAACTAAGAAAATGATTTAAGAAGCATCTTTGTAATGTAGAAGAAAGCACAAATATTTGTCATTGTTATGGTATGAAAATACCTACTCTTCCAATACCACACTGTCTGAAATCCCGTTATCCTCGAGTTAAACCACGAATAGCAAACCCATGGTGTGCCTGCTGTCACCCACCTCCAATCTACACCTGTGAGGGATACTCAACAGTCAAGGTACTTTTTGTCCCTCCAGGGTCCTTATTTATGGCTCTAGCATCCCACTTGACTCTCTGTTCCAGGGATTCTTTATAAATCAATTGGAGTTGGTCCATGAATTGAAATCTCTTAAAAACTACTGGGTTATACTTCCAGTATCTTTCAGTCTTGTTCACCATCTCATCCCAGCATGTCTTATTTCTTTATAATAATAGAAACACAACTTTTTAGTTTAGAACATTGACACCCACGATAAAGGCCTACATTTCTTAGACGCCCTTGCAGCTAGATGAAGCCATATGATCAAATTCTAGCCAATGAGATGCAAGAGAGTAGGATGTAGAACTTCCAGGAAGGCTGCTTAATGGGACTGATTCATCTTGCAGGATGCCCTTTCAGCTATTCTGCCCTTGTCTTTTTTCTTTTTCTTTTTTCCAATCTGCATTGTGGATGATCTGGACACTATATCTGACCAGAAAGTGGCCTGATGATGAAATTAATACCCTAACATGGTAAAGTAGAATAACTGAAGTCTGTGTTCTTGATAACATTTTGGAGTCATTATACCAGCCATGAAAACCACCTATCCCCAGACTCCTTTTACATGAAAGAGAATAAATAATAATTTACTTTAATTTAAGCCACAACTTAGCTACTCATAGCTAAGCCTAATACCTAGCTCATATATGACCCAATTCAGCCTGTTTTCCTTGGGGAATAAATAAATGGAGCTATGTAAAGGGGAGTGTATACAGGTATTCATATTAAGGCACTCGTGTCACGGAATAGTTCTGAAACATTTTGAAGATATTGTGAGCAAAATTCTGCATGATTGTTTATGATCTAAACTGTATAAGATTTAGCCATCTCAGAACCCACTCTATAGGATCTTAATAGAAGAAGAAAAAAGTATGTTTATATCTATATACATGTATAAATTTATACATAGATATAAAGACAGGATATAGTACCACTATTTATCGAGTGCCTGTCATGTGCCAGTCACTTTATATTACTTATGTCCAAATTTCACAAAAATCTAACAAGATATGCATAATTTCTCCCATTCTGTCGACAGTGGCAATGAGGCTAAGTGAGTTAAAATAAATGGACTAGTTTAGGGATGGGTCCTATATTCCAAGCAAGTCTGTCTTATACCAAAACCTATGCTTTTTCCATGACCCCGTAGAAACTGAGTTAATTACAACTTTGGTTGGATGGCTAGCAAAACATCTCAGCAAGCGTTGAGAGAATACACAACAAATAGTAGTGCTGGATGCAATTGGTAGGTGGGGGGTTTCTTCTAACAACTTTACATAGTTAATGACTTTTTGAGCACCAGATTTGAAGAGCATGAAATGCATGAGTCATGGCTCTTAGAGAACAGATGGTTAGTGGTCTGTGTTATTTCAGTGACAAAGTTTTGAGCCAACTAAGGATAACAATAAAACTTCATCTCATGATGTTTGTCATTTTCAGTCCCTGACTCCTTGTAACTGCTGTTACAGCTTCTCGCTTCCAAGATTACACCTTGATGATCAATCAATCAAAATTATCCTTTCATCAGGTTGAATTTATAAAAGGCACTCCAGGTGATTTTTTTTAATTCACTACGATTCCATGTATTTCCTACAGCTTATATTCTAAAATTATTCATCAGAACTGTGGGAGAAACATTTGAGGTCATTTCTCAGGATTGTTGGCTCTGGGTTTTGGGAGGTCATCAATAATGGATTATCATGGTTGGTGTAATATTACATGATAATGAAAGCTGACATTTATCCTGTACTCACTCTGATCCATGCATTTTGCATGGGTTATCTCATTTAACCCTCAATCCACATCATAAACCAAAGGATAGTGTTATCACCAACTGGAAAAATGGGGAAAACAAGACATGGAGAGTTGCGGGGGTTAAGTGACTTACTAGGGAAGTGGAAAGTGATAGATCAGGGATTTGAACCTAGATACTTTTGAAAGAGATCCTGAAAGCTGAGTAGGCATAATGATTTAAGGTAGGCTAACAGCTGGCTAGCATCTTACAAACCACCTTCATATCTCACTCGTTTAATATAGTAAAATGTACTACTCATTTCTCTCATAATTCACTGATGGTTGAAGATCTGGGCTCCATACAATCATTCTAGTACTTAAGCCCCTTCTATTTAATGACACTACCATATTCCACTGTCTTAAAGTCCCCTTCTGCATCATCCGCAACCAGACAATAGACAAGGGAACAAATTTAATGAAGCTTTGCAAAGAATGTTTAAGGGTCCTGGTATGTATAGCAAATACTACTTGCACTTACATTCCCTTAGCTAAAATTAAATCTCATGACCCCACTTAAATGCAGAGGAGACTGGGAAATGTAGTCTCTGGAATAAAATGGAATGGAGTGCAGTGAACCATCATATTTTTTCTGTCACAGTAGATATTTGCTGTCTGCAAGAGAGTAGTAAAGGGAAGGGATAAGAAAATTGCGGCCGGGCGCGGTGGCTCACGCCTGTAATCCCAGCACTTTGGGAGGCCGAGGCGGGTGGATCACGAGGTCAGGAGATCGAGACCATCCCGGCTAAAAAACGGTGAAACCCCGTCTCTACTAAAAATACAAAAAAAAAATTAGCCGGGCGTAGTGGCGGGCGCCTGTAGTCCCAGCTACTTGGGAGGCTGAGGCAGGAGAATGGCGTGAACCCGGGAGGCGGAGCTTGCAGTGAGCCGAGATCCCGCCACTGCACTCCAGCCTGGGCGACAGAGCGAGACTCCGTCTCAAAAAAAAAAAAAAAAAAAAAAGAAAATTGCAAGGAAAAGGACAAACTTGAGCAAAAGCATAATTGTCTCAAAATACTAGTCAAATTTGGGGAAGCACAAACAATTTGATCTGACAGATGCTCAGGTTGGCAGTCTCAGTAATAATTTGAGGCTCACATCATCCAGGGACTTGGAAAATGCACTAAGGAGTTTGGAGTTTGGACTTTATTGTACAGCTAAAGGGGAGCTGTTGAACGATTTTTAACCAGTAGAAAATATGATTATATTTGGAATTTAGAAAAATCATTCTCTGAGCCATGTAGATGGTGGTTGAAGAAAGCAAGACAAGAGGCAAAGAGAACAGGTAGGGTAGAATTGAATCATAGATGTAAGATGTCAGACTAAGGATGGTTGCAATGTGGTCAGAAATAAGAAGATAGATGAATCAGATTAAGGCAGTAAAATTATAAAATTATGGACATTGACAAGTGATCACATTCTCCTTATTTTCAGCCTTGCAATGGAGGCATTATTATCTCCATTTTATCGATGAAAAGACTGGACTTGGGACAGTTGAAAGCCTCACCAAGCTCATACAATTAATTAATGCCTGAGGCAGAGGCCAACCATGTCCAACTCTAAAACCCATTATCTTTCCATTTGACCATTTATAAACCTCAACCATGCCTTACCTACAAGAGCCCTTGTGTGCTTCTGAACAGTTATTCCCACCCTCTCTACAGCTTCTGTTTTTCAAATCAAATATTCCAAATTTCTCCCACAGTAGCTTACATCACCTACTAAGTTACTTTAGCCTTCTGGTCACAGTTGTCTAGAGGCATTTCAAATAACTCACTTAAGTTAAGGAATTCCTCCCCAAAACCAACACTTTCAGTTGCAAGGTAACATGCTGAAGCAAAACCTGTTTCACTCTTTTTCCAACTCATCAAAAATACATAAAATTCAAATTGCTCACCAGTACTTTCTAAAGCATTTTTATTATTTTGTTTATTCTACTGCCCAAAGGTGCAAGTGACCTCACTTATAAAATTTGATGAACCAAACCGTTAGTTGTTTCAAAACGTTGCTGATGCTTTGCTTGAATTGGGTAGATCCTGCCAATCAACTTGTAGATAGATTCAAAGTTGTATAAATGGGGTATTTTCTATCTATGGAACCTAAACTTTTTTATATAGTGTGCTTTATATACTGGCTGGTAAATTAATTAAGAAAATAATTGGTTACAGTACTAACAAATGGTTTTGAATCAGAAAGAAAATATATAACTGAGATCCCAACTCATGAAATCCCTGACATTATTAAAAACCTGCTCCTCCTCCTGTTTTTCCAATATCAATGAATGGTATCTATCAATGTTCACCTGGCTGTCAGGCCGGAAAACTGGGAATGATATTTAATTCATCTCTCTCACTCATCTCTCACATTTAATTCATCATCAGGTTAATTCAGCTTCCAATTTGATTCAACTTCCTTAAAAAAGTCTCAAAGCCAAACTGTTTTCTTATTCCCACTGTTGCTACCCTAGCCCAGGATGCAAGCACTTCTTCAGTGATCATGGGAAGCTCCTGATTAAGCTCCTTGAATTCTGTTTTGCTTTAACCTATCCTTGTGCTGAGGCGCCAGTCTGTTCTCATCATATACTTGCTTGTAACCCTCTGGTTCTCCCAGCCCATTGTCCACAGGAGCACTCAGGTGTAAAATGCAGTTTATTTTGTTATCCATTCATGCTTATAACTTCAGCCATCTCATTCACACCTCCTCCCTCACATGATCTACTCCAGCTGAAGAGAATACCTTCCAGTTTTCCAAATGTAGCTTGTTTTTTTCTCATGTTCAGGCTTTTTAACCTGTTGTTCCTTCTGTCTGCAACAACTCACTTATCCTTTTCTTTTCTTGCTAACTCTTATGTATTCTTCAGATCTCAGTTTAGTTTTCATTTCCTCCATAAATCCTTCTCTGACCTCCAACACCAAACTAGACAGTTTTGTCCTGAATTCTAGCATCTTCTCCTTCCTCTGTTTTCTTCACAAATCCCCATATCCCCTGTACCTAGTATTATTTTCTGACACAATGTCATCCCACCAGATATATTTTTTGTATCTCTTTAATTACTTAAAAATGTAAACAAATTCTTCCTTAGAAAAGAAGGAGATACACCAAGAAAGAGACCTTGGCTGTCCTTAGGATCAGTGTGTTGTGTTAATGGAAGAGATCTCCAAGGTAATACATGGCCCCAGGTGAAGTTTAAAATGAAACTGAAAATTACAGGAGACTGTGGGATCCAGAAGTAAAAGCAGTCAGTTTGGGCTTACAGTCTCTGATTAAGTTCCTTCAATCCTGTCCCATTACACCAGTGACAGTGGAGACATGGCTCTAAAATGTTTTGTTTCAGTCAGCATTGATTTATTCATTCATTTGCTCACTCATTCACTGTTTCACTCTCCAGTTTCAGAGTGATGCTGAGTACCAACTATGTACCAGGCACTATGTTAGGAACACTGAATTATAAAGAGATTTCTAAAGAAGAAGATATATATTTAAAACACATAATTTTAGGCAGGGCGTGGTGGCTCACGCCTGTAATCCCAACAGTTTGGGAGGCCAAGGCAGGTAGGTCACCTGAGGTCAGGAGTTTGAGACCATCTTGGCCAACATGGTGAAACCCCATCTCTACTAAAAATACAAAAATTATCTGGGTGTGCTGGTGGATACCTGTAATCCCAGCTACTCAGGAGGCTGAGGCAGGAGAATCTCTTGAACCCAGGAGGCAGAGGTTGCAGTGAGCTGAGATCACATCATTGCAGTCCAGTCTGGGCGACAAGAGCAAAACTCTGCCTTAAAAAAGAAAAAAAAAAAGAAAGAAATCACAAACATAATTTAAAAAGAAAATGCAGTAGGAGTCCCAATAGAGATATGTGCACAAAAACTCTCCCTAACTCAACCTGGGGCAGTGGGGGCAGTCAGAAAAGCCTGCTGTGGACACACAAGGGCTGCCTCCTATTTTATCTTAACTATCATCCTTCCCTAATCCTACTCTGTTTTTCAGGATTGGCTTCCTCAGTGAAGACTCTTGAAGAAAGCTTGGGACCTATTAGACATTTGAGAACAGTTTTAAATGTCAGTGTGGCCATATGGAATAGATGGGACATGTGAATTTGCAATGTTTGTAGGATACATGTTGCCAAAAAAGGAATCCATATAGGGGATGTAACCACCAGTTCATCTGTCTTATTAATTTGGTTATTTCCTCTCTGTGGGTTCAGGTTTTCTCATCTGTATGAGATAAATAGTCATGAATAAACAATAAATATTAGATTTGAAAGAGCTCTTTGAGATCATCTTGTCTAACAGCTGCCAAAGTGTATGTCACAATGTATCTAAAGGGTGTCAATGGACATTTCTCAGAAACAGATTGAAGTCACATACATCTTGGTAGGAATAACTTGAAGTTCCACAGGTTTTCTTACCTGAAGGGTGCTGCACATCTCTTAGGAATGGGTATGGATCACATTCTCATCTGAGCATACTTAGCCATGGTAAGGATGGCTACTTTTATCAAGAAATATCTCATGGGACCAGTGCTGAGTGAAACATATTGAATCTAGTCTAATCTGCTCTTCCGGATAAGGAAACTGGGGACCAGTGCAAAAAAAGAGATTTGCCCAAGGTCACCCAGGTAAGTGCATGCTAAGTCAGAACTAGATGTCTAATGTTCTGGCTCTGCTGCCAGGTATGTTTTCCATTAATGATGAAGAACATTCCCTCCCAAGTCCCGTAGTTCTTGGAGGATCCTAATGAGATATAAATGAGAATGATGAACAAAGTCTCAAGTATAAGGTGTCTATGTGAATCTTTCCTCTATTAAAGAGTTCCCAATAAAATGTGCTTTTATAACCTAATGCTTGCAGAACCTAGAATCTATCAGCATTTATTACATGGTCATGATGTGCATATGCTTGGTCAGGCAGAATACATAAACATAAGGGAGGGTTGCTCTCTGCCTTCCAGAAGCTGCACCAGCACTGGCAGACTCATGCAGGAACTGGAGGGGCTTTCAATTTGTTGTATGACCTCAGTTTACTTCACCTCCCTGGTCTCCAGATTCTTTTGTTGGTCATTTGTTGGACAATCCTTCCACTTAACTTTCTCAAAGGGATTGACTAACAATTCAAAACACTTACAAAAGCAGAACCTATACAAATGCTAAACATCATCCCTGTGATCTACTAGTTAATACGGAATTAGAAGTGAATGCAGCCCCTTTTAGCCCAGGAAACTCACGCTGAAACAATACATCTAATAAACTGGGAGAAGAGAAGGCCCACAAATTAAAAAGCAGCATTTGAAATCTAATCAGATATTCTCTCAATTTACAGACCACCCCTGTGGTGCTATCCAACTTTATTAGGATTTTATTCTGTATTCTCTTTTAAAGTGACATTTATATTAGTTTACAGTACTAACACAAAACTCTATTAAAAAGGAAAGAACTTTTATAACTTTATTATTTTTTCCTGGTTACTGTCCCTAAGTTTTCAATCCACTAATAAGGATTCTTTTGTTTTATTTCATGTCTAGGAGAGAAGTTGTGAAGTCTCTTTAAGGCTGTATTTCCTGCTGGGTTGTTAAACACAGTGGGGACACCCAACTTGGAGGGTATGTGCTGTAATTGGCTGTAAGGGCCAGGAAGTTGAACTTTCTCATTCTTGTTCAGTCTCCTTTTATCCTGGGTGTCTTGCAAGTTTATAATCATTTTCTAGTTTGGCTCTGACTTCAAAAGAACAATGAGAACTCAGCTATGAGGAAGTGGAAATGCTAGGTCATCTCCACCTCCCAACTTTGATGACCTCGTGTTCCATTTTCCCAAAAATGGAAATTGCAACTCTCCACATGTCTTATCTGACAGTTTTCCCATCTCTTAGAGCCATCTGGGCTTCCAAAGATGAGTCATGGTATATGTGAGATACATGGAAGAAAACATGTATAAATCATTACAGCTCCTTCATTTTACATGCAAGGAAACTGAGGCCCAGAGAGAGAAAGTGATTTACTCAAGGTCACAGAGAAAGAATGTGGCCTAGTCAAGACTGAAATCCAAATCTTTTAGCTTACACCTTAATGTTGACTTTTTTCCCCACTATGTAAAGCTCAGGAATTCTTTGAATCACAG
Organism: Homo sapiens; assembly: GCF_000001405.40. NCBI lineage: Eukaryota > Metazoa > Chordata > Mammalia > Primates > Hominidae > Homo > Homo sapiens. Next base: position 119,775,026 of record NC_000009.12, read on the forward strand.
AATTCAGCCCAGGTAATATTTCTTAGCCAGGGCGAGTACCAGTTCAATCTATGACCCATGCCTATGATGATCAGTTTTCTGAATGTTTTCTGCTGCTTCTATAATTTTTTAAAAAATTCTAATTAACACAGACAATGAATTACATATGGTCCCCATGTTTACTTCTCTACTTGAGTTCCATGGCAGCTGTATCATTTATCAGCTCAATATGTTTTAGACAGATGCTAGTTCTGTAGACAAATCAGCCAGTCCTTTTGTTCAATCTTTTACCCCAAACATTCCTGAGCGGCTCATTCCAATAGCAAGCCAGCCTTGTTCCTGACACTGAACTGCCAGGTGCCAAAAGTTAAATTTTTAAGACAGTTTCTTTCATATAAACCATGCATTCCCCTTAACTATATAAAAACATTCTTTTTCAAATATACAAAATGACATATTGATCTATTTATCCCACGAAGATCTATTATGCACTTACTGTATCCCATAGTCTGTTGGGTACAGGGATACAAAGATGAGCACACAGACTCTGGCCTTGAGTGGTTCATGCCCTGATGAATAAAACCAGCCTCTGAGCATGCAATAACAGCCATATGATAAATGACATTCCATGAAAGGCAGAGAGAGAAGGTTCACGCCTACTTAAGAAACCAAAACATGTTTCCCGGGGAAGGTGACTATTCAGACAAGTCTAGTGGCTATTAGAACAGGAAAGGACTTCACAAGAAAACCCAGTGCAGTCTTCTGTCTTCAAAACAATTGGCAAACCTGACTCCATTTTGCAGACAAAGAACATGAAACTCAAGAAGGCCATGGAACTTGGACAAGGTCACCTTGCTAGTGACGTAATTTCTTCTAATTTTCCCAGGTTCTTTCTCCTGCTCCTCTTCAGTCAGGAAAGGAAGCATATTCCAAATGTACCAAAAAGGTTAAAAAAAAACAAAAAACACAAAACCCAAAGTAGAAATCCTCCAGTACCTAAGATTTATTGAGATCATAAGTAACCCTTACTCAGTAAAAGAATCTACCGCTCCATTCAGCTGCGTTCCCATCAGCAACAAGAAATTGTTGCAATCTAATGCATTTATATGTTTTGGTTTTCTTAATTTATTTCAGGCACCTCATCTTCCTGGAACAAGTGTTGTTATTTATGACACAGCAGAAAACACTTTACATTTATAGAGGTTATGAATTTTAGTAACGGTTTTGGTGGCAATTTAATCTGTCCTAACTATGAGGCATTTTACAATGACAATTAAATTATTATTAAAAAATAAACCTCAAATGACATCCTTATCACTTATCAACATATCAAAAATTTCAGTGAGTTGCATTCTGGGTTGGTCGTAAATATCCTAATGTAGTCTTAGTGAATCTGTGTAATAAACTTGAGTGAACTTAATTAACTTCTACAGTATATTTAAAAGAAAACTCCTCACACATTTTGATGTCGGAGAATGAAACATTATTTGAAAAGTGGGTTTATTACATTTCATGGTGCACACTGATATTTAATATTTAAAGACTCTTAAATTTGATGTACTGTACTGATAGCTGAAGGGTTTAGTCCTGCAGTGTGGGAGGGTGAGATGGTGAATTTCTCCCTCCATTTCCTTGAGGAGGTTTTTATTTTACTGGCCAGGCCCCCCATACACTGATCTATTAAAATCTATGCTCACAGAAGTGTCAAGAATGTTAATGTATACTCTATCAAATTAATTTTAATGTAGGCTTGCTGAATAGCTAATTCCCAAGCTATGTTCTAAATTGTTGCAAACGGCTCCACTCCAAATTAGCCAGGGTGCTGCCTCGATTTCAGCAGATAACATGTCAGCAAAGTATCATCTGATACAGATTTTAAATGAGGGGTTTTATTTTTTCTCCATAGAGAATCTAATAAAGAAAAAGAAAAAGTCAGTCTTAACCCACTTCCTGATCTCAACTTATAGGGCACTGGCTGAAATAAAATTACTTTGTTCAAATCCACATTCTGATAATTACTTCAGACAGCAATGAGGGCTTCCATTTCAAAAATTAGACTTGACATTTGACTTAAATACAGTCTTCTCTTTTAAGCCCAAGTTTCTGTGCACTTAAATGCCAATGGCCAGATGTTGATAACAGATGATTCTCCCTTGAAAGGTGAGATAGAGACTATTTTATCAAAACAATAGAAGGAAATCATCCACTAGGAAAACACAGGTTTTCCTGTACTAAATCACTTTAGCCAATGTACCCAAACCCACTGCAGAAAAACTGTGGAAGAATCAACTCCCATAATCTTCCCAGGATACCACAGGATGTAGCTCACTATTTTTCCTGGTTGATTTACTGAAAGTTTCCTTCAATAACTTTCAGTTGCCCTTCATCCAGCTTCTTAGTCAAAATTATTTGCATAAGACTGGGTGCAGTGGCTCACACCTGTAATCTCAACACTTTGGGAGACCAAGGCAGGTGGATTGCATGAGTCCAGGAGTTCAAGACCAGCCTGGGCAACACGGTAAAACCTCATCTCTCCAAAAAGTATAAAAAAATTAGCCAGGCATGGCGGTGCATGTCTGTAGTCCCAGCTACTTAGCTGAGGTAGGTGGATCACCTGAGCCAAGGAGGTTGAGGCTGTAGTGAGCCATGATCATGCCAGTGTACTCTAGCCTGGGTGACAGAGTGACCCAGAAAAGAAATTATTTGCATGGGTGTGGGTTGGCATTTCTGTGTATGTTTGTAGATATAGTGTAAGTGTACATATTTTTACACTTGTAGCTTTGTAACAATGCCTAATTCCAAACGTTTTTTCTTTTTCAGGTTCTGGTATTTTTGTTTACAGTTCTTACTCTGCTTTTAACCCAACAAATATGAACCAATAAATATCAACCTCTTATTTCACTGGTAAAATAAGAGGGTTAAACTAGGTGATATACAGAGTTCCTAATTCCAGCTTTAGAAAAAGAGAAAAAAAGACACTATAGGGTTCTAAGTTTCAACCACTGTTTCTTACAAAAGTACTTCTAGAACATCTACCAAGCTAGCACTAGATGTAAGTTGTTCAAATAGTAGCCAAAATCCATGCTCTCATAGACCTTGTAAACTAGGCTTTATTTCCTTAGATTTGCTACTGTTATGAAAGTGGTGCTACCATTTATTTGTAGTAAAATGCCTTATTTGTCGCACTTTAATTTCTATGTCCAGAAGGTAGTCATCAAGGCAAAACTTTCCTTCCCCTATTATTCCATTTCCCATCCCTTTAAATTCCAGAATGATATACTTCTTAATGTATGTTTCCCATCTCCTTTACCAAATAAAAAGGCAGCTCATCTCCCCTTGACTAAATAGGGGAATGGTTTCTAAGTAGAAAATGGAAGAACATCTGGCAGATAGAGGCTGGTACAAGACTCCAATACTGAGCTCATAATTTTCTCTCTCCTACCCTTCAATTCATTTTGTTTCCCAAGATCTGAAACATTTTTCAGAACTGTGGTATATTCCTGTAGTTTTAAAGGCCAGATACATTCCCTCAATTATACCAATATTCAGAAATTCTATTCTGGGGCCATAACTGCTCAATTCTGCATGAAGATACACATTTAAATTTAAATGCAGCCAGAGACTCTGCAAAAGCAAATGACTGAATGAAAGAAGCCTAAAGATTTTACCAGAAAGTGCTTAGGAGGGGAATTCTGCTTCTGGCTACAGTGGACTAGTTTGTTTCAGACCAACAGTTCCATGGAGAACAACTAGAAAGTTCTATCAATTAAATCCATGCTAAAAACAGTAATCCGGCCAGGCGCGGTGGCTCATGCCTGTAATCCCAGCACTTTTGGGGAGGCCTAGGCAGGCAGATCACAAGGTCAGGAGTTTGAGACCAGTCTGGCCAATATGGTGAAACTCTGTCTCTACTAAAAATACAAAAATTAGCCAGGCGTGGTGGCAGGCGCCTGTAGTCCCAGGTACTCGGGAGGCTGAGGCAGGAGAATTGCTTGAACCCAGGAGGCGGAGGTTGCAGTGAGCCAAGATCGTGCCATTGCACTCAAGCCTGGGGTACAGAGCAAGACTCCATCAAAACAAACAAACAAACAACAACAAAAAAAAACAGTAATCCTTCTGAAGACATCTGAGAACTACCAAGACTTGAGATATTACCACTCCAGAGAGAAGAAAAGTCCAGGGAAATGAATGTAGCATTTGGTGCTACTTAATCCCTAGAGGCATTTGATGATTCTAAAAAGATGCCTGAGTGGATAAAAATTAGTCAAGCTAGTCATAAAATGGTAGCTGAGAGGGAAAAATGCTAAACAGAGTAATCTTATATGACTGGAGTATTTTAAATTTAAATTTAAATTCAGGGTCTGCCAAGGAGGAGAAGCTTGCTCTAGGGGTATCTGAGAGACCCTATCCCAAGAATAAGACAAACTGTAACTAAGGAAGTGCTTAAAAATACTAAAAACCATATGCAAATTAGCTTAATCTGTTGCAGTTTTTAAAATCTACTCCTAATCTGACAGTCTATTAGAAGCAAATATAAATCCTCTCTAAAGTTTCAATATATTTAAAAAAATTTGATGCCAAGATGGATTATTTCAGCAAAAAACTAGAATCTGTAAAAGAGATTCAAATGAAAATTCCAGGATGAAAAAATGCAATAAATGCAAGATGAAATTAGAAGACAATAGATGAGTGAGTTAACAGAAGATGAGATGGAGCACAGGAGGGAATTAATAAACTGGAAGTTAAGTCAAAAGAAAATATATAGTCTAAAGCACAAAGGGAAAAATAATTAAAAATGTAGAAAAAAGAGTACAACAAAATGAGGCACTGTCAAAAGGTCTCTGTGTGTGTATATATATATATGTATGTGTGTGTGTGTATATATACATACATACACACACTATATATATTTTAAAACTTCATAACACTAGAGGGAGAAGAGAGACATAATAGGCAGAAATAATATTTGAAGGAATAATGACTAAGAACTTTTCAAAACCAATGAATGACATCAAACCACAGATTCAAAAAGCACTACAAACCCCATCAGCATACACACAAAGGAAATTATATAGACAAGAAATCCAAGGAAAAATTGAAAAACTTAAAAGTAGTCAGAGGAAAAAATGTATATTATCTTGAATGGAGCAGCAGTGAAATTGCAGCTGACTTCTCAACAGAAGTCATGAGACTAGAAGAAAATTTAATGATATTTTCAAAGATTGAAAGAAAATAACTGTCAACCTAAAATTCTATACCAGTTAAAAAAAAAAAGAAAAAAGAAAAATAAACATAATTTCAGAAAAATGAAACTTAGAGACTTCATTGACAATAGATCTTCACTATAGAAAATACTAAAAATATACTTCAGACTGAAAGAAAAGTATATTGATTGAAGTGCATGTAAGCAGAGATGTGGCAAATCAACATAAATACTGACTATATAAAACAATAATAAAATAATGCTTTGTGAGCTTTAATAGTTACAAAATTCTAATTTTATAAATTAGAATTAGAAATTAAAACTCAATGAAATAACACAAAGGAATGAAGTGAGTAAAGGGAATTAAAAGCGTTCTAAGGCCCTTGTATTTTCCAGGAAATCAAAAAGTACAAATTTATATTAGACTTTAAATAAGACAAAAAATACTACTTATTTTTAATCTCGAGTAACCATGGAAAACATAGAAAAACAATGTATAGCTAGCAGTGAAAGCAAAATAATATAAGAATATGGTTAGAAGGATTTTGTTTTTCTTAATTTGGAAATGTCATTGGCTCTAAAATTTTGATAGTCAAATTCCTCCTATCTTCAGAATATAGATAATATAAAATGAACCATCTTGAATGTCCTGGATGGCTTTGCCATCTGCTAACTTCGTGCCAGTCTGCAGAGAGAGTATGGTGAGTGAGCCCTGGAGTTAAAGACAGGAAGCCAGAGTTTGGAATTCAGATAAAACACTGACCCCACTCCCCAAGTTATTTTGGACAATCTTCTTTAAGTTAAGTCCCCTAAACCTATAAATTGGGCATGATGACAATTTTTCTGATTTTCCCCCATAGGGGGTACTGGAAGGATCAAAGGAGAGTAGAGAGATGTGAAGCTCTCTTTGTGAGGTGCTATACAAATGCTTAGAGTTCAAGGAATCAATCCTTCTTTCCAATAGGCAATATTCAAATACATTAGGGAAAATTAAAGTCACTGACATGCTATTTGTATTCATCAGAACAGACTAGGCTAGACTGAAGTAAGCAATAGACCCTGGAATCTCAATAGTTTCACACTGCAAATGTTTGTTCCTTGTTGAGCCACAGTGTACAGATTGGGTAGATCTCTTGGTGATTCTCCTCCAGTGGCAACTCAGAAACTTCCACCAGCATTGGCGCTATCTTTAACACAAGGCCTTCATGGTCACCAAGAAGAGAAAGAGAGAGGGAAGAAAACGTTTGTACAGGAGATTTTAGAACCAACACTGGAAATTCAGTACAATCACTTCAACCCACATCTACTGGCCAGAACCAAGTTACATGGTCCTAAATTAAGTTCAAATGAGGTTGGAAAATGTAGCCTTCTTTTGTTTCCAAGAATAGGTAGGATTGGTGAACATCAAGCTTGACTCTGCCAGACCATTGATATCCAAGTTGTGTTCACTGCAATGTTTTTGGAGTTAGAGAAGAAGGTGGTAAGCTTCCTGTTATGCCTTCATTTTTATAAAGAATAAACTATTTTTAGCTCCTTCCCTGGACTTTATTAAAACACAATTAAGCAACATATCACTCTGATAAACTATCAGATCAAAATTTCATCCTCTGAAAGAATACTCTGTTTGGACAAAGCAGCAACTACTATTAGATTGCTACAAATGCAAGATGCAGATAAAGAAACAGATGAGACAAAAATAAAACTCTCACTCTTCAAGACATTTTATAACAAGAAAGCCCCAGTGCATATTGGTTACTTAGAGAGAGAAAAACTCTCCAGCAACTCATATAGTCATAACTGATAGATAGCTATGCTCTTGTGTGTCCTGATACTCTCCCAAATCTATCTTTATAATGGAGATCCAAGCCAGGAGACTCAGAACTTGGAATATTTTTACAAAAATGAGAACATCCAGACATTGAACTTGGATTCTAGTCAGAGCTCTAGCAGTAACTACTTCAGTGTCTCTAGCAAACTCACAGATCTTATCTGATTATTAGAAGACTGGATGGATCAGGATGTCCCAAAGTGGGATGTAGAAAGTTTTTCTCTTTTTAAAAAATGGTGTTTTCATGGTTCATTAATTTTGGGAAATGCTGGTTTTCTGTTTATTTGTTGCTGCTTTTGTTTCCCTGCAGAGCCTTTAATATTCCAATATGACTTGTGACTGGCCAAAGTAAAAAAGTGTGTGCGTGTGTGTGTGCACTCATGTGTGTACAGGCACTTGTGCACTTCTACATGTGTTGAGGGAGAGATTTATTATAGGCGTTGGCTCTCATGATTATAGAGGCTTAGAAGTCCCATAATCTGCCTCTGCATGCTAGAGATCTAGGAAAGCCTGTGGTGTAATTCAGTCCAAGTTTAAAAACTTGAGAACCAGAAGTGCCAAGGGCCAGGAGAATGGATGTCCTAGGACAGGAAAAAATGGATGTCCTAGATCAAATGGAGCAAATTCTCCCATCCTTTGCCTTTTTGTCCAATTTGGGACCCCAACAGATTAGATGATATCCACACACACTGGTGAGAATGATCTTCTTTACTCAGTCTACAATTCAAATGCCAACCTTTTCAGAAACACCCTAACAGACACAGCCAGAAATAATGTTTTACCAACTATTTGGGCATCTCTTAGCCCAGTCAATTTGGTACATTAAAATTAACCGTCACAGTAAAATTCCCCAAACTTATTCAACCAGGTGTTGTCTTATAGTATAGTAAGATGTTGAGCTATACGGGCTCTGATGCCCTTTATTGTATCTAACAGTGGGTGATCCATGAGTGTGATTTGCCCCTGAGCAGCCAGATGACTTACAAGACATATCAGAGCTTGCGATTCACAGGTGTGCAGAGTCAGAGGCCCAGAGGAAAATGTGTAAAGACTACTGTTGTTACCCAACTTGTTCCATGAGAATTTGGAATTAGAGGTCTCTAAGGTCCCATTAAAGCTTACATTTCTATAAATTTATGAATCTAAGCCCTTTGGTTTTGGAAAGACACTGCATTTTCAAATCTGCACTTGCAAACTTTATGCTGCAGGCTTAGAATGAAACAGACCCTTGGAAAATTCAAAGTAAAGTCAAAAGTGAGAAAAAGAAAACATGTTCTTTTTTAGAGGACATTCCAGGATAAGCCAGGAATATTGCTCCTGTGATAGAAAGATTCATCTTCAATCCACCCCATGTGCTCCCAATCAGTGCAATCTTTCTGAAACATGGATCGGATAAAATCACTCCTTGTTCTGAAAAAAAAAGACACGCATCATTTATATGGTTTATCATAAAAGTACAAACCTGCTGTCATGGACTCCAAACCCTTCACAATTTAATCTTTGCCATGCTAGCTCATCTTATCAACAATTTATTCCTGTGCCCACACCCCCACCAACACCTCAGCCACTAGGTACTGTATGCCTGCACCCCTACCACCACCTCAACCAGTAGGTATCCTGTGCTGTCACTATGCCATATCCCATCAATGACCACAACTACAGAAATCTCATAATATATCAAATTTACATATCTGTCATCATGTTCACTACTATGTACCCCCCACAACTCCCTAACCAAATTGCTATCCTGTCCCTAAAGACAGAAAATAGGTTCACCACCACTGTGGTTTGGGCCAAAGAGTTTTGCTCCCTGATATTTTCTTTCATCTTTCTCTGCTTGGAAAAATTTATATTCACCAGTCCAAGTTCAGCCCCTATGCCTCAGAGAAGGCTTTCCCAATTCCCCAACTGCATAAAAGGGATCCAACTCATTTCTTCTTTATTCTCTGTTTGCACGTGATACTTCCACAGCCTACACCATGTTATACTTAGTAGAAGCTTATTGTTACTCTTTTCTTTCTTTCTTTTTTTTTTTTTTTTTTTTTTGAGACAGAGTCTCCCTCTGTCACCCAGGCTGGAGTGCAGTAGTGCAATCTCAGCTCACTGCAACCTACGCCTCCCAGGTTCAAGAGATTCTCCTCCCTCAGCCTCCTGAGTAGCTGCGATTACAGGCACCCGCCACCACACCCAGCTAATTTTCGTACTTTAGTAGAGATGGGGTTTCACCATGTTGGCCAGGGTGGTCTCAAACTCTTGACCTCAACTGATCTGCCTGCCTCAGCCTCCCAAAGTGCTGGGATTACAGGCATGAGCCACTGTGCCCGGCCTCATTCTTTATAATAATAATAGCATTACCTCCCACAGGCCACACAGTTACAGTGTGTGCTTTCTGTGTATTATCTTGGTTAATATTCTTATGAGTCCTAATAAGGTTGGTACTATTTTTATCTTTATTGTAAAGATTTGAAAACTAATGATCCTAGAGGCTGAATAACTTGATTACAATCACACAGGTAATATAGATTGGAGCTAGGATGTAAATGAAGGTCAAAAAGAATCCAGAGTCTCTGCCTAAAATGAACAGAGAGCTGGGTTTGATCCCAGCTCTGCCACTGAGCTAGTTTTCTGGGGCAGACCAGTTAGCTTCACAGAGATGCAGACTCCTTGTCTGAAAATCTGGATAACCCCAGCCTTGTTCCTCGCTGGGGTGTTGTGATCATAAAATGAAATAATGAATCTGAAAGGGCTTTGCAAATGCTAAAGTACTATGCAAATGCAAGCTAATTAATTAATGAACTCATTAACATGTTCTCCTGCTGGGCTGTAGTTAGGGCCAAATTATAAATAATCCTCATCTTGCTGGAAATTTAACCAAGAAATTTAGAGTGGTAAGAGGGGTGAAGAAGACTGTCGATCCATAGTCTAAAACTCTGCACATACTAATGGAGGCAGTTTAACTCAGAATCATTCCTGTTGCCAACCACAGAGCAATTTTTTCTAACAAAAAAGGGATGGGAAGTTTCACAGGGATGAGAAATCTCTCTAATACACTCATTAATAGAGACGATCCGGTATGTCATCATTGTGCCCTAAATCCACTGAGCTTGTGGAGTGGGGAGGCCCCATAATTAACATCTAGATCTTCATTACTTATTTATATTCACCAAACATTTTTACTATGTGCCAGGGTCTGCTCTGAGTGCTTACAAATATTAGCTTGTTTAATCCTCATAAAGAATCTAGGAGTAGTTACTGTTCCTATCCCCATTTTACAGATGGAGAAACTAACATGCATAGAGGTTAAGTAAATTGTCCAAGGCCATGCAACCAGGAATGGTGGAGCCAGGATTTATACCTAGACCATCTAGTTTCTAAGTTCACACCCTCAACCCCATGCCACATGAGGTTGGCTATGGGGCCACATGTGGCCACACTGGTCTGGCAATTCATCCATGAAGGCATCCAGAAGAATCTTTTATCTGGGAAGCTGGTAGATGAACAGTAGCCATCCCCACTTATTGAGCACTATTTATATATGCCAGCTATTGAATAAAAACCAACGTGTGTAATCCCACTGAGTCTTCAGGGGTGTGTTTGGGAGAGGGCACTGGGTCTTTGAGTCTTGCTTCTCTTGGATGCATTCTGCTCACCCTTCCTGTAAGCTTACAGGAGCCTGTTCTACCTGAGGAAGAAATTTCTATGGTTGTGCGGTGCTGTATATAGCTGGAAAAAAAAAAAAACTGGATTAGGAGACACATCCATGCTGTGTGTCCATGTTACATTCTCAAAATGGTTTTAAAGGAATAAAGGTAATTTTCTGATCTCCATATCTGTGACTCAGATGTCTCTTTCTCAGCTGGTTCTGAATTCAAGCAACAAAGAGGACTGTTGCCTGCTACCCAGGTCAAACCTCAACAGATGAGGAAATTGAAGCTCAGAAGGGTCCCTTGCCAAGGCCATGCACGCAGTTAGGACACAGGCATTCTGGAGCTCAAATGGAGAACCCTGATGCTATAGTGTCTCCTACTAATTCTAGAACGAGACAGCCTTAAAATAGGGATCATCATGAATCAGCAAAGGTCAAACTCTGGCTTATTATAATGCTAGATGGTTTTACTATAATATAGAAGTTCCTTTTAGTTTGATTTGATTTGATTTTAGGGGAAGAAAAGAACTCACTTTCCACACACAGCTTTATGGGAATAAGATATTTGCCCAAAATCCTACATAAAGATGTAACAAAAATCAGGATCTAAATCTAGATTTGTCTGATTCTAAAATCTGTGTTTATTCCACCGTAAATAACATGATTCCCCATATCTTATACATTGAATAAACATTTGTTGCAACTAACAGAAACTGACAGAAGAAACAATTTTATCCATAATCCCACTACCCTAACAAATCAATCATGTTTATTCATCCACATTCCTCTTCAATCTTGTGCGTAGGCAGGCAGTTGTGGAGTTTATGTAGTCATAGCCATAGAGCTCCCCTAAAGTTCTATGTCAAATTCAGGGCTAAAACCTAAATAACTGCATAAAATTATCATTCTATTATACTTTACTTAAACGTGTTCTTTGTGCTGTACTGTAAGTGCACTTCTGATATTGCACTCTTATAAATAACAACAAATATCTTCAAACAAATAACTTTGTTTTCTTTGTGATAAGTTCCTAAACATCAATCAAACTGGTGGGTTTTCCAGGTTAGATTCCAGGTTAACTTGGACAAAGTAGAAATTGAATCGACATGAGCATTAAACATCTCCCGAAAACCTCATCACTACTCTCCCGTCCCACTGCAAAAGATGCAGAGAAAGCAAGCAAGGGATGCACATCAGCCTATGAATAGACCACTCAAACACGTTTAAACAAAAAAGAAGTATAGAATATTTAACAGGAGCAAAGAGCAAAGATTACAGAGATTTGGAGCCCTTGAATAAATATGAAAGATACATGTCCCCACTCCACTCCTGGCTGCATCAAGCATGAAAAATAATCAGACAGACACAGAATTCAAAAGTCAGAAAACTTCCTCTTTGTAGTAGCATGATATGACAGGTAAGGAAGAAACATATACTACCTTTACTTGAGGAGAGAAGAAAAGTATAGTTACTCCCTAAAAATGGGAATCAGCAAATCTATGAGCTGTCCAAAAGATGGAGTCGTGAGATGTTAGAGGCTGAAGAGAACTTTGATAACCTAGCCCACACCCTTCACTACAAAGACAAGCAAATCAAAGAGCAAAAACCAACCTCTAGTCACTAAGCATCCCAGGCAGAGTCCCTCTGGATCACTGTCTAATTTTCCTTTCAATAAGCTATGTTGCCATTACTTAAAATAAAATAGAGCCTAGCAAAAATCTACCATGGACAGACTTGAGGCATCCTAACCTCTACTTATAGGTTAGGCAAGGTGTCACATCAGAGACGGACAACATTTATTACCAATCCGTGAACTCTGGACATCCCCAAAGAGCATTTCTAGGAAATTGGCTTCCTCTTTCCCTTGGGACAGTTGGACATCTTAGCTGCTCCCCAGCCCCTGCAATGTCCATGTTCCAGGAGCCTTGATAGGTTAAGATGAGGCCCAATGTCCTGCAGGTGGCATTTCCCATCAGTACCCATCGGTGTGTCCGCCCTAGTTGTTGGCTCCTGTTCATTCTGTTTAGACTGCTACCCATTATGATCAGCCAACCAGGCTGTAACAGTTGTTAAATATTTTGAATGTCACCCCTGGCATTTGCCAAAGTTTTCTTATGGAGTACTGGATTCACAAGATTGTCATAAAACAAAGAAAAATAAGCTTGCAAACGGATGAATCATCTAGGCTCTGAGAAGTCCTGCAAGAAAGATTTTGTTTACCTGTGTTTAACTCAATATATGCCAAAAGTATTGAATCACATATGAAAAGTCCTCCCTACCCTTCTCCCTTTTTTCAGTTTCAAGAAATACTGTACCTACTACCATGCTGTGGAACTAGTGTTCTGGGAAACACCATCTTCGAAAGGAAATGGACTTCTACTAACCACATTGTTTCTGTGTCTGAAAGTTCCATCTTCCTATAGACAAAGATGCTGATGAAGATTGGCTTTAAAAGGAACATTGGAAAGTGCCCATATTTGGTAAACAGATGGATTTATATTGAAACTCTGGTTTCTCCACTTGACCTTCCACAAATTATTTAAATGGTCATATGCTCAGTTTCTTCATCTGGAAGACAGGTTTAGCGTTACCTCCTTTGCAGGATTGCTGTGAGGATTCTAGAGGTAAAAGATGTAAAATGTTTTATCACAGTGCCTGGCAGATGGCAAACACTCAAGAAGAGTTAGCTGTTAGCATCCAGTATTACAGGAACCCTGAGGACCATACAAGGTGACCTTAAGGCTACCTGTTCTCATGGACATCACAGTCTGGTTAGACAGACAACATAGACCTGTGGAACTATAGCCACCATCGAAGAAAAGACTAAACTGAGGCTGGAGGAAAACAATGGCATTGGAATGGTTGGAAGTCGCTTCATAAAATTGGTGTGATTGGTTGAGCCCTGACACAAAGACATTTACTTCCTTCTATCCTTTTAAAAATAATGGCCTCCTGTTGAATGGTAGTTGCCAAGAACTAGGGGGAAGTACAGTAGAAAGTTATTGTTTAATGGCTACGGAATTTTAGTTTGGGAAGATGAAAAAAACTTCTGGAGATGGATGATGGTATTGATTACATAACATTGTGAATGCATGTAATGCCACTCAATTGTATTCTTAAAAATGGTTAAAATGATCAATTTTCTGAAGTGTGCTATACCACAGTTTAAAAAAATTAAATAATAATTACCTTGTTATCAAAAGGGGCTAATTAGCTCACTCCCTTCACTCCATACAAATTTATATCATTGGTTTAAGACTACATCTCCCAGAACATGCTGGTCCCTTTTCAGCTTAGGTGTTCCATTTCTTCTTCCTTCTAGGGTTTCTCTTCTTTACCAGCCAAGCCTCCAGATGGTATTTCAGTCACTCAGCCAAACACCTTCATTGCAGTCTTTTCCCCCTTCTCCCCCAGTTCACTTAAAAATAAATTGTCTTTTTTCGTAACTCCAGACAGAACATGAAGCACTCTCTCTCTCTCTCTTTTACGCTGCCACTGAATTCTAAGTACACAATTATGCAGGGAATGTCTTTAGATTCACCAGCTTGAGAACTTTTAAACATTAAGCTCTGAATCAGATAACAGCTTTCATCTCAAGAACAGCTTTGCACTGTACCTAAGTAAAAGCTTAACTTATATATAAAAAAAATTGTTACTAGGGGTATAAAAATGTCAAGGTAATAAAATAAGTGAATGCAAAACCCTCCCAAATAAAACATGGCACAAAAAAATTTAAAAGAATGTTTCCAAGGCAGCTGATGGCTTATTTGGCTTATTAGTTTCTGCTGCCCACCTTTGCATGTGCTGCTTCAAAATAAAATTTCAAATGGCCCAAGTATACTTCTGTCCTCTTCCTCGTCTACCTATTAATAAGACTTCACCGTGTAAAACAAGCTAGACAATTACTATGCCCTAGTTGGCTGTGGTTAAGACTTAATTGGACGGCTGTGTTCAATTCTAAGCATCATGTTTCCAGAAAGAAAAGAAAAAAGTGATAAATTGGATGTAGTTCAAAGGAAAACAAGACAGCGGATGAAAGTGGCTTGGAAAATAAGACCCAGTTGGGAATGTTAAGGTAATTCTGTGCATTTTCAGCTCAGCAAAAAGATGGCTGAGAGATAATGGAAAACTTCTGATGAGTCAATTCCAGTTTAGTCTCCCAGGTCATCACCACAGGGAGGAAAAAAAGAAGGGAGAGAGTCTTCTGTAGTTCTTTGTCTGCAGCTCACCATACTGGCTCTGGCCTGTAGTAGGTGTTCAGTAAAAACACTCTTGTTGAATGCCCCCTGAAGAAAAAAAAATCTGAAATGAGATTATAAACTTGCTCATGCAGATGCTTACAAATTTCTTTTTCTAAAAAAGGTTGAATCATTGGGTTTGATCTCCAGCAAGAATAACTTGGCAATGGTAAAATCAATTTCCTCATTAGGCCAGCTGTGAATTAAGTAACTTACCCTAAGGCTCCTGTCAACCCTGCTAACTCTTGATTCTTTGTACTTTTTAGCCATATGAATCATGTCATTCAAAAATTCGTGACTCCCTAGGCCCTCAAGGTAAATCAAAGTCTGGTGGTATACTAGCATCCACATTCTAGCCCAAACATGCCTTTCTAATAGATTTACCTCTTCCCTTTCCAAGTCCACCAGCCAGACTTGTCTATACACTGTGCTCTCTACCTTTTTTCCAGCAGTCAATATCTCAGACAAATCCCCATTTAAATCTCAGGACCACCACCTACTATCTATGTGACCTTGAACTAATTGCTTACCTACTCTGAACCTTGTCCTATCATGTGCAAAGTAAGGATAGCAATAGTTCCTATGAGTTTTAAATAAGACCGTGCATGTAAAGTCCTCAGCGCCTTGCCTGACACATGATAATCCTTCCCATCTTCCTGTCTTTGATGATGCTATGTTCCTTTTCTAGAATGTCCTGCATGTTTTTCACCAGTTCATCAAATTCTGCCCATTGAAGTGAGTGCCAACTCAATTCTAATTGTATTTGCAAAGTTCTCCTTGAATGCAGTAGTCTACAATTATTCTACCCAAGTTCTGAGTATGTAACATCTTCTGGGCTGCCTCATTGGACACTGGATCACATTCCCCACTGAAACATCTGCTGCCCTCTCTCTAACTTGTCCCTTGGGCTCAGCTCCATGCACAATAGGAAAAGGCATAATAGAGTTCCAACCCTCAGGAGGAAGGAACAAGAGGCAGTGTTTATATACATTTACAGAGCACTACCATGTACCAGCTACTCCACCAGGCACTTCCATGCATCATTTTCCTTTTAATCAAAAAGCTAACAGCAGTGGGCTCTGAACTATGATGCAGCACATTAGAATAGCCAAGAGAGAATGTTAAATATATGGCTGTTCCAGGGCCTAGCCCTGACCTATTTAAACAGAATTTCTGTTTGTGGGTTTGTAGTATTTAATATAAACTCAGCAGGTGATGCTCATGAGCACCCAAGATTGAGAACTTGTGACTTGCAATTTAGTTATGGAAAACACACACACGTAAACACATCCTCAATAATGTATTCTTGTAATACTAAGCAGTTTCATAACATTCACCTACCCACATGCTCATCTATTTTTTCACTCATTCATTCACCCAATACACATTTCAATGCCTTACATGAACAAAATACAAACAGTTCTCAACTTGAGATGATTCGACTTACAATTTTTCAACTTGGTACGAAAATGATACTCAGTTGAAACCATATTTTAAGTATCCATACAACCATTCTGTTTTTTACTTTCAGGACTGAATTCAATAAAGCACATGAGATATTCAACACTCTATTATAAAAATACATTGTGTTAAATGACTTTGCCGAACTGTAGGCTAATGTATCTGTTCTGGGCACATTTAAAGTAGGCTAGGCTAAACCATAATGTTTAGTTGGTTAGGTGTATTAAATGCTTGTCTGACTTAATATTTTCGATTTATGATGGGCTTATCTTGACATAAGCCAAGAAGTATCTGTATTGCTAGGGGCAGAGAAAGACATGAAGACAAATCAGATGCAGATTCTGCCCCTTGAGGGACTTAAATATCAGTAGGAGAGAACAATTTTATATACTAACCTATGACACAGCTAGGGAATGACCAGCTGCCATGAGGTATCTTCCAGCGGGGGGATTACGTGAGGCAACAGAGAAAGGCATTAGGATAGGAAAGATTTGAATACACGGCAAAAGAAGGAACCATGTTCTAGGCAGGAAGAACTTGACTGAGCAAAGGCAAGGAGGTGAGAAAGCACTAGGTAATCACCAGGAATGACAGGGCTGGAAAGTCCTAGCTGAGTTCCTCATCCTACACCTGTGCAAAAATGATGAAAACATTCTTTACTCACAGCTATCAGCTTCCCCCACGAAACCCTGAGCTTATGCCTCTGTGGTTCTTAAGGACCAGACTCAGAACTTAAGCACACTCTGTCATCTCATCTTCCTAGTGTCAGTCCCTCTGAGGGACTTAGAGTGACTAAGCGAGCCCTTTGGGAGACTTTTTTCCTTCCATTTGAGCATCCCTGTGGCCTCATTCCCTGACCAAGACATCCATTTACTGGCTGTTACACTCAGCAGGTGGGAAAACACATGGTCTCCCTGGGGCACTGGCATTTTGAAAAGCCTCTGCAGGAAACCCGGTAAAAATGGCTTTCCAAGAGGCTGGAAAAGGCACAGAAGGAGTGGGACATTTGAAGACATGAGGTCATCCTGAGCAGTTAGTGCGGCTTCTAAAAGCAGGACATCTTAGAGGTGGCCTGGAGTACTAGAATGTGTCACAAGTTTTGATTCTGGCCACAAACTCTGCTTATTACTAGAGTAACCTCTGGTGAACTTCTTCCCTTTCAGTGGCTCTTAGCTTCCCGTCTTCAAAGTGAAGAATATGAATTAGATAATATTTCATGATTTTTATTATAAAAGCTTTCATTTATTGAGGATCCATATGTAACCATCATTTTATTTAGTCCTCACAACAATCAGATGAGAAAAATAATGGTATTATATCCATTTTACAGAAGAGAAAACTGAGGTTGGGAGGCTAGGTCCAGTACCCCAGAGCTGTAACTGGAACCCACACCAAAATAGTGTTTTACAAACTGCAGGCTGTAAAAACAATGTGGTGGGTTGCAACTAGCACATTTTTTAATGGAAAGCAATGAAATGGAATAAACTGAAATTGATTAGAATAGAAAAATAAGAGCAAATCACACAAAATTAAGAGTCAGTATTGTTTTGTGAACTTTTGTTGTAGTTGCATACACATGCATATATGTTTTACACATATATTTTAATTATATGCATATATGCATATATACTTATGGCTGCACTGGGTCACAATATAAAATGTACATCTTTCTGGAAGTTGTGGTCAAAAACATTTGAAAACATTACTGTAAGCCACTGAGCATAGCCCTTCCCTGGATGACTTCTACAGAACTGTTTCCACCTTTTAGATCTAATGGTTTGTGAATATAAAACTTTGGAGGAGGCACATGGCTGTGATTATTCTGACGCTGAATGTGTCCATTGAGGAATTACCAAGGAAAACGCCAAGCATGGGACCTTGTCACCTGGGTAAACTCCTTCTCATTCTATGGGAGACATGTGGTTCCAGTCTGGGCCCTGGAAGACCTGTGTCTGGTGGTGAAGCTGCAGCATAGGGTGCTACTGCTGGAATCCTGCTAGAAGAGATGGGTCCCCTGGGATCTCCAATCCAGCTGGAGAACTGAATTGCCATCTGGTAAATCACAAGACAATTTTTGTTCTTGCCAGACGCACCCTATCAGCATGGAAGATACAGACAGTCTTCAACACATAAACAGGTTATGCTGCCAAAAGTGCCTTCGTAACTCAGATGTTTGGAGTTTGGAACACATCATCCCATAGAAACAAGGATATAAATGGAGGTTAGGTTTCCATGTTTTAAAACTCAGAGGGTGTGTGACATGATGTATATTTTGTGTGGTGAACTGGGTAAGAACACATTTGCTAGCTGTGGGAACTTGTGTTTAAGTTCCTTATGCTTCATGAGTCCTACTTTATTTTCAAAGGGGATCACTAAGAGCTGCCTTTTTGTAGCAATGTAGGGGTCATTGTGTCATATGTGTGCAGGGCATCTAATACTAGGTCACTGTGTCTCTTGTTATCATTACAACATTGTGACAGAGAAACCACTTGTGACCTTGACCAAGCATGTAAGCGCTCTGAGACTCAGTTTCCACCTGGGTGAAAAAAATGACAACATTCACCTCACAGGGTTATTAGAAACACAAATGAGATCATGTACACACAACACTTAGTACAAAGTCTAACACAAGAAGAGTGTTTAACAAAAAGTGGGGACGTCTTTGCCTTCTCAGAAATGCCTGGCCATATCTGCATACAATTCTGGATTGATCTAAATCAATCATTATTAATAATCCTATGCACCAGAAAAATTAAAATTGGTAAGTTCTATGGCCTGAATGTTTTTAGCCTCTCAAACTTCAGATGTTTAAACATAATCACCAATGTGATAGTATTAGGATGTGGGGCTCTTGTTAAGTAATGGGGCCATGAGGGCAAAGCCCTCATGAATGAGGTTAGTGCCCTTATTAAAACAACTCCAGAAAGCTAGATCACCCCTTTGTCCATGTGAGAACATAGTGAGGATGTGCCATCTATGCACCAGAAAGCAGGACCTCACTAGACACTTATCTGCTAGCAACTTAATCTTGGATTCCCCAGCCTCCAGAACTGTGATAAATAAATTTCTGTTGTTTATAAGCTACCAGGTTTATGATATTTAGTTACAGCAGCCCAAACGGACTAAGACAAGAATTTAGCCAATGCCTCTTTGTGTTCAATCCCATGCTTGGCTTCGTGTGACATAAATGAGAGGTACATGCTGAGGTCTCTCAAGCTAAGAATGTGATATGGAAATGTTGCATAAGTGCGCATTGAAATGGGATCAGAAAACACTCCAAAGATGATAAAGAAGGCAGAGAAAAAGAGGGTCAGGGGCATGTTTCAGGTTGATCATGCAGCTCACTGGTCCAGCTGAATTGCATACCTACCAGAGAGATGGTGATACAAAAGTGGGCATGATAACATTTATCCTTCACCCATCGTTAATAGTCCCCAGGGAAAACCTCGGGCCAGATGCTCAGCAGAGGAAGTGTCCTTGAATTTTGAAAAGGAGGAAGAGACCAATGGCCATGATAACAAAGTTCCACGTAAGGTCTCACGTTTCACAAAATCTTTACAATACTCAAGATGATCTCTCTGGGGAAGGTGAAAGGAATTATAATTACATCTGTGAAGAAGGCTTGAGAAGGGAAAAAAAATCCTGCCATATGGTGTGTGGAAAATGTTTTGGAACTGAATAAAAAATATGGCGGGTGTTTTTCTCCTCCCATTTTTGTTTATACATCTACGTTATGCAGGCTGACTGGGGAACACGGATAAGTTTTTCTTTCAGAATAGAAATGCACTGGGTAATTTAATTTTATGACCATTAATAATATGGGTCTCTCCCGGCAAGCAAAGACATTTACAAACTTATAATCAGATTTTGTGATTTAGGTGTAAACCAATCATCCACAAGAGGCTGGGAGATATTTCCATCCCGCTTTCCCATTGCAGTGGGATTTCATGAAATGCAAAAAGGAGATATAGTAAAAGGTTCAGGATCCCAGAAGGAAGGAGGGAGAGAGCCACTGGTTTCGATGGACAGTCCATCCTATGAAAAGAATTTTAAATGGTCAAGAGACAGGCATTCATAGGTATTAACCATCAAGTGTGTTCTAGACTCTGTCCAAATGGGATCTTGTCGAATGTTCCTATCAACTCTGTGCTGCAGACATTGACATGCCCATTTATCAGATGAGGAAGTGGAGGTCACAGAAGTGAAGGGAAGTTGTTGCTCCTACTCACACAGCTACCCAGTAACAAAGTTCAGATCTGACTCATCACCTGCCTAACCTCTGCCTTTTACTCTTACCACCTTACTTATCTGTCATAAACACATTCTACACAAGGAATACAATTTAGAAAGAAGATTAATAGGTAAGCGTTTATACTGCAAGACAAATTGAGTCAAGCATTATAAAGGAGATACTAGAATCATCCAATAAGACTGTAAATAAAGGTTTTTTAAAAAAAATATTATTAATGATTGATATTAAGGTCTTGGTGTACCAAGTGTTTTATAATGCATTACCTTACTAAATCCTCACAGCAATCTAATGAGAGGAACACTGTTGTTTAATTCTGTTTAAAGGTGAGAAAACCAAGATTTAGAGAAGTTAAGCTAATTAACCACACTCACAAAGGCAGTAAATAACAGTGCTAAGTTTCATAAATTCTAGTTCATTTTCAAAGGGGGTCACTAAGAACTGCCTTTTTGTAGCAGTGTCGGGGTCACTGTGTCATATGTGTGCAGGTGTTCCAATACTAGCTCACCATATTGTTTCATTCTGTCACCCAAGCTGGAAAGCAATCATGGCTCACTGCAGCCTTGATTTCCCAGGCTCAAGCAATCCACATCAGCTTCCCAAGCCACTGGGACCACAGGTGTGCACCACCATGCCCACCTATTTTTTTAAATTTTTTTGTAGAGACGAGGTCTTGCTATGTTGTCCAAATTGGTCTTATACTCCTGGACTCAAGCGGTCCTCCCATCTCAGCCTCCCAAAGTGCTGAGATTACAGGCATGAGCCACTGTACCCAGCTAGTACTAGGTTTTGAAGCCACATCTGTTTCACTCCAGAGCTCATCTTTTTAGTATCTCATTGTATCACTACAGAGGAGTGAATGATATTAGAGAGATAATTTGAAATCCATTTTTTTGCACAGAATAGTTAAAAGGTCTCAGGAAACATGGACATTCTCAAGATTATTGAGAAACCCAGTTTGGCTGGATTGTAGGGGGCCACGTTGAGGAGATTAATTCATTCAACAAGACTTTACAGGGCATCTTTCATGTACTACACATCATCCTATATCTGGGGATACAGGAATGGATAAGATGCAGTCATTGCCCTGGCATGTCTGATATTCAAGTGGCAGTTAGATTGTAAGTTCCATGAGGATAGAGACTTGGGACATAGTATGAGCTCAATAAATATCTGTGAAACAAATGTCAATGTGAAAGACATTCTACTGTGTATCAGACATTGTCATAGGTGCCAGGATGGTGCAGTAAATAAAACAACAAAAATACTTGTCCTGTTAGAGGTTGTGTTCTAGTGAAAATAAAGTAAAATAGAAGGATAGGGAGTTATTGTTGCGGGGGAAGTTAAATAGAATTGTCAAAACAGACCTCACTGTGGTGCTTTGAGTAAAGAATTAATGACAAAACTTGAAAGATAAGTTACAAAATGAATATGGTATCTTTGTGAACAATGGTAAACCAATGAAAGTCATGCTTTGGGGGTCAGCAGAGATAGAAAATGCAGTGGAAGTGTGTGAGTTCAAATAGAATATTTTTGCTAGAACTAAGATTATCAAGAGTTTCAAGATAACTGACCTTGGATTTTTAGTTCTGTGGGCAGAGTGAATCATGGGGAAAAGGAGGAGGCTGCCCTGTCCCTATCCTTCTCTTTTCAGACTAGGCAGATGCAAGCCATATGATTTGTTCATGCTTGTCTGAACATAGATGCTATCCCTAACCTGGGTCCCAGTGACTGATCCTAAGCCGGCCACAGGGACTCTTTCTGTGCCTTGGGAGATGATCATGAGAACCTAGAAAGGGAAAAAGAGTCCCCTTCCCTGGCATAATTGGAGCCCCACTGGTGATGAGCAAAGACCCTACCTTGGAAAGAAGGCCAAGACTTTTAGCAAAGTCAGTGCAAAGCCAAGGAGACTAGCATGAGGACCTATGACCCTCATTCTGGTGCACCATCTTATTCCTCTTTTGCATATTTTCTTTGCCATACTCTGCCTGATGTCCTGTATGTTCCAATTTATTATCTTATCATCTAATTTCCTCAAATATATATTCATTCTCCCTAACTAGAGTTTATCTATGATACTTAGAGCAAAGACCCTTGCTCAAAGGGTTTCCTTTTCCTGGAGAACACTTCTCCACCTTCGTCTGAAAAAAAAAAAAATCTTTATCATCTTTTAAGATATGCTTCAAGCCATCTACTCTAAAAATCCTACCTGGATTAACAGTCTTCCAAGGCAGGGCTTTGTACCATCAGATTTATGTAATTTTATAAATCCATGTTCAGCATGGAGCAAATTATGATGCTTACATGTTTATCTATGTGTCTCACAATGACCCGACTCCCCCATCATGAACTTACTGCAGGCAGGGATCCTGTATTTTTCAGCTCAGTAACTGAAGACTCTACTATATCGATCCTAGAGCATTAACAGGCCCATCAGGTATTTTAAAAGTTTAACTAAATTGAGGAAAGAGCATGGCTGTTACAGTCATTGTCCTCTCAGCACCCAACATGGGCATGACACAGTCCTTAGACATGAGCTGACCCAGGGTTGTGGTCTTTGGGTGCTGTGCTCTGAGATCCCTGGCACTCAACCCTTGGCTGCTCTGCTGGGCTCCCATTTGCCAACCACGATCCAAAAAGAAGAAAGACATGAATGTAGACTGAAGCCAGACCTGACCATAGAACCCCAGTATGTCAGAGAGGACATGGCTCTCAGAGTTTGGAGGACCAGCATCTTAAGCACGTGGTCATAGACCCTATTCAGTCCATAGAAACCTTCCATTTGTTCTTCATAAGGTTAAAAGAATTGTTTCATTCCGTTGTCAGTATTTAAAAATTGATATTTTTTTCACATAAAACTCCAGATTTCTATTTTCTTTTGAAAAAGCAGATCTAGCAACACTTTGCCTATACACCCACCCATATGTTTCTAGCCTGAGACTGCAGGCATTTTGTGTTTATAACCCTACATGAATTAAGTATATACTTTATACGTTATTATTTATTTATTATTTATGCATTTGGGAAACAAGTAGTTTGTTAGATGGTCCTTGTTTTTCCTAGAGAATTCCCCTGAGTCATTGATTTTCTAACACTTTATATATTTCTGAGTACAGGAAATTCTAAGAGCAGGAAGGAGAAAGTTCCAAAAAAATTTTTTCCAGCTCCTTTCAGCCTTCCATCTAGAAACCTCAGACATTTTGTGGCAATTGTGCTGACATTTTTGGGGAAAATCTCATAACTTCCTTGCTCTTAGGAACCTAGTCCAGATCAAAGAAAGTGCTTACATATCCCCAAATAGAGGAACTTAGTCCAGATCTTAGAGTTCTAGGCTCAGCTCTCCCCCTAACCTCCCAGGAGTGACTGGGCAAGTTTATTAACCTTCAAGCCTTAGGTGGGAAAATGAGGCCATGATAAGGGGTCTGCCTTTTATCCTAAGTGTGACAGGAGGCTGTTGAGGATCTTCAGCACAAAAGGGACATTAGCAAGTTTCAATTTTAAATGATTCCTCTGGCTGCTGTATGGAGAATAGATTTCGTAGGTTGGGGTGGGCAGAGTGGGAAGAGAGAGACCAGTCTGGAGTTAGCTGAAGTTCTCTAGGCAAGAGAGAATGGTGGCGTATTAGTTACTAATGGCTACTGTAAAAATATTAGGACAAACTTAGTGACTTAAAACAAGACAAATATATTATCTTAAAATTCTGGAGGTCAGAGGTCTGATATAGATTGTATTGGCTAAAATCAAGGCATGGGCCAGGCTGCAATCCTCCTAGAAGCTCTAGGGGAGAATCCATTTCTTTCCCCTTCCCAGTTTCTAGAGGCTGCCCATGTACCTTGGCTCATGGCCCCTTCCTCCTATTTTCAAATCCAGCAGCACAGTATCTTTATATATCTCTCTAATCCTCCAGCCTCCCTCTTATAAAGACTCTTGTGATTATACTGAGCCTACATAGATAATTGAGGATAATCTCCCCATTTTAAGATCTTTACAACTTAATCATATCTGTAAAAAGCCTTTTGTCCAATAGGGTAACATATTCATAGGTTCCAGAGCATAGACATCTTTAGGGGGTGATTATTCTGTTCACCATAGATGGAAACAATGAAAATGGAAAGGAATTTTTAAAAATATATTTTAGAATAGTCTCCATGTGTTATAGATTCCAGGCACTTTTCCGGGGCATCCTTTGCAAAAATTCCAAGCATTTCTTATACTCTCATCCCTCAATGACAAATAATCCTCTTTTAAAAGTGAGAGGAGCAGTCACTGAATGGCAAGCAAGGAGGGGAAAAGTGAAATTATATGCATGTGTGTATGTATGTGTACGTGTGTGTGTGTGTATATATATATATATATACATATATATATATACATATATATATATGTATATAGTTGAATGATTGAATTTTCATCCTGGTTCCAACACTCTTTATCTGAGTGTTCTTGGACAAGTCATTCATCTTCTCTGAGCCTCAGCCTTCTGGCCTCTCAAATGTGTCAACAATGTCAGTCCCGTTATTCGTGGGGTTGTCTATAGATCAGATCAGATCATGCACGCAGAAGAACTTAGTGCAGAGCCTACAACTAGATGAAGGTAAGAATTAGTGAAGAATTATCTCTGAATTTGAGATGTAAATCATCTCTGTCTTCTGCTCCTTCCAGCTTTCTTGTCATGGTTCCTTCCTGCAGAAGGATTCAGTTCATTCAGGTTTCATAATGCTAACAGCTGGGAAGGTGGCAGGGAGGGCCACAAGGTCAAAGAGCCCTGGGAGGTTAAGTGGATTATATAATTTCACAAGAAAAATGATCAAAAGACTCAGAAGATCTCCCAGGGTTTCTGTGTTGCAGTCCAGGGTGCTTGATGAGCTACCAAGCTAGATGTTCTCTCATTTACTAATGCTGACTGAGCACCTGCTCTGTGTGCCAGGCCCTGTGCTAAGTGCCTTTCAGGTATTATTATCCCATGTCATTTTCACACCAGCACCATTGGGTTGCCCCATCATGATTTCCATTCACAGAGGACAACAAGCCTTAGAGAGGTTTAGCCACTTCCCAAAGTAATATCACTAGTATGTGATAGAGAAGATAGGTCTGTCTAATTCTATAGTCCCTGCTTGTAATTACTTTTCAATACTCCTCCACCAGTCAGTTGTGTCTTAGATATGAGTGTAAGAATAGAAATATTTTTAAAGCTAGCTGTTGACATTATTAACATGATTTTTTAAGATTTAAGTCCTACTGCAACCATTTTCAACAAATAAAAATAAGCCCCTGCCTGTGTACAAAATTCTTAATTGTATTATCTCATTTGATTTTTAGGTAGTGATTTTATCCCCATTTTATAGATGTAGAAACTGAGGCTCGGAAGGATTGAACAATTTCCCCAAGACCACATAACTCTTTTATTTGTTTGCTATTTTTTTGTTTTGAGACAGAGTCTTGCTCTGTCGCTCAGGCTGGAATGCAGTGGCATGACCTTGGCTCACTGCAACCTCTGCCTCCCGGGTTCAAGCGATTCTCCTGCCTCAGCCTCCAGAGTAGCTGGGTCTACAAGTGCCTGCCATCACACCTGGCTACTTTTTGTACTTTTTTAGTAGAGATGGGGTTTCACCATATTGGCCAGGCTGGTCTCGAACTCCTGACCTTGTGATCCACCCACCTCAGCCTCCCAAAGTGCTGGGATTATAGGCATGAGCCACCGTGCCCAGCTAGGACTACAAAACTTATAAAGAAATTCTGGGTCTCAAGATCAATCTTCTGAATCCAAGTTCATTTTAGTTTTGCAAGAAACATCATGTAGATCAATTTCCTTATTCCACTCTGAGGAAACTAAGACCTGATGGGAAGTGGCCAGTCTAAGAACACACAATGAGTCAGTACATTGGCTAAGAGGAGAGGCGGGCAACAGTCAGACGTGGTCGAATTCCAATTTTCTATTTACTTGCTTCATGTCCTTAGGAGACTTTCTTGAATTTCTTTATTAAAGGGTACAGTCTGCTCATCTGTCAAATGAGGAGAATAAGACTTCCCAGAGATTTTTGTGAAGGTTTAACTCAAGATTGAAAGTGCTTGTTACATAGTAAATGGTGGCTCTAAGTGCCACAACTGAACCTAGAGTCCAGGAGTATGATCTCCCAGCCTGATGTGTGTTCCACCAAGACTCCCAGGTCTCTTTGCAATTGTTGGTAGTATCTGCAAACATAATGGCATGAGGTGATGAACGGAGTGTTCTCTAAGTCTAACCAGTGTGACTTCTGAAGCAGATTAAATGTACCAACTATATTCTCTTAGAGCTTCAATTGCCTTGGCCAATCTCTTCTTATTTTTACAGATAGAGCAAGGATCACCCTTTGCAAGCCCAAGTCTAATGATACCATCATTCAAGTAAGAGTAGATTCTGTTGTTACAAGTTTTATAAGGCTGAAAGAAATTGGTTGCATTTGGCATGTCTGTGATACAGGTAGATGTTATTGTCATATTTTTTATAAAGTTTTCAGAAAAAAAACCTTCATGTTTGAATGTTTTATTATTTATATTAAGCTCTCTAAACTGCCCGGAAGTTCTTGTTTCATTTAAGAAATCTTAAATTTGAGACATAAACTTCCTGACGGTGTGGGTCCCTTTAAAGGTGAAATATGCTCTGACAGCAGAGAAATAAGCCCAGTCGAGTGTTCTAACCACAGGATGGTAAAAGTCATGGTCAGGTTAGAAGAATCAATTAGAGTGGGAATGAGGCTGTGTAAATTTCAGGACTCAAATGGCAAAATATGAAGACAGGGCTGACTTCAAAGCCTTGCCTGATGTGATTGTATTTCATTTCCTGATTGGCAAGACAACTTTAAATGGGGTATTAAATTGGATTTAAAAAAAAGCAGTTTTTTTTCTGTTTAAAAACAATACAAAGCAAGAAAAAAATAGATCCAGGTTAAGGTAACAACAAATTTGAGGATTTATATGGGTATTTGAGAAAAGACAGCAAGCCTGGGGGAAAAAAATGTATTTGAAGTCAGAATTCTGAAAGGGAAGACTTTACGTCTCTGGCTGCATCCGCTGAAAGGGCTGTATTTATAGCAGGCGCGTGACTGCCTGGCTGGGTCCCGGCCACAACCTGGTGCAGCCAGCTCTGTGACACACTGTGAGTCTGTGCTGTGTGTTACATCAGCTGCAGATCTGATGTTTATAAGCAAACAACAGCTTTGGAATCTTAAAATAGATATCAAAAGGGTGTCCATGCTTCCCAGCTAGGCTGACAGTGGAGTTCACAGAGGCAGAGGAGCACACTGGATGAGGGAGCTGGCTCTGGAATCCCGTGCATTCTAATCCTAGCTCAGAAACTTCCCAGCTGGGGCAAATAGTAAACCCAGCTGAGACTCAGTTTTGTCATCTGTAACACAGGGGGCACAAATTGGGCCTCATTTGCAGGATTGTATTTAAGATTAAGTTATATCAGCCAGGGAAGCCATTTAGCACACTGCCTGGCTTATAGTAAGCACCTAAAAATGTTAGTTATTGTCATATTATTATTATATAGGAAAGAATTGTTGGCTGTGAAGAGAAGGAGAGGTACTGAAATGTTTTCATCTCTAAGCTTTCCCCCTTCCCAACCATGCCCATTACATCTCACCCAAATTGTTCGGCTGGTGCTAAAGTAGGTTAGTACAAAAGTAATTGCAATTTTTGCCATTCAAAAGTCATGGTCAAAACCACAATTAACTTCGCACCAACCTAATATGTCTTCAGGACTAACTTCACCTCTATCTTGGTCTTATCCCAACTCTCTGAGCATATCTATGGCGATGACTAGACTAGGATAAGATAAGTATTTATGTAGTAGAAAGGCCACTGGATTTGAAGGCTGAAGACCTGTGTTTAAACCTGTGAATATTACTTAGAGACTATGTGAGGGCCTGAGGGAGTCACTGTGCCTCCTTGAGGCTCAGCCTCCTTACCTTTAAAGTGGGATAATAAACTATATTCTTACATACTTACCTTGCAAGCCTGTTGTGGGGATCCACTAACTCAATAGGATATGACAGTGCCTTTGAATGGTAGTACAATGTCAAGGTGTTGTTAGGTAGCATTATAATTTATTTATTCTTAAATAAAAACTACTCTTGTAACTATCCATTTGGTACTTTGAAATTTGGAAAGATGAAAAAGGGGAAATGAGAAAACAAGACAGGTGTCTCAGAACAGTGGAAAAGCTAAGCTAAAATAACAATGACAGCATACATGCTTGTGGTCGCCATCCCCAGTGCAGACATCACCAAACCTAAATATCACTCTTTCTCACTGAGCCCAGATAGAGCTTCAGGATCCTTCTTAACATAATGCTTCAAATAAGGACCATCATTTATATTTATAACCTTCCAACACCATCAAATGGAAGAGCCCATTTAAAGATAGCAAAAAGGAAAACAAATGGCATAAAATTCTGAACCCTAGAGTCAGGCTTGGTATCTAATCCCAACTTTAGCACTTATTAGCTGGAAAGTCACTCAAAGTCTCAATTTCCTTATCTGTGCAATGGTAATATAAATGTCACCTTTATAAGAAAGTTGTGAATGTCTCAACCAGAAATGTCTGCCAAATGGTAAAAACGCAATTATTATTAGCTACTGTTATTATCATTAATAACTTGCTTTCCCTTATTTGATATTCCATGTAAAGTCAACATAGAATAGTAGCAAGTTATTAATGAGAATTAAAAATTATTTTACCTTCTTCCTTCCAAAAAACAAACTAATAAGCAAAAGGCATCCAGAATAGTCTGGATGAATCATGAGTTTAAAAGATAGACAGCCCTAGGATTGAATACCATTACCACCATTACTAAATTTGCAATATTGTCTAAGTTGCTTCACCTCTCTTAGCCTCAGTTTTCTCATTTATAAAAGGGGAGAAACATTTTAGGGCATGGGAAAGATTAAATGGGATGATATACATAATGTACTTGGCCCACAGTGCGCTCCAGATCAACGTTCCAATATTAGTGGGAAAAGAATGAATAAATACAGAGCATAATAGGATCAACTCAAATCCATTGAACTATTACAGAGGAAACATTTTCCTGAGAAGGTTAAATGAAATCAAATGTCTGAGGTAGATTAAACTTTTTTTCTCTCTCTTTCTCCTCATGTCATATTTGTGTCCCCAGAATTTCATCTGCATAATGGAATGTGCTGATTGTGAATAGATGGTGCAATGTGCAC
This sequence comes from Homo sapiens, assembly GCF_000001405.40. NCBI lineage: Eukaryota > Metazoa > Chordata > Mammalia > Primates > Hominidae > Homo > Homo sapiens. The sequence goes on from NC_000009.12 coordinate 119,804,842, forward strand.
AGGAGCATTCTCCAGAGGATAAACCGATGAAGGTTTTATAAGTCATTTGTAGGGCCATCTTCTCTGATTTCTCAGTATCTTAGCACTCCCTCAGAGTTCCATGTTCTAACCACCCATGCCCTCCCCTTCATTTGAACATGATATGCTCAATGACCTGAAGGTTCTGAGGACTAAAGGGAATGTTGTATACTCCATACCTTTTCTTGGAGATCCCTAATGCTCATTCATCCAATAAAGGCACTGATAAGTCCTACAATTTAAACACACTAACAATAAATAAGTAACAATACTTATTTAACAGAGTATTGTTTCAATGTATCTGACCACAGAAACCTTCTTTCATGTTCATACTTTCTTAACATCCTGCCTAATTACTATTTGGAAATTGCTGTTATGTTGAATTCCCCCAAATGACCAATGAAGAGAGAATTAAAAGCTGAATATTCACTATGATTATCAGGCAGCACTGCCAGAAGACATAAAATACAGACGCAACCAGGAACTGTTACTACCTCCTATTGTGGGTTTCATCGTGTCCCACAAAAGTTCGGTTTAAGTCCTAATCACCAGTATCTGTGAATGTGATCTCATATGGAAACAGTATCTTTGCAGATGGAGTCTAGTTAAGGTGAGATTGCACTGGATTAGGATGGACCCTAAATCCAATGACTGGTGTACTTTTACAGACAGATTTAAAGACACATAGAGCAGACATAGGGAAGAAGGATCTGTTAAGACAGAGGCAGAGATCGGAGTTATGCTTCCGTAAACAAAGGAACACCAAAGATTACCAGCAACCACCAGCAGCTGGAAGAAGGAAGAAAGGATCTTACCCTAGAGGCTTCAGAAGGAGCTGGCACTGCCAACAACTTGATTTCAGACTTCCAGCCACCAGAACTCTGAAAGAATAAACTTCCATTATTTTCAGCAGGCAGCCCTAGGAAACAAGTATATTTGATGACCAGATATTTTTCCTTCATTCCTGGTTGCCCATCGTCAGTCTCCTTTCCTGGTTCCTACTAATTTCCCTTACTATTAAATATTGGAGTATTCCAGGTAGAAGACTTTGAACCGTTTTTAACTCTACTGTAGCATACTTGCTACATACTTATTAGATCCAGGACCTTGGCTTCAACAGCATTTATGCGGTGATGCATTCTCATTGTAAATTTAAGGCATACTTAGTATGGCCAAAATGAAACCTTTGATCCTGTCCTGAAAAACAATTAAAAAAAAATTAAAAAAAAAAAACCTTTTCTTTCACTTAGCATCCTCCATCTCTGGAATGAACGAGTTCCCTCAGTTGCTTAGGTCAAATATCTAGGAGTCATCCTTGAGTCCTCTCACTTTCCCAGTACCCCCCAAATCCTGTTGAATCTGCCTTTAAATCATGTCCAGAATTTTATCACTTTTACTACCTCCATCTCTCCCACACGTGTTGTTGAGGTCACTGTCATGGTGTATCATGAACGCAACATGATAGCCTCCAGTCTGGTCTCTGTTTCTCTTCTCAGCCTTTACTATCTATTCATAACACAGGAACCATAGTCGTATTAAAACGTAAATCTGATCCTTCCCTTCCAACAAGTCCAGTTCCTGGCTGTCACTCTGATCTTGCTTCCTCCCACTTTTCCCCTTACTCAGCCCCAGCTTTGCTGGCCTTCTTGAGACTCTCTAATGAGCCAGCATGTCACCCTTTGGAGACTTCACATTTGCTGCAGCCTCATCCTAGAACACTTTCTCCCTGATACCCACATGCATATTCTCTTGCTTCAAACAAGTTTCTCAACCAGCACCTCCTCATAAAGTCCTTCCCTTACTACCCTGTTGAAAATGGAACACAATCCCCCTCCTGCTTTGTTTCTGAGTCCCTAATTCACCATTGGACATCACATGGTGGGGAGTAGGGGGCTTATGTGTCCTATTAGAATATGCATATTGGAAGTAGAGAAGGAGACTTGACCATCTCATCTACTGCTATGATCTCAGTCCTAGGACAGCACCTGGTACATATAGGTGCTCAAAAGTATTTCTATACTAATTAATAATAAATTAATTTAAAATTAATAATTAATTCTTTCCAGGATTAGGAGTGTGGGGGGAAACACATAAGAAAAATAATTTGGCCACTCAACGTGAGCCATGAAATCTGAAGAGAAAACAAGACAGCTCTGTAAACGAGGCTTTTCTTGCAAGGAGAAATGAAGCCTTCTTGAAATACAAGAGCTCTTTCTTGATTGGTCATTTAAATCTTCTTTGCCCTGTTTTTCTCCTATAAAATGAGGATAAAGTTCTCTTTAACCCACAGGATAATATTTTTAATTGCTGTACCAGTATCACATACTTTGAAAAATTAAAAAGGACTACTTTTCATTGTCCTTCAAAGCAGGTTTTCAAATGAAACTCTTAAAACAATCTCGTAATAATGACAATTAATATTAATTGAGAGCTTGTTGTACATCAGCTACTGTTCAGGCATACTCTTATTTAAACTTCAATATTCCTAGGAGGAAGGGCCTATCAGGAACCTTATTTTTCAGATGGGGGACCTGAGGCTTGGAAAAACTAAATAACATTCTCAAGGGCTTATTGCTGGTCAGTGGTGAAACAGGAATTCCAACCCATGCATTTTGATTTCACAGCCACTCTCTTGACCTAAATGCTATTTTACATGACAAGGTAATCCAGCAGAGTAAGGAGGCATAACCAATATTGGATATTATTACTTCTATTTTACCAAATAATAGGCCTCAGTCTCAGAGAAGGGAAAGGGCTCGTTCAAGGTCACAAAGAAAAGTCTTCACCCAGGCCCATATTTCAAGAGGGACCTTTTAGTAATAAAATATACCCAATGATGGAGTAGCATCCATGTGACAGGAACAGCATACAATGAAGAAGACATTCAAGTGCTGGAAGGGGACCTGAGTTATGTGCACATCAGAGCCAAGGACCAAAGAAGGAGACTGGCCTGTCTAAGGGCACACAAAGAGTCAGCTCTTCACCCTGCCTCCCGGGGCCAAAATAGGCCAATTTTCCAACATTACCTAATACCTTTAATATGTAATATAAACTATCAGGTCACACACATAATACCTAAAACTACTACAAATGGTGAGATAAATTGTGTTGTCCCACCACACATAAACTGTGTGTTTGTATGTATCGATGAGTGCAGTTCAGGGCAGTGAAGGGTTTGTTTTATGTGGCTTGATTTTTTTGTATATGTAATTATTTGGTGACTATTTTGGTAACATATTTTGAAGATTAAGTCCAATTAGGAAACAGGTGGCACCAAAATATTGTCAAACATATTGGATCAGCAGCAAATCACTGACTTAATTAAATGATTAAAATGTATATTTATACCTGATCATCCAAACAACGGTAAAAAGACCAATTTCAGGGTTGATTATGAGCCCTGGCAAAGAGTCAAGTCAAGAATAAGTTACGTCCAAGTTACTGCTTTGGTGCCTCTTCCACATCATATCTTGGAGGGCATTTGGGAGGCAGAGGCAAGAACCAAATCACAGATACAACAACAGTCTTCTGAACATGCCAGGATTGTGGTGCATCGAGCAAAGGAAGGGGTTGCTAAAAGGAGTCAAGGGGCTCACATTTCTATGGCTCCATTGCTTCCTTTCCTCTTCCAAGAGCACCCGAAGTCTCTCTATTACCCACAGATTCACATTCCTTCATCCAAATTCACTATCAAATTCATCTACCTTTATGGCCTTACGTTCGCCTACTTCCTCTCCTTTTACCAAATGACTGACTTATTGTATCATAATAGTTAAAAGAACAGGTTTTGGGGAAAGACCTGTGTTCAAGTCTTGGCTTTGTCACCCATCACAGTTTTACATCTCACAGTGTGGCAATTTGCTCCACCAAAGCAAGCAAGTAGGAGAGCAAGAGAGTGGAGCAGGAGAAATAGCAAAGTCTGCTGTAACCTCATCTCAGGGTGGATATCATATCATATCTGCTGCGTTTGATTTCTTAGAAACAAGTGACTAAGGAAGCCCACCCTCAAGGAGATTACACAGGGACAGGGAGGTGAGGATCACTGGGGGCTTTTTTAGAAACTGCCTTCTTTATTTCTCTTTCCTTCCTTTCTTACTTCCTCCCTTTCTTTTTTCCTTCCTTAACTTCTTAGCTGCTATTTTCCTGTGGATTCAGATTCATCCATTTATTCACTGAGGGCCCTACCATGGCTCATGCAACACTCAAAGCTTCTAACAGCCCCTCATTGCCTGCCTGGACAAACTCACACTTCTCAGTGGGGTATTCAAAACTCTCTGTGGTCTCCCTTTCTCCTGCTGTTCAGCCTTACCTTTTACAATTTCAGCTGTTTTTCCATTTATCTGATGGCCTTTGTTTCCCAACTAAATTTGACACCTTCCTACTTCGGTCCCTTTCTCCATGATCCTCCTTCCAACTAGAAAGTTTCTCGCTCCAAATCCTCCATCTTTGTATAAGGTGAGGCTTAGGACTCCAAGCTTTAGAGCCAGCAGCCTCAGAATCCAACCAAAAGTTGTCACTTAGCAGCTTGGGTGAGTTACTTAACCCTTCACCTGTGAGATGGTGACAAGGATCCTCACAGGATTGTTGGATGAATTAAATAAAATATGTAATCTACATAATATGTGAATATGGCATCTGGAACATAAATGGCAAGTATTGCAATTATCATTAGCCTCTCTTTTAAATCCTGGTGGAAGAACTACCACACATCTGTGCTTTACTCTATAGCTCTTATACCCCAATTGCATTTGATGTTCCCTGTGAGGTTAGAAGTATGTTATCACTAGTTTACAAATGAATAGACAGACTCAGAGGGTTGAAGTGAAGAGCCCAGGATCACACAGTCAGCTGATGGTAAACCCTGAACTAGAATTCAGTTTCCAATTCCAATCACTGGGTTCCTTTCTCCTATATAAACATTTGCTCCGCCAGCTTAATCGAGGGACAGAATCGTGGGGGCTAGAATTTCTTTCTGGGTCTTTTTCCCTCTGGAACTGTTTCCCTAGTCCTCAAAGGCAAATTGAACTGTTGCAGGAAGGCATGGCCTTTGGAAGACACACAGAGCTTGGGGGTTGCTGGAGCTGCCGACGGAACAGCCACCTTCTATCCTCTCCCCCATCATGGACAGACTCTAGAGCTCGTAGATCTACTGCCAGGCCTGAGAGCCAATCCTGTTTCCTGGATGGGGCAGGGACAACATGAAAGGTTAACCAAAATAAGATCCAATGAAATATTGCCCTTCATTCTGGTCTTTCCTTTTTAAACTTGCCCTTAGTCAAGGTTCAACCAACCAGATAATATTTTCTGGAATGCGTGAATTACAAAGGGCCGTGAAAGATACTAAAGGGTTTACAATTAAGACAGCCTTAAAAGTAACAAGAACTTTCTAATCATCAGAATGGTTTTAAGAGGAATGGGCTTCAGGAAGAGAATGAGGTCAGTAACAGAGGAAGTACTCACTGTAGGGTATGCACAAAGAAGTTTCCCAAATCTAGCTGTGTTGTTGAATTATTAATATGTGGTGAGAATTTTTTTTACCTAACACATTTAACTTACAATTTTCCTGGAATTGATTTTTATGTTTGGTGTAAGGTAAGGGTCAATATTTTTAAAAAATATTTTCATTGTATATGTTTAAAGTGTACAACATGATGTTTTGATCTACATATACATAGTGAAGTGATTTCTGCAGTCAGGAAAATTAACATAGCCATCACCCAGTGAGACTATTTCACATGCATACTCTCAGGCTCAGCCACAAACCTTTTAAATCAGAATCTTTAGCCATAGGGTCTATGAATCAGTACTTTTTACTCTTTCAGGTGATTTTGATGGACAGTCAGGTTTAAGAATCATGAGCCTAATTAGCAAGAATTCAAGCATCAAATGGAGGTTGAACCAGATCAGTGCTTTTAAAACTAAGCTCTGTCCTGGAGCTCCTCTGGGACTGCTGCAGGATGGTGATGAGGGTAAGGGGCAGAGGTCATGGGAAGAGAGTCATGATGGGAAGGAAGTGGAGTGTCTACATCCCATCTCCCAATTTTAACCAGAGCCTCTGCTTTTATCTCTTTTATTCATTTATGCTTCTATGCAAGATGCATTTCAACAAAGGATGCGCTAGCTTTAAAAAAGCTTGAAAGCAGCTGAATCAGATGACCTTTAATTTATTTAATCAATAAATAGTTACTGAGTGTGTGCTATACGCCAGCCTCTGTGCAAAATCAAAGCTGAGTCAGACATGGTCCGTCTTCCCTAGGACCTCACGGTTGAGAGGGAAGCGAGAACGAGTGAGTCATTCAGATGCACTGAGATGACTGCATTAACGGAGAAACAAGAACACAGCATCAGCCACAGGAAGGTTGTGTAGGAATTCTCTAGTTGTAGGGGGAAAGGGAGAAAGTGGAAGTAACAGCACATGCCAAAACATAAAGGCCTAAAAGAACGGAGATAGTTTGAGCATTTGGGTGTGGTTCGAGCTTAGGAGGCCAGGGCAATGATGTCACAAGCTGGCTGAATCCTTGAGCCAATCCCAACTTCTCTCTGGGCTTCACAGTTTCCTTAAAGCCAAAATGAGGGGATGTGAATAAATGACCTGGAGAATCAGAGAATCTCAGGGTTGGAAGAAAATAGATGTTGACTCACTAGAATGGTGATTTTGCCTCCCTGGGGGACATTTGGTAATATCTGGAGACATTTGCTTGTCACAGTTTTCCTGAATCCTGAATCCAGAGTTCACTTTCCTGAATTCCAAAGCTTGACACCTTCTCATTTCTGGCTCTTGCCTCTGCCTGGGCCTCACAGGCATTTTGCCTTTCTCCCTAGTTTAGACTGGGCCATGCCAGGCCCTCTCCCTTTTCTCAGCCTCTTTCCCACAAATGAATTCTGGAAAGCTGGGCTACATCTCCGTGTACTCTACATTTGTCTCCCTCTCCTCTCCCAGGGCTGATTTGCAAAGCTCTTTGCCCCTGGTTAGCCATCAGCTTTATAGTCCTTCTCTCCTCCCAATCCCCAATTTGCCCTTTCTATTACCCACAGTAACACAAATTAATAGTCCTCATACTTAACACACTTTCATCTGGCCCCAGAAGGAATGTTACAAAGAAAAACCTTCCAGCCTATTATTCCCAAATTCCAAATTCATTCCATTAAAAAAATCAGTTTATAAAGCCTTAACCATAAACGTACCAGGCCCCATGCTAGACATTTAGGATACAGGAATGAACAAACAGACAAGGCCCCTGCCCTCATGGTGCTTGTTACTGCTACTATGCAGAGGGAAGTACTTAAAACAGACACCTACAGGAGACATGGAGTGTGAGGGCAGAGGCAGGGAGGGCTTCACAAAGTAGACTGGTAAATTGGCATCATCGGGATGAGCAGGAATTAGGCGGATCAATTAGAAAAAGAGGGCAAGGCAGAGGCCAAAGTCCATGCAAAGTTCCAGACTGAAGAGCAACTGTGTTGAGTGGACGGAATGAAAGGAAGTTCAGGTTTGCTGGAATGGAGACAGAGAGATGGAAGGTGTGAAAGGCGATACAGGAGAAGGAAGCAAGAACCAAATAGTAAAGCTCTCATAATTCATCCTTTTAACCTGGGAGCTTTTTCGTGAGCTCAATGGGTAGCCATTGCATTCCTATGCCTAGAACAACCATTCAATTTAACATATGTTTATTGGTTTTCCATGTGTTCAACCCTTTCCTACACCATGGGTAGGGGAGGGGAACAAATACAAACATAGCATAAAACAGGACCATTGATCTCTCCATAGGAGGACAAGGTTTTAAGCTTCAAAATATGTGCCAATTTCAGGACCCTGGAAATCAGGGACACATATTGGATTTTGCCTGGAGAGGGTCCTCTAGTGTAATGCTTAGCAAAGTGGTGCCCAGGAAGCAGTATACAAATGACAGCAAAAAGTGTGGTCATATAACAGAGACACCAGCATATGCAAAGAGCAGCAGAGCCTCAGAAGGCAGCCACCCCACACAACAGAGTGGTGCCCAGTAAGCTGTAGATGAATGAGAGCAAAAAATGTGGTTATATGATGGAGACACCAGCACGTGCAAAGAGCGGCAGGGCAGAGAGGAGGCCAAGGAATATAAACAGTGGTTAGGGAATCTTCCATGAGGAAAGGAGACTTGAGGGATAAGCAAGAGGAAGGAGAGTGCAGAGGGAACTGCATGTGGCAAGGTGCAGAGGAGATAAATGTCATGGAGGGACCTGGGTCAGGGAGACTGACCAGAGACAGGTGGAAGATTTGTTCTTGGGAGCTGTGGGAGAGATTGCTGAGCAGACAAGGTCGACTTTGAGGATAGGGATTCCTGAAAGAAGAATGAGGACTTGCAGTTAATCCAAAATATGCTGGTGATAGAAGCAGGCAAAGGTTGGTCCCTGGCAAAACCCCACATTCAAGCCAAAAAGCCTGAAACCTGCAGCCCAAAGCGAGAACTTCTATCTGTCTTTGCCTGCTCCCTCCTGATTGGTTCTTTCTGAATCAACTGAATGTTGCCTTTTCCAAAACTACCCACTGCCTGCCGTGTCCCCATCCTGTGCCTATAGAGACCTCAGACTCATTAGGTAGGGGAGGGAGGTGATTCGACTTGAGAGAGAGGTGACTTTACTTCAGAGGGATGGCTGGACTTCAGAGGAGAGCTGGCCAGACATAGCCCAACTACAGGGGAAGATTATTGCCCATCCCATCCCCTTTCCAGGTCTCAATAAAATTCTGCACATTCACCATCCTTCAATTCGTCCATGTGACCTCATTCTTCTTGGGCACCAGACAAGAGCTCGGGACCCAGTGAGTGCGGGTACCCAAAAAAGGCTGTCACACTGGCCTCTTGCTCTCACTGGCAGATGGCAGCCACCCCACGCAACAAGGCAAAGGGCCCATTGAGCTGATAACACACTGCTGTCCACAGACAGCAGAGCTAAGAAGAGCATTGTAACACACCCTCTGGGGCTTCAGGGGTCACAGGCACCCCTACCTGAGTGCTGCTGCAGGGCCTGCACAAAGTTTGCTCTTGCCAGAGCCCCAAGAGTCCAGCCAGATCTCGCACTCACTGGCTCACAGGCTCCCTCCCTCAAGGAGGACTTACAACAGGTGTGTCCCATCTACTCAGTGAGGCGAGACCAGCTGAGTAGATGGGTACCCCCATTGCAAGTCCAGTGAAGGGGCCGAGAGAATTCTTGTATCACTGAGGAGTCACTGTAGATTCTGGAGAAAGGAAGGACCACAAGGAACACCATGTTTAGGAAGCAATGTGCTGAGTGCTAGAACGCTAAGGGAAACAAAGGGAGGGGCTAGCAGAAATGACTGTTGTCATCTAAATGGGGGGTTCAGGGAGCCAAGAGTAGGTCAAAAAGGGCAAGGCTGATGGTAGGTATGGGGTGGGGCAGGAGACTGGGACTGCAAAGTAGCTGAAGATACAATCAAAGAGCCCAGTGTGTCACTGGCCCTCATGCCAATCCCAAACTGCAGGGAAAAATAGCTTCTAATTTGATTTTTTAGATTCCAGGACACCAAATGGGCCATTATTACCAGTGGGTGGATTCCTTCACATTAAAAAGATCTAGACCAGGGGTCAGCAAATTACCACCTGCAGGCCAAATCCAGCTGCCTAAGAACAGTTTTTACATTTTTCGAATGGTTGGAAAAATCAAAAGAATAATATTTCACGATGCATGAAATTTAAATCTCAGAGTCCATAAATAAAGTTTTATTGGAACACAGCCACACAATGCCCATTTAATTAGGTATTGGCTGCGGCTGCTTTCCAACTACAAGGGCAGAGTTGAGGACTTGCCAGGAGACTATGTGACTCACCCCGCCTAAAACATATACTCTCCGGCCCTTTAGAGAAAAAAAATGTGTGCTTACCCTGGTCTAGATCTGTCTCTTGAATTCAGGGCCTTCCTCTTTGCTTGTTTCCATTTTTCCCCTATGGCCAGGCCCATGTATGTAAAAAAATCTCCAAATCCAGGTTTGATCTAAGAGGGAGTTCAAGGTACCAGAATTCCAATGATTCTGCTTCCCCATTCACCACTTTAGACTGCATTACATCTCATTTAGACTTCTTGTAGGTGAAAGTGAGCCAGGTGTGAGACAAGGATTAGTAGTTTCTAGGTTTTTCTTTCCTGTCTGTCCAAACCTCCCTACAATCTATAACAAAGGGCTTTCATTGAGTGAGAATTGAATGAGTAACCACGTGAGGTTTGCATATGAAGAACATGCTCAGCTTGAGAGTGACTTGGGAGGGGCGAGATAGTGGCCTGTCCCCAACCCAGTAGGGTTGGGGGGTTTTCTTTATGAGAGATATGAGTAATGTTTCAGATTCTTCCTAGGATGCTGACCCGAGAGAGTTAACCTGCTGGGAGAGGTGAGGAACCCTCCTGGTCAGTGTGGACTGGGAAGCCTGGTGCCAGTTCAATCCTCACAGCAGCCCACCTCCATCAAATGAAAAATCTTTTCTTAATGCTGTTATTAAACCCTAATCTTAATCATATTCATCTTTATTAAGTCTTTAAATTGTCTGGAATATTTAAATAGGGCCAAACTGAAAGTCAGAGGGATAGATTTAAAGGGACAGCTTGAATTATCTTCCAGGAGTCCACCAAATAATCTCTGGAGATTCAGCCCCTGATAGAAACCGAGGCTTCTGAACCAAGAGATTTTCAACAATGGTGGAGTGGGGAGGGGACTGCCAATTACATTTTGCCAGGAGAATATTAGTCTTTCTTTTAAACACCCCTCAAAAATTTATCAGGGAAAGAAAGAGGCCTAAATAGAGGATGAATTAAGGGCTTAAATGTACAGAAGGACTTGGATGGATATTGAAAGCAAATAGCTCAATGGGCCTCCCCTCTGGTCTCCCTCCTTTCAGCACCAAAACAATGTCTATTAAATAACTCCAGTACCTTGGTCACTGTCGCTGAGGAGCTAATTTCTAGCAGTCTCCGAGTGGTCAGATGACCTGTCCCAGCTGTTATCTCCTGATACACAGCAGGAAGACATCAGGGCCTTTAGAACTATGTTCTGAGAAAGGAATAATGGCCCTTTTATATTTTTTTCTAAATAAGAAATTTAATTTGAGATGACGGGCTCTCATTTTTGCTCCCTTGTCCATCGTACAGGGTGTGGGTATGAATTTATCATGGATTTACTTTGTACCCCCACACTGCACTAGACTCATTATTGCATTGTCCCACTTAATCCTGGCAGGAGCCCTACAGGGGATGTCGTGGGTGCAACTAGCTGGGACCTGTGTAGAGGGTGGTAAAGGAATTTACCAAGACAGTTGCAGGTAAAGAAAGACAGATTTATTAGAGAAAGTAGGAAAATATGTTTGCAAGGGGGCAACGGGCAGCCGAGTAGAGAAAGGGCTGTCTGCCAAGAAGAAGTGGTTAGAGGAAAGTTTTATAGGGTTGTGCTGGAGGGGGCTACAAAATGAGGTTGTGCTGCTGGGGCTACATGTAGATGGAGCTCAGGGTCATTGTGCCAGGAGTTGTTTGTGATTAGCCATGTCTCAGAATAATTGTTCATTTTCTTCCCCTCACCTGGGGCCTACCCCAATCTGGGACCCCTTCCTCATTATTGCTTACTTACTTTATCATGAATCCACAGGGTATGTCTTATAGTCTCTGTTTTATAGATTAAGCATTTTATGGAAAGGAAAACCCCTTAACCACAGTCACCCTACTTGATTTGAGCTCAGGCCTCTGAGTGTTCAGCCCATGTCCTTTCCTTCTGTCTTCCACTGGCTTCTTTATACTCCCACTGTCACTCAGCCTGAGAATGACTTAGGAGGAGTAACAGATATGGTGTAGGTGAAGCAGGGTCTTCTATAACAAGGAATATTTTTGTATTATTATTATCAGGTTTTAATCCCGAATGTTGAAACAATCTATTTAACCTTTACTCAGGCTAATGCATACATTAGGTGGGGTAACCTATATGCCATCATAAAAATGTGGGAAATTGAAACCTGCTGACATAAAATCAAATAGCCCAGCCATAAAAGATGCTGCTTTTATGTGATTATCTTGCCAATATCTTCGTGTTGCTAAACTAAATCAAACTACAGTTTTCCCCACATGCCCTGAATTTAATGGGAACCATTAATGGGTGTGATTCCTTATAGATCTCCTTGTAATAGAAACACGGCCTCTTATGCCCTGGCCGATTAAAATGAGGCCACTAGGCTGTCATTTGTTATGTTGCTTTGAGCATATGGAATAGTGGCCCTGCTTGAAATACCAAAACTGTTGACACTCAGACTGGCATTCAAGGCCTTCCTAAAATATCTGGCAACAACATATCTTTCTAGAATTTCCTTTCTCTACTCCCAGGAATGATATTTTATAGAATCTAAGAATATCAGAAGTGGAAGAGGTTTTTGAGATCATCTATTCCAGGAATGGCAAGTAGAATTAGAACCATACGTCAACTCTGATTGATATCTTGAAGTACTGTGTTGGGGAAGAATTCAAAAGCCAGCTCCAGGCACACTGGGTAGCGAATGCTATGATTGATTAATCATGCCTTCCATGGGTTAGTTGGTAGAGTGTGAGCACACATGCCATAGCTATTCCTTCATGTTTTAATCTAACCCCTTCATTTTATGAGTGTAGAAATGGAGTCTTATAGAGGGAAAGTGACGTTTTCAAGGTCACACAATGCATAAGCCACAGAGTGGAGGCCAGAGCATGTTCCTGCTGGTTCCTGGTCAAGTTCTCCACCCTTCCATTGTGGAGGAACTCTGATGAAAGAAGGAAAGACACATTGGCAAGATCAAGGAGTTAATGGTTTGGAGAAGGCAGAAGTCAACTCCACCCCAGTGATAAAGAAGCAAACTCTCACAGATTCCCAAAGATTCTTAATCAGAAAGCTTTAGTCAATCTTAGGAAGTTATTATCCCTTCTTCTTCTTTCCCAACTCTTGTTTTCCTCCCTTCCCCAGGCAAAGAGATTGTTCTACTGGTCTCAAGTCTTCCCCGAAAAGATTATCTACAATTAGTGAACTCTGGGTTCTTTTAATAAGTTTGAACCTTTCTCAGTAAGGGTCTCACACCCTTTCTTTTGACTGTCATACATTAGGATTCCTTGATAACTGACTTTGCCTCCTGCCAGAAATCACGGTAGAGTGAAGCAGAACAGAGGGACAAATGACCCCACGAATCCCTCCATGCTCCCATCCATCCCCTTTCAGCCTCTGCAAACTTCCCTGAATCACCATCACCTACATGACAAAGCCTCCAGTTCTTACCATGGCCTACCACCTGCTGCAGTCTGCTCAGACAACCTTTCCGGCCTCATCTTTTTCCAATTTTTCCCAAATACCCAACAAGCCTAGACTGGGAAGGACAAAAGGCAGTGAAGCACTGACTCCCACTCCCTCCCCAGACATTACCAATGAATCACCAGTAATGTGCATCATTCCTTCTTTGCTTAGACACTGCTTCTAAAAGTTTGTTTTGTGTGACTAGTAATGTTTACCTCAGATATGACAGTGTAACTCATGGGATCTGGGCTGCTTTGCTTACCCTTCCTGCTTTAGCCACAATATTATCAGCTACTTGGAACACATTTGGCTCATGCCCATCTCCATGCCTTTAATTATACTTAGTTCCCGTGATGGTTAATATTAGGTGTCAACTTGGTTGGATTGAAGGATGCCTACATAGCTGGTAATATATTGTTTCTGGGTGTGTCTGTGACAGTATTGCCAGAGGAAATTGACATTTGAGTCAAAGGACTGGGAGAGAAACACCCACCCTCAATATGGGTGGGCATCATACAATCAGCTGCCAGAGCAGGTAGAACAAAGTAGGCAGAAGAAGTTGGAATAAGCTGGCTTGCTGAGTCTTCTGGCTTTCATCTTTCTCATGTTCTGGATGCTTCCTACTGTTCTTCCTGTCCTTGGACATCAGACTCCAGGTTCTTCAGCCTTTGGACTCTGGGACTTACACCAGTGGCTTGCCGGGGGCTCTCAGGCTTTTGGCCACAGACTGAAGGCTGCACTGTCAGTTTCCTTGCTTTTGAGGCCTTTGGACTTGGTCTGAGGCACTACTGGCTTCTTTCCTCCACAGCTTGCAGATGGCCTATCTTGGGACTTTGCCTTGTGATCGTGTGAGCCAATTCTCCCTAATAAACTCCCTTTCATATATACGTATAACCTATTAGTTCTGTCCCTCTGGAGAACCCTAATACAGTTCCTTATACACCTTGTTGCCCATGTGATCCCAGGTCACTACCTCTGAGAAGTTGTCCCCAACACTTTCTAAACTGAATGAATCCCAGAGAAAGCTGCATAGATTATTATCCCGACAGTATAGCAGGAGGATTGAGGGCACAGGCAATGGAGACAGATGGCCTGGGTGCAAAGCCTTCCTCTGCAACCCACCAGCTTTGTGATCTTGGGCAAGATACCAAGCCTCTCTGTAATTCCATTTTCTCACCTGAGGAATGGGAGTAACCTAGCACTAACCTAATAAGATTGTGAATACAAAAAGAATTAATGTGCTCAAAGTATATAATGTATTACATGGCACAGATTGAGCGCTCAGGAAGTGTTTGTTATTATCTAGAGCTTGAAGTTTTGTAACTTAATAATGGTGTATCTACCTGTCTTCTACACTGAATTGCAATTTTCTTAAGGTCTGGGATTTGGTCTTAGTCATCTTTGAATTCCCTGCCCACCTAATGCAATGTTGGTTACATAGGTGCTGATGAATATTTAATGAATGACTAAATGAATGAATAAATCTGTTTGAAGCCTTCCAAAGTCAGAAAGGAGAGTCATTTTCCTCTGTTCTCTGCTGCTAGTGGCTTATCCTAGTTCAGAAGTACTTGAGTGAAGTGTTCAGTGGCTGTCAGTCTGAGTCAGAAGAGACACAATATCTCAGTGACATCCAACCTTGTGTTTACCTTGCACTTCTTTAATAACCTCTCAGTAACTCAAAAAATTAAAATTCCTTCCTCTCTTGATGTTATCTCTGAGTGGCAAACATTGATAGATTTTTTCCCCCACCTTCCCCTTGAGTTTCTAATGAAGCAGAAGCCAGTAGGACTGTTTTATGTACCTATCTGTCTGCACTAATGGTGTCAGCAGAGACAGGCACACCTGTCCAAAGAGCGTTTGCTTGGGAACCGGTGCAGAATGGCACAGTCAAGGTATACAGTGTCTAGAAGCATACACACAAGGCATCAACTTTTTATTATGATTATGGAATTGATGTTGGTGCTGAGAGTATATGTCACTATTGTCTTCTTACAGACACGTTCATTCTTAGACTGCAATCATTCATTCATTCACAAATAGGTACTGAAATCTATGATGCAGCCAGAACAACCATGTTGTGCAACTCCAGCTATGATTATTCATATCATAGTCTGTGGAACGATGGAGAATGTGCCGCAAGACATGGTAGCCCTACAAGGGTCAGTGCTATATAAGACACAGAAATGAAGAAGGTGCAGGCCCCTCCCCTCAAGGAACTCATAGGCAAGTAGGAGAGTCAGGTTTGCAAACACATTAATTAGCAATCCATGTGTCCTTGTGGCAGGAGCAGAAATAGAAGCACATTCAGGGTAGAAGGGCATTCCACAGCCATGCCTAACTGTTTCTAGAAGGGTCAGGGAAGATTTCTTGGAGCTGCCTTGATACCTATTTTAGTTTTGAAAGATACACGGGAATCTGTTAGGCAGATTAGAATAGGAAAGCTGGGGTAGGGGTTGTGCCGTTCCAAGAGAAGAAAAGATCATTGGACAAATATATGCATAAGATTGTTGTGAATACAAAAGAATTAATGTGCTCAAGGTATATAATGTATTACATGGCACAGATTGAGTGCTCAGGAAGTGTTTGTTATTATCTAGAGCTTGAAGTTTTGTAACTTAATAATGGTGTATCTACCTGTCTTCTACACTGAATTGCAATTTTCTTAAGGTCTAGGATTTGATCTTAGTTATCTTTGAATTCCCTGCCCACCTAAATGCAATAATAAAAGAGCATAGTCTTTTAGGGGGCAATAAGCCATAATTGCATTATTAGAGCATTAGTTTTGAAGGTCTGTGTGGCAGGGATTGAAGCTAGAGAGGGGGGCAGTTTCAAGGGACCTTGAATGCCATGGTAAGAAGTCACTGTGGACTTAACAGTGGCTGAGGTGGGAAGTAGGAGTGAGACACAAACACATTTAGAGGAGATGACAAGGATCCTTTGCATTTATGTGTCCATTTTTAAACTGTTCTGCACTGAATATCTCATTTTGTTCTATGGCTTAGGACTAGGCTGAATATGACCCAGTTCCTGGGAGTGAGGTGTGGCCAACCCTAAAAAGAAACCAGGATTCAACCCCTAGCATTATGCAGGTATAGAAAACCTACTATTGCCTGTCTAGTCCAGCAGAGGAGCATAAGGTTCTACTGGCAGACTGTCAAATAGATAGCAACCCAAACAAACCAGGATTTGATAATATATGAGAGTGGGTAGTGCTCCATGCAAGCAGAACACAGACCTGGGAAGTGCAGGCTGGCGTGACTCAGTCTAGGCAGGTGGTGTGCATACAGGAACCCTTTTGGTACTTACTATGTTCCAAAATAGTTCTCTTTATCCTTCCTTTCAAAACCTTCCTCATCCTTTATTTTCATCACCCGTGTGCTAGTCTATCTTCCCTTCAGTAAGTCTCCTCAAGTCAGGGACCATGTCTGTCTCATTGACTGCGATGTTCCCAGCCACCTGGCACATAGTGGCTGGCTAAATAATGAACCTACAAAGATATCCACACTCTAATCCATGGAACCTGTGAATATGTCAAAATATTCACGCTGTGAATATGTCTGATGCCTACATGGCAAAAAGGACTTTGCAGATGTGACTAAGAGTCTTGAGATGGAGATTATTCTGGATTATCAGGGTAAACTCAATGTGATTTTCATGATCCTTATAAGGGGGAGGCAGAAAGATAAGAGTTAGAGGAGGAGACAGGGCAATGAAAGCAGAGGTTAATGAAGATAGTGAAAGTGGCCATAAGCCAAAGAATTCAGGGGCCCTCTAGAAGCTCAGAAGACAGGAAAACAGATTCTCCCCTAGAACCTCCATAAGGAATACAGCTTTGCCAACAGCTTCATTTTTAGCCATAAGACCCATTTCAGACTTACAAGCTTCAGAACTGTAAGATAATAAACTCGTGTTGTTTTAAGTTACTACGTTTGTGATGATTTGCTATGACGGTAATAGGAAACTAATACAATGAATGATTTAAGCACTATTCTGAGTTTGGTGAGGGGAGAAATTATAGTGACAGCATGATCAGAAACAGGTCTCAGGCTTAAAGGAATGTGGGCAATAATACAAAAAATTAATCTTTATGGTTTGAAGTGTTCTTTTACATATATTATTCGGGGAGTATCAAGCTTGAAGATGTCTGCAATGCACACAAAGGCAAATGGCCACATAGCACACACCCCAGATCTTCAAAAACAGCATTTGTTGGGGAAAATTCATGGTGACAGGAATAGTAGCAGGCAGGTAGTCTCCCATTTTAAACTGTGCCATAGAACAGCACGCAGCTATCTGGTAGAGCCAAATGTCAGACTCCAGATGTGAGACCCTCATATGATTTGGCTGTGTCCCCACCCAAATTTCAACTTGAATTGTGTCTCCCATAATTCCCACATGTTGTGGGAGGGACCCAGGGGGAGGTAATTGAATCATGGAGGCCAGTCTTTGCCATGCTATTCTCATGATAGTGAATAAGTCTCATGAGATCTGATGGATTTATCAGGGTTTTCTGCTTTTGCTTCTCCCTCATTTTTCTCTTGCCACTGCCATGTAGGAAGTGCCTTTCACCTCCCACCATGATTCTGAGGCTTCCCCAGCCATGTGGAACTTACGTCCCATTAAACCTCTTTTTCTTCCCAGTCTCAGGTATATCTTTATCAGCAGCATGAAAATGAACTAATACAGTAAATTGGTACCAGTAGAGTGGGGCATTGCTGAAAAGATAACCGAAAATGTGGAAGCAACTTTGGAACTGGGTATCAGGCAGAGGTTGGAACAGTTTGGAGGGCTCAGAAGAAGATGGGAAAATGTGGGAAAGTTTAGAACTCCCTAGAGGCTTGTTGAACCGCTTTAAGAAAAATGCTGATAGTGATATGAACAATAAGCTCCAGGCTGAGGTGGTCTCAGATGGAGATGAGGAACTTGTTGGGAACTGGAGCAAAGGTGATTCTTGTTATGTTTTAGCAAAAAGACTGGCAGCATTTTGCCCCTGCCCTAGAGATTTGTGGAACTTTGAACTTGAGAGAGAAGATTTAGGGTATCTGGCAGATGAAATTTCTAAGCAGCAAAGCACTCAAGAGGTGATTTGGGTGCTGTTAAAAGCATTGCATTTTAAAAGGAAAACAGCAAAAAAGTTGCGAAAATTTGCAGCCTGACTATGTGATAGAAAAGAAAAACCCATTTTCAGGGGAGAAGTTCAAGCCAGCTGCAGAAATTTACATAAGTAGCAAGCAGCCTAACGTTAATCCCCAAGACCATGGGGAAAATGTCTCCAGGCCATGTCAGAGACCTTCACTGGAGCCGCTCCCATCACAGGTCTGGAGGCTCAGGATGAAAAAGTGGTTTCATGGGCTGGGCCCAGGCTCCCCGTGCTGTGTGCAGCCTAGGGACTCAGTGCCCTGTGTCCCAGCTGCTCCAGCCATGGCTGAAAGGGGCCAATGTACAGCTTAGACTATGGCTTCAGATAGTGGAAGCCCCAAGCCTTGGCAGCTTCTATGTGGTGTTGAGCCTGAGGGTGCACAGAAGTCAAGAACTGAGGTTTGGGAACCTCTGCCTAGATTTCAGAGGATGTATGGAAACACCTGGATGCCCAGGCAAAAGTTTGCTGCAGGGGCGGGACCCTCATGGAGAACCTCTGCTAGGGCAGGGTGCAAGGGAAATGTGGGGTTGGAACCCCCACACAGAGTCCCTACTGGAGTACTGCCTAGCAGAGCTGTGAGAAGAGGCCCACTGTCCTCCGGACCCCAGAATGGTAGATCCACCGACAGCTTGCACTGTGCACCTGGAAAAGCTACAGACATTCAGTGCCAGCCCATGAAAGCAGCTGGGAGGCAGGCTGTACCCCGCAAAGCCACAGGAGTGGAGCTGCCCAAGACCATGGGAACACACCTCTTGCATCAGCATGACCTGGATGTGAGAACTGAAGTCGAAGGAGGTCATTTTGAAGCTTTAAAACTTGACTGCCCCCTGGATTTTGGACTTGCATGGGCCCTGTAACCCCATTGTTTTGGCCAATTTCTCCCATTTGGAATAGCTATATTTACCCAATATCTGTACCCCCATTGTGTCTAGGAAGTAATTAGCTTGCTTTTGATTTTACAGGCTCATAGGTGGAAGGGACTTGCCTTGTCTCAGATGAGACTTTGGACTGTGGTGGACTTTGGGGTTAATGTTGAAATGATTTAAGACTTTGGGGTACTGTTGGGAAGGCATGATTTGTTTTGAAATGTGAAAACATGAGATTTGGAGGGGCCAGGGGCAGAATGATATGATTTGGCTGTGTCCCCACCCAAATCTCAACTTGAATTGTGTCTCCCAGAATTCCCACATGTTGTGGGAGGGACCCAGGGGGAGTAATTGAATTATGGGAGCCAGTCGTTTCTGTGCTATTCTCTTGGTGGTGAATAAGTCTCATGAGATCTGATGGGTTTATCACGGGTTTTTGCTTTTGCTTCTTCCTAATTTTTCTCTTGCTGCCACCATGTAAGAAGAGCCTTTCACCTCCCACCATTATTCTAAGGCCTCCCCAGCCATGTGGAACTGTAGGTCCAATTAAACCTTTTTTTCTTCCCAATCTCAGGTATGTCTTTATCAGCAGCATTAAAACTGACTAATACAGACCCCAAGCCATGGGTTGTGAAATTCTGTGATTGAGAAAACATAGCCTACTTGTGGTGTAGTCATGGGCTGGGACAAAGTGGGCAGATCCACATTTGTGGCTGGAAGGAGTAACAGCCCACCTCCAGTTGTGACTGGAAATCTCAGACCTTGCAGTTGAGCTGAAGTAACTGACACGTATTAAGCCATAAATGGCTCCCCAGGAACTTTGCCACCTCCTTCTCTGAGAGGACAGCCTGCAAAGAATTTGTCTTAGACAAGCTTACATATACCTCACAAACAATGAGAAGGCTAGTGCTACATGATCACCCAGTACAATGATATTCAAACATGTGTCCAGAGACAACATATGCCAGAATTTCCTCAGGAGCTAGCAAGATATCCAGATTACAGGGCCAGTCTTACTGGTCGGACTAAATCAGACTAGTCCTACTAAATCAGAATCTCTAGGAATGGTGCCTAGGAATATGCATTTTCAACCACCTCCCCAGTGCACTATGTACTAAAATTTGAAAACCACCTATCAGATTCAAAATTATAATTGAACAGATAGGGAAACTGAGGCCTACAGGAAGAAAAGAACTTTCACGAGATTACATAGAAAGTCAGTGAAAGAAGACTTGGTCCCAGGCCACCTGAATCTTACAATATAATTTAGGAAGACCAGCCATATCCACAAGGAAAAAACACAATACTGGCGAACTTATGGAGCATTCAACAATTCCTTGAAAATACTGACATCCATTACCGTAATCATCACAACAACTCTAAAGGATAGGTCTTATTTTCCCCATAATTTTTTCTGATGAAGAAATAGAGGTTCAATGAAATAAATTAATGAAAGGTAGTCTGATTCTAAACCCAGGCTTCTTTTATTTATAGAGAAGATCAAAGAGGAGACATTCAGTCAAATGCAGATTATCATGGTATGAGTTGCTGCAAGTGTACATTGGAGGTTCTGTGCAGCAGGAAGGTGACTGGAGCTTTCTAGGGAAGGAAGGGTTACCTAGAGAAGGCGTATTAGTTAAGGAGAAGTTTTGAACCAGGTCTTGAAAGAAGTTTTCAGGAAGTTTTAAGTTAGCTAAAAGGAGGCATAGATTTCAGGGTCTTTGCCATAATGAATCCTAAAAAGAGTGACACTAGGGTATTGAAAACATGATTGTAATGTTTCTGGGGAAAAATTAACGGTCTAACTCTGCAGAGGATGGATATTGGTGATTCTGACTTATGTGCACACCGCAGAGCTTCCCTAATCAGCTTTTCCTCTTAGTGCAGCACGGGATGAAGGTTGAGGGCTGAAAATAGTCCACTCCAAATTCTTTTGATTGCAAAGTGTTTCAAGAGCAAAGACGTGGGTAACAGGCTAATAAAATCCAGGAACAGTTTGCATTTATGTTTTCCCACAAAGTCTGTTCCACCCCAAACTTCCCAATAACGGATGCAATGGCCTCCCTGGGGCTCCACCTCCACCGCCCTTTCCAATCAGTTCATTCCAGTGGCATTTGTTGCACACCTACTAGCTGACAGCCACTGCAGTCATTACTAACACTGCTTAATTCTCACCTAAACCCGAGAGGTAGGTTTAGACTCAGAAAACCTTGAATATTAGTTAAGAATTAAAAGTAACAGGTTCAGTCAACATTTCTTGGGTGACTACTATGTGCGAAAACCACATGGGTGGAAGCTCATGTTCTTTCTGTGATATAGACTCCAAATGATTCCGCACACATAAAAAGTCCCATTTATGAATGAGATGTTATAAATCTCCAGTTTATGCTGATGTTTATCTACAGTCAGTAAGATGGCTTAAAAGTGATAGCTACAAATTTGAACAAGATCTACTTGATTAGAAAGTGATGTTTTTCTTCTGCTATCACATGCTGCCTTTACTAGTATTCCTAGTCTTGGAGGAGTGAGGAGGAAAGCTCACGGTCAATAATTAAGTTCACCATGTCATACTAGAAGGTGACAAGTGCTATAACATTGGTACCTACAAGTGTTGTGGATGCTCAGAGAAGGAAACAGTGCTCTGCTGCAGACTTTTGCAACACGATCTTTGCATGTGCCATTCTCTAGAGTCACCAGTGTCCTCTCAAACAGCCCTTTCCTGACCTTACCATCTATGTTGGCGGTGTGTTTTTCTCTATTCTTGGGCCCTGTTCCCTTATTTACAGCACTGTTTGCAACTTGTACAAAGTAATTAATTTACCTGCTTATTGTCTTTCTGCTTCAATAGCATGAATGTTCTACAGGGACAGGAATGTATCTGTCCTGGTCACTATTGTATTAATATCTTCAGAGCTGGCACCAATCGATGCTTGATAATTGTTGAACAAAGAAAAGAGTAAATGAATGTATGAATGAATGAATGAATGATGACTTAGTCTTCAGAACACACTGCAGCATAAGCATTACCATCCCCCTTCCTAAGTGAATAAACAGAAGCTACCAAGATCAAAGAATAGGATAAATGGGGCAGAGGGAAGTCAACGTCAGTTATTCTGGATCTAGCTCCAGAGTACATCTTATTACATCAAACTACACCCACTTGAATTTACAGCTTCTAGGGACTGCGGATTCACAGATGACTAAGAGAAAGCCCCAGATAAGGGAAAAGGCAAAAAGACAAAAAGGTACAAAAAGAGAAGCTGAGACTTCTCCCAAAGACAGACACACTTTCGTGACTTTCTGTCTGTGGATGAGTCAGACCTCATAAAGTAGATATTAATGAATAATAACAAAACCTTATTTATTTAACGTATGACCTGTGTAATGAGAGAGAAAATTTTAATCCTCAGGATTCTGGAGAGGTGAGAACATTGTGTTCATTTAGAATAAAGCTTTTAATGCAGGGTCTGCAGCAGAAACACAAGTTTTCTGCTACATTGCTGTGCATCAGAGAGAGAAGGGGCAGGGAAGGAGAGCATAAGAAGAAGGAGCCAAGCGGGTGCCGGAAGCACATGTTCTTTCTGTGATATGATCCTTCCCTAGGACTTCCAAGCCAGCAGTGCAATCTGTGTCCTACAGCATGCTTAGCACATGTGTATTTCTTACGGAATCCTGTGCAGAAGCAAACCTAACATGAAGCCCAGAAATCGTAGGAGGCCAGTGGAAAGTATGTATAGTGGTCTACTGGGGTGGGGACTTAGAAATGCCCTGCCCAGATCCCCACTAGAAGAAAGACTTGTTGCTCAGTAGCTGGAGACAGCTGTCATTAGTTAGCCCTCTCAGGGACTGTTTCAGCTGCAGACCAAGGCCATCCCCTTCCTAGGTGTCCCACATTGAATGCCTAATGGAATCAGGAGTATAAGGGCCAAATCATCTGGGACCCAGAGTGGAACAGCTCTGAGAGCTCCTTTAGCTGTGAGAATATGCAGGGTCAGCTGAGGCTGTCTGTCACCGGGGCTGCTTCAAACCTTAATTTCTCTCTCTGCCCAAATTCTGCCTCCTTCCCCAGCCTTGTGCAGGTGTTGTTGATGCCAAGGATACTTCCCAGGAAACATTCTACATGCTAACTCTGTCTCAGAATCTGCTTCCTGGGGAACCCAACCTGCAGCACCAGCAGACCTGGGGATTTCCACTGGCTGTGGAATTAGTGGGATTATAGGCTAATTATAGTTAAATTTCTCAACATTTACAACTCTGTGGGATAGACATTATAATTCCCATTTAGCAAGTGGGGAAACTGAGGCATTGAATTGTTATCTACCTCATCTGTAGTTATCATGTAGTAAATATAAGGCCAAGATTTGACCTTAGATGTGATGTAATACCAACCACCTTTTTCACAAAATGTAATAAAAGAGCCCACTTCTCTGTTCTCTTTTCTATCAAACCTAGTCTCATAATTCTCCCCCTCCTCTCATTCCCATGGCACATGATTGTTTTTGGTGTTTTGCTTTGTATTTTTCATTTTTTATGGCTCTCATCACATTGAATATTTATTAACAGTCTGTGTCCCATAATGAACCATGTTCTTTTTGAGTACTAGTGCTATGTTTGACTCATCTATATATGCCTACAGAAGAAAAAAAAAAAGAAAAACTAAATAAATGTGAGCTGAATTAAACTAATTCTACATTGATTTATCTCTAATTATGAAATAAAAGCCTTTGTTCTAACATAAAAGAATCGAGGGTGTGGATAGTTATTTTTCATGGGGGGGGGTTGTGAGAGACCCTTTGATGCTTTTGAAATCAGCCCTATTTCACCCTTGTCTGTGGCTATCCCTGATGCAAAAGCCAACAGGATGAAGATAACAAATGCATTTTTTAGGCCTCTCTCTGAAAATTAAGGCCCAAGGGGGTAAAAAAACAAAACAAAACAAAACAAAGAGACAAAAGCAAATATCATTTAGAAATTTGACAACAAAACTTTAAATTAAGAAATTAAATGGAGGAAAAGAAATTAAATGGCGTAGGAGATCCTACCAATAGATTCCAGAGCTGCAAAACGGCATCTCTCTCTCTTGTTCTTCTGCAAACAATTCTGAGTGTAAATGTATTTTTGGCACAAATGGCTCTGCCCTAAGATTCTTGATTATAATTATAATAATGGGTTTCTGAAAGCCTGCAAGTGGTTCTGGGAATGATAATAAGGATTGAGAAAAGACATGTTGTTTATGTGGTGAGTGTTTGTGGAATATTAAATGAGGGTGGGAGAAAAGCTCATGTTATACTTTCCACAAACTCCAAAATACATAATTACACCCAAGAAGCCCATCACTGCCTGCCTCTCCTCCAAGCACACACTTACCATCAATCCCATTACCCTGAGAGTCTGGGACTGCAGCAGAGTTGGGGAAGAAGGCATTATTCCGTGGTTTTCATTGCAGAGTGATTCATCTTCTATAACAACTCCTAGCTTTTCCATCATGGAAGGGAGCACCCTAAACTACAAGGCTATGAAAGGCTGGCCCTAGCCCCAGTTCCTTCCCTCACCTACAGTTAGTTCTTAGCAAATTATTCAGAGCCCCTGAGCCACCTTCCTTTAGCCTCAACCCTGATGTGGATCATTTAAGTGATCATTTAAATGATGACCAACTGCCCTTTCTTATTTTGTAAGCTCCTTGAGAACATGGGACCTAATTCGTTGTTTTGTCTTAAATTGTGATAAAACACAAAACATAACGTTTAGTACTAAACTGTACAATGGTGTTAAGTACATTCACAATGTTGTGCAATCTTCACCACTAGCTGGTTCCGGAACTTTATCATCATCCCACAGGTAACTCATATCCATTAAGCAATCATTCTCCATTCCTCCTTTTTCTCCAGCCCCTGGAAGATCCATTGTCTTTAACTATTGCAGTGTCTACTCCTGCCTTGTAAATAGTAGGTCCTGATTAATATTTATTAAATCTAATAATTGCCCACTTAACTAATTAACAATGTCTGCTCTACCTGCTTCAATGGTTTTTATAGTGTAGGCTGATTATTGTAAAATTACTTTATAGGATAATAGTGGGGACCACGCAATCATAACTGTCACTTATTGAGTGTTTACTGTGTCTGTGCTATGCTGCTGACAAATGCATTTACCCATCTGATCCTTCCAATAACTCTGAGGGAGCCATTATTATCCCCATTCAACAGGTGGAGAAACTGAGATACACGGATCTTAAGGATTAAAATCCAAATTTGTCCGACCCCAAAGCTCAATGTAAAAAGTAAAAGCAGTAGCAAGTAAGATTGTTTTTGCTAATAAGATGATATGGTGGGGTTTTAGGGAAGTCATCTTAGCTTTCTGTTGCTATGATTCCCAGTTTCCGTGTGATTCCCCAGTACACCCAGATCTATATCTGCCAATTTGTGTTGCCTTTTGCCTAAGAAACATGACTTGATGATCACTTCTCTTAGGAAAAGTCCCCATTGACTTTCTGAGTATGTGCATCTATTCAGCCCCCACTGATTGCTGTGTCTTCACGCACATTTTCTCACCCAGCCCTGTAAGGTGACTGACTTCTTTCCCCTATCAGGGCTGATCCAAGTGAGAAACAGATGCAGGAGACAAATGGAAGCTAAAATGTCAGCTGTATTACAGGTAAAGCTGAATTGGGTGATGCCACTCAGACTTATAGCCAAAATGATCTTTCATGACTTCCCACAAGGTCATACCCAGGGACAGTCAATCGGAAGAAATGGGTTTCGAAGAGTTGACACTTCTGCAGCACTCCCTATGGAGGCCACTATTCTGACCCATACTCAAGGGAGAGCCCAAGAGAGCTATTACTTGCTTGTTGGCCCATTAGAAGAGCCATGGACAATGGCCCTGAGACATTGCATCGCTTACTGAAGTTCATTTGAGCTTTGTAATAATTTGGGTAGGTGAGTTTGACTGCCCCAATTCTACAGATAAGAAAAACAAAATTCACAGAGGTCAAGTGACTTGGCCAATACTCAGCTGGAAAGAGACTCTGGGACCCACTTGCTTCTCAGTCGACTGCATCAGTTATCTCCTGGTGATCAGTGGATGGCTCTGAGTCACCAAAAACTCGGTGTTCTCATCCAGAATTCTAGTCCTCATTTCAGGGGACACTCAGATGTCTTTTGCCCCTGGGAACCCCCATTTTGTTTGGAGGAGGCTTCATGGCATGGTCTTGGATCTTGGGGCATCACATGCCAGTGTTCTCACTCCTACAGGGACTGTGAGTCACTCTCAACTCCTTTGCTATCTAAACCCCACTCCCTGCATTGTGTTTTTATTCAGCAACCTGTTCTCTCAGTCACAGCATTTCTGTCCATTAATAGCACAAAGCTGCAAATATCCATTAGCAGGCTTTACATTCTGAAATCAGCTCCGACTCAGGACCATTATATGATTAAAGAGCAACCATTTGTGACTCATAACTAAGCCACACTTTCTCACATATGCTTTATGTTAAATGATATAGAGGAATAAATGCACATCAGTAGTTTATAACACCACTTACAGGGCACTTAATAGATGCACGCATCATGCTAAGCACTTTCTATTCAATATCTCATTTAACCTTTTTGCCAGCATCATCATCCCCAGATGACTGTAGGTTTCCTGATGGCAAGAACAGAGGCTGGCCCTGCACAGAACCTGGCACGTAGTTAAGGGTTCAAGATTTATTCCAGAGCAGCTGACATTCATTAGACACCTACTATGTTCCAGGTACTTTTAACTAACTCATTGGCAGCCCCACAGGCCTTGAGATGGGTGTTACTATTTTGGTTTTCCTGAAGAGGAAACCAGGCTCTGAGGCATTCAATAACTTTCCTAGGTTTCCTAGCTAGTAAGTAAAAAAGCCAAGCACTACCCACATTCTCAGGCTCTAAAAGCAGAGCTCTTTCCACTACACCATGAATGAATGAAATTAAAAGAGTGTAGAATCTGGTATGCAACTTCAATATGCTTCTCTCTAGTTAATAAATCTGTGTAATACTCCAGGAGAGCATGATTGAGTTGATAGTGATAAGCAAAAATCTCTGCTACCTGGGGTTACAGAAGATAAGTTTGCCTGAAGCAGGTAGAAAAAGTGCTAGGGAGAAAATGGAGAATGGACTCTGCTCTCAAAGGCTAGGCAAGATTTAAATGGTGAACTGGATAAGCAAAAATACAGAGGCAGGAACATGAAGACATGAACACAGCGGTAGGGAGAAGGTTAACCAGAGGATAGGGCTGTGGGCATCAGTGATAGGATTACAGGGAGCTCTGACCACCAGTAGACAAAAAGGCAAAAGTGCAGATTCCTGAGCTAAGGAAAGTCATGATGAGAAACATATTTTAAAAAGAAGAATCTATATACAGAACACAAAAGGAGTTTGTAGGGGGGAGCCGAGCACTTGCAATGGGCTTGAAATGTACTGTGTATAACTGAGTGAATTAATTCATAAGTAGTCAAATAAACAAATGATTGAAGAAAACAAGAGATATTGGGGTACCACTGGTTATTATAGGTATAAGGCCTGAGCTGAGTGATATTAGGGAAGATTTGGCCAAACTTGGAAGTACTGGATGAAGTACATAATGAAAGAAAAATCCAATGCCTTCTTTCTTTCTTCAATCTACTCACTTTTTCTTACAACCCAGGAAACCTGAAAAACTTCCTAGGGAGGTAATGAAAACCAGGGCAAGAGCATGAAAGAAGTCTCTCATAAAGCAACAGGTTGACTAAAAGAGGCTGCATACCAGTGACACGCATTGGTGTTACTTTCTTACCAGAGATAGGAATCACACAGGATGTCTAGGTGTGTATTCCAGAAGGGTGTTATGGAACAATAACCTCATCAATACAGACTAAAATAAGATGTGAGAGATACAAGGCTCTCAACAATGTGAGCAGCAGCCCTTTGTTGAGCGCTTTGTTTGTTGACTAATTTGCCTTAAGAATCACACTTAACATGACCTTATGGAGTGGAGCTGAAGCTTCCTCTCCTCCTGTATTCGGCTTTTTAATAGTACAAAAATTGATAATTCAGCAACTCTTAGGTATGCAAAATCTGATACACTTGTTTTCCTAGTAAATGTAGATCTGTTTTTAGCCCCATGGGCTTCTAACTCACAGATTAAACAATATATAAAAGTACCTAATACATATGAGACACTTGAAATTATAGGTCTCTTCAGATTAATTTATCTTGCTCTAACATGCAGACCTGCTTTTGTTCTTCTCAGGTCCCACCTTTTATCTGCAGAACTGAGAATGCCGCCCATAAAACCAAGTTTGATATTGGGTAGCTGCCATATGGTAACCAACTTCCCTGATGCTGCCTATCTTCATTTAACCATCTGACCATCCTCCAATTATTTCTTCTCTTCATTATCTATCCATCAATCCATCCATCCATCCATCCATTCATCCATCCATTCATTTATCCATTCATCCTTCCATCCATCCATCTATCCACCCATTCATTTATCCAGCCATCCATCCATCCACCCTTCCCATGCGTGAAGTGTATTCCAGGTACCATTCGCTGTGCCAGGGCTGAGGATGTGGCAGTTACCAACGCAGGCAAGGCTCATGGCTGCCGTATGTGAAATGTCCTTCATTCCCCTTTGCCTGTGTTTTTTCTCTAATGACCTTCAGCCCTTGTAGCCTTACTGAGGTCTAACTTTCTCTAAGACTAGAATGATAAATTGGGAAGAACATAGTACCTGTGACTTTAAGTTGTTTGCCTGCTCTAAGTCTCGTCTCCTCCTCATTAAATAGGGATAAAAATGCTAAATATTTCAGAATTACTGGGGTGATATAAGTGGGGAAATAATTGCCTGGTACAGAGTAGGTACTCAATTCTTGGTTACTATCAATATCAACATCTGTAAAATCAGAATACTGATAGTTTCCTCGTTAAGAACTCTATGTTCACAAAATTTCAACAGCTGCCCATTGCTTTTAGTGTAACAATCCAAATCTTTACAATAGCCTGGGAGACCAAACAGGATCAGAACCCTGACTGCCTGTCCAGGATCACATGTCCCTCCTTCCTGCTGTCTTGGCATGTTTGCCATCTTACTATACACCCTGTAGAATCATCAGAGCTGCTCACCAAGTATTTCTAGTTCTGCTTCTTCACAGCAACTTGCAAAATTCCTGATGATGTAAGCTCCATCCGTCTGTACTGCTGAAACAGAGATTTTATGCTAACTAATGATGGACATGGAGTAGAAGTAAGACACAGATCTTCGTCATTGTTTTGGACAAAGTATTTGTGCCTCCTCCCCAAAATTTGTATGTTGAAATCCAAACCGCCGAGGGGATGATATTAGGAGGTAGAGTCCTTAGGAGGAAATGAGGTCATGACGGCAGCACTCATGCATGGAATTAGCATCCTTATGAGAAGAGACACTAAAGAGATGGTTTTTCTCTAGGATGTGTGAGAATACAACCAGAAGATAACCGTCTGCAACCAGAAAGCAGGCCCTCACCAGGCAACAGATTTGCCAGTCCCTTGACCTTGGACATCCCAGCCTCCAGAATTGTGAGAAATAAATTTTTGTGGTTTAAGCCACCTGGTCTATAGTATGATCATAGCAGCCTGAGCTCACTAAGACAGTTACGTTCAGCTTCTAATAATTGGGGGCTCCTTGTTTCTATAGCAAAAGCTAGCCTAATCTGTGTAATACACTGATATCATCCCCCCTCTGGTAACAGGGTCTTCACTCCAGCTGGCCCCTCTGCCTGGAAATCTCTCCCCTCTCTATTTTAAAAACTCCTTCAGATCTCAAAACTCAAGCGTTTCTTCTTCAGGGAAGTGTTCCCTAACTATGTCATTCTCCCCTGTCAGAGGCTCTCATCTCATCAAGTATCTCTCCTTCATAGCTCTTCTCCAAGTGGCAATTTTACTTTTATTTATTTGATGATTTTATTAATTTCCATCTCTTCCAACAGACTGTAAATTCCATGGGAGCATGATCCAGATTTGTTACAGCTCATCATCTTATCCTTACTACACACAACAATCTAGCACATTGTAGGCCCTAAATAAATATTTGTTGAATGAAAGAAGGAAATAGGGAAAGAAAAAAGGAAGGAAGGAGGGAGGGAGGAAAGGAGGGAGGGGTAGGAAGGAAGAGAGAGGAAGGAAGGGAGAGGAAGGAAGGAAGGGAGAGGAAGGAAGGAAGGGAGAGGAAGGAAGGAAGGGAGAGGAATGAAGGAAGGGAGAGGAGGGAAGGAAGGGAGAGGAAGGGAGAGGAATGAAGGAAGGGAGAGGAGGGAAGGAAGGGAGAGGAAGGAAGGAAGGGAGAGGAAGGAAGGAAGGGAGAGGAAGGAAGGAAGGGAGAGGAAGGAAGGGAGAGGAAGGAAGGGAGAGGAAGGAAGGGAGAGGAAGGAAGGGAGGAAGGAAGGAAGGAAGAGAGGGAGGGAGGAGTAGATAAATAGTAAATACCTAGGACAAGTAAATACCTTATTTTCTAAGTCTGCCACATCTGCTACAGTTAAGTTGGCTGGGACATGAGTTATTGCTGCAGAAGGAATCAGAACACATTGCCTCCTTTATGTCATTTGCCCTTGAAAAATTTCAGAAAGGTTGAGTCCAATTCAGATCCCATGACCCACCCCTTACCGGCCAGTGTGTACTGGTACCTCAACTCAGTTCCCCTCTCCTTGTGCCTAGAAAAGGCTTTTGCAGAATCCCAGCAGCCACCAGAGTCAGCCAAGGCCCTGGGTGCCTCAGTATCCCCAGTCTGGGGCCTCTCTGCCCCCAGATGCTGTGCCTATGCATGGTGCCACTCTGATTTGTTAACCTAATTGCCTTCACCTCTCCATAAATCAGATTTACAGAGCACAGTGCATTTTGGAAGCCCTGGGACACCTCTGGGGCCTCGCAGTTCAATGGAGCTCATTATGGAAATCAGCTAAATGCTGAGGAGCAAGATAAGTGCGAACTGTTTACCAACCCCTTACACTAGAGACACACAGACAGAGCTAATGGGAGCTCATTTGTGGCCTCCCTAACTCACTCAACCCTCTTTATCTGCTACTGTGACTAATCTTCAGGGAGAGGGGTGCGTGTCTGCATGAAAGAGCTCTCCAGGGGGCTTGAAGTGATTGGTGAAGGAGCACAGGAAAAGACAGAGGGGGGCCAAGCCCAGAGCCTTGGAGCCAGCCAGGCCCAATTCACCCCACCCACCACAGAAGAAGCCCCTCCCTGCCTGCCAGGGCAGTAGATTCTTAGGTCAGCCATTTTTTGCTTTTTTCAACTTTTATTTTAGATACAGGGGGTACATGCGCAGGATTTTTGCATGGGTATATTACACCCAGGTAGTGAGCACAGTGCCTAATAGGGAGTTTTTTAAACCACGCCCCCCTCCCTCCATCCTTCCTCTAATAATCCTCAGTGTCTATTGTCCTCAGGTTTGTGTCCATGTGTGTTCAATGTTTAGCTCTCATTATATGTGAGAACATGCAGTATTTGGCTTTCCATTGCCATGCTAATTCACTTAGGATTATGGCCTCCAAAGAACTTAAAACAGACCTACCGTTGGGCCTAGCACTCCCATTACTGGACATATACCCAAAGGGAAATAGATAATTACACCAAAAAGACACATGCACTTATATATTAATCACTGAGCTATTCACAATAGCAAAGACATGGGATCAACCTAGGAGCCCATAAACAATGTTTTATATAAAGAAAATGTGGGGCCAAGCACAGTGGCTCACGTTTGTAATCCCAGCACTTTGGGAGGCTGAGGCAGGCAGATCACCTGAGGTCAGGAGTTCGAGACCAGCCTGGCCAACACGGCAAAACACAGTCTCTATTAAAAATACAAAAATTACCCGGGTGTGGTGGCACACATCTGTAATCCCAGTTATTTGGGAGGCTGAGGCAGGAGAATCACTTGAACCCGGGAGGCAGAGGTTGCAGTGAGCTGAGATCATGCCACTGCACTCCAGCCTGGATTACAAGAGCAAAACTCCATCTCAAAAAAAAAAAAAGAAAAAGAAAATGTGGTATATATATATATATATATATATATATATATATATATATATATATATACACACACACACACACACACACACACCCCAGGGAATACTACACAGCCATGAAAAAGAATGAAATAAAGTCCAACCAGCTTTCTAAAGATCCACAGAAATAATGATGGTTAAACTAAACATCCCCTTGAGAGGAAAGCATTTCACAGTTTACATTGCATTTTGACTTTCATTAACTTGTTTGAACCTCACAATATCTTGAGCAGGCAGATGTATTGCTTCCACCCCTATTTACCAGCTGAGGAAACAGGTTCTGGGAGTAAAGTGACCTACTCAGATTGTTGTTGGTGAATTTTGTTTTTCTCTGTCCAAACACAATGCACTTCTCACTTCACCAAAACTCTTAACTGAGGCTTACTAGAATTCAATTTATGGGGTTCAGGATATCCTTGAGTTTCTTGAACTTGTGTGCAAATTTTTTATGTGTTCATGTAGGGACTTTTTTTGTTTTTACTGGGCAACAAGTTCAACATCTTTATGACTCTCAGGTAAAACAAAACCCTAAAAGTTAAGACCACTAGGACTACTGTACTCTCTGAGGGCACAGAGTATTTACCTTGTGGTCCAGAGAGGCTAGACATTTTCATTCATCTACCCATTATTCCCAAGGAAGAAACGTGTAGATTGAGTGCCATTCCAAGCTCATGTCTTCCCATTCATATCCATCACTCTCCAATGGTGGCCTATGCAAGGTCAACTCAGAAGTCCAGTCTCCTGCAACCAGGGCTGTCTCTCCTCTGGTCACAGACACAGGGACCCTCCCTCCCCACTAGAGGCCACAGGAGTTCATGATCAGCAGCCAGACCTTGGAGCACAAGACCATCTCTTGTGCAGGACCGGGGCTAAGGGGAGACAAGAGAAATAAGTTGTCAAGTACAGGGTCTAATTCTGTCTTCAACAATCTGGATATTTTTCACATCAATTTCAAGGGTTTTTTATGTTAAATTAGATATTATTTATCTTAATTATCTTAATTACTGAGGTTTTTTTGTTTTGGTGCCCCCTTAAATTTTGTTCCTGAAATGAATGCCTCATTTGCTTCACCCTGGCTAGAGTCCAGACAAGGTTGCATCTTTTGAGGAGTCCAGCCCTGTCCAGATTTTTTTTTTTTTTTTTTTCCTGAAACAGGATCTCTTTCTTTCACCCAGGCTAGAGTGCAGCGACGTGAACATGACTCAACCTCCTGGGCTGCAACCTCGACCTTGTGGGCTCAGACAATCCTCCCAACTCAGCCCCTTGAGTAGCTGGGACCACAGGCCCACACCAACATGACTGGTTAATTTTTGTATTTTTTGTAGAGATGGGTTTTCGCCATGTTGCCCAGGCTGGTCTCAAACTCCTGGGCTCAAGTGATCTGCCCACATCGGCTTCCCAAAGTATTGGGATTACAGGCATGAGCCACTGCACCTGGCCTGTCCGGACTCTTAAGTACACTATGCTCACCTACTTGTCATACAGTGTCACCCAGAGGCCCTTAGTTCTCTGGCTCAACCCCCTTATTTTAAAGTATGGATTAAACAAAATAATCTCTAGGATAAGACAGACACAGGTTTGTATCCTGGCTGTCCTTGAGGCCTTGAAACCTTGAGGGAAGTCAGTTAACTTATTTGAGCCTCTGTTTTCTTATCTGTAAAACATGGACAACACTAGTATCAACTGTTGGGCCAATCAGATAGTATAAATTCCAGACCATTAAAATAATCCAGGCCAGGCGCGGTGACTCACGCCTGTAATCCTAGCACTTTGGGAGGCTGAGGTGGGTGTATTGCCTGAGCTCAGGAGTTCAAGACCAGCCTGAGCCAACACAGTGAAACCCCGTCTCTACTAAAATACAAAATAAATTAGCCAGGCATGGCAGTGTGCGCCTGTAATCCTGGCTACTCAGAAGGCTGAGGCAGGAGAACTGCTTGAACCCAGGAGGCGGAGGTTGCAGTGAGCCAAGATTGCGCCACTGCACTCCAGCCCGGGCAACAGAGCAAGATTCCATCTCTATAAAAAAATAATAATAATAAATTTAAAAATAATAATAATCCAGGTATGTGTCTGAATGTCCCCAGTGCTCTGCTGGAATTTGGATAAGAAGGTGAGCAATGAGGATGAGTCATTTGGGGACCCAAAGCCTCTACACTGATCCATGAGCTCTAGCTTTGAAGACCTGCAGCCCTGGGTTTAAGATCTTGGCACTCTCGCTTGCTATGAGATCTTGGACAGCCTCTCTGAGCCTCACTTTTGGTATTTATAACTGAAAATAATGCCTACCATTTAAAATTGTTGTGAGGATGAAACATAATTAAGGTACCTGTGCCTAGTATGCACATGTGCAGATGTTCAATAAATAGCAATATTAAAATACTAAATATTATTAAAAGTGAAGAAACTGAAGCAAGGAGAGTGACATGTTCAAGAACACACAGCATGCTGGCAGCAGAGTTGAAACTGAAATGCAGGTTCCTGGGCTGAATTCAGTGGATTCTGGCCCCACTGAGCTACTTTCCTCTGACTCACATAAGGTAGGCCTAGAGATTGGAAGTATTTGAGCAGCAAGAAAACTAGAAACCCATATATGAATTTGGTGGCACCAGGTGATGCCAGGTAACCTCACCTCAAGACCTGGCTCTCTTGCCCCTTCTCCCATCAGAAGAGCTGCCCAGCCATGCTGACACTGAATTTCCCAACTTGGAGTAAGTCTTCTGACCATGGCTGGTGCGGGGAGGCTGGCTGCATGGCCGTGTCTGTGTGTGCGGGGAGGCTGGCTGCACGGCCGTGTCTGTGTGTGCGAGTGGGCTGTGTGTCTGACCCAAAGCTAGTTATAAACTGCCTCTTACTAGGGCCTTTTACAGCAGACTCCTGCATTTCCCAGAATAATCTTGCTCATTATGATGCCGGCAGACTTTTCAAGCCAGCTCATTTTTCTTCCCTTTGTCTCAAATTCCAATACCCTGCCCTTTTCACAAGATTTCCGAGAGAGCAGTTCACAGCGCTCATTTTGTGGGGAGAGAGGGGGGTGGAAATGTCCCCAGAGGGTGAGCAGTATCTCAGCCTTAGTTTAAAAAAAGAAAAAAAAAAAGATAAAGGAAAGAGCTTTGTCTGCTAAATCTCCCCATTTTGGAATCAAATGTTGTTTAAAATTCAAGACAAATTCTCGGCTCTTTTGCTGACAAATTCCACAGAAGCACAGAGGAGAGGTGAGAGGGAGGTGAGAGCAGCAACGTGGGAGGTGCCTAAGCCGTCTTCATTAAAAGGCTAACAAGTGAGTGCCTACTGTGTACCAGACTCTGTACTAGATTCTGTGGATACCATGGCAAGCAAAACAGACTCTCTCTCTCTTCTGGGATTTAAAGTCTAGCAAAGGAGACAGACATGACCAAATAACCATGCACATGCATAATTATAGCGGGGGCACCTGCTTCAGAGGGAGAGTACATGATATAGAAAAGCATGTTACTAAGGCCTGACCTATGTGGAAGTCAGAAGATACTCCCCAACGAGGTGACATTAGCTCTGAAACCTGAAGGATGATGAATAGGGGTCAAACAGGTGAGGATGGAAGAAAAGCCTTCCAGGAAGAAGGGGCAGCATGAACAAAATCTCTGGGGCCAGAAAGGGCACCAGTGTTTCAAGAGCTGGAAGGACACCAGTATTTCTAGACCCCAGAGAGCAAGGAGGAAGGTGGGATGGGGCATAGGGTGAGGGAATAAGCCCAATGATGCAGACTGGGAGATCATGCAGGGGCTTACAGCCACTATAGGTCCATTGGTCTTTATCCTTAGAACAAGAGGGGGCCATTGAGGGGTTTCAAGCAGAGGAATGATATGCAAGGTTTATGATTTGCAAAGGCTGCTCTGACCACTGAGTTGAGAACAGGCTGGGTCAAAGCAGGGGAAGAAATAGGGAGCCAGACAAAATAATACGGCAGGTTGGGCTCCACAGGAGGTAGTGAGCAAAACAGAGAGAAGTGACAGGTTCTGGGAAATATCCTTGATGATGTCATCAATAGGATTGCAAAAACAGGCCCAAATCCTTCCCCTCCCTGTATCTGTACTCATGAGCAGTCCCCTGTCACACTGATTCTGAGCATGGCCATGAGGTTTTCTTTGGCCAATAGGACAATAGTAAACATGATGCTAACAGATACTTGGACAGTGTTTGCACATTGGAACGTGCTTTTTCTTGCTGCTTTTGGGGCAGTGGGATCACTGTCTGAAGAAACTCAGGCTAGCCTGCCGGAGGATGAAAGACACATGACCCAATCAGCCTGACTCCCCAGCCAACACCCTGCAAATTATCAGACATGCGTGATGCCATCCTGGGACATTCAGCTGCCAGCCAACTGGCCAGCTGAGCAGGGATGCATAAGTGAGCCCAGCAGAGCTCCTAGACAAGTTCTCGACCAACCCACAAAATTGTGAACTAAATAAATAGATGTCATTTATATCATTAAATTCTGGGGATGGTTTGGCCAACTGATACATGCCCATTGTGTCCATTTTCATTCAACAGACCATGAACTTGAGGAGTAGGACCTTATCTGTCTTGTTTACCGCCACTATATTCCCAGTGCCAGGCAAATACTAGCCACTTAACGAATATGTGTTGAATGTGTGAATAAATACATGAATGAATGACTATTATCTATTTGATTACCCCTGGGAAAGACTTTCTACACCAGCCCAGGACTTTTCTCCCCTCTCCACCAGCAGTTGAAAGGTATACACTTCTGGGTGGAAACCAAATTTACATTTAATCCTTATAGACAGCTACCATGTACTAGGTTGGCATAATACTAAACATTGAGGACAAAGGGGAAAAGACACATTCCCTACCTTGAAAGTGTTCACTGCCTGGCAGAAGAGATGAACACGGAAAATAAAAACAGCCTCTCCTGCTTACTGTGCATTCACTATGTTCCAGGCAGTTTACACCAAGTATTTCCCTTCATCCTCATAACAACTATAGAAGGAAGGTAAAATTAAAATTGTAAATTAAAGTGCCCCCTTTGTATGGATGAGAACACTGAGGCATAGAGAAGTTAAGTGACTTGCCCAAGGGGACGGAGCCACACCCAAACCCAGCCTAACCTCTTTGCTGTTCTATGATATTGGTACAACAGAGTTATACAAAGAGGGTGTTCATTCTGCCTGGGGTGGGAGAGCAAGAGCAGCAGAGTGTTAGAAAAGGTTTTGCAGATAAGCTGATTCTAGAAGAAAGAACAAGGATTTCCCATATGAACAAAGCCAACAATAGTATTCCAGGCTGAAAACATAGCAGGAACATAAGCTGGAGACACGGAAATGTGTGGTCTGCCTAGGAACACTAAGCGGCAAGAGTGACCATAAGGAAGAGCGCATGGGGATAATGGTGAGATGACGGTGGGTGGGGTCATAGGAACCAATGAAGGCTAAAAGGAGTGGCCATGCCACCTCCCAGGACCCTTCTGCCACTCATCTCTGCAAAGGTCAGCTCTCAGCTGGTCCTGATAGAGTAATATCTCCCTAGATGGAGCTATAACCTGGATTCCTATCCCAGCTTTCATTCCTTGCTATAGGGTTTGGGGAAGTTAGATCATTTGCCTTCTCTAGGCCTCAGTTTCTGCCTCTAGAAACTGAAAACACAGGACAAGATCAAAGGAATTTCTACCTATTGAGTACCTATCATACACTAAGAGGTATTTACCTCATTGATTTAGCCTGAGAATCAAATAGGTTAATGCATATAAAGTGATT
This sequence comes from Homo sapiens, assembly GCF_000001405.40. NCBI lineage: Eukaryota > Metazoa > Chordata > Mammalia > Primates > Hominidae > Homo > Homo sapiens. The sequence goes on from NC_000009.12 coordinate 119,842,952, forward strand.
AGCCTGGTGCCTATGCATAGTCAGCGCTCAAAAGCTCTAGTCGTGCCTATTGCTGGTGTCATTTCCATTGATTGCTAGAGTAATCCTACAGGTTATAGTCAGTATCAATGGCTCTGCCTGGATTTCTATCCCAGCTCTGCCACTCCCTTGCTGTGTGATATTGAGCAAGTTATTTAATCACTCTGGGTCTCAGTTTCCTTGTCTTTAAGCTGGAGATCCTAATGGTGCCTATTTCCTTGGGTTGCTATAAGGGTGAAAATAAGTGATGTATATAAAATATTCAACTGCTATAACCAGGTACCTACTATGTATCTAAAAAACGTTACCTGCTACTAGACATCCCATTTTGCAGATAACAAAGTCAAGGCTCAGATTGGTGATAAAACTTGCTCCAGGTAACACATCTAATAGATGATAAAGCTGGGACTTAAGCTGGGAAAATTCTGTTTCCCTATCCTGTGCTCTTAATTGGTGCTCCAGATGCCTCTGAAATGCCTTCCAGTAGCTATAATCCTGCTAAGAGCATTATTGCTTCCGACTAAAGTCATTGAAAAACTCTAGAATAAAGAATGGCTTTTCCGGAAAAACTTTTAAATCCCCACAGAGGTTGGAATTAATGTATGTTCCTGATATACAAGCATACCACATTTCCAAGTTGGTTGTATGAGGGGAAGCTCTAAATTTCTATGATTCAAAGGTGGTAAATGGTAATGACAACGTATTAAACTTTGTGGGGCAGTGGCAGGCCTCAAATCCTCTCTGCAATGAGGCAAAGTGTAAATAAGTGAAAACCTAACAAAGGGTACCCGGGGAGCAAGGAGCCTTGGCCTAGGACGAAGAGCAATGGTTTCCATCCCAGCTGTCACCAACCCACTTTGTGCCTTGAACAGAACACTTAACTCTTTCTGTACCCACGTTTACTGATCAATCCAGGGATCCATAATTTATGATCCAAACTGGGACACTAGTGAGAGTGAAAAGAGGTACTATGAATTAAGGAGACACCAGGACCACAGATATAAACTTTGTCCTGGGAACCCTGAGACATGGACGCTCTACCTACCAGCAAAATGCTAAGACCACACCGTTATTTGTAAGGGCTTTTTAACTCTATGTTTAACGACAAAATCTGTTGCTGAGAACTGATCCTGATCAGGTATTAGAGAAGCTCAGGAGTGCTAGGACCTCATGGCAGAACATACACATTAAAGGAAGTGGGTCAGGGAGAAAGCTGGGCCACTTTTAGGGGCAGGAAATATTTACCTATTACCTGTGATAGATAAATGAAAACTAAAGTGAGAAACATTACATGATAGTTCCTTGAACCTCTAAAGTGCTTCACGAACTGATTATGGGGCCCACCTGCCTTTTCCACCCACCCACCAAGCAAGTAAAACAGAACAAAAGCTGAACTGTGTCTGTACCAGAAGAGAAACTCACTGCCTTACTCTCTCACCATCCCACCTCTGAAGTGTCCTCACTTAGCTAACCTCATCATCTTTGATGCCCTGTATTTATCTTCCAGACATTTCTTGGCCCATTGGTCTACCTGACATGACTTGAATCCTAATCCTGAGTTACCCCAATTGGCAGTCAATACAGGCCAAGTTGATGAGATAATGACTCAGCTGTCTTGGCTCTTAGAATCTGGTTGCAGGGAAAATCCTGGAAAGATCTATTTCCAAACGTACCGGCCATCTGTTTGACTTAAATGTGAGCTGCTTCCTGAGAAGCCAATGGCTCTACCTGGTGACTCCAATTACCAGGACAGTCTGGAGGCTGGTCACCTAGGAGATCTGTTCTTGGGGATATTCTCCTTGACTACGGTACAAGAAGCCCCTTGTATTTGGCACTAACTTGGAAGAATGGGGAGCTCTCAACCAGAAACACTTCATCTCTTGCTATGCTTCTGCTCTGCAATTTGATGGAATCATTCTTTAATACAGCTGCATTTCTACCCCACATCAGAGATGATTGAAAGCAGGGGAAAATGTTCATATGAAAAATGGGGGGTTTTCAGTCAAGCAAATAGAAATCTGAAGGGTGATTTGATTAGAGTAGCAGCTTGGTCTAGTGAATGGAGCAATGAATTTTGAGTCAGGGCCCCAGACTGCATGAGACGTGTAAGGTACCAAACTTCTCTGAGTCTTTCGCTCCTAATCTATCTTACTAGACTTCTGGGTGGCTCAATAGGATAATGGGCACGAAGTGCTCAGAAACTCCAAAGTGCCAGTTTATATGTAAATGATGAGTATCTTTTAGGATGTGGAATGTTTTTAAAGAGAAGGTTGCCACTGATCAATTATTCTCTTTGCTCATACAGGACTGACAAGCTGGGTGGAGATGGTCTATGGAGTTACTGTTAGTGGCATTAGCTTGCAAGAGAAGTTATGTTCTCCCTGCAGAAGTCAGGAGATTTATCCAGCTTTTACCATCTGCCTTTGATTAGCTCTGTCACTCTTTCTCTTCCACCTTCAGGCTGTGTGTCCTTGGAAAAGTCACTTTGCCTCTCTAAACCTAGCTACTTCTCCAGTGAAATAGGGATCCTAATTCCCATCCTGGAAGGCTTCTGTGAGGAACAATGAGCTAATGCACGAAAGGTGCCTTGCTTCATGCCAGGCACATTTTAAAGGCACAATATAAAAGTAGCTGTTATTATTTTCTCAGTTAGCAGCTGAGGAAAGGGAGGTTAGGGGATTAGGTAAGATAATGTATGTAAAGTACTTTACATAGTGTCTGGCACCTAATGAGCACTCCGTAAGTAGTCACTATTATTAGTGGAGATAAAGACATGTACATTACAAAAATAATAATGCAAAGTAGAAATGGATGAAACAGAAGAATACAAAAAGTGCTCAGCTACATCAAAGGAGAAAGAGGCAGCTGCTTCCAGCTAGGGAAAACAGGGTCAGTTTCCCCAGCTTCACTGATGATGAGAATCACTTGAGAGCCTTGTTAATACAAATTCATCAACAATAACACACATTCAATCTCTAAGAAAGGGGCTAGGGAAGGAGCTGGGAAAGCTGCATGTTTAACAAGCACCCCAGGATTCATATCATGAAGGAAATTTGGAAAACTTCCAAATTCCCTGGAGTGAATGCCATCCAAGTTGGCACTTGGCTGCTAGGTGACAATAGTAATAGTAGTCTCCAGCTTTGAGAACCAGACATTGTACTTACACTTCGTATCAATCATCATAATCTTCTCCATGAGATAATAATCAGTAGGCCCATATTGCAGATGAGGAAACTGACATTCAGGGAGTTGAAAGGCATCGCACTCTGGAAAGTTCCAGAGCCAGGATTCAAATTCAGTCCTCTCTAATCACAAAGTCTGTGTGCTTTTCTCTAGGCAACACTATTGAGACATTTAATATGTGTACTGAAGAGACATTTCAGTTGTGGAAACAGCGTGAGCAAAGGCCTGGAGGAAGAAAAGCCAATGCTATAAGAAACAGCAATAACAGTAGTGTAATAGTAGTACGGCCAGGGCACAGAGTAAGTGAAAGGCAGTCATAGCAGAGAGGTAGGAAAGGTAGGTAGGCTTGTGTCAGTTGTGTTCAGGTTAAGTTACTGTTACAAAGAGACTTCCAAAATGCAGGGGCTTACATAAGAGAGCAGTCTGTTCCACCCTCACAGGAGTAACCTTTGGTGAGTGTCCTAGGATTTCAGCGGGTAGGGGCAGCAGCAGCTCTGCTATAAATGGTCACCTAGTGACTCAGGCTTCTAGATCAGCTCTACTGTCCTCAACATGGGGCTTCCATCCTTGGTCCAAGGCAGCTGTCCCAGTTGTTGCCATATCTAAGCCAGAGGGAAATAAGGACACAGAGTCAGGAACAGACAGGTTTGCCTTTTAGGAAATGGCCTGGAATCTTCTAGAAATGAGAATGGCACTCACCTTTCCTCCATGTTCCCTCCATTGGCCTGAACCTAGTCACATGACCACACCTAGCTGCAAGGGAAGCTGGGAAACATAGTGACTGCTCAGGCCGCCATGTGCCCAACCAAACTTGGCAGAAAAGGTTGTTGTGTTATTGAAAGAAGAGAGGAGAGGAGAATGGATACTGGGGATCTCTGTTATGGGGCCATATAGGGTGACAACATACCAGAAGCAAAGACTTACATAGTGTTTAGTCTGTCCCAGGAACTTTCTAAATGTTTTGTCTGTATTAACTCAGTTAATCCTTACAAGCAATTTGAATGCCAGAAGTGAGGGCTTGCTTAAAGAATAAAGTCTTTAATTGGATTACGGTAAGTATTGAGGGGTTTTGAACAAGAGGGTTGCAATGGACAGCTCTTCATTACATTCTCTTCATCTATCAAAGGGTACATAGCAGCAGAAGCAATGAAGAGGACCCAGGCCTAAGAGTTGTAAGCCAGCTCTGTGGCTCCCTCACTCTGGGGTCACCAGTCACAGATCTCTTTGTCTCTTCATAAAATGAGGTGGTGGAATAGTTGGTGCTTGAGGTATCCCTCACTCTACAATTCTGTACCCTTGCCAGGTGCCCTCTTGTGAGCCCAGAACCACAGAGGACACTAGAAGGGAGAATAAATATAGGTATAGAGACACAATAAATTCCCACAGGACAGCCACAGAATAAGAAAAGTCTGTCTCAACAAGACTGGTAAACAGCATTCTCTAATCCTCTATCTTTAAAGTGTCAGTAAACACTGCCACTATCCTTCTGGCAAGAAGAAAGCTTAGGAGTCATCCTCGATACCTTCTCCTCCTTCATCGTCACCTCACTATTTCAAAACTGCCAATTTTATCTCCTAAATATATGCTGAAGCCATCCTTTTCTTTCTAGCTCTACCATTATGGCCATTGGTGGAACCATTTGTCTTTCCCCTGGACTACTGCAATTTCCTCCCATGATCTCCATCTTCCCTATTTGCTCTGAGCCAATCCATTCTCAGCCGCAAAAGAGATCCTAGTATAAAGCAAATATAAGCTTGCCATTTCCCTGCTTTAAACCCATCAAATGTGTCCCACTGCTCTTTATGAAAAATCCAAAGACATTCTACAATGTCTTGCAAAGTGCTACCTGATCTAGCCACCCCCCTGCCCATCTCTCCAGCCTTTACCTCTCCAACCTTATTGCATACAACTTTTTCCCTTCATCACAGGCTCCAACCATCCTCGCCCTTTTTATTAATGGGCCACCCTCCCTTTCACCCCATGAAGACTTCTATATAGATCATGTTTGCTCTGCGTAGAATGAGCCCCTACCCGTTCACCGACCCACTTTCATGTCTCAGCACTACTGTTGCTTCTTCAAGAAAACCTTTCTGAATTTCTCCCCCATCTACATCAGCCCCTCCTTATCTTAAATGCTACCAATTTATATATTTGTGTGATTATATAATTACATCTGTTGCACATTAAAAATTCTAAGCTCCAAAAGTACATGAATGTAATTTACTTTATTCATCATTATCTTTCCAATGAATAGAAGTTGAATGAAATAATTCATGGATGAGTGAATATCATTCCCCATCATCTATAGAATATAATTCCAAACTTCCTATACTTTCCTCCAAAGCCCTGCTCAGTCTGGCTCCAAATCCAGCTTCAGAAACATGAGCCTGGACATATAAATCCTGATCCAGCTCCTCTCACTTAATTCTCACAATGACCCACTGAAATAAATGTTGTCCCCATTTCACAGATAAGGAAACAGACTCAGAGGGAAACTGAGACTCAGAGAAAGATAGCGATTTCTCCAGCATCAAGTATGATGTCTATTTTTTTCTTTTCCTTTTTTTTTTGAGATGGAGTCTCACTCTGTCACCCAGGCTGGAGTGCGGTGGCATGATCTTTGCTCACTGCAACTTCCACCTCCCGGGTTCAAGAGATTCTTCTGCCTCAGCCTCCAGAGTAGCTGGGATTACAGGCACCCACGACCATGCTCTGGCTACTTTTTGTATTTTTAGTAGACACAGGGTTTCACCATGTTGGCCGGGCTGGTCTTGATCCCCTCACCTCAAGTGATCTGCCCACCTCGGCCTTCCAAAGTGCTGGGATTATGGGTGTGAGCCACTGCACCCAGTCTGATGTCTATTTTTTAATAATCCTTACATCAATTTGTTTAGATGTCTTAATATTCTTAATATTCAAAGTGGTCTTAGGGCGGTTGAAACTTCAGACAATGGGCATCTGCCTGTGTACAACGGTTTCTAAGAAGTTTCTATGAAGTTCAGCCTAAAAGGGTCTGTGACAAAGACATGAGCTGTGGAGCCAGTATCAAGAAAATGCGAAAGATAATAATTAAATTTGATAGTAAGCAATCTATTTATGATCCTGGAAATCCCACATTTCTTAACTCTTGCATACCATCCTGGGGTGGGCAGACGTTGTTTTATCTCTTTTTTTTGAGGCAAAACCTGAGTCTGAACCCTACTGGGTTGCCAGTATTGGACTTTTTTAACCTACAGTGTATATACATATACATATATATATATATATACACACACACACACACACACATACACATGCATACATGTACACAAACACACATGATCTGAAGTTGTTCCCATGACAGTGGTGCCCACATACTCTTGCCAAACCACATTACTTTTCCTCAAAGATCAGGCTAGTACAATGGATGACTGAGAGTACAGCGAATTTTCCACCAAAGGTACACCTGGATAAGATCTAATGTTATCAAAGCAGATATCTAGGTTTCTAAATCTTTGGATTACACAGTAATTGAAACAAGTTTTGTTGCGACAAAATACAGCATGATCTATCAAAGTTGGTTGGGAGGATTTTGTAAATGAAAGAGAAGAGAAATTGGTAACTCAGAAAAAGCAAGGAGAATAGAAATTGAAGCTCTTTGATTGGAGCAAGGTGAAAAGGGACTTCAGGAAGCACAATTAACTGGGAAACAGCAGAATTTGTTCAGGTCTCTGAAAGGTTCCTGTGCACCTTGTCATTAAAATTAACCATGCCACCTCTTGTGTCACCTGCCTATCACCAGAGGTAGGTAAATGTGCACCTCTGATGTCTAAATTTACCTCATTGCCCTCAACTAAAAGAAGTCAAGACAGTTCCATAGAAAACAGCTTGCACTGAATCCTGACATAGAGAAAGCCAAGGTAAGTCTGGGATGTCCTGTTATTTTCAAAACATTAGATATCAGGAATGGTAATCAAGGAAATCAAGATGACTAAAGGAAGGCAAGCGGAGTGACCCAAACTTGAAGAAGTTAAATGTAAAACAAAGAGCATAGTCAAATTGAAATAGCATAAAAAGCTGCAGGCCCATATTGATGATGATAATAGCTAACACTTATGTGCCAGATCCTATTTTAAACACTTTACAAATAGTAACTCATTTAGAGCATACAACAACCTCAAAAAGTCTCTGTACTGTGAATAAGCCCCATTTTATGTAAAAATAAGCTGGGATACACAAAAGTGAAGTAATATGTTCAAGGTTACCTAGAGTACCAGGACCAGGATCTGAACCCAAAAAGCCTGACTCTAAACTCTTGTTTTTCAATCACAGCCATGCTGTTGTGTAAAGTATAAAAACCCAATATTAAATGCCTACAAAGGAGTTCTAATACCCACACAAACCTCTGATATTATTTACAGAAACACTGCATATTGATCAATCCAAAGTTACCAATCATAGATAGTGGAGAGTGGCAAAAAAGGACATAATTAGAGAATGACTTGCCACCTGGTATGCTTTTGATGGGATCTATTGACCAATTCATGATCATAGAGACAGATAAGTGTTATAGATGGAGAAGGTAGGGCTTAAGAAGGTTGAAAGTATGCTACAAACTTGAATAGAAACCGTGTGTTAAGTGAGAAGTTTTTTAGGTCTGGATAAGGCCTAAAAAACTACAATGTCCAGCTCCTGAGTCACAGTGGAGAATGTACCAGAATAAGAGGGCTTTTCTTAGAATCACCCTGGGTTCTGACTTCAAGCTGACATCACCTACTAACTCATTAGAACCTATGAGCAGCTTTGGTGGGGAAGAGGGAGAGGGATAGCACTCTACACCACTGCAGAGTAGGTTTAAATTGTGGCTCCAAAACTTACCAGCTTGGGAGGTATTGAGCAAGTAAGTCTCTTGACCAAACTACACCTCAATTTCCTCATCTGTAAAATGGGAATAAAATCAGAATGCACTGTAAAGGGTTGTTGTGAGGATTAAATTAGATGATACAGGTAAATCACTTGGCACAGGACCAGATACTTAATAGACTCAATGAAGATAATGAAATAATCTACGGCCTCTCTTTGAGGACAAGCCCGGTTGTACTAGCTACTCATGCCATGCAGAATTTTTTGCAGGGGCTGGAGAAAAGGCAAGTGAGGGGTTCAAACTAAAAACAGATGCATTTGTTGGAGTGTCATTGGCGGGTTCATCTCCTCTTAGGAATATGAGGAGGTCAAGTCTACAATTCACATTTGGATTAGATCCTAGTTTATCTATCGTATCCCTATGAGGTAGGTTCATACCCATTTAACAGATGAAGAGACTGAGGTTTGGAAATGGGGAACAACACCTCCCAGGTCACATAGTAGGTTCATATCAGATTATAGAGCCACAACCCAGGTGTCCTACTACTGAAGCCCCACCATCTTGGCAGCCTGTTAAGAGCCTTGGCTTCTCCTCCTCTCTCTTTCCCTCCTCCCACAGCCAGAAAAGAGCAAGAACAAGCCCCATCTCAGCCACGCTAAAGGCTGAAATTTCTGCCTGTAGCAAGGATGAAACAATATTCACAAAGGTCAAAGAGTCACATGACACGTTAGTTTTCTTTCCATGATGATTTTTTTAACCTGACAGTTATAGAGTTTGTATATTGTGTTGATTTGTTGTTGCTGGAATTGTCACACATGTTGGAGTAGGGGTCTGAGAGTCCATTTTAAAAAGTGGTTGTTAGCAAAGGATGAACACGTATCTCTATGGTGTTTGTCTCTAAAGGGTGTGTATCTCTTAGAGGTGTGTGTGTGTATGTACTGTGCCTTACATGTGTACTTTTAAGGATGTGTGTGTTTTAGTGGAGTGTATGTGTGTTTGCATGTTTTACCTGTATTTATATCTGGGTTAGGTGGACCTGCATTTGTATACACACATCTCTGAATATTACACATGTAATATTGCATATGTCTGTATCTATCTGTGTATTGCAGTTCCTTGTGTACACGGTATAAGAATGAGTATTGTTTATATGAGTGAGTTGTGTGCATGGGTTGTGTGTTATATATGTGTGTCCATCTATTGCATGAGCTGATTGTATTTGGTGTGTTTCATATGCCTGTGCAGTACGGGTGTGTCTCAGTGTTGTTGCTGGGTGTTGCATGGGGATGTGTGGTGCATCCAGGAAGGAAGTGTTCTGCATAAGTGTATATTGTGTGCCTGTGTGTACTTATGTGTGTAGTCTGTGCCCTGTAGGTTAAAATATGGAGTACCTGGGTATGTTCTGTGTTTCTGGACTGTGTTCTATGTCTGTGTGTAGGGTGAGTGTTTGTGCTGGGTATCTGAGTGTCTGTGTTGCATGTGCCTGTGTGTGTGCACATGTATATGCCTGGCATGAATTCCTCACCAGGCCTCTGTCTCTGAGTGAATTATGTCCCTCTCTCTCCCCTCCTTCCCTTTCTCTGCCCCCTGTTTTGGAGACGGCGTCTGGTAGTTATTAGCTGGTCAGACATTTTTATCTCCTCAAAATATCCTATCGCTCATATCCAGCTCAGTAATCACAGGAATGGGCTTCAGAGACATCGTTTATGCCGCAGCCTCCACAGACCAGGAGAACTCGTGTCACTTTTACCTATTTGTCACTGAAAATAAAGACTCACGAGCAAAATAGCTGCTGTCTCAGCCTGGATTAACTATTTCTGAGCCAGTTTGAATTTTCTTCAGTGAAGCTATAAATATTGCACAGGCCAGGGGTGAAACACAAGGGGCTGGGAGCCTAGAAATACCTGGCATCCCCAGCTTCCAACTACTGTAATATACAATGATTAGGCTCAACCATTGTTTCTTGCATGGAATGTGGCTGTCATTTGCTGGGAGAGGGGTGTAGGGAAGATACGTTGTCCAACAGGACGATTCTGCACATTGTAGGCTGTTCCACCCCACCCACCAGATGCTGATGCCCCGAGTGTCTCCAGCCATTTTTCCTGCAGAGCATCTCCACATGTTCAAATTCCCCCAGAGAGGGGGAGAGCAGGACCACCCTGTTGTGAGTCACTGAGTTAAACTATAGAAGTATGAATTCATTGGATTAGAAGGACTTAAATGACAGCTTTCAGGCATTATTCTCCTGGAACACTCTGCTGTGTTTAATTTATTCATCCATCTATTCATTCTTAGTCATTATTTCAATGAACAAATATTTGCTCAGCACCTGTGCCAGGTACTTTTCTAACCATCTTGGATATAAGAGGAACAGGGTGAGCAAGGCCCTTGTTCTCCAGGACCTTATAGTCTAATAGGGAAGACAATCAGTAAACATATAAACAAATAAATAAACAAGAAATGATGGGGAAGAAATAAGAGCCTTCATAGCCATAAAACAAGCATTTGATAGTGTGAAGGGGTGGGGCTTCTTTAGCTTGAGGGAGGACAGGGAAAGGCTTTCCTGAGAGAGAACAGGTAAGCTGAGGCCTAAATGTTACAAAGAACTAAGATAAAGGCTGGGCACAGCAGCTTATGCCTGTAATCTCGGCAGGTTGGGAGGCTGAGGTGGGAGGATCACTTGAGGCCAGGAGTTCGAGACCAGTCCAGCCAACATGGGAAGACCTCCGTCTCTATAAAAAATAAGTTAGCTGGATATGGTGGTAAATGCCTGTAGTTCTAACCACTTGGGAGGCTGAGGTGGGAGGATTGCGTGAGCCCAGGAGGTCGACGCTGCAGTGAACCATGATCATGCCACTGCACTCGAGCCTGGGTGACAAAGACACATAGCCAGGAAGGGGAAAGGTGTGGGAGGGGGCAGTGGCTGAAGGACGGAGGGGACAGAGGAAGTTGGAGAGGAGGCAGAGTCCAGATCACAATGGGCCTTTGGGCTGTGGCTACAGTGTGGGTTTTATTCTAAGGGCAATGGGAAGCCATTGCAGGATGTTTAAAAAGTAAGCTATGTATAGGATAGATTCTGAGGGCAAGGAGACAAGCCAGATCAGAAGGGCCATCATGTACCACAAGGAAGCAGAAGCTATGAGGGGATGACCTGGAGGTAATGAACAGCCTCAGTGTAGGTCCGTGATTCTTAAACTTCAGTATGCGGCAGAATCCCCTAGAAGGCTTGCTAAAGTGCACATTGCTGAGCCCATCCCCAGAGTTTCTACTCCCATAGGACAGAGGGTGCAGCTGGAGAATTTGCGTGGAATTCTGTATAGCTATAATAGGACATAAAGGTGATTGGTGCATTGCAGGGACCCAAAGCCTGGCCTTTTCCCAAGGAGAGGACCTCCGCCCATGACTTTTTCCCAGGTGATGCTCATCCTGCTGGTCCAGGGAACACTTGAAAACCACTGCTGTTGAGAAGAGATACAGAGCAAAGATGAGGAAAACCAGTATGCCCAAGAATTAGGTCCCCTTAATTTCATCCAAAAAGGAAGAAACAATGACAATGACAACAGTGTAAATTCTTACTATATACTGGGCACTATGCTAAGTGTTCTATGTGCATCATCCTACGCAATGCCATTCTGAAGGAGATATTATTAATTATTCTCATCTTGGAGAAGATGAAATTATGGTTTTAGAGAAACCAGGGATCTTGTCCAAGTTCCCACTGCCAAGAGCCCTATTTCCAGGTGAAGCCATCTGACTCCAGAGTCTGCAAGTTCAATCAAATCTGTTTCCAAAGGCCCTGGAACTTCTTTGGATTTTGAGTCATTGTATTAGTCTGTTCTCATGCTGCTAATAAAGACATACTTGAGACTGGGTAATTTATAAAGAAAAAGAGGCTTAATGAACACATACTTCCACATGGCTGGGGAAGCCTCACAATCATGGTGGAATGCAGAGGAGGAGAAAAGGCATATCTTACATGCTGGCAGGCAAGAGAGCAAGTGCAGGGGAACTGCCCTTTATAAAATCCCCTGGTCAGGGGTGTAAAACCCCTTCACTGGAACATATTCATCTAGATAATAAACTGCTCTCCCCCTAGTTAGCCTGAAGGAGTCTCTGCTTCTTGCCTCCTACATAGTAAATCAGACAAGTGGCAGAGCAGGGACCAGTCCAGAGGGCACCTGACTGTAGTCCATGGAATGGTTCTTTCTGCTTCACCTACCGTCTCTCCATCTACAGGCAGAGAAAGGAGGCAAAACTCTCTCTCCCTTCTCTCCGTCTCTCTTCTCAAATAGACACACACACACACACACACACACACACACACACACACACTCATTCATGCATGCACAGTTTCTCATTCCATCAGCGTATCAGCATGCCGGGGCTCCCTGACTGCAAATATTTACTCCCAGCTTTTTTATCTACAAGGCATAAACAATTCCAGCATATGCTCAGCATGAGCCACCTGTAACTGTTCCAGGGCCTCTCTGCCTTTGCCATAGGAGGTGTGATGATGGGGATTATGGGAGGCTTTTCTGTGGCTTCCTTCCTGACCACTGTCTCATGAGTCCTGAGTGCAGCAAGAGCTAGGATAGGACATAAAGGTGATCGATGCATTGGGGATGCCCAAAGCCCTGCCTTTCCCAAGAGGACCTCCAAATCCACTGGCCACAAGGTGTGGAGGTTTTGGACAATGCCGGTCAGAGCTTTTATTGAGGGATAGTTTTAAAGGTACACAAAAGATATTTCCAGAATATGCAAAGAAGAATTCACAACTGCTCCCAACAAAATGGATTACCATCATGCAAAGTGTAAAATTCTCTTTAGAAGATTTCATGAAGCCCCAAAACCAAAAGAATGGTCTAATTACTAAGCACCTAAAAGTGGGCAGATACTTTGCTTCTAACGTCTCACTTATCCTCACTACAATACTAGAAGATAGATACCATTACTATTTCTGTTTTGTAAATGAGAAAATCAAGGCACAGAGAGGTTGAGTCATTTGCTTCAAGGTCACACAGCTGGTAAATGGCTGATATGGGATACTATCCAGCATTCATCTAACTCCAGAGCCCAAAGGAGTCCATGGTGCTGTGCTGCTTCCTGAGACCATGGAATCACACTCAGCATGAAGAGTTGCATACTTGCCTAGGGAAAGGCAGGCAGTTTGGTGCAAAAACAGTCTATTAGACTCCCATTTTGGAAGATTACTTGGGCCATCTCTTCTCATCATGGTCACTACTACTTTTTTTGTGCTGGTGGCTTTTTATCTAGAGTGGGACTTGCAGTCCAAAGACTTGAGCACTTATTATTGGCACAGGGCAGGTGAGGGGGTGAGAGAAATATGAATAAAACACAAGTTTTGCTGTCAAAAAACTTAAAAGGGATATGATGAGGAAGTATCATGGAGCAATGTGTGAGAGTTCCAGTGGCTCCAGATCCCTGACAACCCTAAGTATTATCAGTCCTTTTAATTTTAGCCTTTCTGGTGGGTGTGGGATAGCATCTCATTGCAGTTTAATTTGTATTCCTCTGGTGGCTAATATGCTGAGCAGCTTTCACATGATTATTGGCCATTGTGATATCTCTTTTATAGTCTTTTATAGTTCTTGCCTGTTCAAGTCTTTGCTAGCTTTTTTTGATATAAAGTTGTGGAGCACAAGTGCAATTTTGTTACATCCATAGATGGAATAATGGTTAAGTCAAAGCTTTAGAATATCCATCACCCAAACAACATGCATTGCACTCAAGTAATTCTCATCACCGAATCCCTTTCCACCCTTCACCCTTCCCAGTCTCCATTGTCTGTCTTCCACTCTCACTGAGTTGTCTTTTTTCCATTAACAGTTCTTTACATATTACTAATATGAACCCCATTCAGATATACATGTTGCAAATGTCTTTTCCCCATCTGTGATTTTCACTATTGGTGTCTTTCAATAAACAAATGTTCTTAATTTTAATAATATTTCATTTATCATTCAAAGGGTAAAATTCTCTTTAGAGAACTTCATAAAATCCCAAAAGAAAAAGAATGGCCTAATTACTGAGCACCATCAGTTTTCTTTTCTGGCTGGTGATTTTTTTAATGTCCTATTTAAGAGTTGTTTCCCTCAAAGTCATGAGGATTTTTTCCTATGTTTTCTTCTAGAACCTCTATTATTTTACCTTTCTCATCTGTGTCTATAATATATTTTTAATTATCTTTTGTGTATGGTATGAAAGAAGGGTTAAAGTTGATTTTTGTCCATATGGATATTCAGTTGACCAAACAAAAATCTTTCTTTTCCCTTTGAATGCCAATCATGTTTTTGTAGTAAATAAGATCATAAAATATGTGTGGGTCAGTGTCTGGACAGATAGTACTTTTAACCAATAAAAAAAAGTAATCTTAAGGACAGTGGGATAGAAGATGGAAAACCAAAATTTATCCTGACATTAATTTCCTATGCTACTTTGGGGAAGTACTTCTCTTCTCTGAGCATCCATTTTTTATTTAAAAATATATATCTGAGGGAATAGGACTAGATGATGATATTACTCCTTATATTCAAATACACAATGGCTTACCAAATTCAAAGTTTTTTTTATAGTTAATCTCTTTATTGGAGCTGACTTTTATCTCAAAGTTAAGTTCCAAATGGGCCTAAAAATTAGCTACAAGTGACCTCATAGAAACCTTGAAGCAAAGGAAGAATATGAGAATGAATGGGGTATGAAACATTGTTAGGACTTAGGTGACTGTAGTATTCATTTCCTATTGTGGTTGTAACAAGTTGCCACAAACTTAATGGTTTAAAACACAAATGTATTATCTTGTCATTATTTCTGCAGATCAGAAATTCAATCTGGAACTCACTGGGCTAAAATCAAGTGTTGGCAAGACACTGTTCCTTTCTGGGGGCTGTAAGTGAGAAACTGTTTCTGTGACCTTTCCAGCTTCTGCAGTTTTGCTGGTCACATTCCTTGGCTCATGGCTCCCTTCCTTCATCTTCAAAGCAGCAATGTTACATCTCTCTGACCATTGCCACATCTCTCCCTCTCTGACCTTGAAAATTCCTTCACCTTTAAGGACCTATGTGATTAGGTTGAGCCCACCCAGATGTATTAGTCTGTTCCCCTGCTGCTAATAAACACATACCCGAGACAGGGTAATTTATAAAGGAAAGAGGTTTAATGTACTCACAGTTCCACATGGCTGGGTCGGCCTCACCATCATGGTGGAAGATGAAGGAAGAGCAACGTCATGTCTTACATAGTGGCAGACAAGAGGGTTTGTTCAGAAGAACTCCCATTTATAAAACCGTCAGATCCCATGAGACTCATTAACTACCACGAGAACACTGGGGGAAGACCCACCCACCAAGATTCAATTACCTCCCACAGGGTCCCTCCCACAACACGTGGGGATTATGGGAGCTACAATTCAAGATGAGATTTGGTGGAGACACAGCCAAACCATATCACCAGATAATTCAGGATAATCATTCCAGTTGAAGATCCTTAATTTAATCACATTTGCAAAATTACTTACAGGTTTCTGGGATTCAGCTATGGACATCTTCAGGGGCCATTATTCTGTCTACCACAGGCTTACCAATGCACAACTAAGTGAGTTTTTGAACTGACTATTGGCCCAAAAAGTCAATATCCATTTTTCAAATTGCTCTGACCTCCAACTGGATAATAAATGAAGGATCTCCAAAATGGAAAAGGGCCCAAACGCTGAACCATTAGGAAAGGATAAGAGATGATTAGAAGTACAGCCTGTTTGTAATGATAATACTCACCAGCTGTGTGACTTTTAATGAGCCTCTTGACCTCTCTGGAGGGAAGCTTCTCCATCTTTTCACTGAGGATTCTGGAAGATGTCTAGAGAAATCATCTTACATTTCTCCAGGGACCAGACACACAATGAAAATGTGTAAAGCACCAGGTAAAATTTTTAAAAGGTGTAGTAGGATCTTTGGCAAACTAGAGAACAATGCCCTGTGTAAAAACACTCAAATGACATGTTTGTGCTTGCCAAATAAAGGACTGACCACAGACCCCTATACCAGCTGAACTCTAATGATGCTTCTGGCTTCAACATCGGTTGGTCTTTGCAGAGCTTCATCTTGTATGCATGTGTGTGCTTTTATTTTCTCACCTTCAGCAGCAGAAGGGGAAGCATGAAGCTGAACTGGAGTGCTCATATGAAAAGATGGAGAAAAAAAGGAGCTGAAGAGAAAAGATCAGAACCTTTCTTCCCCTCATCCCTAGATGGCAAATACTCTGCTCTGAGAAGGCAGCATCCCAGCTGTGCAGAGTTCAGCTTGGCCAAGGCTGGAAGGAGACCCAGAGCAACCCAGGCCTCATTTCCGAAGGGTGTTATTTCACCCCTGCTTCCCAGATAATGTAACTGAGTCACTCAATTGAGCATAAAATAGAAATTTGGCTTCTTATCTGCCTCAGACCTGACTTTACTATTTTCTTTCTGCAAAATACATTTTTCACTATCTTATCTTCTAATAAACAATCCTGGCTCGGCAGCCTTGTGGCAATGGCGCTGAATGCATTTAAGAGACATATTTTTCCTCTCTCACTCCCCGCTTAAAGTCTTCTGTTTAAAAGCCTGCGTGTATTTCCCCCTCCCTTTTGGAAAAAAAAATATATCCCATTTGTATGCTGTCTTCCTTTAAAGAACGTACATATTTTTCATGAGCTGTTCTGATGGATCCCTCCTTATTTCCCCTTTTGCTCACTTGATCAGAATTAAAAGAAGGACTAACTTCCACAGCAATGGTGTGTGAATTGGATGGATTTTAGTACTGGGTAGGGGAGGCCAGGGGGCTCCTTTAAGAAAGGGGCAATCTCTAGAGTGGTCAGATGCCAATGGGTTCTCCAAGATTGTGTGGTGGGCAGGACACATTTTGATGAAAAGCCAGCTGTGAATGTTTAATGCCTTCTCTCAAATGCAGACTGTCATCAGAAGCACCAGACAGTGAAGCTTAAGCCACAGAGAAAAGAAGAGGCATAGGGAATCAACATTTACTGGAGTTTTTCTCAGAACAACCTTATGAGAAAACAGCCACATTAGTAAAGAAGAAGAAATGGCCCCATGATTACAAAGGAGGAAACTGGGGCTCAAAGAGCTGATGCATTCAGATGATGAGATTCGAGGAAAGGGTTATGCACTTTGGGAATTCGGATTACACAGACACACTGACACACACACTTTCTGCCATAACATGTGTAGTTTTTAGGCAATTGTTTTATCCTGAGTGCAAACTGCAAAGGCCATGGAGGTGAAATCACTCCTCACCTGGCCTCCATGTGAAACTTCAACTCCTAGCTTTTTATGCTGGAAAATATAGTAAGTTATAGACATGTGGATTTTACACTTTATAAAAGCATTTACCTCCTCCATTGCTTTTGTGGTTTATACTCAGAATAGAACTCATCCTCTGTCCTGTCTATTTTCTGCTAACCCTGTCACCTCATTCATAGGCTCAAATTCACCTCACCCTTTTTCCCCTTAAGGTAAGACCTTTAGGTGTGTTTTGCCTTTACCTGGAATATTTAACTCCTACCCATCCTTCATAGGTGAGCTCAACACCTGCCTCTTCAGGGAAGTCTTCTGTGGCCACCCTACTTGTATTAGTTCATTCTCATGCTGCTCATGAAGACATACCTGAGACTGGGTCATTTATAAATGAAAGAGCTTTAAAGGACTTACAATTCCACGTGGCTGGGGAGGCCTCACAATCATGGTGGAAGACGAAGGAAGAGCAAAGGGACATATTACATGGTGGCAGCCAAGAGCATGTGCAGGGGAACTCCCCTTTATAAAACCATCACATCTTGTGAGATTTATTCACTCTCACAAGAACAGCATGGGAAAGACCCACCACCATGATTCAATTACCTCCCACCAGGTCCTTCCCACCATACATGGAGATTACTACAATTCAAGGTGAGATTTGGGTGGGGAGACAGAGCCAAACCACATCACCACCTAAGGCAGCCTCCCCTCTTATTCTCTCAATAGCACACCACCTTTTTCCTTCAAAGCATTGTTACAACAAATTTGCACATTTATGCCTGTGTTTTTATGCATCACTTAATATATCTCTTCCCCCACCAGTCTGTTAGTTCTGGGGAGTACAGAATGATCTCATTTTGTTTTTAACATAGCAGCCCTGTGCCTCGTATACTACTTGTCACATAGGGGTGCTCAGTATGTATTTGTTGAACAAATGAATGAATGGATTTGACTCTCACAAAAACCTGTGAGACAGGTACTTTAATCTCCATTTTCTAATAAATAGTGAGATTAATAATTAGTTAACATTTCTTCAGTACTTACTGTGTGCCTAGTAGTATTCAAGGAGTTCTAATACTCCCTCTAATTATCTAAGGTGGGTAATATTCTTATTCCTATTTTACAGATGAAGAAACTGAGGCACAGACAGCACACAGCCAGCCAGAGTGCAGGTTTTCCAATATAAAGCTCCTGCTCTTCCTATTGAACCACAGGGCCTTGCATCTGAGCCACCAATACCAAGAAGGAAAAAAACCAAGAAGAGAAACTCATGGAAATCACAATCAGTCCAGGTTACTGTTTGCCTCGGAAAATTAACTGATAAGAGGTTGCAGTTTCCCAATGCATTTCTGTTGTTTGAGCCACCCGGTTTGTAGGTACTTTGTTACAGGGCCCTAGCAAACCAATACACTGGATAACCTTGAGCAATATATTAAACTCTTTTAGTTTTAGTTTCCTTATATGATAAATGAGAACAGTGTGCATCTCATAAACTTGTTGTAAAAAATTAATATGAAAAAGTAAGAGCCTGGGACTTGTAATTGCTCAATAAAATAACTAATGGTAAAAAAAAAAAAAAAAAGGTTGCAGTTTCCTCCAACATTTGTCAATCTTCAGCCAAAGATGTTCATGCAAAATCACAAGGCATATTTCATAATCTGGTGTGGACTCTGGGGCAGTCCTGGTGAGAGCCCTTCTGGAACAAGATTGGCCACCTGCTTCCTGTGTTTTCCTCTGGGGGCTCATGCCTCAGGCCCCAGCTGCCTCTACCCACACTGAGGCTTCTTCCAGTCTAAGAACCCCATTTCTCACTTGCAGCCTGGAGAACAGGATGAGGTCAATAGTTCCTTCTGTTCCTGCAGGAAGCCAGAGAAGATTAATCTGAGGACTGAGAGATGATGCCAGGCAGTGGAGAAGATTTATGAGGGAGTGAAATCCAGGCCAAGGTCCCAGGTTTTTGTTTCTCTCTATCTGTCTTTTGACTACCACAAAGCCCTGTGGTTGGAAGAAACTTCCAGAGGTCATCTGGTCCAGCCTCCTGCCCCTAAAAACCCTCAGGCAAGAAGAGCATGGCCATCTGATGCTCACAACACTCAGGCTTTCTACAGCTCTCTCTCTCCTCTGTGTAATGCCACTCAGATCAAGTCTAAGCATTTCCACCTGGCTTCAGAGAGCCACAATGATCTGGTTCCATACTACCTCATCTCCTCTTAATCCCCAATATAAACTCCACTCTAACCAAACTTGTTTTTCCCCCCTTGGCTCCCAGCCTCCATCCATTTGCCTATGGCTATAAATCCCGCTTTGAATGACTTTCCTTCTGCTCTTCAGCAACATGAATTTTATAAGGCTCAGTGCAAATTTCCATCCCCCAGGAGCCTTCCTTGCTGTCACAGGTCATGAATTAATATTAACAAGGTTATGTCTTTTATTTGCTAAATATTTATAATCTCATCACTTTTTGGTGGCTTTAAGGCACAGTAATGATATAGTTCTATTTCTTGTGCATCCAATACATAAGACTTATAATTTGGTACTTGCCCCCCCCAATCAGCTTCCACAAACACAAAATGCACGGCTTTGCCTTAAAATAATTCTGTTCCCTCCACTACAAATGTTCTTTCCCTTCTTTGTAGCCTAACAAACTTATTATTCATCAAGTCTGAAGGAAACCAACACTTACTGTTGGCTGTGATATGTCAGGTATTGTGCTGGGTTGGGCTTTGCATACACGATCTCAACTAATCTTTACCAAAACCCAGGATATGGCTAGCATTATGTCCACTCTATAGATAATGATACTGGGGTTTAAAGAGCTTAAGTTCATCTATATATTTATCTATTCAATCAACAATTATTTATTTTACATCTACAGTGTACCAGAAACTCGACCGAAAGGTGAAGATAATAGGGCTGAAATTGATATTCATTCCCTGCACTCTTGAAGCTTATTAACAGGAGATACAGAGATTGAACAAGGTATAACAAATGTAGCAAGGGGTTAAAAAGAGAAGCACAGGGCTTTTGCAGATTGCCCAGCCTGGGAGACAGAAAAAAAAATACTCTCTGGATGTGACATTTCCAGAGACCAGAAGGATGAGTAGGCTCAATTTAGGCAAAGAGTAGGGGTAAGCTAATTACCTGAAGCTGAAAAACTCATGATTAGAGGCACTAGGATCCTACCCCAAGTCTATGTGACCTCAGTCTTTGCTGTTTCTACCACATTTCTACCTCCTCTGGGAAGATTTCCTGGAACATCTACTCTGGGTCAAACCAGTCAAGCCTGAGTTTGTGCTTCCAGGGCACCCTGAGTCTATGTCATACCCATATATTGTCTTGTAATGCAGGGAAAGAGATAACTTCTTCTCAGGGGTTACTGGCACAAAAATGCAGAACTCTTGCATGTTAGTCAAGGTATGTCAACTGCTATGACAACCCAAAAATAACAGTGGCTTAAATCTAGGGGGAAAGAGAGCCTTGGCAGGATTAGCACTGCTCACAAAATCATTCAGGGACTTGGGCTTTTTTAATTTAGTGGCTTGTTCATCCTCTAAGGCCATAGAGTCTTCAGATGGATCCTCTTTATCTGGTGTCCAATGAACATGAGAAAAGTGTGGGACCCAACTTACAGAGTTAGATAGATCATCAGACAGAAAATAAACACAGAAATTCTGGACTTAAATTCAACATTTGACCATTGGAACTAAACATATCTACAGAATACTCCATCCAACAACTACAGAACATACATTATCATGTGCATATGGAAAATACTCTAAGATTGACCACACACTTGGTCATAAAGCAAGTCTCAATAAATTCAAAAAAACTGAAATTATACCAAACATATTCTCAGACCACAATGGAACAAAAATAGAAATCAATACCAAGAAGATCTCTCAAAACCACATAACTATGTGGGAATTAAACAATTTGCTCGTGAATGACTTTTGGGTAAAAAATAAATTAAAGCATAAATCAAAAAATTCTTTGAAATTAATGAAAACAGAGACACAACATACCAAGATCTCTGGGATGCAGCAAAAGCAGTGTTAAGAGGAAAGTTTATAGTACTAAATACACCAAAATTTAGAAAGATCTCAAATTAACAATCTAACATTTCACCTAGAGAAACTAGTAAAACAAGAACTAATCCCAGGGCTAGAAGAAAATAAATAACTAAAATCAGAGCAGGACTGAGTGAAGTTGAGACCCAGAAATCCATACAAAGGATCAACAAAACCAAAATTGGTTATTTGAAAGGATGAATAAGATTGATAGACCACTAGCTAGATTAACAAAGTAAAAAAGAAAGAAGGCCCAAATAATCACAATCACAAATGACAAAGGTAACACTACAATTGATACAAAAGATCCTCAGTGACCATTACGAACATCACTATACACACAAACTAGAAAATATAGAGTAAGTAGATAAATTCCTGGAAACATGCAACCTCCCAAGATTTGATCAGGAAGAAACTGAAACACTGAACAGACCTATAATGAGTTCCAAAACTGAAACAGTAATAAAAATCCTACCAACCACAAAAAGCCCTGGATCAAATGGATTCATAGTCATATTCTACCAGACATACAAAGAAGAGCTGGTACCAATTCTATTGAAACTAGTTCAAAAAATTGAGGAGGAGGGACTCTTCCATAACTCATTCTATGAAGCCAGAATCATCCTGATATAAAAACCTAGCAAAGACATGATGAAAAAAGAAAACTACAGGCCAATATCCCTGATGAACATAGATTGCAAAAATCCTCAATAAAACACTAGCAAACCAAATCCAGCAGCACATCAAAAAGTTACTTCACCATGATGAAGCAGGCTTTATTCCTGGGATGCAAGGTTGGTTTAACATACACAAATCAATAAATATGATTCCCCATATAAACACAATTAAAATCAAAAGGCATATGATCATTTCAATAGAGGCAGAGAAAGATTTTGATAAAATCCAATATCCCTTCATGATAAAAATCCTCAACAAACTAAGCATTGAAGAAACATCCCTCAAAATAATAAGAGCCATCTATGAGAAACCCACAGCCAATATCATATTGAATGGGCAAAAGGTGGAAGCATTCCTTTTGAATGCTGGAACAAGACAAGAATGCCCATTCTCACCAATCATATTCAACATAGTACTGGAAGTCCTAGCCAGAGCAATCAAGCAAGAGAATGAAATTAAAGGCATTCAAAAAGAAAAAGAAGAAATCTATCTCTTCACTAATGATATGATTCTATACCTAGAAAACTCTAAATACTCCACCAAAAAGCTCCTGGAACTGATAAATGACTTCAGTAAACTTTCAGGATACAAAATCAATGTACAAAAACCAGAAGCATTTCTATACACCAGTAACATTCAAGCTGAGAGCCAATTTAAGAACTCAATGTCATGTATAATAGCCACACACACACACACACACACATAAAAAAAATATCTAGGAGTATTTCTAACCAAGGAGGTGAAAAGTCTCTACGAGCAGAACTACAAAACACTGCTTAAATGAATCATAGAAAGCAACAAATGAAAATGACACAAACAAATGGAAAAAACATTTCATGCTCATGGATTGGAAGAATCACTATCATCAAAATGGCCAAATTGCCCAAAGCAATCTACAGATTCAATGCTATTCCTATCAAACTACCAATGTCATTTTTCAAAGAATTAGAAAAAAATATTCTAAAATTCATATGGAACCGGAAAAAAAACTCAAATAGCTAAACCAATCCTAAGCAAAAAGAACCAAGCTAGCAGTATCACATTAACTGACTTCAAACTATACTACAGGGCTACAGCAACCAAAACCTCATGGCACTAGTACAAAAATAGGCACATAAACCAGTGGAATAGAATAGAGAACCCCGAAATAAAGCCACACACCTACAACCATCTTATTGTTAATAAAGTCAACAAAAATAAGTAACAAAGAAAGGACTCCCTATTTAATAAATGGTACTGGGATAACTGGCTAGTCATATGTAGAAGATTAAAACTGGACACGTACCTCTCACTGTATACAAAAATTAACTTAAGATGGATTAAAGATTTAAATGTGAGACCTCAAACTATAACAATTCTAGAAGAAAACCTGGGAAATAACCTTATTGACATCAGCATTGGCAAAGAATTTATGGCTAAGTCCCCAAAAATCAATTGCAATAAAAAACAAAAATTGACCTCATTAAACTAAAGAGCGTCTGCATAGCAAAATAAACTAGCAACAGAGTAAACAGGCAATCTACAGAACAGGATAAAATATTTGCAAACTATACAGCTAACAAAGGTTTGATATCCAGAATCTATAAGGAAGTTAAACAATTCAACAAGCAAAAAACAAATAATCCCATTTAAAAATTGGCAAAGGACATGAACAGACACTTCTCAAAAGAAGACACACAAGTGGGTGACAAAGATATGAAAACATGTTCATCATCACTAATCATCAGAGAAATTCAAATCAAAACCACGATTAGATACTATCTCAACCAGTCAAAATGGCTATTCTTCTTCTTCTTTTTTTTTTTTTGACAGAGTCTCACTCTCTCACAGAATGGCTGGCTACTCTTATTAAAAGTAAAAAAATAACAGATATTGGCAAGACTGTGGAGAAAAAGGAATGCTTATACACTGTTGATAGGAATGTAAATTAGTTCAGCAAGTTCAGCAACTGTGGAAAGCAGTTCAAAGATTTCTCAAATAATTTAAAACAGAAATACCATTCTACCCAGCAATGTCTTTACTGGGTATATATCCAAAAAGACCCATGCATTCATACATTCTACCAAAAAGACACATGCACCTTACGTTCATCATAGCACTATTTACAACAGCAAAGATATGGAATCAACACAGGTGCCCAACAATGGTGGACTGCATAAAGAAAATGTGGCACATATATGCCATGGAATACTATGTAGCCATAAAAAAGAAGGAAGTCACTTCCTTTGCAGCAACATGGTTGCAGCTGGAGGCCATTATCCTAAGTGAATTAATGCAGAAACAGAAAACTAAATACCACATGTTCTCACTTATAAATGGAAGCTACACGTTGAGTACACATGGACATAAAGATGGGAACAATAGACACTGGGAACTACAAGAGGAGGTAGAGAGGGAGCAAGGGATTGAGGGACTACCTAATGGGTACTATGGTCACTACCTGGATGTGGAGTTCAATCATACCGCAGACTTTAGTATCACACAATATACCCTGTGGCAAACCTGCATATGTACCCCCGAATCCAAAATAAAAGTTTTAAAAAAAAAAAGTGTGCAGGAGGAGTGTGGGGGGAGAGGAGGAGAGTACAGGAAAAGAGGAAAGTACAATGGGAAAGGAGGGGAGGGGAAGAGAAAGGAGGGAAGGGAAGGGAAAGGAAAGGTGGATAAGGGAAGACAAAAGAAAAGGTGAGGAGAACATGGAGGTTCATACAAGGTTGTAAGGGCATAGAAGCAGTGTACATCATTGCAGCCTACATTCTATTGGCTACAAATCAATCTTATGACCCATCTTGGTTTCAAATATTGGAATCAGGACCAGAACCCATGTCCCCAGAGCTGGTCCAGGTGCTGGTCACACACAATATGATGCCTGGCCTGGGGGCCTCATGCCCACTCCTCTTACCCACCCCACACACTTGCCTTACCATATGCACCACGCAGATGAACTGCCATAGTTCCCACCTCAGTCACCTCTGCAAGAATGCCTTGATTTTGCCAAACACTTGATATTTGGCATGAGGAGCTATAACATCCAGATGGAGGTATCTTTGCTCTCAATTCATAGAGGCAGAGAAAGTCATGATTCTAGACCAAACTCTTCATTTCACCAGTGAGGAAACTGAGGACAAAGCAGGATCCCCATCCGGGGACCAGCCCAAGGAGACACGCCTACAAAGCCGCAGCACTGGGCAGCAGAGCCAGGTCATCAGGCTCACCACTGGGACCACCCATCAGGAGGCTATGACCACGGTTAAGTTCTTAGAGAAAAACAACTCAAAGAGAAGACTTTTAGGCCTCCGGGAAGGAATTATCTGGGAGAAAGAAGCCTTCCAAGAGCCCTTAAATGATTCTGCATGGCCTGCTCAGTTAGTTCAATGGCTCTCAGTCTTTCTGCCTCTGTTGTGGCACACTCATGATAAGGCACAATTCTGGATTCAGCTAAAATCCAGGAAGAGCTTTCTTATTGAAGAAAGTAAATGAAATATAATAAGGGTGAAATTAGCACAATGACTTTGAACCTACCCTGATCTATATTTTCAAGCGAAAAACTTTCACATTTTTTCTCTATTTTTTTTTTTCCTTTAACAAGTTAGTTCCATCTCTTACCCTGGTCCAAGCCCCTAAGTGGAGTGGGAGCTTGGCTCAGCATCCCTGCTGTATGAACCCACATCCAACCCACCCTCAGGAAGGCTCGTCCCTGCAGGGAAGCCAGACTTAGGAGGCTCGTGCCTATCTCTCAGGCTCCAGTTCCACTTGGCAGGGGCTTTCTGGCCTGCCTCTGTTCTGAGATGGCACCGAGATAATGCAGAAACCAGCACAATGCTGACAGCCTGCCCCATGTTTACAGTACATCTCAGCAATGTTCCCTAATGCTCATGTAAACAGACTGCATGGCCCAGACTTAGCGGCTCCAAGCACTCTGGCAGGGGCCCAGCAGGACTGCCACGTAAAACCCACTTCCCACACCTGAGCTTCTTGACCAGCCAAGGGCAACTCCTTAGAGAAGAGGCTTGTAGAGCTGAAAGGCACCCCACAGACCTCATGGCTATGCAAACATGCAGCCAATATGTAATTATCAGAACGCTGTCATGGACTATGCCTGAGCTGAACAAAAAGACACACTTGGCTTTAGTCTTCATGGAGCACCCAGTCTGGTGGGGAAAACAGGCCACTGCCATGCAGTGCCACCATGGTGGCCACATCAGGGCTGGGAAGAGGACACCATCCTCAATCTTGACTGAGAAGGCGCTTTCTAAACACTGGTCCCTCCATTTCCTAAGCTCCCCCTATGAACCCAGTGTGTCCGGAATTGGTGGGTTCTTAGTCTCACTGACTTCAAGAGTGAAGCCGCGGACCCTCGCGGTGAGTGTTACAGCTCTTAAGGTGGCGCGTCTGGAGTTTGTTCCTTCTGATGTTCAGATGTGTTCGGAGTTTCTTCCTTCTGGTGGGTTCCTGGTCTCACTGGCTCAGGAGTGAAGCTGCAGACCTTCGCGGTGAGTGTTACAGCTCTTAAGGCAACGCGTCTGGAGTTGTTCGTTCCTCCCGGTGGGCTCGTGGTCTCGCTGGGCTCAGGAATGAAGCTGCAGATCTTCGCTGTGAGTGTTACAGCTCATAAAAGCAGCGTGGACCCAAAGAGTGAGCAGTAGCAGGATTTATTGCAAACAGCAAAAGAACAAAGCTTCCACAGTGTGGAAGGGGACCCGAGTGGGTTGCCAATGTTGGCTAGGGCAGCCTGCTTTTATTCTCTTATCTGGCCCCACCCACATCCTGCTGATTGGTAGAGCCCAGTGGCCTGTTTTGTCAGGTCGCTGATTGGTGCGTTTACAATCCCTGAGCTAGATACAAAGGTTCTCCACGTCCCCATCAGATTAGTTACAGAGTTTCGACACACAGGTTCTCCAAGGCCCCACCAGAGCAGCTAGATACAGAGTGTCGATTGGTGCATTCACAAACCTTGAGCTAAACACAGGGTGCTGATTGGTGTATTTACAATCCCTGAGCTAGATATAAAGGTTCTCCACATCCTCACCAGAGCAGCTAGATACAGAGTGTCGATTGGTGCACTCACAAACCTTGGGCTAAACACAGGGTGCTGATTGGTGTATTTACACTCCCTGAGCTAGATATAAAGACTCTCCACGTCCCCACCAGACTCAGGAGCCCAGCTGGCTTCACCTAGTGGATCCCGCACCGGGGCTGCAGTTGGAGCTGCCTGCCAGTCCTGCGCCGTGAGCTCCCATTCCTCAGCCCTTGGGTGGTCGATGGGACTGGGCGCCATGGAACAGGGGGTGGTGCTCGTCTGGGAGGCTCGGGCCGCACCGGAGCCCATGGAGTGGGTGGGAGGCTCAGGCATGGCGGGCTGCAGGTCCCGAGCCCTGCCCCGTGGGAAGGCAGCTAAGGCCCAGCGAGAAATCGAGCGCAGCACCGGTGGGCCAGCACTGCTGAGGGACTCAGTACACCCTCCGCAGCCACTGGCCCAGGTGCTAAGTCCCCCATTGTCCGGGGCCAGCAGGGCTGGCTGGCTGCTCCGAGTGCCGGGCCCACCAAGCCCACGCCCACCCGGAACTCCAGCTGGCCCGCAAGCGCCGCACGCAGCCCCGGTTCCCGCTCGTGCCTCTCCCTCCACACCTCCCTGCAAGCTGAGGGAGTGGGCTCCAGCCTTGGCCAGCCCAGAAAGGGGCTCCCACAGTGCAGTGGTGGGCTGAAGGGCTCCTCAAATGCTGCCAAATTGGGAGCCCAGGCAGAGGAGGTGCCAAGAGCAAGTGAGGGCTCTGAGGACTGCCAGCACGCTGTCACCTCTCACCAACATGGAGATGAGCACTGGAAACAGCCCAGTAAATAAGACACAAGTCACCTGACATCTTTTTTGTGTGTTTTTCCTACTAACAATGCTCCCTTCTGTGTTAGTTGGCAAGTACTACCATGACAAAATACCATAGACTGGGTGGTTTAAACTGAAAATATTTTCTCATAGTTCTGAGGCTGGAAGTTCTGAGGCTGGAAGTGTCAGCAGCCTTGGTTTCTTCTGAGACCTTTCTCCCTGGCGGGTAGATGTCCACCTTTTCCCTGTGTCTTCACATGGCCTTTTGTCTTTTGCCCGAGCACCTCAGGTACCTCTTCCTCTTCTTATAAGAACATCAGTCAGATAGGATTATGGCCCACTCTAGCAGCCTCATTTCAACTGTATTGCATCTTTAACTGCCCTATCTCCAAATACAATCACCTTGAGGAGTGAATTTGAGGGGAAGATAATTCTGTCTATAACACATTCTATGTCTAGAATATGTTGCATTTTGAAGTTAAGAGAACATGTAACAACTTGTAAAAATGTGGGCTTTGGGGACAGGCAAACATGGGTATGACTTTTAGATCTGTCACTTACCTTCTGCCTGATTTCGGATGAGTACCTTACGGAGCCTCAGTTTTACTCATCTGTAAATTGAAGTAATAATGTGTGCATTACAAGTGTCTTGAAGGGATTAGAGGTTGGGTTGTAGAGAGTATTTAATGAATGCTACTAATGCTGCTGGTGGTACTTGTTAATGGCAGGAAAGGTAGTTTGGGGTAAGACGAGTTTAGATTTAGACTCAGATAATAGCAGCTTACATTTATGGAGCATATATATGCCAGGCACTGTTCTAAGTGGATTCACTCATTTAATTTTTAAAACAACACCAGGAAGCAGAAACAACTGTTATCCCCATGTTATAAATAGGGAAAGTGAGGTACAAGGTTAAGTAAATGTCTTCAAGGTCACAGACAGGTAATAAATGGAAGATCCGGAATTTGAACCCAGGCCTCCTGACCCCAGAGCCCACACAGTCAGTATTACTATAACTAAGTCATCTAGGACTTTAAACAATGTACTGAATCTCTATAAACTAAAGCAATATTCTCATGGCCTATAATTATCAAAAATTAACTTCTTAATTATGAGATGCTCACAAAAGTTTACTTCTCTTTTTGCTTGAACTCCAGAGATTTTTATTAGGGAAACAATAATGGTAACACTTTTCAGAGAGAGGAGCAAATATCAAAAATGGAACTTATCTATAAATTAAACCCCTGCCCACACCCCAAATAGAGAACAGAGCTTGAATCCATCCTTTAAAGCTCAGAATGTTGATTAAAATGCTTTTATGAAGTAGAAAAAAATAAAGCTAATATTAAAAAATCCTGTTTTATTAATCCCCAAAGGAAGGATTTTATTAATTCCTTTAGAATCCAATAAAAGTGTGTTTTTTTAATCAAGTTTGTTTTTCAATTCCTACTCAAGTGTCAAATCATAACAGAAGAGCCCACATTTCCTGAGAAGCTTCTAGGTACAGGGGCTGGGGCTGGAGTATGGGGGACAGACATGGACCCAGGCCGTTTAGACAAGCCAGCTGGATAAAAACAAACATGAAATATTAAGTACTATCAAGATGATAGGAAAAAGCAGTGCTCATGAGGGTGATTGTGTCTATTTTATTATTTTATTTTCATACAAACAAGAACTGTTTATTCCAGAACAGTGTCTGGCACATATTATATTAGACCTTGAATAATACTTGTTGAATAAGTAGGCAAAAGTATAATCATGGAGTGTCTTACTGATACAGTAAGAAGTTTGCTTTTAATTCCAAAACAACATCTGTATGGCTTTTAAGCAGGAGAGTAACATGGTCTTTATGGATTTTTTTTTTCCTTTTTCGTAAACTACCTTGATGGCATTAGGAGAAGGGATACATACATGTGAAAGGAAATGAAACAAGGAGACCAAGTCACTATATAGCAGGGGTGACGTTGGCCTAGACTAGGGGTATAGCAGTGCAGGTGGGAAGAACTGGATGGATCCAGGATATATTTGGGACCTAGGGTTCACAGGAGACTTTGTGGATTCGATGTGAGAGATAAAGGAAAGAAGGACATCAGTATGAGCTCCTGGCATTTCACTTGAGCATCTGGGTAGACAAGGTTATGGCATTTACCGAGATGGGAGTAATATAAGCATGAATGGATTTGGGGCTCAGGGAGAGCAGAAATTAAGAATTCTATTTTAGGTATATTAAGGATAAGGTGTCTATTAGACATCTCATGAAATATCAAATGGTTGTTGGGTGTGTAAACCAGAAGTTCAGAAAGATATCAGATGGTCAGTATATTGAGGCATGGAGGTGGAAATGCTGGGTGTTCTACCAGAATCATTTGAAGCAAGGGTAAGACCTACTCTTTCATGATAGCATCAAATTCATGCCTCAGCCAAACTAGAAATCATGGGGTGCTTAAAAATAGACAATATAAATCAACACTTGTTCTTCCTGCAGAAAATCCAACACATCCAAATGGGCTGCCACATCCTTTGAGGAGCTTCTCCTAGGCTTTCTAGCTCTCTCCCACATCCAGCAAGTTTTAGGTGAGACTCACTGGTACCCACATATAGTTAAAGTCCACCCTGCAAATTGTGGGTTTAATCAGATGCATGGCTTCATCGCTTGGGCTTAATGAGGTAAACCAGACCTCCGGTAATATCGCCTGTATAATTGACATGGTTCTCTGGGAAACATTACGCTTTATAATGAAAATACTGTATATAATTAGAATCTAATAGGAAGAAAATAGTAATTAGCCAGAATTAACTGAACAGACGCAATCAGGCAAATAAAGGTTATCCTCAGGAGAGGACCCTTCAGAGTTCAAACACACGTCCTATAATTGTAGAGAAGCCCCAGTAATTAAGAGTAATTTTTTCCCTGCATCGTGGTGGAAGAGTTCTTTTTTCATTTTTTACATTTTTGGTCTTCGGTTTGTGTGTGTGTGCATGTGTGTGCATGCATGTGTGTGCCTGCTGAGTGGCAGAATGAATTTGGCCAAGACATAAAAAGGATCTGGAAGGTCGCACACACAAAGCCATGAAAGTAAGGAAGGGCAAGTGCAAGGGCAGGGAACCTAGAGCCTAAAGTTCCAGGTGCAATGCTCTGTTATTAACTAGCTTTGTGACTTTGAGTGAGTCACTCCCCATCTCTGATTATAACGATAATAGTGGTTACTGTTTACTG
This sequence comes from Homo sapiens, assembly GCF_000001405.40. Classification (NCBI taxonomy): domain Eukaryota; kingdom Metazoa; phylum Chordata; class Mammalia; order Primates; family Hominidae; genus Homo; species Homo sapiens. Next base: position 119,874,083 of record NC_000009.12, read on the forward strand.
AGTGTCCACTTGCTATGACCTATCATGCTAAGTACTTTCCATATATTATCAATATAATCTTTGTATTCTTAACCACTGGATAAACATCCTCCCTTCTTTATTTGCTTTAAAGCAAAGACTTCTCTTTTCTCCTACATAAGATTTAAACCAGACAATTTTAAAATACTAATAACGACAATAAAAATTTTCCCCAGGGTTATTGTGAGAATCCACTAAGATCATGCCCTTTTTCAAGCTGTAAGAAGGAAGAAAATCAGACTTTATGAACCATTCGTTTACACCAAGAATTGTACAAGAACCTGGACTTGTCAGGCCCCATATCTGAGCTCCCTTCCTGCAATATCCACTCAGCATTGATGGCCTCTCCTACGGGCGTTATGATTAGGGTGTAAGCTTGTGCTACAAGGCTACGTTCACAGGAGTGCTCTCTGGAAGATAATGGAGTCACTCACCTGCTTCATCTGTGAGAGGAAAAGAGGGGTGTTTTGCTGGAGGACAGTTAGCCTTGAGTGAAGCCAGGGAAATTACTGTGTGGACCACGGTGAAGCAGGTCTTCTCTTGCCAGTCAGTGCAATGGCCTCTCCAGCACCACATGGTCCAGTTCTAAATGCAGGAATATGAATGCCAACAAAGAATGTTGTCCATGTTTAGCCCAGAGTTACATATCCCATTACTTGCCCCTGTACCATCATAGAGCCAGTTCTCTGAGCAGATCCAACCAACATTCATGAGCACCAACCCTGTGCTGGGCTCAAGGTGGGCACTAGAGGTATGGGGGCTGTCCTTCATGGAGACTGCCATCCAGGGAGCAGGGGTGGGAATGCAGGAAGGAAAGGAGACATATTGCATGCATGTCCCCAGAACACAAGCTGGAGTAAGTGCTGTGATAACAGCACCACCAAGGCTAATAGAAAACTTAAGGGAGCTATTGAATTCCTGCGAAGAATAGAGACAGATCTGGGAAGACTTCCAGGAGGAGGTGGCATTTGAGTAGGACCTTGCCAAGTGGAAATAGGAGAGAGGGAAACTCTGGGGAAAAGGACCAGCCTGGGCAAAGGCATGATGCCAAGTGGATATACAATATATATCATGGGAGAATGACTTGAAGCCTCTGATGTCACAGATGTATTGAGAAGCAGAGGTTTCTAGTCCTCTCCTAAAAGAGAGAGAACTGGGGATTTCTAAGGTATCTCTATCTACCCTCTTACTCACCTCTCCCCACAAGAGGAATAATGGATTTGATTGGTAAGGCTAAAGAGCAGCTCATCCCATCATCCAAAGGGCATACATGGGAAAGAGCAAGAAAGAATGGTGTCTTCCAGGCATGAGTAAAGATGTCTTTCATGGGGATCCTTTCACCTACCTCGGCCCAGGTTGGTAGGCTCTGGGCAGAGGGGCTTGCTCCTACAAGCTCAGGCAGACCTGTTTGCCAGCTTCTCCATCAGTCTCAGGAGGAAAGAAAGGTGGGTTCCACAGTCCTGATTCAGGAAAGAAGGTCCCAGTGCAGGCACATTCTTTTTTTTTTTTTTTTTTTTTTTTTTTGAGACGGAGTCTCGCTCTGTCGCCCAGGCTGGAATGCAGTGGAGTGATCTGGGCTGACTGCAAGCTCCGCCTCCTGGGTTCACGCCATTCTCCTGCCTCAGCCTCCCGAGTAGCTGGGACTACAGGCGCCCGCCACCACGCCCAGCTAATTTTTTTTGTATTTTTAGTAGAGACGGGGTTTCACTGTGTTATCCAGGATGGTCTCGATCTCCTGACATTGTGATCCGCCCATCTCGGCCTCCCAAAGTACTGGGATTACAGGCGTGAGCCACCGCGCCCGGCCGGCACATTCTTTAATCAAGCTCTACCATTAGTGAATCTGATTCTGGTTTTATTTCTTACCTATGTTTTTGTGTTCGTTTTTAAATTGACTGGATCTGGAGGAGAGTAGTAGCCAGGTATTGGCAGGCTTAAATCTCCCATCATGTGCTACTGGGTCAGTGCATGGTTTGGTGTGTTTAGATCACAGGGCAGGGTATGGATGGTGGTAGATAAAGCTGGAAAGGCCAACTTGTTTCTTAAGAAATGGGGGAGAAAATATCCAAATTATCACGTAATTTCAGTACCCTTCCTCCATACCAAATATCAACTATATTAAGTCTGAAATGTACCCTCCCTTTAGAGAAATGGGGCTCCACTCTTAAGATTCTTAGCTATCAATCTGTGTGTTGAGACATAACATCTCACGCCTCCCTCCCCAGCGTGCATCAATACCATATTGGTATTGGGGATATGCATGAGAGTAGAGAAAAGTTTTTGTAAGAGCTACTAGAGGGAAAGAATGAATGGATGGATACATGGCCATGGGACATCAATCTCTAGCTATGTTATCTGTCTTCAAAGTGATAATAATGTATATAGCATGTATTTATTAAACACAACATGCAAAGCTCTGTAACAGAAGCCAGGGAAGCTATACAGAGGGGTTAAACATAGCCCGTCCATTTGAAGAATTTACCATATAGCAAGAGAGATGAGATTTCTATAAAATAATTATAATACAAGGTGAGAGGAAATAGGATAATTAGTTTAAGTGCTATAAAGTGCTGTGGGTATGCAAAAGAGAGAGAAAGATTTCTTTGGCAAGAGAATTTAGAGAAAATTTCCAGGAAGAGGTGGTGTTGAAGCTGAAGCTTGAACTCTAGGGTGTATATGGAAATGCAGACATAAAAGGCGGGTCTTCTTCATGGAGAAGTGTCTCAAGCAAGAACAAGGGAGTAACAAATATGAGGAGGAACAGGAAGTCATGAGGACCACTAGCTCATATAAAGAAGCATTCTGAAAAATATATGGAAGCCAGATCTTGCAGGATCTTGAATGCCAAATCAAGGTGGACTTTGCCGCGCATTTTGAGTTAAAGGCATGACTCAAGCAGAGTAGTATCCTAGTGCGATTGATTAAAGCAGAGTCCCCTAGAGGATTGGAGGCTTGGTCTCCTTCCTGGAGCAAGTCTCTGCCTGTGCTGAGTGCTGAGTGATGGGAAGCGGAGTCACAGGATGGTTTTGAAGATTACCATGTGCCTCTGCCCCCTTCCTTTTCTCTGCCAGAAGAGGGACCCAAGGCAGCTCTGATGATCACAGGTGAAACCCTCTTGTCTGGGCCTCCTATTTCTATTATTAAAGCCACTTAATGCCTAATTACTCAACCAGCCACAAGGCCTTCAGAGAGCTCCTTGCCAGAGAGCAATCGGATTTGTCAGACATTTCCAAAAGCACACAACTCTCTTGGAGGTCTCAGAATAGCTATGTCAGTGGCCCTAATGGAACATAATTTCCTGTAAAGGAAAACTAATTTAATATTTTCAGGTATTATGTAACCAAGTGCCCGCAGAGAGAGGGAAGACAACTGCTAACGAGAAACAATGAGAGCTCGGTACCCCTGTGGAATCAGAAAGCCTGCAGGTCTATTTAATGCTGCAAAGGGGACCCACGGGAGTGGCTGATTGCAGAGACAGGGGTATAGTAGTGTAATGGTGAAGCATGTTGGCTTTCAGCCAGGCTAGACTGAGGTCTGCTGCTTACTAGCTGTGAGACCTTGGGCATACTACCTAACGTCTCTGAACCATGCTGAAGTTTCATCATCAGCAAAATAAGAATGATAAAATAATCCTAACTCATTTGGTTGTTGTGAGGACTAAAAAGAATAATGTATGCAAGGTGCATAGCACAGTGCCTGGCACTTAAAAAGACATTAAATAAATGGCTGTTACTACAGCTGCTGTTATTATTGATCAGAGTAGAGTTAAGGAAAACTTACTTTCCTCTCACTCCTCATTTTGGAAGAAGGGATGGGGTCAGGATACCAAGCACCCAAACCTTGTGGAGTAAACAACATATAGTCACAGGACCATCCTACAGTTAATTGTCCACTCCACTACCACCCTCACACCTCATCACTTGAACAATTATTAAAAGGACAAACAAATCTTTCATCTCTTGCCTGGATCTTGGATTGCAATGGCCTCCTTATTTCCCCACCCAGTGCCATAATCACCTCCTTCAGGCTATCTTCCTTACTGCAGTTAAAAGATATTTCCCGAACTTCCATCTGATAACATTGGCCCTCTGTTTAGAGGGCATAATAGAATTTCTCAGATCTAAAAAATTCAAATCCAAACTCTTATCCTAGCATTCAAGGCCCTGCAAAATGTGGTCCCAGCCTTGTCTCCCTGAGAGCTCCTGTCCTGTCTCCTAATCTTCTAACACACCATCTTCTTGCCATTTCTCTACTAAGAGCTCTCCCTCTCCCACATATGCAGCCAACCTCAAGAATCATGGCACTTTTTCCTAGCAAGTCAGACACGACCTCAGAATCTTTCTCAACACGGTGTTCCAGGCAGTCACAACCAACTGATCATGTTTGGGACAAAACATTAAATCCATTTGCTGGTCTAGAATAGCCTGGGTCTTGGCCAAACTGATTCAATTTGGTCCTCAGTCTCAGAGACCCCTGAAAACTGATTTAGCCAAGCTCTCTAAATTGATCACATGCCTTTGGGCCTCTCCTGAGACAGAGAAGCCTCTTTCCCACGGAAGGCTCCCTGTACCTCTACCTATACCAGACCCTAGGGCCCTAAATCCTCCCTCCTATGACACAGCTTCACTCTGGGGCAGGTAAGTAGTCCCTTGAACTCAGCGACATAGTTTTAGCTGTCCCTTCTGCCACTAGTCAGCTGGACCCAGATGTTTCTCATGGTCCTAGGGATCCCTTGTACTGGCTCTCTCCAGGATCCAAGGAGATGCTTTTTCCTCAGTCTCTGAAAAACCAAGAAAGACTGCTCTACCACCAGCAGCAAGCTTAGGCTCTAAGAATAGATACCTTCAACTCAGGATCCCCCACCCCCAGGATAAAATCCTTAACTTCTTAACGTTTTATGAACTAGTATACTTTCCTGAAACGCCTAGATCCAATGTCAGATTTCTACAGCCTTCTCAGCTGAGAAGATTGGAAGCTGTTTTAGCTGAACTCCTACTGCAGACATTCCCGAGGCTGCCCAGAAACCCGCCAAAGAGACCTCAGGGTCCAGTGGAGCAAGGCTAAACCACAGCCTCCAGTGTAGAAACTCTCCATCCCTGGCGAGGTTTTAAAAAATGCCAATGCCTGAACCCATCCAAAAGAAACTCTAATTTATTTGCTCTCATATACATATACATAAAGGACAATATACATCACCTTTAAGAAAAAAAAAAAAAGAAGCTCCCAAGTTGCTTCTAATGTGTACACTCTCCTGTAAACAGTCACATTCATTCAGAAATATTGACAACTGCCAACTACAGATGACAGTGGGAAAGCCCTATATGAATATCCTCTGGACAATGGCCCCAGCATTCCTTCCAGTCCTAACAGGGTGGAAAGGACCACACTGCTGTCTGAAACAACTTAGGAAACATTAGAGATGACACCAAAAGACCTGGAAGGCAGTACTTCAACCCAATGGGGAGTCCTAACTGGAGCTGATGCCTAAGCCTATATTCATTCATGCATGCAGTATTCATTCATTCATAAATATTCAGCTCTTATTATGTTCCAGGCATGGTACTAGGACTCAGGTGATGGCTCCAGCTCAAAGAACCCCTGATTCTGAACCATGATCCCATGTTAGTGGCTACCGGAGGTAGTTTCTGAACCTCAGCTGAGAACTCCAGCAACTTTCACTAAATTTTGATACCTCAAAGGCAATAATTGACCAATAACAATTATTTTTATTATCCTTAGGCTCTTGAATAAGAAATTATTGAGTGTTTACATGTGTGGCAATCATACTATGTTTTATTTACCAGCCACCATTTTGCAAGATAAATTTTGTTCTATACAATTTATAGGTGAGAAGATAAAGAAGTTGAAAGAGGGAAAGTAATTTGACCAGGGTTGCACAGCTCTTAGAGAGTTGAGCTGAGATCTGATCCCACATCTGTCTTTACCCATTCTGGCATATTATGTGAGTCGTGCATATTTCCTGATTCAACCAAACACTACCAACAGGTATTGAGCACCTTCTCACGTAAGACACCGCAGGAATGAATATTCAAAACAAACCTGTTTAGCGGTCATCACTTTTATCATTCAGAGCAAGAATCAAAGAGTCATCAAACCTCTTCTGTAAAGTCACATTATAGTGATTTGGGGCTCTGTGGTCTCTAGGGTCCCTATCACCATTTACTCTCCTCATGTAATCCAAAAACAGGCACTGACAATACAAAAGTTTCAATAAAACTTTATTTTAAAAAAACAGGTGGTGGGTTGGATTTTGCCCATGGTACTTAGTTTTTTTACTCCTATCCTACAGAAAAGGAAACTGGGACTAAGAGAGGGAAAGAGACTTGCCCAAGGTCATCCAGCTTCTAAGCAGTAAGCCAGGCTTCGATCCACATCTATAGGATTCCCCTGCTCATTCTCTCCTCTTCACTACACTGCCTCCCCAAAAAACCCCAGGGACTCATTCTTTCATCATTTAATCTTCCTCAATCCTCTAAGCTTTATCTGTTCTGATTAAGGCGAGCTTATTGTGCTCGAGATGGGTTATTGCTCTTCACAGTTCTCTCTCAAGAACATAAGAACAAATCAATCTTTCTGTCTTAATAAGTTGATAATGATTGTGAAATATTTAATGTGCTCAGTGCCATCCTTGATCTTCAGGCTTCAGTCAGAAAACCCTTCCCTGTCCTTTCCTCTCTCAAACATTATGCCCTGCATTTGTTTTTCTTTGCTCTTATTGTGTGTAAGACAGTTTTTGGGTTTTGTGGGTTTTTTGTTTGTTTTTACTGTCTAATAGCATATTCATTCCTCTCCTTTTGTCACCCATTTTCTCCCTCTAACATCGAATTTTGTCCTGGCTAAAAGGTGATTGCTTTCTGCTCATCTGGCTTTTTGGCCAGTATTTGCACTTGCCCATCACTTTGCATCCCTATATTTGCTTTTGTAAAATATCCCAGGACTCTGAGATCTCAGAAGGCAGCTATCTAACCCATCCCCCTTCCCCAGGCAAGACTTCATTCATTTATTTATTTACTCATTCAGTAAATACTGATTGAGCATAATCAGGTGTGGGTGATAGAATGAAGGTCAAAACACACATGGTCCTAGCTCTCATGGAGCCTACAATCTAGTGGGAGAGATCAACGTTAATGAAATAATTACAAAATATATAGTCTCAATCTGTGAGGCTGAGCAACATAATAACAGAAGGGACGTAATTTGTCTCATTGGTGAGAGTCATTAGGCAGGGGTTGGAGAAAGACCCCATTAAGATGTATGAGCTGAATAGAGATAGGAGATTGGAAGGGGACTCCTTAGGAGGACAAAGAGGAGAAAGGCTCTTTACCCAAAACCAGCTCCTCCTACCTGCTCTTTAAGGCTTTATAGGGGAAAGGCATCTACATTCTCCAATTTAGGTGATCAGTTAACCGACTCTAGAGTTTGAAATGCTTCCTCTTGCTTTTGTAGCAGCCTCTTAGGAGAAGCGTTAGAACTGGAAGGGCCCTTAGGGATCATCTGGGGAAACTTCTTCACTTTACAAATGGACAGCTTGGTGCCTAGAGAAGGTGGGAGATGTGCCTTAGAGCGTACAATGACACAGTGGCAGAGCTAGGGCTCAGGCCAGAGTCCTCCTGTTCTAGTGTTCTTTCCTCAGATTCAGGGTGAAGTTCCATTACCACAGAGCTTTTTAAAGACAGTATGTGCATGTCTTTGTTATAGACCAATGGTTATAAGAGTAAGCACAATAGCTACCTTTTGTGAAGGGTTTGTTCATATTCCAAATACAGTTAACATTTTACACTCAGCTTTCATAGCATTGTCCCAGTAACCCAGTGGTACAGGGCTTGATAGTGGTTCCTTGTTTCCCCCGTTTCATCTCAGCTGGCTGCGCCCTCTGTTCAGCTGGGGACTGCAGGCCAGGAAACCTAAGGGAATCCACACACCCTGCCTGACTTCTTTGTCTGCACCACAGTAGGCAGAACACGATTGGCCGTTTAGACTGTGTAGGCCTGTGGGCCCCACTGCATACTAATCAGTCACTAGAAATAGATGCATTAGGGGCGAAAACATTTACTGGCAACACTATCTGGCTTCAATCTTTCACCTTCACTGGGTAATGAGATGAGCTAGAACATTAAAACCAACAAACAGCCTTTGGTGTTTACAGCAAATGTTTGCAAGAGCGTAGGAGCCAGAGGTGCTCTGGGGAACATCTGGATTTCTGGAAACTGTGTGATTACACAGATGTGTTAGATTCATCAAGCTATAAAAATATCCTGTGATGTATGTCATGGAAGAAAAGCAACTTCCCAAAATGGATTTGGTGCAAATTATCGATCATAGCAAAGACACCAAAGGAGGAGTGATGTGACTCCAGGCTCTGAGGAGACCCTCAAAGCCAGGGTGAAGTGGACACTTTAGAGAGTGATCTTGGTTGACAATGGAGGGTAGAGGTGGGGTCTGAGGATGTCAGGGATGTTCTTTATCTATTGATAATTCTCTCTGACTATGAATACCTATTGCATTGCTTGCACTGAGTTTCTGCTTTTTTATGTGCTCCAGGGTTTCTACATTGCTCACAAATATCTTCCACTGGCTTATAAAATTACATGAAATGTGCCCTAAAGCACTTTTCCAGGTTCATCTTCTGTAGCCACCACTACTACCAAAATAGGCATCTTCCTATTTCCCCAACCATGTCATTTGTCTTCATTCAAACCCACAGCACCATGCCTGACTTAGTCCCCTCAAATATTGTTTGTTTGTTTGTTTGTTGTTTGTTTTAATGGTTAGCAAATGAATCAGTGAATTAGTGACCTCTGGGCCTTTGCCCATGCCCATGCCCATGCCTGGACACTTCCTGAGCTCATGCAGGAGCTTCTCTTCCTCCCAAGCCTGAGTCCAAGGGGCATCTCCTTCAGATAGGACTTCATCACTCCTGCTAATGACCACACCCCCACACATGTTGCACAAACCTTTAGTTTATCCCATAGACTTCTTTTTTATTTCAGATGTGTCTGTCTTTCTTACTGTTGTATAAGCTTGGAAAAGCTGGAGACGCTGCCCTGTTCATTTTTGCAGCCTTGATGTAGCAAAGAGAAGCACAATGGTAGTAGGTGAGCTGCCACTGGGAACCCCTTCAAGAATGCAGAACTCTTTTTTTTTTTTCCGAGACAGAATTTTGCTCTCGTTGTCCAGGCTGGAGTGCAATGGCGCGATCTTGGCTCACCACAATCTCTGCCTCCCAGGTTCAAGTGATTCTCCTGCCTCAGCCTCCTAAGTAGCTTGGACTACAGGCATGCCACCATGCCTGGCTAATTTTTGTATTTTTAGCAGAGACGGGGTTTCACCACATTGGCCAGGATGGTCTCGATCTCATGACCTCGTGATCTACCCGCCTCGGCCTTTCAAAGTCCTGGGATTACAGGCGTGAGCCACCATGCCCGGCCAAGAATGCAGAACTCTTAACATGAAGTTCCAAGGGCTTGTGATTCTAAAATGAACTTCACCGTAGCTAGCAATGAACACACCTTATAGAAGTTTCATTCTCAAGGAAAGGTTCGGGGGGAGTTATTTCTGTCCATTTGGGAGCCAGGATTGAATGAACCATTCATTGCAATGGTTAAGCGTTAGATTCGTGTAAATGGTGATAACAGTGTGCCCCAGTGTTTATTGAAATCTGACAGTATTTTAGGAATATAGTTTTACAACACTAAATAGTTTGAGTAAAAAATTGTATGAGGCCAGGCGCAGTGGCTCAAGCCTATAATTTTAGCACTTTGGGAGGCCGAGGCAGGCGGATCATTTGAGGCCAGGAGTTTCAGACCAGCCTGGCCAACATGGCGAAACCTTGTCTCCACTAAAAATACAAAAATTAGCTGGGCATGGTGGTGCCCACTTGTAGTCCCAGCTAAACTCGGGAGGCTGAGGCAGAAAAATCATCTGCACCCAGGAAGTGAAGGTTGCAGTGAGCCAAAATTGCACCACTGCACTCCAGCCTAGGCAACAGAGTGAGACCCTGTCTCAAAACACACACACACATACACACACACACACAAATATATATATATATAGTATGAGTAGAAAATAAATAGTAAATAAACAGAAAATAAACAAACAAAACTTATGAATAGAAAATAGCATGATAAGAAAAATTAGGTGTATGTTATCTTTGCCTGCATGTTGATAGAAACTGGTTGCAGCACCAGTTGTAATGTTTGGGCAGACCCAGGTTTCCTGACCCTGTTTTCGGTCCATTTTGCCTCCTGCCACAGAAACCTACCAATGAAATTGCATGTGTTTCATCCTGGATAGTCCCGAAAACAGCCCCACCCCAGCAGAGAGTATTACCTGGGCAGAGCACATTTTCATCTGAAGGTCACAGGGCAAAGCAGAGAAAGACACCCATCTGAACTGCCTTCCCATGTGTGGATTTATGCGGAAGGAATTAGGAACCAGAATAAAGCAATAGAAATTCAGTTGGTGACCTGAGAATTTCTCGCATTTAGCATAACAACAGACATTCTTTTGAAGTTAGGTATTTGTCTTTCTCTTCCACCAAGGAGGAAACAGAAGTTCCAAGAAGTCAATCATGAATCCAGTATGAATCAGCACAGAGTGTAAATGCAAACCACACAGATTAGAAGAACACAAAAATATACAGCAATAATGTCTATGAGGACAAACCCTACATTGTAATGACAACAGCCACTGTTTATTTTGCACCCTGTATGTGCCAGGTCCTTAGGATATCTCCTGCAAGCTTAAGAAAATAGCCAGGGATATAATGTTATCTTGGGACAGCATTTCTCAAGGGGTGTTCTGGGAGTACCAGCATCAGAATCATCCAAGGGTTTTGTTAAGAATACTGATTTCCACTCCTAACCTTGGACCTACTAAATCAGAATCACTGACTGGAGGTGGGGTCCAGGAATCTGCATTTTAACATAGGCCCCCAAGTAATTCTTAAATACACTGAAGTATAAGCACTACTATGTGCATCAAAATCTTTCTAAGAAAGAAATAGCAAGTAACCCAGTGTTTTACCCATATTATGCCTGCATATTATGCGGAGTTGTAAATGTAGCTATTCAGGTTTAAGTTCAAAGAGCACAGTGTCCAGTTTATTCCACAGTGGGAGCTCAATTATTCTCCATATGCCCTTCCATAGCCCTTGCAAAGACCAGAGTTAAAAGAAACCTCTTTGACCAACAACCAGGAGCATCTGCCTCTGCGTGGAAAATATTTTATAACACAAATCCACAGCAGAAAGGAGCGGGTCACCTTCCAGCCCCTTCCATCTCCTACCCTCACCAGAGCCCCCCTCATTCTACAAATGAGACCCTGGAGGGCAGGTGGAGATGAGAAATTGCTTTACCAAGAGCGACTCAGGGAAATTAGGGCCTCCCTACCTTGGAGGCATCGAGAGACAGTGGACAAGAGCAGAGGGAAAGAGACAAAACGCCCATTCCAATAAGGAAACGGCTTTAATCTATCAAAGTAATTCTCCTTCTTTCAGAGGGAGAGAACATGAAATTGCACAAAATGACTTACAGAATGGCACCCAGTTCTGATTAGCGTGAGGCCCAGAGCTGTCTGTACTTAGTAAGTAAGGTAGAAAGTCCATTTGAATATTCATTTTAAAAATTCCCACATGAAAAGGAAGAAGAATGGGTTTGTCTTTTCAAAGAACAAAAGTTTTGGTGAAAGCACTTATTTGGAGAACATTATAGAGGAGATGGTGCTTAATGGGGACATGGCGAGCCTGTGATAATCAGAAAGGGTGGCATTTTCATTCCTGACACCACCATTTCCCCAGCTCTGTATCTCCCTGTGGAGTACAGGTTGATTCTAATCCCTGGTTGGATCTAGGTCATTTTAGGATCTAAACCATGGACCAGCAAAATTTTTCTGTAAAGGGCAAGATAGTGAATATTTGAAGCTCTGCATGCCATATGGTCTCTGTCTCAACTATTCAACTCTGCCTTTGTCACCTAAAAGTAGCCATAAATAATGTATCAACAAATGGGAGTGGCTGTGTTTCAGTGACACTTTATTTGTAGACACTAAAATTTGTATTTCATATAATTTTTATGCACAATAAATTCTTCTTTTAATTTTTTCAACCATATGAAGATGAAAAATTATTTTTAGCTTGCAGGCTATATAAAAACAGGCAATGGGCCAACGTGACCCTCAGCCGTGGTTTGCCAACCCCTGGCTAGACTCAATTTGTATTTTTTGCCCTATCTTGTGTTCCTTTTGTGGATCCATCGAAAGAAAGGGCTGTCTTACTGTGTGCAAGTTCTTTCATTTCCAGCTTCTGTACCATTTGCCTATTCTTTCTGCCTGGATTTTTCTTCCCTTCCTAAACATCCTCCCAGTTCTTCAAGCCTCCAACTCATCACCACATCCCTAGTGGCCCCTGAAAGACATGACCTTCCTGCAGACTTTATCTACAGGTCTTATCTCCTGTACCAGTCTTCAAACTTCTTATAAATATAACAACACCTAACACCTGCATTCATTCTCCAAATAATTCCCCACCACAAACCTCTGAGATAGGCACTGTTATTATTCCCAATTTACAGACCTGGGAATTGTATCTTAAAAATGGAATGGTAACTTGCTCGAAGTCCCCTAAGTGGGAGAAGAAAAAAAAAAAACCTGTTCTCTATATGTCAGGTATGACCCACATACCTGTGAGGAGACCCCATAGCTTCCAAACTGCATCCTGCACAGTGTCTCAAAAATAGGGGTACTCACTAGATGGTTTGTTTGCTTGAATGTTAAGGCTTATTTATCTTATTTATGAAGCATCAGGAGATTATTCATAGAAAAAGACTCTGCTGGTGAGAAATGACAAAAAAAATAATAGCTGACAATCTGACTTTAAGAGAGGAGAGTGAAACAAAGCTGAGGATAGTAAATATCAGCTCAATTAAAACATAAAGCACAGCGCCCTGGTACCATTCAGTGCAGGGTCTGGTGGCTCTGCATGCACCAGTGTCTCCGAGAGCTGTGTGCTAGGACCATGCAGCATGGAAAAATTGTTGTGCTACTCTGAGTCCTCACAAAATGGTAGAGTGAATGCCCTGCTTAAAAAGTCAGGGAGTACATGATCTGTTTAGATAGGTACCCAATCTTGTGGTCTTTTATATATATATATATATATATATATATATATATATATATATATATATATATATATATATATTTGTCTTTTTAAAAGGAATTCTGTGTTTGAAGAGATTGGCTTTTATAAATATTCCTACTCTGCAGAATCACCAATTCCCTGAGAATAATGGAGACCCAGTATTTTTCTGTATCTCATAATGCTCCAGTGAGACCTGTCTGTTTTATTGACTACTATATGCCTTCTAACTTTGCTCCAAATAGTCTTCCCTGTTCCTTGTAGATTCATATGTGCACATTCAGTACAAATCAACTAATATTTACTGAATCGCTGCTGTCTGCAATGTCCTGTGCTGGGTAATACTGATACGGAATCAGTGATAAATAAGACGGTTCTTGCCCTCAAGGAGTTTACAGTCTGGGAGTGAAGGAGTGAACTGAACTAGATGCCAACACAACTCATGAGCTATGCTTTTTTACTATGACTATGCCAAAAGAGTACAGTTTCTTCCAAAAGAAAAAGAACATATGATGGAGCAAGTCAAAAAATAATAATGAGCCCCTCTCCCCAAATAGCTCTGGTTTTCATATATATCTTGGTCCCTTGATCTTGTCCTACATATTCTTTTTTTTTAACAGATGGGGCCTCACTCTTTTCCCCAAGGTGAAATGCAGCAGCACACTGCAGCCTTGATCTCTTGGGCTCAAGCAACCCTCCTGCCTCATCTTTCTGAGTAGCTGGGACTACAGGCATGCATCACCATGCCTGGCTAATTTCATTCATTTTATGTAGAGATGGGACTTGCTATGTTGCCCAGGCTGGTCTTGAACTCCTGGGCTGAAGCCATCCTCCCCACTTGGCCTCCCAAAGTGCTAGGATTACAAGCATGTGCCACCACCGTTGGCCCTCCTTATTCTTTACTGTCTCTAAACTTGGGACAGCAAACTGATTTCCAACAAAAGCCCAATTCCTTCTTGGAATCTTCTGTTATTTGGTTGGATTCCTACCAGGCTTGTCCAAGACTTTCCTTTTGCTTCAGGCTGGCATGTGCTGTCTAACCTCTCTCTAGAATATGATCTCGGTGCATTCTGCATATCCAGGTTCGCCGCTCTGGCCTTGGTACTAGCAAATGTTGCCCAAACAGATGGAAAGAAATGATAAGCATCACTGTGAGCAGATATCACCTATTGCTAATTCTACATGAATCCTAAGCATCTACTCGATGTCAGGCATTGAGCCAGGTACTGGGGGTACAGTGACAATGATAATTCATGCCCCAGAAATGTTTACCATTGACATGAACAATTGGCACTATGCAATACGCTCTAAGATCCATTGAACACACTCTCCCAATGCTTCTACTTTGTCGTAGCCCTGGTGCTTAGTGCCAGAGTTCTGGGGAAGAATAAGACAGTCTTTCTTTCATGGAGCTCACTGTGTCACAGTAAACGTTCTGGAGTTTTTACTTCCAATCACATGGTAGTATTGCACTTCCCCACCCGCTTGAACTTCAGCAGGGTGACTTGACTCACATTAGCCAAACAAACATGAGTGAAAGTCACATGTGTCACTTACAGGCAAACACCTTTAAGGGCTACTATTAATTCCTATTGTTCCCTTCGGCCTATTTCATTGATTGTGGAACTAGAATTCAGGATGGAGCCTCCACTGGGCTGCCTCCTTGAGTGGCTTGAATGCACGTATCCCACTCAGCGGACCCTAACTGGGCATGTAACGTGTTAGAAATAAATTTTTATTATGTTTAGTCATTGATATCCGGGGGGCTGTAGACTACTGCCATATAACTTGGGGCCTATCCTAACCAGTTCAGGGTGTATCCCCAAAGTACGATGAGAGAAGAGAAGAAAGGTCCAATTTGTCGTAACTGATTCAGGGAAGGCTTCCCAGAGGAAGTGATGCTGGAGCTGCCTGGACTAAAATAGAAAATAGAGGCTGTTGAGACAATAGCAGGGTGGTGGGGAGGCAGTGGGCATGCTCTTGGGCAAGTTACTTCACCTTACCTTTCTGAGCCTCAGTTTCCTAATCTGAAAGGTGGACATAATCATGTCTACCTCAGAAGGCTGTTGGGAGGATTAAATAATATTAATACAATATAGGTTAAGTGATTAGCATTGTATTATTACATCAGGACTTTGGGTTACAGTTAAGAAAATAGCAACTTAAAATATCTTAAGCTAAAAAAACTGAGGAATACATTGGCTTAAATAACTTTGAAGTCTGAGGAATAGATCTGACTTCCAGAATAGCTACATCCAAGGACTATGTCATTAGGTCTCTCCTCCCTCTCTTTCTCTCTCTTCTCTCTGTCTCTCTCTCTCTCTCTCCACTTTGACTATTGTTGGCTTCGTCTGCAAACAGGTATCTTCCACAAGGCTGAGTGATAACTCTGGGAGGCTCCAAGCTAAGATGACTCCAGAGCCCCAGAGCAAGAATGAGGTTCCCCTTCAACATCTAAATTGAGGTTCAAAAAAAAAAAAGACTCTCCAGCCCCAAACCAATCACTATGCACATCTTCAGAGGGAGGGAACTGGAGTACTCTATTAAGTATCTCAAGTCATCTTGTCAGGGCTACAGGATTGATAGCTTCACCAGTTTTACATAGAGTTGGGGAGGGGGGTCTGTTCCTCATAGGAGGAAGTGCTGTATGGAAGAAAATTGAGAGATGTCTACTAAGTTGATTGCTCTGGGATACAGGAATAGCATACAGAATGGGACAGCTTGATGCAGCATAGTATGTACAGAGTAGAAAAACAAATCTATCCTTGCTAGAGCATAAACTGCTGTATGTGTTTGTGCACATACACACATGCATGCATGTGTCCATATGTGTGCATGCGTATGCATGCATGTATGTGTGCATGTGTGCTCACATGTGTGTGCATGTATGCACATGCATTGCATATGTGTGGGTGTATTGCATGTTTGTGTGTGTGCATGTAGTATGTGTCCTGTGTGACTGTGTATGTGAGCATGTGTGCATATATATGTGTGTGTGCATGCATGTGTATGTGTTTGTGTGTCTGGTAGCAGAAGATGGCAGGTGATGAGGCTGGACAGGTAAGCTTGGGTCAGAGGATTCACTGACACATCCTGCAGGGCTATATCTTTAAGCCACAAGACTGGGGATAGAAGAGGCATTCTGGGATTCTAAAGCATTCAAAGCCAACCAGCAGGTATCATGATGTCTTAGGACTCATTGTAATCTGGAGAATAAAAATGACCAAGGAACATAGAGAATGCAGAGGAAACTGAGGATACTGAGTAACACAGACACCTCCCAGGGCTGCGCCTGCTTC
The DNA here is from genome assembly GCF_000001405.40 of Homo sapiens. Lineage (NCBI taxonomy): Eukaryota > Metazoa > Chordata > Mammalia > Primates > Hominidae > Homo > Homo sapiens. Next base: position 119,890,553 of record NC_000009.12, read on the forward strand.
CCATGGGCATGCTGCCCTGGAGCCTGTTTTAGACAGTGACGCAAGGTTTCCAACAGCACCTGACAAGCTGGTCTCAGTTTTTATTTCTTTTCATTAAAATTATCAGTGGGTGGCCCACACCCTCATACCTTACCTGAAGGTACAGATGCAGGGAGCCACTGGGGAATAGACTCAAGAGAACATTGTGGGCTCCAGTCTTTTTTTAGCAGGAAAGAACACTGCCCAAGGCAGATAGGAGTCTATAGCACAAAGAAACAAACAGCATAGCTATTAAGCAGGTGGCCATTTGGCCAGGAGTGGGATAGAGAAGAGAACTTGAGTTGGGATCCCAGGCAGACTCAGGTTCAAATCTAACTCCTACTCCAATCTATGTTGCCACAAGGAAGCCACTTCACCTCTCTGACTTTTGGTTTTGTCATCTGTACAATGGGGACATTAATACCTTTTACTCACAGGATTATTTTGAAGATTAAATGAGAGCAATGTGTCTGAAATATACATTACAATCCCTGGTGATGGCTGGGGCCTATGCATGTTAAGTCTCCTCCCACTAGTCAATCTTAACTCTCAACCTCCTCTGGACAGACACACAGACCACTCTGTGTGTGGAAGGAAGGAAGTGTCTCTTTCCACTAAGTCTCTCCAGGATTTCCCTGAGTAGGTGGGGGGCCCTGCAGTAACCCGTCCTCTCTCTGCAGCCCTTCAAGTTCTCCATTCAATCATGAATCTTGTAATGTCATTGTTCTTTGGAGTGTCATTTTTGCCTTCTGTAAGATGAGATTTGGACTAAATGGGGGGTCTCAAACTCATGATCTAAGGGCCTATGTGCTTTGTTTGTCCGCATAGGATTTTATAACATCCCAATGGGAATGTTTTCAGGTATATATGCTCTACCAGCGAGCACAGTCCTCACTTATGTCTCCCCAACAATCTTAAATCAGGTATGTCACCCATCCAGCCCCTGTGTGTGCTTGATTCTGACCTCTGGATCAAAGCCATAATCTCAATGGCTTTCCCAGACCCAAAGTTCTAGATTCAGGGGTCCCCTTATCTCCTAAACAAATCATATTTATTTTTATCTTCACACTTATGCTCAGTTTGACCTGTCATCCTAGAATGTCTGACTTTCTTCTCCTCTGCTTCTACTCAGATTCTATTCATCTTTGACAGCTTTCATCATTCCAAAACTAACTCAATCTATATTAATTGAGAAACCCTTATGAAGCCAAAACTAAATTACAGTTTTCAGAGAATGCACATAGCAAATCTTGCAGGAAGCTGTCTTTAATGAACCTTATCCTGGGTTTATCAATCAAGTAATAATTATCATCCTCACTTTGTACTGTCTTAGCCGGCTGGCATACTTTTCCTCATATGATAAAATACCCCTGCTAGAAAAGTGCTACTATTCTCACTTTCAAGATGAGAAAATAGAGTTTCAGAGAAGTGAAGTAACTTGCCCAAAGGCACACAACTACTAAATAGAAAAGCTAAGGATGTAAAATCAGGCTTATTTGAGACTTGAGCCACTGATTTTCTTTTCTATTACAGCACGTAATGTAGTAATAATACCAAGGGTTGAAGAGTTCATTATATAGTTTATGAATATGTCACATCTCAGTTTGCAAAGGGCTTTCGCAAACATTCATTGGATTTTCACAACCTCAAGACTGAGACGATGTGGGAAATTCCCCCCATTTTGCAGATGAAGAAAGAATGCAGGCAAACTGAATCTTCTTTCCACCCAGAAGCAGCACTAGCTGTTCTCTAAGATGGAGGGAAGGAAGGAAGGAAGGAAGAGAGGGAGGGAGGAAGGGAGGGAAAAAATAAGTAAGGAAAGAAGGAAGGAAGGAAGGAAGGAAGGGAGGTAGGAAGGGAGGGAAGAAAGAAGGAAGGAAGGAAGGGAGGAAGGGAGGGAGGGAAGGGAGGAGGGAGGGAGGAAGGGAGGGAGGGAGGAAAGAAGGAGGGAAGGAAGGAAGGAATGGAGGGAGGAATGGGGGGAAGGGAGGAAAGAAGGGAGGGAGGAAGGGAGGGAGGGAGGAAGGAAGGAAGGAAGAAAGGAAGATCCCTCTTTCACCTCCTCCTCCTCCTCCTCCTCCTCCTCCTCCTCCTCCTCCTCCTCCCCTTCAGCTTGTGGCTGGCCTTAGGGGCAAGATTGAATTTATACCGATCTGCAAATATTTTCCCCTTAAGTGTCCATTTTCACTGGACATAAATTGGACTGAATTGCCTTTACCTGCCGGAGCTGGAAAACCTGTCTCTATAAATTGATCCCTTAACTCTGCCATCCTCTTGAAACAATTAGCTGCTCTCTGACAGCTTCCACCTCTCTGGGCATGCAGCAGCCCCTGTGTCACTAACACCAAGAATTTTCTCAAGAGTGGCCCACTTATTTCTCTATACCCCTCTTTTCTGGGTCCAGAGCAGGATGCAATTCCATTTCTCTGCATTCATGCACCCTGGATCTCTTCTCTCCCCATATCCAGCCATGGCATCCTGAACAAGTCCTCGATTCTGCCACTTCCTCCTCACCCTTGCTGTCTCTGCCTTTTCCAGGCTGAGATTTCACCTTCCCTCCAGTCAGCCCCGCTCCAATCTTCACACTTAGTCCGAGTGGTCTGTGTGTCTGTCCAGGGGTAAGATGGCAATTACCTATCCTCTTTTCATGGAGGGGAACAATCATGTCTATTCCCCTTACGGAATAGGAAATCTCTATTCTCAACTTGAGGAGTGGAAAAGGCTTCAACTTCCACTTGAGACAAGACTGTCGTGCATTCCCCTTCTGTTTGGGGGATGCGGGAAAGATGCAAACAAACTTCAGTAGCGATCATTTGCTGAACACTTACTGTATGCTGTCTGATGAGAAGCAGCATAGCATGGAGGTGAAGGTGGGCTTGGGGCTCAGACTGCCCCAGGTCACCTCCTGCCTCTATCACCCTCCAGCCAGAGGACTGGATATTTTTGCTTTGCTTCTTTGGATTCTTTCTGCCTTTCTCTACCCTGCTCTGTGCCCTGAGAGTTGATCTGTATGGTCCACTTGGGTTTAGCCAATGCACTGGAGGAGAGTAAGGGCCACAGCATCACACCCTGTCCCCAGTTCTTTGCCCACCTGGCCAGGACCACAGCCCCTTTAGGGAAGTCCTCTCTTAGGTCACAGCTACTTTCTCCAATTTCTGGTAACTGCTCCATCCCCTGCCCTTTAGCCTAGGGAGATTCACTATCCACCTTCCTGGTGCACCCCTTTTTAAGTAGGCCCTTCCTCAACTCTCCTGAGTTACCTTATCTGAGTGTGTCATCGGATGCCGGCTATGCATTGACTTCTAGAATGGGATCCTGGGCAAGTCACCCCTCCTCTGAGCCTGAGTCTCTTCATCTGCCAAAGGAGGATAATCAGAGGACAGGATGATGAAAGGAAGGGGGATGACCACATGGCTTTTGTGAGAATTAAGTAAGGAAAAGCACTTAAGCAGTCTGGCTTCTGGAATACACCCAATAAATACTAGTTGTTCTTCATATTTTTAAGCACCCAATGACACAGTGCTATCTCCATTTTACAAGCAAAGAAACTAATTCAAATGGAGGTCAAGTGACTCCCTGAAGTTCACCCTGCACTTAGCAGTGCCAGAATTCAAATCTTGGGCCATATAACTCCAGAGACTGAATTTTAGCCACAGTGCAATAAAGCATTGAATCCAATGTGTTGAGCCCCTCCCCTGAGATGCTCATATGGGGGCTACCTTGTTTGGTGCCTCAGCCTTAGAGGAAACCTGTTCTGTCTTAGAGGGCCCACAATGCACCTGGATAATTGTTCTATGGATGCTGTACTGAGGCGGGGGGGCGGTCCTCCTTGACCCCTGCAGGCAATCAGCTTAGCCCATGAAGCATGAGATTTAATTACCCTTATCTAAGCTTAAATAACTGTAAATGTTATTGTTGGTCACACGGAATTATCTCGCTCTTTGAAAACACTCAGCCATTTCCCTGACTCCGTGCTTTCCACAGGCAGGGAAACAATGCTGTTAATGTCCCACTGCTATTTGAACCCCAGTGTTGTGCAGACGGTTTGTGTGACATTTTGGGGCACCCAAGATGTCGCTTCCTGTTTGTCCGCTATTGGCAAGCGATGGCAGTTGGCTTAGTAGCTGGCACCCTGGGAAAGAAAGAGAGAGAGACACAGAGCTGACATCCAAAATTCCCCACTTGGTGACTGGAAGAGGCTGGGAAAGTTGCTGAACCTCTCTGGTTTTCATTCTGTGATGTGTCCTCAGCTAGTCTCTGTGTTGGTGGTTTCTGATGGGAAGTAGAGAGTTTGAAGACAAGTGCATGGCAAAATGGGAAAAGCTGGGACAAGGATTTGGACTCACCACTGGGGATGCATACCAAGGAGCAAGGGCTGGAAAGAAATCCATGCCACTGGGTACAGTGTTAGGAGGCAGTGTCGAATTAGACAGATGTCAGTGCAGACTTGGACAGACCCTAGCACAAGTCCAAGCAGGACCAGCTGACAGCTATATGAATTGAGCTAGTTGCACTTCTTCCCTAAGCTCTTTATTTTCTTTCTAGTAAAGTTAGGATGATAACTCCTACCTCATAGAGGTGTTGTGGATTATAGATAGATGGAAGATAAAAAATATAAAATGATTGATAGATAATACATAGATAGACAAATGATATTTATGTAAAGCACTGACAAATAGTAAAAACTCAACAATAGGAAGAATTATCATTTTGCTATTATTATTTATAACCATCTCCAGAAGATGCGAACAGGCAAGCAGCTTGGTGCCCAAGATGATGATAATGATGATAATGATGCATCATAAAAGTAGTTTTTAATGAGTTATAATTATCATCATTATCAGTATAGTAACTCATATTTCTGAATCAACTATCATATGTTAACCCTGTATTAAGTATATTAAGTGCCTGATCTCAAAGAATCTTTACAATCCTGCTTAGGAGAGAGGTACTATTGTTCTATTGCTGTCCTCATTTGACAGGTGAGAAAACTGAGGCTTAGATAAGTCAATTGATTTCCTCAATGTTGTCCAGCTAGTGAGTGGCTGGGTCTAGAAACTAGTTCCATTTGACCTGAGAGCTTATGTTCTTAATGAAGTGGTGTGGGGGCATGGTGATGGAGTGGTCAAAAACAGGCAATATTGAATGAACAAGAAAGCAGACAGCAATAGGGAAGTGTGGTACCAAGGAGCAATATTCAATACAGCAACCAGGAAGTTCCTGGAAGTCATAGGAAGAGGGTAGAGAAAGAAAAAGATAGAGCCCAATCCAGTAAGGGAAGACAGCTGTTAGAACTGTCAATGCTCATGACACAGCCTAACGTATCCTGCGGACCCAAGTTAGAAGCCAGAACTCCGTTCATCATGGTCACAGTTCAGAACAGCAGGGCCCTCTAGAATTTCTGAGTTACGAAGCAGGAAAACCAGAGACAGATAGACTTTGTTTGAATTCTGGATGTACTACTTACTAACCATGGGGTATATTGTGTTATTTGTCCTTTCTGGGCCTCAGTTTCCCAATATGTAATATTAAGTGGGTACTAATAGACAGGTAGCTGGCATATATAGATGGCATAAACACCATCATTTTCCACCTCTGCACTCACTGCAGACATCACTAATGGATCTCTGCACTCTTTCCAACTGTGTCATAACTGCAGAATTCTCTCAGAGTGCTCCAGAGATAGCCTCCCAATCAATCAATCAGAGTAGGCATTGGCCTGAACTGTATGACAACTAAGAATTCTTTCAGATCTAATAAACTATGATTCTGATACTTTCTTGATTGACTTGTGCTATCCTTGTCTTTCCTTCTTCACCTTAAAGATGGTAGATGGTTGAAGTATTCTCTAATGGTCACAGCAGTGAATAATCACAAAAATTTAAACCCAAACAAATGTCTTCAAATTTTTCTTATCCAGTTGTTTTCAAACTGCAGTCCCCAGGACTCCCTGTAAGCGGTCCAGGGCCTCTTTTGGAGATCTCAGGGACCCCACCTCTGCCTGACTCAGAATCTCCATTTTTTTCTCTTTTAATATATTGAAATTTCAAATAAAATATCCTTTCACTCATTCATTCATCCAACAAATATTGATTTGGAAGTAAAAGCGTTATGTTCTACACACAGCAAGGAAGGAGGGAAGGAAGGATGAAGGGAGATAAAGAGAAAGGAAGGGAAGGAAGGTGGTAAGGAAGGAAAGAAGGAGAAAAGGAGGGAAGGAGGGAGGGATGGAAGGAAGGGAAGGGAAGGGAGGGAAGAAGGAAGGAAGGAAGGGAGGGAGGAAGGAAGGAAGTAAAGAAGGAAAGAAAGAAGGAAGGAAGGAAGGAAGGAAGTTTGAAAACCACTGATCTAGCCCATTCTACAGATAGAAAGCCTGAAATCCAAGCACTGAACAAGAGTGGACCAAGGCCTTACAGAAAGTTAACATAGCTGAGATTTGAACTCAATTCTCCTAATTTCCAGCCAACTGAAAGCTCTTTTCAAGTGCCCCAGTCCCTTCTGTCCATAAGGTAGTTTAGAATAAGAGAGGAGAGGGGGAATTCAGACTCCTCTGACAAGAAGAACTGACTAAGCGGCTAAGTCAGAAATGAAATATTAAAGCTAAACCACCAATAGATGCTGCCTTCCAGGGAAATTCAAGCCAGAATAGCAGCATCCATCTGTATGAAGCCCTAGCCAAGATATAAGGCAAGAAGCCTGGGCTGTGTGTGCAGGTCAGGAAGGCATACATCTAACTCCCTAGCTATACAGACAGAGCTCATCCCCACTGGCAGGCCTTCCACTGGGCCATTTTATGATTGTTGCAAATCGAACTGGAGCCATCTGCTTCTTGACACCTATGGGTTCCCACTGGTCTTTCTACTGGCTTAAACATCAGCTCCTGCTCAGATCAGAGATGCTTCCAGAGGTTTATGGTACATCTGGCATCTAATTAAAGGCAGTCCTATCCCCTGTGGACAGATTCTTCCTCCTCTTAAAAGTTCAGGCACTCCTTTTTCATCCATACAATAATTCCTCCTCTCCCTTAATCAACAAACTTTTTAAATGTATAATCAAACACCATGCTAAGCCCAGGGAGACACTGACAGGTGACAGTTCTTCACCTGAGAAGTTATTGTCTCATTCAGCAGCTAAGGTAGGTGAAGGGGAGGTGACTTCTTGCTCTTCCACCAAGAGGGTTCAGAGAGCAACCTTCTCAAGGTCACCAAGTGCATCCGGTATAAAGACAGTTCCTCTATCACATGTCATCTCCTAGGGCTAAGTCAAGGATTGTCCAGGCCTCCCAATAAGTAAGCATGAGATTGCTGCAGTGCTGATATACACAAATGCCTGGAACTTTTCTCCCAAATGCAGTCCTCTTTTGGATGTTCATACACAGCAAGCTCTTTCTCACCTCAAAGCCTGGAACACTCACACCCATGCTCACATCCACCCACCCACTCGCCCAGAACACCCTCCACTCCCATTCGTTTCTTGGCTAGTTCTTCATTCTTCAGGTCCCAGCTGAAATGTCACTTCCTCAAAGAGGCTTTCCAAGAGACCCAGATCTAAACTTTTCTCTCATGTAATTTTCTTTCATAGGACTTTGTACTTTTACTTCACGAAACTGATCAAAATTTGAAATTTTTATGCACTTATAGATTTATTTGTTCAATGGATGACTCCTCCACAGACCAGAAAATCACTTGTTGCTTGAGTGAGTGAGTGAGTGATGTTACTAGTACTAGAACCCTCTGAAAAGATGTCTTGGTTTCTGACTAATGTAAGGAAGGTGGCAATTACTCCAGCTTGCTGAATCTTAGGAGATTTTATTGATATCAGAGGGAATGTCACATTCTCATCTCAAAAGAATACACTTTGGTCAATTCTTGTGTAAGTCAAAACCACAATAACATCAACTATGAAAACATTTTCTAATTTCAGTGTTGTATAACTCTTCTCTGTTCAGCAGCCCAACCCCATCTCCATGACAACCCACATTCCAGTACCAGCAGAGAGGATGTTATCACAGGAGACAGGAGGAAAGGTCTTCCTAGAGCCACCTTGGCTGCACTAAGGTGTTTGTCATCAGCCATTCCTGCTAGGTACTGTGCTTTTTCTGATGGCTCTTTGCATCTTTTGGCATACACAACCCATCTATGAGAGCCCTGGGAAACAGGCTGGATAGATCTGAGCCCTCCTGGCATTTGGCTCCAAAGACATCACCTGGTCCTCTCTCATAACCAGCATGGATGGGTCAGATGGATTGCTGTAAATCTTACATGTCTATGAGGGAAAGGTAAAATGTTCTTCTTTTTCACCACCTTCAAAAGCCTTTTTATTTTATGTTATTTTTAAGTTAAAAATTTGTATATATTTAAGGGGTACAAGAGCACATTTCTTACTTGCATACATTGTGTAGTGAAGTCTGGAATTTTAGTGTACCCATCACCCCAATAGTGAACACTGTACCTAACAGGTAGTTTTCCAAACCACATCCCCCTCCCAGTCTCCCACCTCTTGGAGTCCCCAGTGTCTATTATTTCACTCTGTATGTCCATGTGTACCCATTTTTTAGCTCCCACTTGTAAGTGAGAACATGCAGTATTTGACTTTCTGTTTCTGAGTTGTTTCACTTAGGATAACAGTCTCCAGTTCCCTCCATGTTACTGCAAAGGCATGATTTCATTCTTTTTTATAGTTGAGTAGTATTCCATAGTGTGTATTACCACATTTTTTTTTATCTAGTCTGCCATTGGTGGACATTTGAGTTGATTCACATCCTTGCCATTGTGAAGAGTGCTGCCACAAATATATGAGTGCAGGTGTCTTTTATATGATGATTTGGGAAAGGTAAGAAGTTCTAAGACAAAAGGAGGTCCAGGGTATTACTAAGAGACCTTATTAAACAGGAAAGAAAACATGGTTTGGGAGATGCCTATAATAGTAACTGGCCCCAGAAAAAAGCACAAGGGGACACAATATTATCCAAAGTGGATTAGACTCCTGAGGATCTTTCTACCTAAATGAGGAGCCCTCCCTCAATCCTGGGAGAAAGCCCCTCAGCAGTGATGATGGTGACAATGCCAGAATACTGTCCATAGTTGTGCAACTTTGTACTGAGTATTCTATTAAATCCTTTCCACAGCCCACCTCATTTACCCTTCCTAACACCTTAATCAGCTAGATCTGATTATCCCATCTATTAATGGAAGAATGAGGATTCAGAAAAGGGGAGTGACTTGTCCAAGCCACATGGCTAAGTGAGATGTGGAACTGAGTTTAGAACTCATTCAACTTTACCTAATTTCAAAATACATTCATTTATTCATGCCATATATATATTTATTTATTAAGCACCTATTATATGACTAGAACACTATTCTAGGCCTTGGGATTACATTACCCAAAACAGAAGACAGATATTTCTGCCTTCATAGAGCTCATGTCTGGTAACTAGTGACAGAGTTCATGAATCTATCTATATGGCTCCCATGTTACAAAGTGAGTCTGAGAGAGAAAAAACACCTTATTTGGGCTCTTGGTTTCAATTTTAAATTTTCTTTTATTATGATTATGATTATTATTATTATTATACTTTAAGTTCTGGGATACATGTTCAGAACAGGCAGGTTTGTTAAATAGGTATACATGTGCCGTGGTGGTTTGCTGCACCCATCAACCCATCATCTACATTAGGTATTTTCTCCTAATGCTATCCCTCCCCTAGCCCCCCACCCACTGACAGGCCCCGATGTGTGATATTCTCCTCCCTGTGCCCATATGTTTTCATTGTTCAGCTCCCATTTATGAGTGAGAACATGTGGTGTTTGGTTTTCTGTTCCTGTGTTAGTTTGCTAAAAATGATGGTTTCCAGCTTCATCTATGTCCCGGCAAAAGACATGAACTCATTCTTTTTTTATGCCTACATAGTATTCCATGGTGTATATGTGCCACATTTTCTTTATCCAGTCTATCATTGATAGGCATTTGGATTGGTTCCAAGTCTGCTATTGTGAATAGTGGTGCAATAAACATACGTGTGCATGTGTCTTTATAGTAGAATGATTTATAATCCATTGGGTATATACTCAGTAATGGATTGCTGGGTCAAATGGTATTTCTGGCTTTAAATCCTTGAGGAATTGCCACACTGTCTTTCACAATGGTTGAAATAATTTACAGTCCCACCAACAGTGTAAAAGCATTCCTATTTCTCCACATCCTCTTCAGCATCTGTTGTTTCCTGACTTTTTAATAATTGTCATTCTAAGTGGCGTGAGATGGTATCTCATTGTGGTTTTCATTTGCATTTCTCTAATGACAAGTGATAATGAGTTTTTTTTCATATGTTTGTTGGTGGCATAAATATCTTCTTTTGAAAAGTGTCTGTTCATATCCTTTGCCCATTTTTTGATGGGGTTGTTTTTTCTTGTAAATTTGTTTAAGTTCCTTGTAGATTCTGAGTATTAGCCCTTTGTCAGATGGATAGATTGCAAAATTTTCTCCCATTATTTAGGTTGCCTGTTCACTCTGATGGTAGTTTCTTTTGCTGTGCAGAAGCTTTTTAGTTTAATTAGATCCCATTTGTCAGTTTTGGCTTTGTTGCAATTGCTTTTGGTGTTTTAGTCATGAAGTTTTTGCCCATGCCTATGTCCTGAATGGTATTGCCTAGATTTTCTTCTAGGGTTTTTAAGGTTTTAAGTCTTATGTCTAAGTCTTTAATCCATCTTGAGTTAATTTTTGTGTAAGGTATAAGGAAGGGGTCCAGTTTCAGTTTTCTGCATATGGCTTGCCAGTTTTCCCAAAACCATTTATTAAATAGGGAATCCTTTCCTCATTGCTTGTTTTTGTCAGGTTTGTCAAAGATCAGATGGTTGTAGGTGTGTGGTGTTATTTCTGAGGCCTCTGTTCTGTTCCATTGGTCTATGGATCTGTTTTGGTACCAGTACCATGCTGTTTTGGTTACTGTAGCTTGTAGTATAGTTTATAGTCAGGTAGCATGATGCCTCCAGCTTTATTCTTTTTGCTTAGGATTGTCTTGGCTATATAGGCTCTTTTTTGGTTCCGTATGAAATTTAAAAGAGTTTTTTCTAATTCTGTAAAGAAAGTCAGTGGTAGCTTAATGGGAATAGCATTGAACCTATCAATTGCTTTGGGCAGTATGGCCATTTTCACGATATTGATTCTTCCTATTCATGAGCATAGAACGTTTTTTCATTTGTTTGTGTCCTCTCTTATTTCCTTGAGCAGTGGTTTGTAGTTCTCCTTGAAGAGGTCCTTCATATCCCTCGTAAGTTGTATTCCTAGGTATTTTATTATCTTTGTAGAAATTGTGAATGGTAATTCACTCATGATTTAGCTCTCTGTTTGTCTATTATTGGTGTATAGGAATACCTGTGATTTTTGCACATTGATTTTGTATCCTGAGACTTTGCTGAAGTTGCTCATCAGCTTAAGGAGTTTTGGGGCTGAGACGATGGGGTTTTTGACACTATGAAGAAACTGCATCAACTAATGCGCAAAATAACCAGCTAGCATCAATTTTAAATTTTCCCACCCACCACTATTACTCTGCTATTCTCATTTCTAAAAGTGGGGCATACACAGAAGCCAGAGGATTTAGCCACGTTTCAAAGATCAGACCCCTGGTAGAATCTGGAGTTATCTTGGGCTGTTTGCAACTGCAGACAGCTGGGCCAGGCTTGCTTCAGTGTTGCAGTTTTTTAAGTCTTTGAGGGGCTTAAAGACTTAAATTGTCTCCCACAAATCTAAGGGAGAGGTATTGAATTTGCAGGAGTACTCAGGGACCTGCCAGGACCTGTGTATTTCAAGCGTGTCCTTTGGCAAAGCTCATCCATTCTACGTGTGTGCTTTCTCAAACCGGAGATGACTTATACCTTGCTGATGCCCGATCTAGCCCTGCCCATCCACCTACTGACTTACTGCCTTCATGATCCTGCTCAGGCATTCAGGAATACATGAACTGCTGCTATTTGACCTCATTCTGTGACCTAAGCAGGTCAGCTCCTCACTGAGCTTCTGCATTTGCATCTGTAAAATGGGCAAGTTCCAGGTTCATTTACAATCCTCCTAGCTCCAATAACCTAAAATTACTCAAAGGAATGGTGAGCAGCAGTTTGGTTGGCTTGAACAAAGAGCTCATTGAGCAACCTGCCCTGCTCCTTCTTTCTGCTCCCTGATCCCCTCTGTACACCTCTCCTCCCCACCCCCATCACCGCCCATCCCCATCAACTCGAGCCTCACCATATGTTGCCTTGTTTTTTCTGAAAATCAATCCTAAGGTGGCAGCTTTAACACTCTCCACTCCTGCAGCCTATTTTTACCCACCAGGCAGCTCGCCACCTGTGTGGCAGACGCCAGCATCCCCAGCTGTGAGGAGCACAGCTCAGCCTCTGCTTTTCTTCCTCTAGGGCCCCAGAAACACCCCTCTTCCAACTCAGGTCAGCCTGAATGTGTACTCTGGGGTCCTCAGCCAGAGGCTCTATCTCCTCAGGGTTCCTGCAGGTGGTAGGAAGAGTTTTACACAAACTAAAAAGGAAGGAAATGAGCAAAGAGGAATGAATAATGAAGGGAGAGATAGAAAAATAAGGAAAACAGACATAAAGGAGGAAAGAAGACCTCCAAAGACCATCTACCATGCCTAAGTCCTCTGTTTTGTATTTTAAATTCATCATTCCTTCTTTCATTTATTCAGGAAATATTTATGAGACTGTATTATGCACCAGGGACTATAATAGGCCCTAGGAATATAGTGGTGGACAAAAATAAACACATCCCTGACCTCATACTGAGGGAGATCAATTGCATCACTTAATCCTCATGACAAATTTATCAACTTTTAAAACCCCCATTTTTCAGATAGGAAAATTGAGACAGAGAGGTGAAGGTACTTGCTTAAGACACAGCAAGAAAATTTGCAGGGCTGAGCTTTAAATTCATCCCTGCCTGACTCCTAAGCCCTCATTCTGTTGCACCATCCTGCCTTCCATCCTCACTGAGGGGCTACGCTGAACCTGGGAAAAACTAGCAGTCATCTGGCCTGTTAGAGTGCGAAGGAACTTTCCAGATGATCTCACCTGTTGCAGGTGGTGACTGAGTGGGGCTGGTGGCATGGGCCATAAGGAATTCACTAAGACAGTTGTAGGTAAAGAAAGGCAGATTTATTAGGGAGATATGAAAATATGCTGCACAGGTGCAACAGGCAGGTCAGCAAGAGAAAAGCTGACTACAAGGATACAAAGGCTTGCTGGGGATTTTATGAGATGGTGCTTATGCTGGAGAAGGCTACATGTAGTACTGATAAAGCCAAGGTTGCCGTGAGCTAACTTGCATTTTTCTATCAGTCGAGGGTCTGTTGATAAATCCAGTGCAGGAAGATTGTACGTTATTTGCGCAAGAGGGGTCAGTGTTCTGGACCATGAAGAAAGGCAGACTTACAGCTTATCTGCTTTTTCTTCTTGCTTTCTCCTGCTTCTGCCAGCCTGAATCCTTTTCCCTTATTAGGACTCCACATCACCCAGTGGTTTCATTGAACCAGGGGAAAAATTGAGGACCAGAAAGATTATGTGACTTACCGAAAGCTACAAAGCTCAGTAGGATCAGGGGCCAGGACTGGAACTGGGGTTTCCTGAGTCCCAGACATCTGCTCTTTATACCACACTGTACCATATTTCTCTTCTTTTCCTTTATTCTTCATATAAAATATATGATATTTTTGATAATACAAAGCAATGTATTTTCCATTCCTCTCAATTCATAACACACTGTCATTCCCTAGCTATTGAATCCATGTGTTTCATGCAGTGCTTCACAGAGAGGACATTACTAGCTAAAATAATGAAGTTACAGCTCAACTTAAATGTTCAAGTTAGATTTTTTTTTTAAGTAAAACAATAGTCTTCAGAGTTTGTTTAGAAAGAAAAGGGATTGCTAAATTCTAAAAGCTACCATTAGACATCAAGAGCCCAACCAGGACAATTTAGCATTAAATTTTATTCCATGTCATGGGTAAACAAACAAACAAATTCTCAGGATATGACATAACTCAAGCTTCCACCAGATGGGAAGAGGAAGAGAGACATATTTTGCTAGAGATGAAAATTTGGAAGAGATAAGACACAGGTGGAGATGAGGTCTGGGTTCTTGGAAAGAGACTCAGAACCCCACCAGCCCCAAGTGATTCAACCCAAAGAAGGATCAGGGAGAGGGCATAACACAGTAAAATCTCCATTACAACCCCTAGATATGGAAACAAAATAAGAAGGCACCCAGCTGCTGTTTGACTTCTTCACTGAATGCACTAAGACACAAGAAGGCAGGAACCCAGCACAGGTAAAGTGAAATCAACTGACCCCCATAGCCTATGTGTGCTCTGAGGGGGCCTCGAATGTCCTCCCTTTGTCCCCCAGGATAAGGCCCAGTGGTTCAACAAAGACCTGAGTTCACAAGGGGCCTCCCAGGTGAATACTTTCTATTGAAAGTATTTCTATCCAAGATCAGTGACTGATGCCAGCCCAGGCCCCAAGGCCCTGCAGGACCAGGCATATCACCAAGGATTGAGCAAGGACAGAGGCCAAGTACCAGAAACAAGTGGGGCAGACTCCCGACCCAGCAAAACCAGAGTCCACCTTGTGGCTCCAAGACCCCCTCCCTCTACTGGCACAAGGATAATCCTGCTTTTCCTTTCACCCCACCACTTTCATTTTGCTAAATTTCAATGTCTTCTTTTCTCCCAGTTAGAGGCTGGAGACTAGTGTGATATAAGAGTTAAAGAGTAATTAAGGAAACACTTTTTGGATTATTTTTAAAACCTTTGTGCCTTGGTTTATAAATTATTCAACCCAGGATATTTGTTTTGAAAACTTCTGATGGGAGAGAGGTGGTGTCAGAGATTAAAATCTAGATTTCTGGGTTCTCTGCTTTTTAAAGTCCAAATTCTCTCAGCCTCTCGATGTCTTGGTTTGTGCTGCCTTTACTTACTCCAAGAAAGCCAAAAGTTGGAAGAGACCTGAGAGCCATAATCAACATCCCCACCACGTCCCAAACACACATGCCTCATTTAGAAATCCAAACCCCGAGATCCACACCTGGAAATGTCCTGCCCAGGGCGACAAGGCTCAGAAGTGGCTGCTCTTGGATGTCTCCTGGTTTCCTGCTTTCAAGCCCAGCACCCCACCTGCCAGAGCACAACGCACTGCCTATACACATCCCTGGCTTTCTCACATTAACAATACTTTATTTTTATTTATCTCTTTTATGTGGGTCAGGATTTGTTTCTCTGACTAGGTGATTGCTAAGGACCCCTCCAACTGGAAAATTCTATGACTCATCCTTTGTCTTCCTGCATGTCCTTGAATCACTCCATTTAAAGTGAGCAAACACTTTGCTTGGTTTGCTTAAGCATTTGACTTCCAGGGACAGAATTAAACCTAAAGGTGTGGTGAGTGTCAATTTGATTAAATTGTTGTCAAAGCCCTGCCTGCTGGCCTTTCTGACAGAGACCATGAGTGATGTCCCTGTCCAGTGAACTGCTACACCACACCATCCCCATGGGCTGCATTGGGATTCTTGGCTAGGATACTCTGTCCCTATAAAAGCTTGCCTCATATCTAAGCCAATCTCCAGCATTCCAAGAAAAATCTAACTTCAGGATTTCAGCTCCATTAATTTAGACTTTACGAAAATTCAACGAGGTCTTTAAAAGTTTTGGTAAGCAGGACAGGAAAGAAGGCTAGTTAACTACCTTAACTGAGCCAACTATGCTGGGGCATTGGAACCATAGCAGTAGTGTGACATGAAGGTGAAGGCTTAAGGCTGGATTCAGACCTCCATTCATGTAGAGTTACTTGGCTAATTGCAAAATAATTCTCATATATTTGCTTTTAAAGGATCTCAGAAGAGCTATACTATATACAATTGTATTAGCTGAGTTTGAGTTGTGATGTGAATTTGTGAATTGATGAAAACTATTGTAATCAATAAATTATAATTGAGACTTTGGTAATACACAACAGTCTCTTCCTAATTTTTCTAAATGAACAAATCTGCTGAGCTTGCTGTGTACAAGCACTGTGGAGTGCTTTGAACAGTCCCAGGAAAGAACTCAGAATATCTGAGTTCTCATCATCATGCTCCCTAACTTGCTCAATGAATCAGTATATGCAATTAACCTCACCATCCTCTCTCATCCAGAAAATAAAGATACTCCTAGATATTACAGTGACTTCATAAGGCTTTTGGGTGATAGAATAAACTCATTCAATGAACCAGCCAATGAACACTTCATACACTGAATATCTACAATGTACAAGACCTCTGAGAAGATACAGAAAGGTATCATGAATTCATTTGTTCAATAAATATTAGTAGTATACCTCCTATATCCCATGCAAGGAGCTAAGCATTCAAGACACAGTGAAGAGAACATGTCAGATTTGGTTCTTGTGTTCATTGAGTTTATATTCTAGTGAAGGAACTTGATAATCAACAAGAAAACAAATAAGTACAGAAGATAATGGCACATTGTAAGATCCTGGGAGGGAAACAGCACTGTGACAGAGAACAACAAAGTTGAGGAAGATATATATGATTTAGTGTGAGTCATCTGGGGAAGCCTCTAGTAGAAAGTGACCTTTAACTGAAATGTGAAAGATGCAAAGAAGCCAGCCATGAGAAGAATGGGAAATGCTTGGGGAAAATTGTCTCCATCGAAAGGAATGGTAAGTGCCAAAACCCCAAGGCAAACTATAACAACACATTCCAGGAACTGTCAAAAGGGCAATGTGATTGGATCTTAGAGGGCAAGATGGAGTATGATTTATGCACAAATCTCATTCTCAAGATGTTTGCCATCCAGTAGACAAGATGAGATTATATAAGCCAAGATAATTTGGGTAAAATTATCAAAAAGGGCTAAATTCTGTGAAGGAAGAACAGATTAAGGGCTGCATATCCAGGCATGCAGCAGAACCCAGTTGAAGCCAATGGGAGAAATGGGGCTAAGTTGAGTCTAAGAGGATTACTCTGTCAGTTAGTTCTTGCACATAACAAACCACCCCATAACTTAGTAATTCAAAGCAACAATTATTTATTTATCACACAATTCTGGGTTGTCAGTTTAGGCTAGAATCAGGTGGACAATTCCTTTGGTCTTGGCTTGGCTGTCAGCCAAGGTGCCTCTACTCTCCATATGTGCCAGCCTCCATATGTCTCTCACATTCCTCAGTCAGGTGCTTGGGGGGGTCAAGGCCATAGTATAAGCACAAGAAAACCAATTATGAAAAAGATTAAGTGGGAGTAGGCAAGGATTCCTGAGGACTAAGATCAGAATCAGCACACTGTCACTTCTACTGCATTATATTGGCTAAATCAAATCACAAAATCATCCCAGAGTCAAAGACAGTGGAAACTATGAAGTTATAAAGATAAAGAATGCAGATTCAAATAGGCCACTAATTGGTGTCATTAGTGTAATTAGTGCACCAAACTTGCTTAATTAGAACAGCCTAAAGAATTGTAAGTGGATGCAGAACTCGGATGGTGGTTGACAGGAGGCAAGACTGCAGTAAGGGAGACAAAAACTATATTAAATTTGAAGACCGCAATGAAGAGAGAAATGGTAGAGTCAGCAATGGAAGTAGAAGCAAGGAGAAAAAAAAAGTGCATGTGACTTGAGGAATGGGTTAAGCAAGAGGCAGAACTAAATTTGTGCATATCCAAAGAGAAAACGTTGTTGATCCCCTTATTAAAAAGTGCCTGTTAGTTTCACATTTTATCTCTGGGTCTCTTTTGCAACCCCACTCTTGGTACTATTTCCATATTGTGGAAAAACTGTGGTCTGGAAAAAAAAGTCAACAAGGAGCTGTGTTTTTTTAGTTAGGTCTTGAACTATAGGTAAGATTTTATGTATAAAAATCCACTTTGGGCATTTATGGTATTATGGTTAACAATTATATTTATTTTTAGACACTGAGTTAACTGAAATCTTTTGTTTTTCTTTTTCTTCTTTTTTTTTTTTTGAGACTCAGTTTCACTCTTGCTGCCCAGACTGGAGTACAGTGGTGCAATTTCAGCTCACTGCAACCTCCACCTCCTGGGTTCAAGCAATTCTCCTGTCTGCGCCTCCTCAGTAGCTGGGACTACAGGTGCGTGCCACCATGCCCGGCTAATTTTTTGTATTTTTAGTAGAGATGGGCTTTCACCATGTTGGCCAGGATGGTGTGGAACTTCTGACCTCAGGTGATCCACCCGCCTCAGCCTCCCAAAGTGCTGGAATTACAGGCATGAGCCACCTGAAATCTTTTAGATCAAAGGAATCGAACTTGTGGATGTCCCAATTTCTTTAGCTCAATGATTTTCAACTTGCTTTAATAGAACTCTTTTTATAAAAATGCAATTTTACATAGAAAATGTAATGTTTTAATATGGAAAACAGATGAAAGCACATCTTCATAATATGCATTTATTTACTAAGTTCCTTTTTACAACACTTATTTAAACACCTCTCACTAAAACGATGTTTTATTCAATAAAACAATAATGCAAGGATTTTGGATAAGACTTATGGTCTTAAAATAGCTTGAGAAGCTAATATGCTTTAGTATTTTGAGTCACACATATTGAGAAAAATATTTCTCACAGGTAAGTAGTAGTACTCAATTACAGAGTTTTGCATGAGTGAAAAATAACTTCTTTGGGTTACAATAAAATCCCACTCCAGGGTTACAGGCTTCTAAATAATGACACACTTACATTTCTAAGATAGATAGGTAGATGACAGAGATAGAAAGATAGATAGATAGATAATAGATAGATAGATGATGGATGGATAGATAGATAGATAGATAGATAGATAGATAGATAGATAGAGAGACAGACAGCAGAAATGGATGGATGGATGGATGGATGGATGGATGGATGGATGGATGGATGGATGGATAGATGGATGGATGGATGGATGGACATACAGACTATGAAAGTTTAATTTCATTTATTCCAAAGTCTACATGCGTATTCCAAAGTCTACACACACATACACACACAAAATAAGTTTGCTCTTTGGTAGTCATTGTGATATGTAAATTGGTCATATAATGGAATGTGTACTTTTTTAAAATTATAATTTGTAAGGTGAATTTTTCCTTTAAGTTAACTTATTTACTTTTTAGTCACAATGCACTTCTGCAGAAGCACTCACCATTCCCTGGAACAAAGCTTTGAAAAAATGACTCTAAAAGGACAGAGAAGATGGAAATATGCTATGGTCCTGGGGAAAAAATGTAAAAGAAAAAAATGGAATTTATGGCCATATTTGCATCCAAATGCCACTTCTTGTGTTACTTACTAGCATGTAAACTTTGTTGTCTTCTTTTTTTTTTCTTTTTTTTTTGAGACAGAGTCTCACACTGTCGCCCAGGCTGAAGTGCAGTGGTGCAATCTTGGCTCACTGCAGCCTCCGTCTCCCAGGTTCAAGCAATTCTTTTGCCTTAGCCTCCTGAGTAGCTGGGATTACAGGTGCGTGCCACCACACCCAGTTAATTTTCGTATTTTTAATAGAGACACGGTCTCACCATGTTGGCTAGGCTGGTCTCAAACTTCTGACCTCAAATGATCTGCCTGCATCGGCCTCCCAAAGTGCTGGGATTACAGGCATGAGCCGCCACACCAGGCTCGGTTATGTTTTTTAATCTATTTGAGCCTTTATTCTCCTCTCTTTAATATTAGGATTATAACTCTTATTTCTTCAAGTATTCTGAGAATTGAAACAAGATGATGTCCATATAGTTCTGAGTACTTTGTATAGCACATAATAAATCCTTAATAAATGTTACTTCTTTTATCTCAACCCTGTTCAATCTCTTCCTATATCAGGAGTGAAAGAGAGATCAGATCTTTCATTTGCTCAACTGTTTCGATAGATGCCCCCATGTTCTAATAGCATCAGCCTGTCAGGTTGCATCTACGATGTTTGTAATTCAGGTAGCAAATTGATTTTTGAAAGCACTCTGGGCCTGCTCTGTCCATGTCAGAGAAGCTCCAATCATTAATTATGCACCAATATTGATGTTTTTGTCTGACAAGGTCTAATGTCACCATATTCAAATCTGGCTGCTTCCTTGTTAGAAAACCCTTCGAAATGTGGCCTTGGAAGAGACAGCATGTGTCACCTACAATATTTGAAATGTCCCAGGATTGAAGCCCTCAATTAGAATTAAAGACAATGTGCATCCTTGTCCTGGGTCCCGAAGAGAATGAGCTGGTGCTATTCATGAAAGCAGCTTAAGGTACGGCTACATCAGGCATTGCTCAAAAGAAGGCAATCAAATCTTCTGGTAAACTGCATACAGCATTGATATGAACAATTTGAATATATTTGGATTTGCTGCTGTATACAAAAGTCAGGTATTGTGGTTTGTGTTTGGAAGCTTATCCATTTACTAATTAGTAAGTTCAATCATAAATATCCAGCAAGGTCTGCCTGATTTCACAGAATCATTAGGAGAATTGGGATCAACTTATTTTTAAAGGAGACTTATAAACATGCAAATGCAAGTGCCTCTGACTTGAACTGAATAAATAAATCACAGGCACTCTCATTCAAAGGTTCTTATTGGATCCATTTAATTCATTCACCAAATAATCACTGTGCTCTGACTACATGCCAGGCACTATTCTAGGCACTTGGGAGCACATCAGAGCACAAATAGGCAAGGTCTGCTCTTGTGGAGCATTTATTCTAATGAAGCCTCTTTTGGATGTTATGATTTCCAAGATTTTGGCTAAGATGATTTTGCAAGATAGAACAAGGCAGCTGAATGAGTCTCTTCTATGAGTTTAGGATTTTCATTAATTTAAAGGAGTTTTCTAATTTCATCTCAAGCAACTCCTAAGACATAAATTCAAGAGTTCTGAATATAATTAATGTTTCTCTCAGATTGAGCGGTACTATGAATGTTTTCATGATGTCAGAGAAATTGTAGGAGGATTCTTACAGGGGAATATTACTCTACTTACTCCGCATTCTGCATTTTCTAAAGAGGAATTGGGTAAGAGATGATTGCTAGTACTTATTTGTCCACTAAACTAAAAAGAAAAGGACACTCACTTCTGATAAAGAATAGTTAACATAACTTATATTATAGGTGTGTGAAAAATGGGGGGGATTTTTGCATACCCTAAAATATTTTCATTTCTTTCTTTCTTTCTTTTTAATTTTTTCCTTTCAAAAATATTTGAGTATAGGCCTTTTCCTAGGTATTGCATGAAATTCAGAGAATACAGATAAAATATAACATGGTCCTAGCAATCAAAACATTCACTGTCTCATTTTTAAAATTTAAAAAGGTGAGTAAATTAAATCAATTTAGTGTAGGGCTTAGACTTAATTTATTTTGGAACTCACAGTGTAATGAAATGAATAGTAAACCAGACAGCCAAAAATCTATTTTTGCGTCTTTTCACCGTCACATGGAGAGGCCACTAAACTCCTTTGTGTTTCAGTTTCCTTATCTGAAGAAAGGGATTTCACAGAATTGGTTGTGAGGATCATTTTAAATTGTTAACGTAAAATGTGATGAAAGTAGTAAAGGCTCAAATAAAAGTGATGGATCATGATGGTTATAATTCATGCTAATTCCTGTAAGCCTTCCACTCTGCGATGGTCATGAGTAATGGTGATAGCAATAACAGCTAACCTTTACTGCATACTTATGTATACCAAGCACTAGCAAAAGGAATTTAAAAATACTAACCAGTTTAATATTCAAATTAGTCCTATGAGGTACATATTATTCTCACCTTCATTTTTAAGATGGGGGTACTGAAGTGCAGAAATTTTGAATGCTTTTTCCAAAACCTCGTAGTAAATGGTGGACAGCAGATCTAAACTGGAAGTCTACTTCCAAAAGCCCACTCCAATATTTTGAGTATCTACTATGTACCAAACATTGCATATCAGCTATAAAGATTGATGAACTATAGTTCCTGCCTTAAGGGGTTGAAAGTCAACTGACAGAAACATACACTCAGTTACATAAGGGCACTGTGCAGGAGGGGAATTGATTGAATTGAAAGTTCTGTGAACAGAAAGGATAGGTGAAGTCAGTGTGTGGTGGTCTAGAGCAGCGGTCCCCAAACTTTTTGCCACCAGGGACCAGTTTTGTGGAAGACAATTTTTCCACGGACCGGTGCAGGGTGAGGGAATGGTTTCAGGATGATTCAAGCACATTTATTGTGCACTTTACTTCTATTATTATTACACTGTAATATATAATAAAATAATTATACAACTTACCATAACGTAAAAGCAGTGGCAGCCTTGAGCTTCTTTTCCTGCAACTAGACAGTCCCATCTGGGGGTTATGGCAGACAGTGACAGATCATTGGGCATTAGATTCTCATAAGAACCATGCAACCTAGATCCCTCG
The DNA here is from genome assembly GCF_000001405.40 of Homo sapiens. NCBI lineage: Eukaryota > Metazoa > Chordata > Mammalia > Primates > Hominidae > Homo > Homo sapiens. The sequence goes on from NC_000009.12 coordinate 119,912,998, forward strand.
TGTATGCAGTTCACAGTAGGGTTTGTGCTCCTATGAGAATCTAAAGCTGCAGCTGATCTGAGAGGAGGCGGAGCTCAGGCAGTAATGTGAGCAATGGGGAGTTGCTGCAAATACAGATGAAGCCTTGCTGGCTTGCCCACTGCTCACCTCCTGCTGTGCAGCTCAGTTCCTAACAGGCCATGGAGCAGTATCCAAGGGTTAGGGTCCCCTGGTCTAGAGCATCATGCTAAGAGATGTGACCTTTAGTCTGCAGCCAGTGAAGTTTTTGATCTGGGGAGTGTATTTTAGGAAAGCCACAGGTAGCTACGAGAAGAGTGAACTGGAGAAAGTCAGAGAAGCTGGAGGTCAGAAACTGTGGCATCGGATTCAGGGAGAGATAACCAGAGCCCAGTGTAGAGGCTCAACGTGGAGTTGGATGAGAGGGAAGATGAAATCCACACACAAGGACCACCTTGAAAGAGAAAATAATATCCAAAAACAAGCCTAAAGAATTCCCCTAGGAATATATGGAGTGTGGAGACAGGGTACACCTCCCTTTCCACATCAGATCCCTTTCTGGCAGCCCCCACAGGTAGGAAGAATAGTTATCAGGTAAGTCAGAGTTCAAAGCACTACTTGGGCCACATTTTACTATGGAGGGAGGTTATCAAGCCTCCAAGTCAGACCCCTTGTCCTCCTCATCATTTGCACCTCCTACCTCACACCTAGGTAAGCTGTCCTTTGGGGTAAGCCAGCTATTCTCTGGTAGCCCCAGCTTCTACACCATCCAGAGAAATTTATAAGCTGAGGCAAGGTACCTGGCCCTCCCTCTCTCCCCTCAGCACACTGGCACCAATGGTAGGTCAGATTCAGGTTGAGTAGAGCAATCAGGAGCTTTAGTTAGGCCTCCAGCCATGTGCTCAAATCTAACTTTTATGAGAAAGCCTGTTCTTCGGAGAGCAGATTCTTATTAATAAAGTTATTAATAGAGTGATACCTTGAGCTCTAGTCTTATTGCGCCGTGTATATAGCCCCCTTAGTTGGAAACTATGGAGGAAAGGAAGATGAAAAGCATAGTTGTTCTAGGAATTTCTGGGTCTCTTGCTGAAATCCCAACACACCAATACCTTGTCCTAAGCACCTACAATGTGCCAGGTATTTTACATGCATTATCTCTATCAAACTTCACAACAGGTACACAGTAAACCCTTAATAATTGTTACTTCCTTTTTTCCAACCCTGTTCAATATTTTCCTATGTCAGGAGTGAAAAAGAGATCAGACGTATGATTTGTTCAAATTCTAGGAGAAGGGATTTTTATTTCCATTTTATCCATGAGGAGAATGAGGCTCTAAGAGATTAAATGGCTTGCTTCATGATTGAAACCCAGGCCTGTTTGATTCCAAAACTTTTAGTCTCTTTAACATATTCAAGGAGACTATCCATGCCCTCTTCTTCCTTTTATTCTTCCATCCATCCGACTCTTTCCTATTTTCTTTTTTTCCTCCCTTGCCTTTTTCTGAAAAGTACTTAAGGCACAAACTACTACTTTGCCTGCATTTACAGTGGTGGGACACGTCTGGCTGGTTATATAACATAATGGCAGCAAACATTTACTGAGTACTTACTATAGGTAAGGCTCAGTGTTAATAAGTGCACATATTATTTCCTTATACTCTTTCAATAACTTAATAAGGTAGGTTCCAAAGCAATCTTATTTTGTAAGTAAAAACCAGAGGTCAAAAATGGTAAATAACCTACCTAAAGCCACACAGGAAAAACTAGGATTTGAACTCAGTGCCTACCTCATGGATTTATTATAAAGACAAAAAACATGCAAAAGTGCACAGAATGACACACACAATCAATTAGTGTCCATCAGGACTGTTGAGGCTGTTCTCCTCCTTCTCCTCATCCTCCTCCTTCTCCTCCTCCTTCTCTTCCTCCTTTTCCTCTTGTTCAGATGACTGCCTTTGAGAGCTGTGGAATGGTCATGCAATCTAATCTAATAGTTCCATCCCCATCATCAACACATCTGCCAAAAGTATCCTGTAGCATCAGAGGGTGTGAGTACGGTTGGAGGTTGTCTCCAGTTTCTAAGCAATTGCTTCTATCTCTGCTGTTGCTTTGGATATCAGTAATCAGTGTTGCTAAGGCCTGCAGTTGACCCCAGATTCTACAGAAATCCCATCCATGGGCATGAAATGGATCCAAGGATGGAAGCAGCTTCTGTGAGAGGAAGGCCATATGTTCAACTGGACTCAAGGGAACTAGACAGCATTCACATCTCCTCGGTATTTCCATCTTACTGCTGTAGGGGCTCCCAAAGTAAGAAGTAAAGACACTAACAGAAAAAGCCATGTGTATACTCAGCAAGAGAGAAATGCATAGCAGAGCTAAGCAGAGAGAATCCCAAACCCCTTAGAAACCACCCAACCCCATCCATTTTACAGTGAGTGACTTTCCCAAGGTCGCACAAGGAGTGGAATGCTTTCTCCATGGAGGACCACTGTGATACACAACTCCTGGGGGCATTTACAAAGAATACAAAGTAAATGATGCCCCTAGAGTGATGCACCAAGCAACCCTACCTCTGTCACTTCCTTCCATCAAAGTACGTATATACCGCTAAAAAAAAAAAAAAAAAAAAAAGGAAATATTATAACTTCACTTCCTGGTAAGAACAGTTTCCTCTGCCTTGACAGTATGCTCAGCAAAAGGGAAGAAGGGGCAAGACCTCTTTCCTGCAACACTCACAGCCTCATCATCAAGTCTGCCTTGAAGACCTTCAGGAGGAATCCTGTCACGTGCTACATCTCTGTTTCTATCAATCACTAAAAAGCCCAAAACTTTGAAGTCATCTCTCATAACCAGACTCTCATCCCTACATTGCTCTGGATATCACCAAATTCTACTCCTCTTCCCAACTCCCCAGTCTTTCCACAGTGCCCTCTGCAAATCAGCACTTTCATCAGCAAGATCCCTGTGTCTTCAACCATTACCCTCAAGGTTCCTTCCATGACATTGCTCTACCTGAAATCTAGCTGATTCCTGAGGTAATTTCTTCTCCAAAAGCCCTCTCTTTCCCTGTGCTTGAAGAAGCTAAGGATTGAACTTGCAGAATCGAACTGAATTGAGAGAGATACTGATGGCCTCGATTATGATGCAGAGTTATATTTGTGGTGGACACTGGAGTAAAATTGCTTAGATTTGAGTCTTCACTCCTCCACTACTGAAAAAAAAAAAAAAAAAAAGATAAACCAGCAAGGATTTTTAAACTGCTTTGAAGCTCCTGGCAGATGTAATGGGTATAACAGTACCTACTTCATGGGTTTATTATAAAGAGAAAAGGTCTCCTTTTTTCTCATCACCTTTTCTAGATCATTCTTCTTTTCTCCTACAAACACACACGCTAGAAGTGAAGCTTATACCATTAGACTATGCCCTCTCCTTGTTCCTGTCATCTGCAAACCCCCTGGTCACCACCCCTTATTCCTTGAAGTTCTGAACTCCTGGATTGCTTTCACTCTTTTCAACAGTATTTCCAGTATAGCTCTGTTTAAAAAAAAAATCACACCTTTATTGAGATGGTATTCACGGACCATAAAATTACCCAACTAGAATGTACGATTTACAGGTTTTTTAGTATATTCATAGAGCTGTACAAATGTACAACCATCACAATTTAATTTTAGCACATTTTCATCACCCCAAAAAGAAACCCTGTATCCATTAGCAGTCCCCAGTGCTAGGCAACCACTAATCTACTTTCTGTGTCTACAGATTTGTCCTATTCTGGACATTATATATATATGGAATCAGACAACATGTGACTTTTTGTCCTTACCTTCTTGTACTTAACATAACGTTTTCAAAGTTCATGCATGTTCTAGCCTGTATTCATAACTCATTTATTTTTATTGCTGAATAATATTTCACTGTATGGATATACCACACTATATTTATACATTCATCAGTTAATGGGCATTTAGCTTGTGTCCACTTTTTCACTATTATCAATAATTCTACTATTCATATTTTTGTACAAGTTTTTGTGTGGACATATGTTTTCATTTCTCTTGAATATATGTTAGAAGTAGAATAGTAACTCTATATTTAACAATTTGAGTACCTGCCAAACTGGTTTCCTAAGTGGCTGCATCATTTTACATTCCCACCAGCAATGAATGAGGGTTGCATTTCTCCACATCCTCTCCAACACTGGCTATCGTATGTCTTTTTCATTACAGCCATCCTATTGGTATCACATTGTGGTTTTAATTTGCATTTTCCTGGTAACTAATGATGTTTAACAACAATCTTAATATCACCATGTGCTAATTGACCACATTAGGATAATCGTTCCTGATTGGGCTATCCACTGACGTCATCTTTTCATACGCTGAGCTCTAAGTTCCTTGGCCTTAATTCCTTCAGTGATAATGTCCTCTGCCTCACCTGCATGATTCATTCCCACAGCCATATATTAACCTAACCACCGAAAACAACTCCAACACCTCCATGATCTCAATTACAGGAATCCACCCTCCTATTACTGCCATTTACCTTTCTAGTTCATAATATATAGCTCCCAGACTCCTAAAATTATTTGGCCCCACCGTGACTTACAATTCATTGATCCTACAGATTTTCACTTTTTTTCACTCTTTCACACTCTCACTTTTTGTTGTATCTACACTTATACGATCCATAGTTACAACCGTACTTTATGTATACCTCAACTCCCTTGCTTTTTACATGCCATCACACTTGCTTGGCAAGATTAGAGCCCTAGTTAAACCCAACTTGTCCTCATCCCCTACTTGCACCTACACTATTTAATTGAGTAGAAGAAGAAGAGGCAACCTTAATGGTTTGTTCTTACTGTAACTTCCTGGCCACTAAGCTCATGGACTGCTTGGAATTCCCAGGACAGTTCATTAGCTCAATCACTCTTCCACTGTCCTCGGTAATTATTTCATAACCTTTTCCTCTCTCCTCAAACCTCTAACACCTTCTTTTCCACTGTGAGTTTCAGGCTGTCTTCTAGTTCAATGAGAAAATACCCATAGAGAACTTTCCACTTGTTTTATCAACATCATATCTACTAAGTCTTCTGTACCTGACCATACATTCCACCTTCATCCTTGCTACCATTAATACCATTATACTCTTCCTGTTCCCACTCAAGGCACAAGTTCCTACACCCTCTAATATTCTCAAGGGTATCACCTCAACAAAGGTTTCCACATTTTCTTCTGCACTCCCAAATTTTCCCTCTCTGCTGGATCATTCTAATTAGCAAACGAACATGCTGTAATATGTTCTCTCTTAAAATTACCCCTCCTACCCCACACCCTGCTCCTACTATTGATTCATTTACAGTTTCCGTTTACAGCAAATTTCCTTGAGAGAATTAGCCATTAACCATATTCACTGTCTCCATGTCATCTTCTCCCCTTCTCTCTTAAGCCAGACTAGAATCATGCTTTTTAATCTTCATTATTTCAGCAAAACTGTTCTTGTGAAGGTCAACAATGATCTTCATGTTGTTAAACCAAATAGTCAATCCTCAGTACTTAACTTACTTAAACTCCCTCTCTCTTGAAATGCTTCTCTTGGTTGGAATGAAAAACACCACCCTCCATTGTTTCTCCTTTTGCCTCTTCATTTTCTTTTGCCAAATCTTTGCCTTTTCTTGGCTTCTTAGCCTTCGAGTATCCCAGTGTTCTGTTCTCAGTTTTCTTTAGTTCTCCAGCTACACTCACTCTCCAGGTCATCTCATCCAGCATCATGTCTGTAAATACTATCTATAGACCAATGAATCCCATGTTTGTGTTCCCCACCCCAGTTTCAGGTAGCCAAATTTCTACTGTTCAAAAACTCGTGAATATCTGATAAGTATCTCAAACTTATCATGTCCCAAACCAAATTCCTGATGTCCCTCTCCCGAGCATATTCCTTCACCATCTTCTCTAACCCAGTAAGCAGTGATGCACCTACACATTCTGTCCGATGCACAGGCAGAATCCAGAGACTGACACTTTCATTCTATCTCTACTACTACAGTTTTGTTCCAGCTTCTCAGCCTGCCTAAATCATTGCAGTGGCACTCTAACTAGTCTCCAATTTCTGTTTTTATCCTTCACTTCCTACATAGCAGTCAGAGGGACTGTTTTAAAATACAATTCAAATGCTTTCTCATCTCATTTTGTGTTAAAGTCGTGTCTTTATAATTTCCCAAAAGGATCAATATGACCTGGGCTCTGCTTGACAGTCTGACCCCCAATCCTTACTGTCTTTCTCCCTCACTCTCTCTACTCTAACCCATTGACCTCCTTGCCAGACATGCCAAGCATCTTCTTGCCTCAGGGTCTTTGCACTTGCCTAAAAGATTTTTTACCTCCACCCAGAATGTTCTTCTCCCAGATATTTTCATGGATCACCCTCTTACATTTTTCAGCTCTCTGCTCAAATATCACCTCCACAGGATGACCTTTCTTGAATATAACATGTAAATGGCACCCTGCTTCTATCTCTATCCCTTTGCCCTGCTTTATTTTTCTACATGGCATTCATTACCGTCTCAAATAGCAAATATCTGTTTGTTTGTTTCTTTGTTTGTTTGCCTGCTTGTTATTTTCCATAAGCCCCCATCAGAAAGCAAGTAACATGAGAAAAGGAAGCAAGTAACATAAGAAAAACATAAGCTTTATTTGTTGTGGTATCCCACATGTAATGTCTTGCACATAGTAGGCTCAATGAATGTTTATAAATAAAAGAATGCATGCATGAGTTAATTTATTAATTGGCTTTGTGACCAAGACCTATGTGTCATGTTTGGCCAAAGAAATATTCAGAGACCCTGCTTTTTCTTTTTCTTTTTTTTTTTTTTCATTATACTTCAAGTTCTGGGATACACGTGCAGAACATGCAGGTTTGTTAAATAGGTATACACATGCCATGGTGGTTTGCTGCACCCATCAACCCATCATCTACATTAGGTATTTCTCCTAATGCTATCCCTCCCCTAGCCCCCCACCCACTGACAGGCCCAGAGTGTGATGTTCCCCTCCCTGGGTCCATGTGTTCTCATTGTTCAACTCCCACTTATGAGAGAGAACATGCGGTGTTTGGTTTTCTGTTCTTGTGTTAGTTTGCTGAGAATGATGGTTTCCAGCTTCATCCATGTCCCTGCAAAGGACATAAACTCATCCTTTTTTATGGCTGCATGGTATTCTATGGTGTATATGTGCCACATTTTCTTTATCTAGTTTATCATTGATGGGCATTTGGGTTGTTTTCAAGTCTTTGCTATTGTGAACAATGCTACAATAAACATACGTGTGCATGTGTCTTTATAGTAGAATGATTTATAATCCTTTGGGTATATACCCAGTAATGGGATTGCTCCAGAAACTCTTCTTTTTCTTAATTGACAAATAATAATTGTGTATATTTATAAGGTACAATGTGATGTTTTGACATATGCATGCATTATAGAAAGATTCAGTCAAGCTAATTAACTTATCCATCACCTCACAAATTTATCGTTGTTCTGTGGTAAGAACATTAAAAATCTATCTTACTAATTATGAAATATACAATGCATAATTATTAACTGTGGTAATCATACAGTGCAATAGATTATTAAAACGTATTCCTCCAGTGTAACTGAAACTTCATACCCTTTGATCAACATCTTCCCTTTCCCCATTCTTCTCCCTCTCTCCACTACCTCAGCCTCTAGTAACCACCTTTTCACTCTCTGCTTTTGTGAGATCAACTTGTTAGGATTCCATATATAAATGAAATTGTACAGTATTTGTCTTTCTGTGCCTGTCTTATTCACTTAGCATAATGTCATCCAGTTCCATCCATGTTGTCACAAATGACAAAATTTCCCTTTTAAAGGCTATATAATATTCCATTATATATTTGTACCACCTTTATCTATTCATCTCTTGATGGACACTTAGGTTGATTCCATATCTTGACCATTGGGAATAGTGCTGCAATGAACATGGGAGTATAGATGTCTCTTTGACATACCAATTTTTACACTAATTTACATCCTCACCAACCATGTACAAGGGTTCCCTTTCTTCCACATCCTCACCAACACTTGTTATTATTCATCTTTTTTATAATAGTCATTCTAACATACATGAAGTGATATCTCATTGTGGTTTTAGCTTGCATTTCCCCGATGATTAGAGAGTTTGAGCATTTTTTCATAGATCTGTTGACTATATCTCTCTTTTGGGTATATATCCAAAAGAATTGAAATCAGTGTGTCAAAGACCCTTCTTGCAATATCATTCTAGTTTCTGGGAAATGAGACAGCATGGTGTACTGGGAGGAGATTCATCTTGGGAGTCAAAAGACTAGATTTTATTTCCAGCTTTGTCCCTACCTGACTACTGTATAACTCTGGGTAAGTGAGATACAATTTCTGGATCTCCATTTCTTTAGCCACATTATGACCCTTTTAAATAAAATAATATTTGATAATCATATCCCCCAGAATTTTAAACTTCCTTGATGCTAAATCAAACACTGAGTTGAACAGTGCCATCCTTCCTTGGATCACCAGATGTTGCATGTGGCTGAATGATAAGTCTTCCTGCTTTCAGAGTTCAATATTAAGGACTCTGGTTTCCACCAATATAATTTTCATTTCACCCATCTGCCTACTTTAGCAATTCTATTTCTCATTCAGTTCAAACTCAGAAAAGAGAATTGCTGGTTATCCGGCCATCTCAAATCCCCCAATTTGGCACTTTACATGCATTGTCTCACTTAATCCTCACCACAGCTTTGCAATGTAGGTATTAACCTAACTTTACAAATGAAGAAGATGAAGTTAAAATAACTTGATTAAAGCCACCCAACTAGAAACATGATAGACAATTTGAGCCCATGTCTGCATTTCCCAGAAAGCCTTAATATTTTTATTCTTCAAACCATAGAGGGACAAAGATTTTAATAGAATTTCAGCGTTTGCCCTCACCAGCTGTATGACATTCAAGACATCAGTGCACCACCATGGGCCTCAATTTTATCTTCTGTAAAATTGGACAATAATACTAACCTTCCTGCATCAAAATGAATATACAATCCTTGTCATGAGGATCATATGAGATGATGCAAGTGAAAGCATCTAAAAAATATAGAAAAGTATAAACTACCATTCACATAAAGATTTTATTTTTCAGACCATACAAGATATTCTCTCAATCCCAAATGTGGAGGAAAAATTGAGAAATAGTCATAAATTGAAAACATCTTTTGCAAATGTGTCTGTCTCAAAGGAAAGACAAGATTCTGCTTCTTTCAGCTGACTTTCCAGTCTAATGACCTAGAATTCACTGCTATGCTTTTATTTTCATCCCAACGTGCTACAACCCACGTGAAAATGTCTGATAAGCTGGGAGCTTCTTTTGATGCATGGGAAAAGAAAATGTTTTTATTCCAAGGCACCCATATCTTTTCTGAATATTTTTCTTCATATTCTTCTGGAGGTTTTGATCTCACATTATTTTTCTTTTGATTCGAAGGATGGAAAAAAAAAGAATCTACAGGACTTTTCAATTATTTATCACAGAAGGCATTTAAGGCCTGGTTTCAAAGTTGATTTCTGGATTTCTACACTCACTCATGCACATCGAGAAGTTGGTATGACCTCCTGAGAGGACAGCTCAGTGAAGGTCGAAGGATGTGTCTGACTGACATGTGGGCCCTCAGATATTCTGACCCAGACCTCTGTCTCCAAGCTAGGGGCAGCAGCATCTGTGTGATGGAAGGAGCTGCTGAGAAACTCTTCCAGGCATCTGACTCTTCAATTTGGTCTCTGACCTCTACTACTTTCCTGCCACAAAAGATAAATTTATGCCTTTATTGAAGAATATTAGAATTAGATTTCACTGCAATTTGATAGATATTTATTGAGTACCTATGCCTATTTTGTACCACACATTGTGCAAGGAGCTGTTAAGATGAAAATTATTCATTATTCGTGATAAAGATGGTCAAGAGTAACTAGGACTCAGACAACCTGGGTTCAAATTCCAGCTCCACCACTTTTCACTTACTGTGAAATGTTAGACAAGTCTTTTAACCTATCTGAGCCTGAATTTCTTCATGTATAAAATGAGAATAGTAATAATAATCCCAAACTTATGACACAAATCCATGTAGACAACATACACAGTATCTGGTCCATGGCTGTTCATTAGTATCATGAGAATGAGGATGGTGTTCTAAATGCAAGTAAGCCAAAGTAATTTGGTTCCCTGCCTTCATACTCTAATGGGAAGCATAGATTTTAATCAGATAGTCATATAAACCAATAGTTACAAAAGTGCTAGAATAGATTATGTTGCTGCCTTTCCATTGTGTAGTAGCCATGCACATTTGGGCTGGGGACAGGAACCGAGCCCAATCTCGGCTCTTTAAATGTGGTCTAAACAGCTCAGTATAATCTGTGTAAATTCTGTCTCATCACCACTGTGATTATGTGACCTAAATCATTTTTATCAAAGGGAAGCCTAGAACTTTTATAGTAGGAAGGGAAACTCCCTTTCTCTGCCAGTGGATGTGGCAGCGAAAGTATTTGACCCAGAAGTGGATAGCAGCCCATTTTTCAACCAGCAAGAGAGCCAAACAGAAGGAAGTCAATCTCTGTGGATGGAAGAATAAGATGTATAAAGAAAATGAAGTTTTGGCAATATGGTTGAACCATTGGATCTAGCTTTACATAAAACCTGCCATACCTGGGAATATCTACACACACACACAAAAATCGATAACAAAAAGACAAATAGACAACCCAATTTTAAAATCCGGCAAATGATCTGAATAGACATTTCTCCAGGGAAGATATGCAAATGGCAAATAAGCACATGAAAAAATGCTCAACATCATTATTCATCAGGGAAATGCAAATCAAAACTATTATAAGATACCACTTCACACCTACTAAGATGACTAGAATCAAAAAGTCAGATACTAACAACTGTTGGTGAGCATGTGAAGAAATCAACCCACATACACTGTTGGTGGGAATAAAAAAGGATGCAGCCACTTTGGAAAATAGTCTGGTAGTTCCTCAGATGATTAAACATAGAGTTACCATTTGACTTACCAATTCCATCTTTGCCACATATCGAAGAGAAATAAAAACACAGTCACACCAAAACTTGTAAATTAATCTTTACAGAAGCATTATTCATAATAGCCAAGAAATGGAAATAACTCAGATTGAATGGGCAAGAAAAATGTGATATATCCATAAAATAGAATATGATTCAGCTATAAAAAGAAATGAAGTATTCATGCTACAACATGGATAAACCTCAAAAGCATTATGCTAAGCAAAAGAAGCCAGTCATTTTTTAAAAATCATATTGTATGATTCCATTCATATGAGATAACCAGAACAGGAAAATCTCTAGAGACAAAGTTCATTAGCAGTTGGTTAGGTGAGAGAGGGATGGGATGATAGGCACTGATAGCTAAAACGTGTGGGATTTCTTTCTGAAATGATGAAAATCTTCTAAAATTGACTGTGGTGATGATTGCACATATCTGTGAATATACTAAAAACCATTTACTTGAATTGTATATATATTTTAAATGGGTGAATTGTATGGTTGTGAATTATATACCAATAAAGCTTTAAAAATAAATAGATTTTCTTTATTCTTTAAGCTGGTTTTAAATTGGGTTTTAGCTACTTGCAATTAAACAATTTCTAATACAAGTGCCATGAATTAAAACCACCAGGGCTTCAAGAGTATACATCGGAGTTACCTGATCTCATCTGGACATGGGGGACATTCAGAGTAGAAATCAAGAACAGTGGCCTGGTGGGCCAAATGTATGGCTGTGTTCCTCTATGCCAACCCTATAGGTTTCCAGTCTTCGCCTCCCTCCTCTGTTTGTAGAAGGCACCACTGGCCCTCACCTGCAGAGGGCTTTAGGGTCAATATGAACATGATGCAGGGCAGGAAGGCTCTCAGCAGCTTCCGCTGATCATCCATCATATCACTCATTTCCAGCCTTTATGAGTGTATAAATGCACATTTTTCATCAGCACACTCCTTTCTCTTTCCTAAAGCCCTGTTCTTTTTCTCCAGCCCCGTGTGACTGAGTTCCTAGAAATTTAGCTCAGTGTTTTTCTGGTATGACCAGGATCCCAAGTCCTACCTATATCTGGGCCTTGACTTTCTCTTGCAATTGTCCGTTGTAAAGACTAAAATAATAATAATGCATATAAAACAACTAGCATAATGTCTTCCCTAGTAGTACATGCCTAGTAAATGCTAATTTCTTTCCCTCTCCTCCAACAGACCTTCTGTCTGCTGGCAGACTACCTGGACTTCAAGTTTCTCCCATCTTCCGATTTGACCACTCTAGTCCACCTTTTGGATTTTTAGGGGGCAGGCTGCTCGTTGAATCCCTCCCAGCTTAATTTTGCTCATTGGATTTTCAATGCATTGACCCCAGTAGGAAAGTTAGTTCCCCATGGGTGTCCCCATTGCTACTCAATCTGAAAATAATTAAAACTGGTGATGCCTAGTAAAATAATCAAATATATCTGTCAGACAGTAAGCATGAGTATAAGTCCCACAGGGACAAGGGGTCTCACCTTACACCCACATAAAATAGCACAAAGGCTGAGACATGGTAGAACTTCGGAAAATATTTGTTAAATGGATAAATGGCCTTCATTGTACTGAAATTATCTAAATGTCTGTCCCGTCTTCTACAGTGGAAACTCCCATTAGGCAGTGCCTCTGTCTGATCACCTCTGTAAGCCCAAAAACTTGCAGATAGTCTACATTAGAGCAAGGCACTCAGTACATATTTGTAGATTTCTTGGCTTCTTCCATGAAGTCAATTACCCCAACTAAATAAGATCTCAGTTCCCTCTGAACACTTAACAACTTCTCCAATAAAACTCTTCTTACACATTTACATAATTCTGCCTTGTGCTATAATAATTTGCAAGAATGGCTTTTTGCCCCCATGAGCTTATGAGCTTTTCTAAAGGTGGGGTTCCCATCTGATTCATCTTCTGGGGCTCCTACACAGAATAAAAAGTATAACAGAAGCTCAGGAAACATATTTGTTGAATAAGCAAGTGGATGATCGAATACGTGGATATGAGAAGACCGAGAATTACTTAGCAGAGGAAATGAACTCGTGGTGTCTGGAAGGCAGCAACATGGTCTGGTCCACGCTCAGTTTTTGCTAAATTGAAATGACACTGTCATCAAGATTTATTAGTAGACATCTTGTTTGTTTTATCATCTTCTCCTCCCATAAGACTGAAAGTTCTCAGAGAACGGCACTCGTATCTGATGTGCTCACCATTGCATCCTCGCCGTTTTAACACATGATAAGTACTCAATAAAAGAGTTAATGGCTGGACATTAACCCACCCAGCAAGTCCCCAAGGTCCCAGCTCTCACATCCACCTCTCTTGCTTTCAATCCTGCGATGAGCAGTGGAAGCCTTGTGCCTTCTAAGTTGATGAGGATACAATCATGATGGTTATCATCCTCCTTCAGTACCCCCCACAAACCCCACTCCCCATTATACTTTACCAACTGGCTTGAATCATTTAATTTGCAGTTAATTCAGAGGCATCTGAGCCAGGCTCTGATATATTGGGTGATCAAGACAAATGGCTGGAGTATTTTTATGAGTAAAATCTCTCCAGTTTTCAGTACATAAATCATTTGTTGTGAAATCGCTCATTGTCTTTAGGCAAGGCTGTAACGTGAGGGAAAATTCTATCTATTTATGAGCCAAAAGTCAGGGGATTAGGAACAGTTTGAAGGAAAGAGGCTACAATATAAAAATAAGATTTATCTCTTAATATTCTCCTTACATATATTCCTCCACCCTTTTCTCTTACTTTTAAGCGTGGAATAGGAATTCAATTTCATGTTTGTTTCGCAGAATCACAGGGGGAAAAAACAGATCTTGAGAGGCAGAATTTAGAGAATTTTTTAGCTCCATACCAATTCAACCAATTCCTTTCTGATCTCAGGTTGAAAGTCACTTCCTCGGAGAAGCCTTCCTTGATGACTTAGTCTACATTAGATCATTCCCATTAATCATGGGCCCTCACAGCTCCTGTTGGTATTCCTTTTTTACTCTACTACAGTTCTAATGATACATTTATTTGTTTGCCTGCTTGCTTAATGCCTATATCTCTCAGTAGACTGTAAATTTATTTATGTAGGGATTATTACTATAAAAGGAATTTGTTTTCCCCTGTATCTTCAACACCTAACACAGTGCCTGGCATAAAATAGGTGCTGGGAAAACATCTGTTGTAAATAAATACATAATGAGAACTTCCCCAGCTCCTTTTCAGAGTTAATCTAGAAAGCCCACTACGGAAAAGAAAGCACTATTTAATTCTCCCAAGTATTTTACATATGTTGACTAGACATGAAATGTAACTCTTTTATAAAATAAATGTGTTTATTCTATGCAAATTATTGCACGAGTTACCCCTTATAATACTCTCAACAATGCCAAAATGTGGTAGAAATAGCTATTATCCTCATCCTAATGATAAGCAATTTGTAGCTTGGGAAGCTTCGACAACTTGTCCAAGATGTGTCAGCCACCAGTGGTACAGAAGGAATTAGAAGTCATATATTTTGACTCCCAAATTCAAATTCTTGCCACCATGCTCTGTACCCTCCTCCTGAAAACCTAGGGAGCAGAAGGAATTTATTTCCTGATGAAAACTTTTTTCTCCTTTTTGGATCTCCATCACTAGAAGGAACAAAATAAGTGAAAACAACTGAAGACCAAAGGTAGGATTATGTTTTCCTTTTCTCTTTAAAAGTGGCAGAAAATCAGCAGACATGATTCTGAACATGGTCAATGTTTTTCAGACTGTGCTAGCATCTTCCTGCAAAAGAGTTTTTCAGAAAACCTTGCAGGATGTCGGCTCCTGCTCTATACAAGATTCATCTTTTGGTGCATTGATCCAAAAGGGAGGGCTTCACTTCCAACAAACTGTAGCAGAGGCACGCAGACACAGAGGCACATCCACAGCTGCACATGCTTACACATATGTTTGAACTATGCCCATCAGTGCCCACAAATGGACTCCTGCATATGTTTTCACAAACAAGCAATACATCATCCTCCTTCACCATCACAGCAAGCACAGGATCAGATGAATGCACTAATTCGCTCATGCCTCTACACAAATGCGTCCTCATAAACATTTAATAATAACCCAAGTCGATATACCATCTTACAACACACAAGGTCTTTTCCTGTCCGTTTTCCCATTTTACTCTTAAAATAACCCATGTTTTATTTGATTTTTTAAAATGCCAACCTAATAGTTTAATAGGGGTCTTTACCTGAGCCTCATTAGATGGGTTTCAGAGGTTCTCAGGCTTACTCTGAAATCGAATGCAAAACTGCCTATATGTGCATTTTTTTCAGCGTGTTAGGATCCAGGGTTTTCATGCCTATTTCCCTACCCACAAGAAAAGGTTTTGGGCCACCAAGTCATGGGAATGATCTCACTGACCTGAAACTAAAGATATTAAAGTTTATAAAAGTGCCTTTTCCTCCATTTCCTCACTTAATTCACACATCTACAACCTTATGAAATTAACCTTACAAGTATGACTTTTTGATAGATGAGAATACCGGGCTTGGAGGTATCTCCAAGCTCATGTCCCCTAACACCCACTTATCTTTTTTAATTCTGCCTGCCACACTACTGAGATGGAAAAAGAAGAGAGACTAACATCTGATAGGGATTGCCCTTGATAGGGAATTACACATGTTTTCTCCATCCATGTGAGCCAAAAGGTCACATACAGGTTTTTTCATAGGAAACCAACTCAGGCAACTGAAAAGTGACTATTTTAATAAAAATTTTAGTTTCTTACTACACATCTAGTAAATATAACATTTTGGACAACCAGAGAATAAAGATTCCCTAAGAGATTAACCAGATCATTTTTAACAGCTCTATAAACACATGCCCAAAGAGGCAAGCTGTTTCCTCTTCTTGCTTGGGGGTGCTCTTTGTCCAGATAGCCAGATGGCTCATTCACTCACTTCCTTCAGATCTCTGTTCAAATGGCGTATTGTATGATTACTGGCCACATGTATGTCTTCTTTTCAGAAAAGTGTCTGTTCATGTGCTTTGCCCACTTTTTAATGGATTTTTTTTTCATGTAAATGTATTTAAGTTCCTTCTAGGTGCTGGATATTAGACCTTTGTCTGATGCATAGTATGCAAAAATTTTCTCCCACTCTGTAGGTTGTCTGTTTACTTTGTTGATAGTTTATTTTGCTGTGCAAAAGCTCTTTAGTTTCATTAGATCTCATTTGCCACTTTTTGCTTTTCTTGCAATTGCTTTTGGCATCTTCGTCATGAAATCTTTGCCCGTGCCTATGTCCTGAATGATATACAACAAACTCCCATGACACACGTTTACCTGTGTAACACATGTACCCCTAAACTTAAAATAAAAGTACTTTAAAATGCCATATTATAATTCACACCTTCCCTGACCACACAATAAAGTATCAGCCCCCATCCTCCTACCCCACAACACTCTAATACTTGCTTTTTCTCTTTTAGTATTGTTTTTTAATGTATTGTATTTCTTATAATACAATACAATGTATTGTTTATTTAATTGGTTATGTATTTAAGGCATGTCTTCATGTGCTAGAATGAAACCTCTATGAGGTGGAGACTTTGTCTATTTAACTTGCTGTTCTAAAACTCAGACAAAACACTCAGTATTTGTTTCATGGATGGAGCCTTACCACAAAAGCTTTAGAACTCAGTAGCCTCTTCAGAGAAGATAAATAATTTGCTTAAGGTCACCCAGCTATTAAAGAGCTTCAAACTTAAGTACTTCCAAGTACTGTGTACTTCTGCTACATTATCACTGCCACCCACAAGTGAATTTCGTAAAATTTATCTTCAGTTCGCCTCCCAGAGGCATGAATGAGAACTTTCCCTGTAATAGGAAAGGAAAATCTATTGATCATTCATACGACTTAAACAATAAGAAAATGTATTGGCTTATGTGATTGGGAAGTACAGACATAGAACGAACATTCGAGTTGGTTTGATCCAAGGCACAGCAAGGTCATAATGGACCTGAACTATTTTGCATCTTTATGCTCTACTTTCTATAATGTTGACTTTATCCTAAGGCTACGTATATTGACTGGGTCCAGTCAGGAAAACAAAAACCAAATACTCTATGTTTTTAATTGAAATATGTATTAAAATAATTGTAGATTCATTTACACCTTGCACTTTTGCCCATTTTCCACCATGGTAACGTTTTCTAAAATTACAGTGTAACATCACAAACAGGATACTGACATTGATTCAACCCACTGAACTTATACTGATTTATCCCATTTTACTTGTGTGTGTGTGTACATGTTAAGATGTATTTATATAATTCCTTATTTTATTACCTGTATAGCTTCATGTATCCACCACCTCCATCAATACACAGAGCTTTTCCAAGATTTCAAGGATCCCTCCTGTAATTTGGGGGAGAATTTATATGATGTTGACTCTTCCAGTCCATGGCACAGTATTATTCTCTATTTATTCTGGTCTCCTTTGATTTATTAGTGTTTTATATTTTTCAGCATAGAGATCCTGTACATGTTTTCTTAAAAGCATATGTAGTATTTCATTTTCTTCGGCATGATTCTAAATGATATTTCATTTTAATTTTGATATTTACAAGTTCATTTTTAGTATATAGAAATGCAATTGATTTTTGTGTTAAAATTGAATCTTGGAACTTGTAAGCCTGCTAAACACACTTATTAACATGAGTTTTGTTGTTGTTGTTGTCGTCGTTTTGATTTTATAGATTCCAAACTTTGGATTTCCTAAGTAGAAAATCATGTCTTCTGCAAATAGGAGATATTTTATTACTTTGTTTTTGTTAATATTTTTAATCCCCTTGTAGATTATTATTTTAATTGACAAATTATAATTGTATATATTTATAGGGTACAATGTGATGTTTTGCTATATGTATACAATGCTGAATGATTAAACCCAGCTAATTAACATCTCCTTCACTTCACTTATGTATCATTTTTTTGTAGTGAGACATTTGGAAGTTACTCTCTTGGTTTTGTTGAAATATACCTTTTATTATTTTTCTTGTCTTAGTACACTAGCTAACATTTCCAGTACCATGTTGAATAAGAGTGGGCATCCTTGCCTTATTCCCAACCTTAGGAATAAAGTATTTAATCTTTCACCATTAAGTATCATGTTAGCTATAGGATTTTTATAGATGATTTTTATCAAGTTAAGGATAAAAGTTTGCTGAAAGCTTTTATTGTGAATTAGTTTGGAGAAATAGGAACACTTTTACATTGTTGGTGGGACTGTAAACTAGTTCAACCATAGTGGAAGACAGTGTGGTGATTCCTCAAGGATCTAGAACTAGAAATACCATTTGAACCTGCCATCCCATTACTGGGTATATACCCAAAGGATTATAAAGCATGCTGCTATAAAGACACATGTACACACATGTTTATTGCGGCACTATTCACAATAGCAAAGACTTGGAACCAACCCAAATGTCCATCAATGATAGACTGGATTAAGAAAATGTGGCACATATACACCATGGAATACTATGCAGCCATAAAAAAGGATGCATTCATGTCCTTTGTAGGGACGTGGATGAAGCAGGAAATCATCATTCTCAGCAAACTATCACAAGGACAAAAAAACCAAACACTGAATTTTCTCACTCATAGGTGGGAATTGAACAATAAGAACACTTGGACACAGGAAGGGGAACATCACACACCTGGGCCTGTCATGGGGTGGGGGGAGTGGGGAGGGATCCCATTAGGAGATATACCTAATGTAAATCACCCGTTAATGGGTGCAGCACACCAACATGGCGCATGTATACATATGTAAAAAACCTGCACATTATGCACATGTACCCTAGAACTTAAACTATAATACAAAATAAATAAATAAGTAAAAATATATATACATAAAAATTTTAAAAATGAATAAATGAAAGAAAAAGAAAACAGCCTTCCTATTTGTACACAGTGACCTCTTATTTTCACAAGGGAGGGGCAGCTCTAATGTTGGGCCTCTGTTTCTTTTTTGCATTTCAAACAAAACGGAATGAGCAAAGAAGTGAGGAGTAGAAATGTAGCAGTTAAGGAGCTAAGAAGAATTGTCCTAAAACTATTTGTAAAGACATAAATTGCCACCTTGTGTCATTGACTATTCAAATCAGTAAGCATTCAAATAGGATAATCTGTATTTGGCTTAGGACTGACTGGCACAAGAAATAACTCCTTCCATGAAGACATCAGCTTTCCTCTTAGTAATTTTGGTCTGCCCTGTGCTGTGGGCCCCTGAGAATACACATATATTTTTATCCATATTCACTGCATTTTATGGTTTCTGATTATTTCAAATATACAAAATGCTCTTTCTTCCAACAAAGAACATTAACACAATAGGAAAAAAAGGAGTAAGAATGTGAGGTCATTAGACCTGGAGTTAAGTTGACTCTGTCACATGCCTAGCTAGGTGAACTTGTTACCCCCCATTCAACCTCCCTGAGCTGCAGACTTATCCTCAAGGGAATAAAATGAGTTTCCTAAAATCTCTCAAGGAATCACTAAAAGTATAATGTGATAATGTATATAGATGTGCCATAGATATATAAAATACTATTAATCTTACCAAGGAGGTTTGGAGAACTTTTTTTAATGAGTAAGTATGAGTTTTTTCCATTGCCTAACAATAAAACTCAACCTATTTAACTCAGCTTTTAAGAAGCTTCAAGAATTGTTACCAACCTGCCTGTCCAATGTTATTCTTGTTGTTCATTCACTCAATGGATAATAATTGAGTACCTACTATGTTCCAGCATCCATGCTGGGCACTGTAGAAACAGTGGTGAACACAAGAGATATCCTCTCTGATGAGAAGAGAAGGTTCTAGGCATAAGAATCAGCATAAGAGAGATGCAAAAGTGGAGATTAGCCTGGGACATCTAGGAACTGAAAAGCCAATGGGACTAAAGGTAAGCAGCAGGGATGAGAGGGCTGAGTGAGCTGGAGAGATAGGCAGGGTCCCCTTAGCTCCAGACAAAGTGGCAAAATGAACAAGCTTACCATTCATTAAGTACTGGGCATAATCTCCTGCCTTCTTGCTTTTCTGCAGGCAGATGCCCTGATTGGTTTTAATATCTGTCCCCTCCAAATCTCATGTTGAATATGATCCCCTGTATTGGAGGTGGGGCCTGCTGGGAGGTGTCTGGGTTATGAGGGCAGATCCCACATAAATGGCTTAGCGCCATGCCCCTGGTGATGAATGAATTCTTGCTCTGGTAGTTCACATGACAGCTGGTTGTTTAAAAGAGTGGGGCACCTCCTCCCCTCTCTCTTGCTCCTTTTGCTCTTGCTCCGTCTCTCACCGTGTGACGCGACTGCTCCCCCTTAGCCTTCCACCATAAGTAGAAGCTTCCTGAGGTCCTTGCCAGAAGCAGATGCTGATGCCATGTTTCCTGTACAGCCCATAGAACCAGGAGCCAAATAAACTTCTTTTCTTTATAAATTACCCAGCCTCAGATATATCTTTATAACAATGCAAAAACAGGCTAATACACCTCAGGTCCTTGATTGCCAACCATGTCATCCCCACTTCTGCTGTACACAGTCTTTACTTCAAAGTCCAAAACTAATGCCAATACCTGTGCAAAACCTGCTGTGTTAGGCCATTCTTGCCTTGCAATAAGGAAATACTTGTAGTTGGGTAATTAATAAAGAAAAGAGGTTTAATTGGCTCAGAGTTCTGCAAGTTGAACAGGAAGCATAGCACCAGCATCTGCTTTTGGGAAAGCCTCAGGAAGCCTACAATCATGGCAGAAGGCAAAGGGGGAGCAGGCATGTCACATGGTGGAAACAGGAGCAAGAGACACAGTAGAGGGGAGGGGCTGCCACACATTTTAAACAACCAGCTCTCATGAGAATTCACTCACTATCACAAGGACAGCCCCAAGCCATGAGGGATCTGCATCACTACCATGATCAGGCACCCCTCTTTGTCACACATTAGGCTCTTTGAGGGTGGGGCTCTGGCATCTTCATCTCCTTACTCCTTGGCTTACTGCATGTTTGTTCCTCTGATCTAAGAGCACCTTTGATCTCCACCTTTGCTGTTTTTTATTTACAAGGACCTAGTAAATGTCGTTGGGTCAATTCAGCAATAGGAAAGAGAAAAATATAATTTGAGAAACAGGGGCTGCCCCAAGAAGAACATGACCTCATCTCGAAAGCTCAGGTGAGCCCAAAAGATCTAGCAGCTGGATGCCATCCCTTAACCCAGTCCTTGCACTGGACCATGAGCTCTTTCTTGAAGGAGGATCTGATCAGCAACAGTGGTCATTTGTCAGTGCTGGACATCTATCAGCCAATGCTATCTATAAGTTTATGGACATTAGCCAGACATCCAGCAGAACATGACTGTCTCTATGTAGCAGTATTGCAGGAAATTTTATTATGTTCATGGGCATTTCCAAACCCAGGCCCCTAGTGAGAGCCACAGCTGTCACAGGGCTTCACCCCATTATCAGCCGTCAGCCCAGCACTTCCCGACAATGGCAGCTGTTGGCATCCTGTAGACAGCCAAGTCCAAGGAACGTCTGCTTTGTTTCTAATCTTGTCAGGGGACAACCCCACCCTGACCCCACCAGTCCAGGGGGTCAGGCTGATGTCATGGGTGTTCTGTAGCTTCTGTCATCACTGAAGATTGCTTCAAATGCTGTGAGAGAGATGAATGGTACCAGCCACCAAGACCTGCTTCCCCACGTCAGACACATTCCATGGGCTGAAAAGGAGTTAATCCCCTTTTCTAATGTAAGCATTTAGTTTCTTAATGTAAAACTTAAAGACAGAAACCTACATGTGTGATGGTGTTCTGAGTTGGAATGTGGGTAAAAGTTGGCATTTGTGAGTCAGAAGATTCAGAGTTGAGTTAGAGTTCTGATACTCATACTAGCTCTGTGACCATAGGCAAGTCAGTCTCCACTCTCTGGCCTTCGTTTCTGTTTATAAAAAGAAAGGGAAAGAACCAATGATTTCTAAGTCTTCTCCTGGATCTACATTTCCAGGATTCTTTATTGCAGTGTCAACAAAGGCACCTACTCTGGGGCAGAGACTGTATTGGGGCTTTACACATACTGCATCTATTTTATCCTCACATCTCCTCAGGTTAGATTTTAATATTTCCAACAGTTCTATGTTTCCTACAAGGAAAATGCAAGGTGTTGGTGGGCCGGGGCGGGGTGTAATCTTTCTGAAGTTGTGTAGATATAAAAGTCATCAATGGATTTAAACCCAGGCGGCCTGATTCTCACATCTCCCCTGGCCTCAAAATTATTTCCATATTCATATGAAAAACCCCAGCCAGTCACAAGAGCCCATACAGTGTCCAGTGTCTGTCACTAGCAGAAGGAATGAAAGGGAATTTATCTGCAGAATGAGGAATTACAACTGGAGTAAAAAGAGAATGGTCTGAAGGTTTCTAGGCAGCAGAGTCAAAACAAGGACAGCTTCATGCTTAAAGACACAGATGGCCATAGCTCAAAATGTTTGATTCTGGTCCAGGCTGGACTTGGAGGCATAGATTAGAAGACCTGAAAGCCACTTTTCATGTTTGAAGAAAAGAATAAAAGTTAGGAAATGAAGATCTGCAGAGTGAGAAGCCAGACCATTCATGATGGTCTTTATCTTTGTAAAGATTTTCTTGATAATTTTTTTTAAAAAACCAAGTCCCTTAATTTTAGAGTATATCTTTTATTAAAGAAGCTGTTTCATAACTATGTCTCACCTACTTGCAAGAAAATTATTTCCACTAGATAGAAACATTATTAACCACATTATGTCTATGAGAAAACTGAGGCCAAGTGAGGAAAGATGAAATTAGAAACATTATCTCCTGATGCCCAGATTCATAGACTCCATACCTCACTGATATGGCAGAGACTACTGGATGCCTACCCAATAGCCTTGTTCCCTTAATAGAAGAGCCTAGTTTTATTTGAAGCAGCAAAGCATCAAGCAAAAAGATTATATTCCCAAGCCTCCCTTTCAACTAGAGTTGATCATGCAACCAAGTTCTGGACAGACAGTGAGTACTTTTGTGGGAGAATTCCATAAAGTCCTTTTAAAGCAACCTGAGTTAATGAAGGTGGATCATTTGTTCCCTTCTTCTTTTTTTTCTTCCTGCTCCCTGCCGATGAAAAACTAAAGCTCCATCCACTATCGTGGGCTAACAGTGAGCTTGAGTACAAAGCTGTGCATTAGGATGAAGAAGATGAAATATAATGGGAGCCTGGGCTCCTGAGCATCTCAAGGCTGCCATACCAACCCTGGCTTGCCTTCTTCTGAAATTCTCATATATAAGAAAGAAAGAAATGATTTTTATAAAGCCACATTATTTGCAGGGCTTCTTTTTTATGCAGCTAAGCCTAATCCTAAAGGTTACAATGAGATGGCTTAATTTGAGAAATGATGCAGAAAGAAGACACTATCTGCTATCAGACCTGGTTCCTTCCCTTGGCCCACATGGTCATAAGAAGGAAGGAAGGAATAATGAATGAAACACAGTTCATCAGATTGGAATGCCATCAACTGCATGACATGCTATAATTTTATGCATCACCAACAAAGAAAAAAATGTTGCCAATTAAACTATGACATGTCATTGATTGTGAGATGCAAATCAATTTCATAAATGCTAAAATGTGAGGGGAAAAAAAGCCAACCTGTGAAATATGGTGTGCTGAGGATTTAGCAAAGCACAGTTAGGATTTAAAGTTCATCAGATCAATGCATCCTCCCATCCCTATCTTAAAGAACAGGACACCAACACCAAGGTCCAGCAAGGGGCAGTAATTTGTCCTATAAAATTCAGGGATAGAGACAAGATGAGAATCTTGACAGCAAATTGAGAGCTCTTTAATAGGTCCCAATAGATACCAAATATTTGTTTGTGTTACCTTGACCACTAGCAACACGTTTATTTAATCATCCACCTGTTCCTGTTTTTCCCTTTAAAATATGCAGTGCTGAATAGCAGAGGCAAAGGCCCTCACCCCTCCCACACACAAATGGACTCAGCAGTCACAGGAGATGATGCAGACAGATTTCCCAGTAAATTCATGCTCACACAGGGCATACACCTGAGTCAGTGGCTCTGAAGGAGATGAAGAACACCAGGTGGCTATGGAGAACTGCAGGTAGGAGTCTCTGAAACACAGGAAATTGAGATGGCATAGCAGTGGCTGATGGCTGGGGCCTGAGGAATATTCAGCTCAAATCTCTCCTTCCTTCTCTTACAAGGGAAGAAACACCATGGTGAATGGCGCTTTCCCAAGGGATATCCAGAACCTAGACTCCCAGTTTATCAGAGATGGAGGGCCCAAAGAGATCATGCATCAGTCTAGCCTGCATTAAAGATAAAAATTCTTCTAATCTCTCATAATCTGTTGTGGGTTTTAGAAAGACCATGCTTCTGACAGTACTGTTGATTCCGGAGGCAAGGAGTGAAGTAAGAAGGACACTTCAGCCATCCAGGTAAAGAGAACAGCAGGTCCTGGACTAAAGCAGAAAAGACGGAGTGAGTAGGAAAGATGGTCCAATCAAACATCAACGAAGCTTCAAAAACATCAAGCTTCTGAAGTCATTTTCCTGTTCTTGGTACTGTTTCCTCCTCTGTTCCCAAATATACCCTATGCCCTCGCTCTCAACATCCCTCATTGCAATTCATCTTTTTTTAGACTATGCATAAATAAGGTATGAATGACTAATAACGGTGTAGGTTGCCAAGGACAGCTGCGTTCATATAGGGAATCCAAGCCATAAGCTAAATGATGTAGTTCTGATGGCAGAATTTCAAACATCAACCTGGGGATGAAGAGGTACTTGAGTCATTAGGGCCTCCCATTGCTATAGATATCCTCAGCTATCTTTCCTCCTCTAAGGATGCTTGCATGAAAAATAAGCTAGTCTTTCCTATTTTTCTCCAGCAAAAAATTTTAAATTTCAATGTGCATCTTTCTATATGTGTATGTATATGTGTGTATAGAGAAGGTCTAAATGAGTGAAACTTTTGCACAATAAAGCAATATAGGGAAATATGGTGGGTTACTTTTTAAAGTATACAGTAGCATGGTAGAACAGAATGTCTATGGGGCCTGCTCTAATAAATACATAGAATGGTTTATAATTAGCAGAAGCCTTGAAAATGGGTCTTCTTCTGATACTTAGATAAAAAAGGATGAGTTTATGAAAATGTTTTAAAAACTGGAAGCACTATAGATATGTTTTCTTTAACATGATATGACTATTTGAAATGGATTTGTTCTTGGAGGGCATTAATTATATTGCAATGAAGTTTTCACCACAATCAGAACCAGGATTATCTTCATTTTACAGATGATGAAACAAAGGCTCAAAAAAGTAGCCCAAGCCATTGTTCTTCGCAAAATTGTACAGTTATCTCTCAAAATGGGGGTCAGTGGGCAGAGCGTTGGGCTCCAAAACTAAAAATGTCTTCCCTGTAAATTATCCTAGGGAAAGGGAGACAGAACTGATATCCATTGAGCATTTTCCCTGGTCCAGTGAAACTTTTAAGTATCATCTAATAGAATCCCCAGAATAAACCTAGGAAGTAAGTGCCATTATTATCCCCACTATGCTGGTTCAGAGAGGGTAGGATCCTGCCCAAGCTCACAGAGCAAGAAGGCAGCAGGACCAGATCTCACACCTAGGTCTGGCAAACACCAAGGATGTGGCTAGCTCTTACAAGTCCAGAGTTTTTCTATTCCATAGCTGTGAGTATACATTTGGTTTATTTGGAATAATAGTGCCTCATAGCTCCCCTGGGGAAAAGAGGACCTGGGGATACTTTCAATCTGGATGGATATTGCCTTGCCAAGAATTCATTTATGGAGAAAGCAAACAGTCTCCCTCTCTCGTAAACCTGCATTTTGCCAAATGAATACATAATGAGGCCTTCAGAACATTGAGACATTATTTTCCCTGCAAATCCTGGACCATTTAGAAGGATATCAGACCTTGCTTTGCTTGGCAGGAAAACTATGTTAGTGATTCATTCCAAAGCATAAAAGGACAATACAGAAACAGTCACGGAAAAAGGTGTAAGAGCAGAGAAGAGAAGGCAAGGTCAGGGGTAGAGGGGAAGGAGGGGACAGAAGAAGGAGGAGACATGAGGAAGGAGGAAGGAAGGAGGAGGCTGCCGTTGTGAGCACTGGGCACAGGATGCTTTTGAAATGCAGACACCAGGTCAGATCTCAATATAGCAGCTGATCCCAAGCTTCTACAAAAGGTACTGAAGTTAGCACTTCTGTCTGGTCAGAAAGGCAGCTGGAAGATGGAGATAAAAGAACGGCCACTCATTCCACCCCACCCCCTACCTCCAATCACACATAACTTTGAATGCAGGGGAGAGAAAAGGTGCTGGGCCCAAAAACAGGGGTGGGCCGGAAGGAGGGAGCAGCCTGCCATCTGATCAAAAACACTTTCAAGTTAAGATTAAACTCTAGAGATTGCAGGAGGCCAATTTAATGGAAAATGTTCCCTGTCCTCCCTGTCCCCTTCCTTGGCTTCCCATGGGAGGGGACTGGGTTGTGATGTTGCTCATCAGAGGAACTCCAGGGTACCAGATCTTATCCAAATGAGCAGCTGGAAATGACCAAAATGATAGGAAAAAAAATAGTTTACAACATGTTGAAAGAGAGACAAGGGTGGGAAAGATAGATTTTAATTATCCTGCATTCTTCCTGTGGAAGGGCAGGACACCCAGGAACATTTAAAGGCCATTAGCTCTGAAAGCTGAAGCTGGCAAAGGGAAAATCCACTGGCAAAGGGAAAATCCACTGGAAAATCACTTTTCCAGGCCTCAGTTTCTCCATATGGAAAATAGAAAGGTCAGGTCACTATAGAGATTGCCCCACACTGAGCAAGTATGCAGAGTGGTTAAGTCTATGGGGTCTGCTCAAACTTCTCCTCTCCCACCTATAAGCTGTGTGACCTTGACAAGTGTCTTAACCTTCCTGAGCCTCAGTTTCCTTTCTGTGAAGTGGCAGTCATGATCAATTCTACCTGTCAGGATTATGGTGAGGATTAAATGAGCTAGTCCATGGGAAGTGCATAAAACAGTGGGTGCTCCACAACAAACATGCAATATAAGCTCCCACTATCTTTATTACTAGATATTCAGATGTTCTCTTGTCCTGCAAAAGATGGCGAGATGGAGAAGGTTGACCCTAAAACTATGGATTTGAGACCTACTTCCGCAAATCACTTAGCTTATTCCTAAGGCCTAGCTTTGTCATTCAAAATACAGGGCTTGTAAGGTGTGTGACTGCCAAGTGCTCTGTAAACATGAGGTCAATATCAGTTGTCACCTCTCATCAGTGGAAATGAGGAGTAGCATTCAGTGGGTATGAAGTCTCAGTTATACAAGATTAATAAGTTCTAGGGATCTGCCATACAAAATAATGCCTAGAGTCAATAATAGTGTATTGCGCACCAAAAATATTTAAGAGGGTAGATCCCATGTTAAGTGCTCTTACTATGCATGAAACAAAAACAAATGAACAGAAAAAAGATGGCATAAGGAAACTTCTGGAGGTGATGGATATATCTATTGTCTTGATCATAGTGATTGTTGTATGGGTGTATAAATATATATATATATATATATACTTAAATTCATCAAATTATATGCAAGAAATTTGTACAGTTTTACTTATCAATTATAGTTCAATAAAGATGTTTTTTAACCAGTGAAGTTTTTCTACAAAGACAATTCTATATTACAAATAAATTGCATTTTAGCAGAAAAAGTATAGTAATACAGAAAATTGTTAAGCCCCATACCTCTTCGAAAAGCATAAATTGAATTTTGCTTGGCCGTCAATACTATATTACTATGTTTATAAATAAATAAATGAATAAATAGATAGATAACATTTCTGTTAGCTCTAAAGGACTTCCTACACTCTTAAATTCAAGGATGATATTCTGCACCTTTTAGAGCTGTGTGTACACACACTCCCAACTGACAAGCTTCTGCATGTGGTTGAATATTGCCTCACAGTGTTCCAGAAGCAAGAAAGATGCCATGTCTCCAGCTGGTCAGCCTAGAAATTGGAAGCAGAACCAATTGTGGCTAACTAGAGATCCTGCTGGGCCTCTGCACGTCAGCCTCCAACTTGCCTGGGAAGGCCCCAGGTCATTAATGGCCACAAACAGCAGGACATTTTCTGCCTGTCTTCTTGCAGTGACCAGGACACAAGATGCTTGACCAATGAGAGAGGCCCATTCAAAGCCATTGCACCTCTAAGGAGGGGTGAGCTGCCATCAGCCTTTTCTCCCAATCTGCAGAATTTTATGACCTTTTCTCTGCTAAGAACAAAGTTCATTGCCTCAATTCCACCACTTGCTGTTGGAGCTGGTGGGATGTAGAGTGGGGAGTTTCACATTCTGACCCCACTGCTGACACCCCCTGTGGCATCTTTGCAGCCGCATTCCCTCCTCTGGGTGCTATGGTCTGAATGTTTGTACCCTCCCACACAAATTCATATGTTGAAATCCTATCCCCCAAGGTGATGGTATTAGGTGGGGCTTTGAGGGAGGCCATTAGATCAGGAAGGGAGATCCCTCATGAATGGGATTAGTGCCCTTATAAGATATACCCAAGGGAGCTCATTCACCCTTCCACTATGTGAAATCACAGCTGGAAGGAGCCATCTATGAGCCAAAAAAATGGACCCTCACTAGACACAGAATCTATCAATACCTTGATATTGACTTCACAGCCTCCAGAGCTATGAGACATAAATGACTGTTGCTTATAAATCACCAGTCTATGTATGGTATTTTGTTATAGCCACTCGAATGGACTAAGACACTGGGCCTCAGTTTCCTTGTAGGGTAACTGGAGCCAATGATTCCTAATATAATGGCTTATATCTGGAACATATGGTGGCCTATGTCTGTAGTCCCAGCTCCAAAGTAAGCATTTTACAATGTGGTTGCTGGATGCTCAGGAGCCCCCCATGATACCTGGCGTTCACTCCCTCATGTGGTTCCCTCCCTTTGCATGCAGGCAGGGCCTGTTACTTGCTTTTAGCCAACAGGACAAAGATGATGGGATGTAATTTCTGCGATTTGTTCCATGAGATTGTAACATCAGTCTTGCCAGAAGACTCTCCCCCTTGCTGCCTTTGATAAAACAAGTGGCCATGTTGGGAGGCCCGTGTGGCAAGACACCAGTCAGCAGCCAGCAAAAAACTGTCCTCTGTATCACAGCTTCAAGGAACTAAATCCTGCCAAAATCAAGTAAGCTCACAACAACCCACAACTACTCAGTCAAGAAGCAAGACGAGAGGACAGCCCCAATCAACACCTTGATTTCAGCCTTCTGAGCCCCTACAGCAAAGGACCCAGATAAGCCATGCCTGAACTCCTGGCCCACAGAAACTGTGAATTAATAAATGTCTGTTGCTTTAGGACACCAAATTTATCCTGATACTGTTATACAGCAATAGATAACTAATACAATAGGATAAAATGATGAATGCTACTGAGAAAATACACAATAAATACATGTGAATGGACTCTAATAACAATTGCAGTAGTCAAAATATAACAGATGTTATCCAGTGCCCCCTTCTAAAGGAAGCTTTCCTAAACACAGCTCCTGCCATTCAGGTGGCCCCTGTTTTACACCATGTAATCTGGTTCCCTACCCCCACTCTCCAGCAACAACTGCCTCGACGCTGTCCAGTGAAAATATAACACGAGCCACATATGTGATCTTAGATTTTCCATTAGACACATTAAACAGGTAAAAAGACAAGGAAAATTAATTTGAATAACATATTTTATTGAGCCACTATGTAGAAATGGTATCACTTCTGCCTGTGACACTGGCTACATTTCAAGTGTTTAATAGCCCCATGTGGCCAGTGACTATGTGGACCATACAGGGTTATGTGGACACCTGCCCCAAAGGCAACTGATCCATAGACCGGCTGTCCATCATGGAATCAACCCTATGATCTCATCTGACAAGGTGAGCTGGACCAGTCACATTTTTTCTCTAGGCAATTTTAACTAAGAAACATAAAAAGACTGCCAGTTGGTGTTAAAAGCTGCAGCTGAAAGGTGAGGATGGGGTTTTTCAAGGCTGTGAAGGGCCAGGAACAAATTTCAGTATGGAAGAAAATAACCCAGAAGCTCCAGAAGCAGGGAAAAGCAAATGGTGGCAGAATGCAGCTCATAAATGGAGTGCAGCTTGACGCACATGAATGGCAGGTTATTGGAGTAAAGAAATGGCCCTTCCTTCATTCATTCAATAAATATTTATGGAGCGCCTCCCATTGCCAAGCACTGTGCCAGGCACTGGGGTACAGTAAACAGCAAAACAGATCAGTCCTTGTCATCACATAATTGGCAGTCTAGTGGGAAATGACAGATGTTGAACAAATAGTTATGCCAGTAAATATGTAGCTACAGAAAGAGTGCCTCAAGAGAGAGAATCACAGGCTACTTAAATTGTACTAGGGGGCCAGGGAGACCTCTTGAATAAATTGTACTAGGGGCCCAGGGAGACCTCTTGAATGAAACCAGCTCTTGAAAAAAGGGCAGGAGTTTTCCTGGTGACAAGAGGAGACAAGAGTGTCCAGACAGGGGCACAAATGCAGGAAACAGAGGCAAAAGAACTGGGCACTCAGGGACTGCAGGGCAGCTGTGGGCAGGGGCAGAATCTGATGAAAAACAGGGGTCAGATTTGAGGCTGGGGAAGCAGGCAGGAGAGGAACATGTTCTGCAGGACCTTGAAAGCCACACTAAGGGAGCCCTGAACTCCTGCAGGACTTCCAGAAACTACCACACATCCTCCACTGGCCCTCCACTCTGGGCTCCCTGCAACCTGGCTCCATTCTTGGGTCCTGGTTCTTTGATGATTCCCATGAGACCCTGTTCCCCCATTTTATAGGGGGGAACATATGTTTTTAAAATAAACTCCTCTTCTTTGAAATAGCTTGAGTGAGTTTCCACTTCTTTCATGCACAAAACCCCAGCCAAAAGCTATGCCCACTTAGTGCCTGGTTCTGGGATCCCCACTTTGCATTGGTGGATATATTTGGTGCTCACCATCAAGGCAAGTACCAACTCTGCACTCATGGGTGCACCCCTAACCATGAGTACCTCCTTACACTGTGGACCCTGGCACCTCCCTTGCCTCTTTGGAGTCCTGGCCATACTCACAATAATCCTGGAAAGGAGGCCTGATTATCCTCACTCTGTGGATCAGGTGCCCAGGTCACATGGCCAGCAACGATACTTCCCCCTGTCCCTGAGGATCTGGCCATCTGATTGGCAAGAGGCCTGGTTCAGTTCACAGGCATGAAACAAGTGCATGTACCAGGAGGAAAGGGAAAAGAAATCGATATTGACAGAGCCAACTGTGTTCCAGATGCTTCACAAACATTATGTCATGTGATTTCTCACAACCACCCAGTGAGTTAGGTATTATCACCTCATTTTATAGAGCAGGAAACTGGGATTCATAAAGAGTGAGTGATGCACAGGTCTTTCTTAGAGGAAGAGGGTTTTAGACTCAAATCCAGCTGACTCTAAAAATATTACCCTGTTAGCTCTGAACTGACCCCTGAGATAAGACCATCTTTGTCTTCTTGAGACCCGTTTAGTATTGTCTGTTGAAACACCTCTCCTGATAGTCCGGGAGCTTCTAAAGATTACACCTCGGCCACCTAGTACAGGCCCTGGCATATAGTAGCTGCCCAATAAATATGTGTTGTTCAAATAAATGATGCAATGGTCAAAGATGTCCACATCCACTTCTCCTCTGAACTTGGCCCTCTGAGCTTTTACAAATGCCCAATTTAACTCAAGGAGTTAATTAATACCAGGGGATGCTATACTCCCTGAATCTGAGACAAGTGGCCTGAAGTCCCTGAGGGTGGTGGTGCCGTCTTGCCTTCTCCCAGCACTCAGGAAGGGAAAAATATGTCATCAAGTCATGGGCAAAGGACTCTACTAAGGCTTGATTGGCAGATGAGGACACAGGGTGAAAATCCCAACCAATCTCTACCTACCTGGCCTGATGCTCACATGAGACAGAGAAATGGAAAGGGCTGGAAAGAATAACAGTCCTCAGTAGAAAAAGAGAAAGTGAAAATAAAATAAAACAAACATGAGCTGTCATTGCTGTTTGTTGGTCTCGATCCTGTTTCCTTCACACTGAATGCTTGATGCCCAGTACAGGACCATTACTACATATTGATTAAATAAATGAATACTCGAATGGCTGAATGAATGAATGATGGCTGGGAGGAACAAGGGACCAGGGATCAGAAGACCCAAATTCTAATCCCAGCTTTGCCAAACCAATAACTTTCCCATTGACCACAGGAAGTTTTTATTCCTTCTGGGCTCCACGTCTTCATCACTAAACCTGGACCCTGCCACAGAGCTGGAAGAGCCCCATGGAAGGACCCAAAGCACGCAAGCTGCTTTGTCATGTGATGCAGGGAGAGGCTGGAAACCCCGGGGAGCTTCTCTGTACATTCACCCCTTCTCCTTGCTTACAGGATGCAAACGTCCAAAGCTCTTATTCCAATTTAATCTGTCAATTTTTCTAAGTCTTTATCACACTTTATCAAAATGTGTATCAGTGTGAGAAAGTGAACGTCTGCCACCCCTCTCCCCTTAGGCAAATGCAAAATTGAAATCCTGCGAAGACAGCAGCACGTTTCATACTTTAATTATTTTTGCATCTTCCTTTGCTGGTCTCTGTTTTTTGATGACTCTTTTCACTCCCTTCTAGAAGCAGGCTCCACTTCCTCCCTGGGTGGAAAATATGTTTGTCTCTAGCAAAGCAGAAAATGTTTCATGTATGTCAGGATGTCGATTGCAGAAATAGCGTGAGGAAAGGGTCTGCTCTCTTAGAGGTACTGAAAGAAAGTAACTCAAGCAAAGAGCACATCTCAAAACTTCGGGGTGTTCTAAAGAGCAATGAACTTTGAGGTGAACTTGGGCTTAAATTTCGTCTAGCTTGCTAACTAGCCAGATGACCTCGAGTCTGCCATGTTTATTTACTCTGTGCCAGAACCTGTTCTGAGCTCTTCACAAGTCTTGGCTCATTTAGACCCTGCAACAGCTCTGTGAGAGAGAAGCTATTATTACCTCTGCTAGCTTTTCAGGGGAGAAATAGAGGCATAGACATGCTTTGTCTCAGATGCCCTAGGAGATGGAGGCAGAGCTGGAATATGAACCTGAGCAGTCTGTCTCCAGAATCCCTACTTTTACCACTGTGCTTGACTTCCTCGGTACAGTAAAAATGCTATTCTTCTTTTAAATATGCAGAAACCTAAGGCACAGAGAAGCTAATCACTTGCCAAAATCCACAGAGCTAGTAAGTAGCAGGGCTGGGATTTGAACTCAGGAAGTTCAGCTTCAGAGCCTTGCTCTTATCCATTGTGTGGCTACCTTTGAAGTTGGTCATGCCTCTGTGAGCCGGGGTTCTATTCATTGCTTTAGTGAGGAATTACTAAGTGCAGTAGTCCTAGAGAGAAATAAAACAAGCATAGTTCCTGCCATCCCCAAGATAGTGGTCTAGAGGCAAGACAATTGTCAAGCAAACAAATAAATGGCAGCAAACACTATAAGAGCAATATCAGCATTCTCTGGAGGCTGGGGTGAGCTCGAAATAAAGTGATGATATACAAGACCTAGTTCGGGATCTGGCTTGTAGTAGAAACCCAGTAAGTGAAAGGGATTCCTTCTTTCTTGCTCACAAACATGGAAGTGATGGGGGTAGAAATGAGGGGTGGAGTTGGGGAGGAATCAGGAAGGGGTGGGGAGGGGGTGGGGAGGGATGTCAGGGTGGAAAAGATACCATACTGGTCACTAGTAGGTTCCACTACCCAGTATACCCATAAAAAGCATTAGTACACCCCTAAAAAGCATTCTTCCAGCCCTGATTCAAATGCCTTCTATGATAGAGAACTCACTATTTCAAATAAGGAAGAAATTCACTCTAAGTGATAAAAATGCTGAGGTTGGGGAGGGATTACAGTTTATTAATCTCTAAAAATGGGAAATTACCTTCCTTCCAGGTTTTTTTGTGAAGATTAAATAAATTAGCCCACAAAGCTCTTAGAACAAGGCTTAACCCTTAAGGAATTGATAAAAGTTAGTTATTAATAGTCATGGTATGGTTATTATAGTTGCTATTGCTTCTATTATTGTTGTTATTATTAATACACAGTTCCTATGAACACCAGTTTCAGAGTAAACAAACCTGAGTTCAAAGACCACCTACACCACTGACCAGCTGCAAGATCATGGCCAAGTTTTTCACCATCTTCCAGATTGAGTTTTCCCATTAGCAAAATCAGACTAATAATAATGCCTATCTCAAATAATTAAAGATTACCCATCTGACATCCTTAGCACTGTGCCTGACTCCTAGTATGTGCTCAATATAATTATTATAAAAAGTGGGTGGTTGGGCCTGCTTATGAAGTGTGTGTGTGTGCCATCACCCACTTATCCCGGAAGAGAAGAATCTGAGGGCAAAGATGTCGGCTATTTCTTTGGTAGAAGCTTGACCAGAAACCGTCTCTTTCCCACCATATTCTACCCCATTCTTCTGCTATAGCCCTGAGCTCCCCAGCAAATAAGGAATCACTGTCCAATCACCAGAGCTTTCCAAAGTAGAACTCACTGTCTTAGAAGAGAGGGAGCTCCCTGTGACAGAGGTGTTCAAGCTGAGAAAGCGTGACAGAGATGCTGTAGAGAGAATTTAAAGATTTAATCCAGGAGAAGAAGAAGGGAATGAAACGAGTCCCAGGCAGATGGTGTGGAATTGAGCAATGGTTTGTCAAAGGGTGTTCCATGGAACCTGGTGCTAACATATGGCCTCACAGCCAGCCACAGAGGATGAGGGAAGACAAATGGCTCAGACTCCAGGCTTCCCTCCCACTGCTTCAGTAAGAAAAGCTCCATTTTCATTGTTTTTTTGGGATAGAGGTTTGTATCAGTTAACTATTGCCATGAAGCTGTTATTTTATAAAATCCCACAAACTCAGTGACTTCAACAATGAACACTTGTCTCTCATGTCTGCATGGTCAGCTGACCTGGACTGGGCAGTTTATATCTTCGCCATGTACACTCAGCATCACGGGGTAAGGCTGGTAGGATGGAGTGGACGGGCCTGAGTCGGGTTTCGCTGGAGCAGTTTGTCCCTGCTTCATGTGTCTCCCATCCTCCTCCTGGAACCAGTGGAAAAGTGCAGGCACCATCCTTCCCACGGCAATGACAGAAGCACAAAAGTGCAAGCCCAATTGTGCAAGCGCTTTTTTCAAGCCTCCGCTTGTGTCACTTCTGCTAACATCCTATTGGCAAATCGTGTGACTCTGGCCAACTCAGCATCAAGGGATGGAACCAGTTGCCCATAGTGGAAGGGCACCGCACAGGTGCATGAGCCAAGGGCCCAGGTATGCAGAGGAGTAAAGAATGAGACCAGGAATGCTTGTGACCACAAGCTTCTATGTGAAATTGTATTTATGAAAAGAACTGAGCAGTTCACAAAAATAAGTTTGAAAACAACTGAACTAGATGTTGCCTAAGATTCCTTCATAGTCCAGAAATGCTATGAGGCAGATATGAGTTTTTGACTTGCCAGACAATAGCTGTGTGACCTTGGCATATCACTTAACTTCTCTCAGCCCCTGTATCTTACCTGTATCCTAGGAAGAATAATAATACCACGTAGGGGCATTGTGGTAAATGGAAAAATGTCTAAAAACGCTTCCCATTGTTCACATTCCCAAGTGAATGTACTTATTGCCACAGAACATACAGTTAAAAATGGTTGAAATGGCAAATTCTATGTTGTGTGTATTTTACAGCAGCAAAAATAAGTGTCTACCACATAATATTCATGCAGTAAGTGCTCAATGAATGGAAGCAGTGGAGATGATAATGCTGGCTCTGCACGCACTCACATTCGTGGTAGGATACTGGTCTGAAAAAGCAAGTGGCCAATTCTCCTTGCAACTTTCTCATACTCATCACATGCCTCTTACCTCTCCCATCGTTTAGACTATTTGGAAAAGTAGATACTGTACTTCTCTGGATACAATGACCTCCAAAGAAAAGCAGATACAGCCAAGAATACAGAGTCATTAGCCTCTCTCAATGGATTTGTTTTTACCACAAAACTGAGACTGTAGATTCAAAAGCCAACGTGCACAAAAACTAGGCTTCTTGAGAGAGGGAAAATGACTTTTTGACTTCCATAAACATCACTTTACTCCTCAAAACCTACAACATGAAGGACCCAGAACATCAAATTGAAAGCATAAATCATAGTCAAGGAAAGAAAAATAGACGGCACTTAAAGAGAAGTTTTCCCTCCATTGAGAAAGGAGATCAAAATTTGATAAGATAAGAGAAGGAACACCAGAAAAGAAATACTGGATCTTAGGGCCCCCAGGTTTCCAGTGTCTGAAGCTAAGTTCTGGGTATGGGAGTATATCAGTTACTTTTTGCCATAAAAATGCTGCATAACAAACTCAAAGTCTTAATGACATATACTATGATAAGCTTTTATTCTCATCCATCTACAAGTCAGCTGGGAGTCCATTTGTTTAGTCTGGACTTGGCTGGGGTGGTTCTTCTCTGTGTATCTCTTTTCCTCCTTGGACCAGAAGGCAAGCTAAGGAATGTTTTCTTGGTGATGGCAGAGACACAGAGAGCAAAAGAAAATGGTGAAAGCCTATGAAGACCTAAGCTTGAAAATGATCTGCCATTACTTTTGCCTCACTCTGTTGGCCAAAACAAATCACATGGCTGTGCTCAAAGTCAAGCAGGGTGAGGGTAGGTAGCAGTGAGGAGGGGATATGTCCTGCCTTTATAGAAAGAACCTCAAAGTCTCATGCAAATTACATGTATATCAGCAGGGTCAAAACCTTGGGGCCAGTCACACAATCTACTCAGGGTAGGATGACTGGAACCCAAGTGAGCTTGAGAGATTACAGAGGAGGGGGACTGTTGCCTGGTAACTGATGTCCCTGCACAAGTCAGCAGCCATGGCTCAGGGAGATGTCCAGATGGATGAGCCAAGGACAGACTCATAAACCTCATACACCTCCAGGAGATGCTGAGATGTGCTGGTGGAGTAGAAGAGCAGAAGATGTACAGAGCTGAAGAGATTTTAAGTCAGGATTCAGGAAAGGAGGTGTGAGGATCTGACAACCATCAGCCAGGGAGAAGCCACCAACAGCAATCAATGCATCTGGAGAGAGGCCAATGACCTGTGAAGGGACAGGTAACCTCATGGAGCTGCACAAGCACCAAATGCCCTTCTGCCAATACCAGGTTGACAAAGCCAAGACCGCTGGAAATTAGTTCACCCCTTCCATTTTGGGGAGAAGAGCAAAAGGAGGGAAATAGAATTTTAGCCTGCCTACATTTAAATCCCAAATCAATCACATTTAAAGCTGAAAGTTGCTGAGTTATTTGAATGTACAGGATTAAGTTTCCTGCCCCTGGCAGAGATAGGAATTCATGAGCTGAGGACAGGTACAAAGGAATAATGAAACTTATATCTAAGCATGGTTTATAGATGGTTGTGGCAGTAAACATTAAACCTGCTACTTAATATGTGTCTACTTTTGTACATTGTAATCACATATTTATTTTGCTGGATTTCTTATTGCTTCACATCAGAAGATCAATTACATTGCTAATGGAAGCTTTTTAAAGGCTTGTATCAGAGCCCCACATGAAAGACAGAGAAGACACCCTTATGGAATTTCCAGCTAGGCATTGACCCTGCTGGCTCTCTCAGCCCCCTCCTCTTGCTTGGACATTGACAAATACTGATGGATGCTTTTTTGCATCAGCTAATGTCAAGGGAGTCTCGTTGTCTAGCGTTCTCCAGAGGAAGTTTTAACTTGTGGCTTAGTGCATTTATTATGTCATTTTTTTTCTTTTCATTCTGTGTTTCTCTCTGAGTTTATGAGAGGGGGTAGGGAGTGGGGGAGGAGACCAGATTGGAGCCAGGCTGTCCTTATTTGACTTACCAGTATTTGGAAGGCATTTAAGTTTTTCTTTTTTCTATTGGAATGAGAGTGAAATCCAAAATTCCTAGCTGTCTCTAAATACCAACTGACTAAGCTTAAAGACTCCCAAAATAAACAGCTTAGCATTCCGGAAAGTTACCAGAGACCTGGGGGTTTGGTAAATGAAGCACATACCTTTTGCCCCCTCACTCAGATCTTGCTCAAGCAGTCCCTCCATTGCCAAGGAAGAGGACATATGTTTGTTTTGCAGTCAGTCAATAAGGCATGAGTTTTTAAAACTTTGGCTTGTGATGCTGGGGCCCCAAAATAGAATATTATGTTACCAACAAAATGAAACTCAAATTCATCTGTGTTAGATTATCTCTCCCTCCTCTCTACCTGTCCCCTGTCCCATCCTTAAGGGCTAATTCAAGTCTCACACCTTGTCCATGTATTCTCTCATAACACATCGATCTATACTCAGAATTCATAGCACTTAAACAATATTTATTTTAGGATTGACAATACTTGGCATTGATACCGACACTCCCATTGCCTCCCCTGTTCAGGCATTATTAATTGATCACAGCACTTCTTCCTGCTGATCTCATACACAACCTCACATGACATCTCAGCACAATTCTCTGCCCCAGGCAGCCAGTACTGATCAATGAGAATTGACATTTAAGGTGAAACGGCTTTGGCATACCTGACTTAGGTTCTGTTTTCAACCTTTAGGCACAGAGAATTTTTTAAAAAGTATAATAATAGCCATTGTTTATTGAACAAGCACTGTGCTAGATGCTTTTCAATTACCATCTCATTTATTCCTTTTCATAACATTACAAATTAAACATAATTTTCCCCCATTTCGTGAATGAGAAAACTAGGGTTCAGAGAGATCAGGTAACTTGCACAAGCTCACATGGCTGGGATGGTAGAAATGGAATGCAAGTCCAGCTATATCATAAGGTAAGGTCCTGGAGTTTCAATTTCTCCAACAAGCCACCATGTCCTACAGCTCTTTTGTCCTTATTATACTTTTCCATCCTCTGAGGTTTTGCTTACACAACCCCCTTTTCTCAGAATGCCTGTTGTCCTTTCCGACTGGAGGGTATCTGCTTATCTTCAGAGAATCAGAAACACAGGTATCATTTCCACTAGAAAACCCTTTCAAATCTTGATACAACTAGCCTCATCCTTTTTTGTGACCCCCCTCCTCCAATGTCACAACATGCTACCGGACTCTAACCTTTAAAGCTCCTCTTGATGTAAGAGACTAAGCATTATTGATTCTTCTATACAAGGAAGGAAGGAAAGAAGGAAGGAAGGAAGGAAGGAAGGAAGGAAGGAAGGAAGGAAGGAAGGAAGGAAGGAAGGAAGGCAGGCAGGCAGGCAGGCAGGCAGGCAGGCAAGCCGGCCCAGGACCTGAGATCCTCAGGGATAGGTTGTTGATTTTTTAGTCCTCTCAGGAACTCAACTGGTCTCTTGCAGGTGTTTCCACCATCCTCAAGAGGATTTTCCAGGGCACAAGACATTTTTGTCTCATTTCTCTCCTTGCCCAGACAGGAAGATCCAGGAATCCATTCAAATATGACATAATTAGCTGTGGCCACCCAAGGAAACACACAGAGTTGAGACCCAGAACTTTTGACCAACAGAGTTAAGTCCTCATCCAGGAAACATGGTGCCAAGTGTCAGATCCAAAGGGCCAGGCCAGAGAATAATGGATGGATGGGGCAGCCTTCTCACTGGTCTCTACCCTATGTCCATTCCTCCCCTTCTCCTACAGACAACCCTAGGTTGCTCTTTCCCAAATATTTGGTCACACCACACACACACACACACACACACACACTCTCTCTCTCTCTCTCTCTCTCTCACTCTCTCTCTCTCTAAAACAAACCCTTTGAGGGCTCCCCACTGCCCCCAGGAAAAAAGCCCAAGTTTTAGAACATGGCACACAGGGTCTCCCATAATCTGAGCCCAGATGTCTTCTCCAAAGCCTTCTCTTGACTGTCTCCAACCCATTCTTTACATCTTAATCACCTGAAATGGCTCGAATCTCTACAGTAGCCAAGTGATTTATTTCCCCTGGGCCCTGCTTCACTATTTCCTCTTCCTGGAATGACCTCCTCCTTCCTTTTATCCTGCTTGGCCCCTACTCATTCTCTGTGAGCAAGCCCAGACATCGCCTTCTTCTGGATACCAAACAAGGTTAAGGATTCCCCTGTGTGCCCACAGTCCCCACCTCAGCCATTTGTCTTACCTGTGCACCTTTAAGGGTAGTGAGTGCCAGTGCTCAGGCAGGTTTGATGAATGAAGAAATGAAGGGTAACAGCCAAGAGGGCTGGATTCAGAATAGATGTCTCTATCAAGGAGTGGGTTATGGCTAGTGGCTTGGAACGAAAACCACGATGGCAATTTGGGCTGCAGCTTTGTTTTTATGGGTTGCCAGCACATATCACAGGGGCTAGCATGCAGGGTGAGAGATCCAACTTAATCCTCTAGCCACTCTGTGCAGGAAGGGGGCTAGAATTTGTATCCCCATTTGAAAATAAAGTTTTACGTGCCTCTCTCTACCTATGGCTATCCACTTCTTTCCACCCCTCCTGAATCTCTGGGCTGCTCCTCCCTGAGGAGACGCACATTTTCTATTTCTGGACCTCGCTGATGATGACACTGAACCTGGCCTATGCTCTTTCACCCTTCTCTTTCCTCTCCTGTTAACATGCTTGACTTGCTTGGTTACTCTGGGTCTTCCCCTGTTTAGCTTCTGGAGCTCAACTCCTTTTCTTCTTTTATTTTTCACCAACTATAACAGCAATCATATCAAATAACTACACACAATACAGTGACAGTGAGCCAGGATCCACCTTTTACCTGCATCATGAAAGTGGATCCTCGCAACATTGTTCTGATGCTCAGAGAAGAAAAGAAATGTGTCTGATGGCACATTAATACTTTTAATTACCAACACTCCAACCTGGTTCTCCCTGGCTCCAAAGCCCTAAGAAATTCCTCCTTTTACTCTAAAAAAATCTTCTCCTCCAGGGGCATCCTCTTTCCCTGCCACTCACCCTGAACTTCCAGCAGACAAAGAAAAAGCCACTTCTAATACGTTCTCTCTACCATGTTCTTTTCTCTTTCTCAATAAATTCATTTAAGAGTAAAATGTTTGATGGACAGTTTAATAGAGCTCTCCTTAAACCTGGCCACATTAATGATTTCTGGCTGGCTAAATGTCAACTTCCATAGCTCAATAGCTATTTTCCTTCTTCAACAATCAGTGTTTTGCTTGGGGTTCTTTATTTGGTGGACAGGGTATAGTGTTTTAATGGGCCATCCCTAAGTCAGTGGGCCTGAGGTTTAAGCTAAACTTACTGTGTGACCTTGAGCAAGTCATTTAACGTCTCTAGACCTTAATGACTATAAAATGATGACAGTGATGCACAGACCTGCCTACATGTTATGAGAGAGTATTTCATTGTATCTATAGTGTTTTTTAAGTTCCTTAAAGAGGGGGCCAATGCATATAAATAAACATGTTAGCCACATTGCATTCTTATTTTTAGATCTAAAAGTACAAATTTTCTCTTTACAAAAGATCAGTTTGCTACCCTAATGCCACATTTGGATAATGCAAATGTATTCTGTCCACAAAACTTGTAATGATCTATAATTTTTTGGAAACTTGCAATTGTGTTTTTCTTTGAGGGACCTTTTCATCTCTTTTTTAGCTAATGTAAACTAATATAAACTGAACTAACCTCTATCAGAAATAAAAAAGAAGGTTTATCCTGATTCTTCCATATACTATATGCCATATACATTATCACTCCTGCATTATAGATCAAGAAATTGAGTCTTAGAGATGTTAAGTAACTCTTCCAAGATCATACAGCAAGCAAGTAGCGGAGTTGGGACCCAACTCTATGCTTTTAATCAGCAAGAAATAGTGACTCCAAATGGATGGGTCATGGGTCTAGAGGAGGTCAGGGCAATGTGATTTGGGGGACATCTGAGCAATAGGGGCATCTTTACTACCAGGGGGACATCTGAGCAATAGGGACATCTTTACTACAGGTTGCAGAGTGAATTGGAATGGTTAAAGCCGTGGAATCTGTGTAAAAACCCGTAAGCAACAATCACTTCTTTTTTTCAAAAATATTTTCTTACTTTTAAATTCCCTGACTCTGGCCCAATTCCAAAGCCTCCGGTTATATGTTTAGATAATAAAAGTTGTCATCCTGGG
The DNA here is from genome assembly GCF_000001405.40 of Homo sapiens. Taxonomy (NCBI): domain Eukaryota; kingdom Metazoa; phylum Chordata; class Mammalia; order Primates; family Hominidae; genus Homo; species Homo sapiens. The sequence continues at coordinate 119,955,467 of NC_000009.12, forward strand.
TCCTGTTTGTGTGAAATCACTGCTGCAGCTCAGCCCAACATCCTGTGGGGAAAAGCCAGGGCAGAGAGCTTGGTGTAAGAGGATAGTCATTATTAGATAATGTCCCAAGACTCCCAACATATATTTTGATATGGTGACTCCTCACCTATTTGGGAATTAGGTAATCTCACAATCTCACCTGTTCAGAACATGATCTGAATAGTGCAGTAACGCTACCTCCAAAGAGAGAGACCCACCCAAGCACTTAAATGCTTCATCGCATTAAATCCTCACAACCAATCTTTTTTGCCAAGAAGGAAACAGAAGCTCACATAGCCTGAGTAACTTGCTTAAGGAGACACAGCTAGTAAGTGGCAGAGCTGATCCGTCTACCCCAGATCCATGATCTTAATCACTATGTTAGATGGAAAACAAAGAAAACAACCACAGCTGCACAACCAAAGAGATCATTACCAGCCCAGGTGTCTAATGTCAAGGCAAGTACCTCCTATTCTTGCTTGGAGTTTCTTTACACTGACTTCACCACAGAAGTCTAACCTGCATTGTCTTCTAGAAGGCACAAGGCTTGCAGGAGGGTGCAGACACAAGCACGATGAGAACTTAACCGAAAGAGCAATCACAGGACTGGAGATGAGATCTGGGTTTTCCTTCTGGCCAGTCCACTAACTCACAACACTTGGGTTTTCAGCAGGGAAGTGAAAAGTTTGACTAAGCGGTCTCTGAGGATGCTTTGGGCTTCAGAGGATATAAAGAAAAATAAGACACAATCCTTGTTTTTGAGGAACATACAGTCTCCTAAAGGAAACAGATGAAGTATACAACTATAAAACAAGACAGACAAAAAGTAGTGTTTTATAGAGGAAGAGGTGGAGTGTTTTTCATGGGAGCCAAGAACGTAAGAATTCATTCCAAACCAAAATAGATCATAGTGCAGTTTCTATTGCAAGAACAGTGTGTGTCCTTTTTTTTAATGCTGAATTATAGTCATTGCTCTCAGATTAATGGTATAGGATAGACTAGACCATTGGATAAACAATTTTGTTAAGTGCAAAGTGCTTAATACCTCAGTTATATAGATAATTCATCTATCCAGAAAGTCTCCTTCTTGGCCTTTTCCAGGCAATCAAGGTTTATAGCCCAATAGCTCAATGTTCCTACAAAAGGGGCTTGTACTCAGTAATGGCTCTGGATTGTTCTGTTATAGAAGCCAATTTATTTTATCCTTGTGAAATAAAATCCAGTTGTCTTTGATGATTCCCTCTTCTGAATCACATCTAATTTGATTCTTTATTGGAATTGGTTTCTTTCTTTTTTTTTTTTTTTTTTTTTTTTGGTCTGATGTTTCATGAATGGCCCAGAACCAATATCGAAGTGAGTTAATGTAATTGGAAGGGGCTTCTGAAACCAAATGAAAACCCAAGAGCCCTTGGAGAATTAGGGGACCTTAAGGTTTTACTCCTGCCCCAGCAGGGGGATCAGGCAGAGACGAAAGACCCTGCCCCCAGGTAATGAAGTGCTCACTGTAATCTGTAACCCTGACCCAACATCTCAGGACACATTGAAAACTTTCATTCTATTTTTAATGGTCCATGAATTTTCTCATCGCCAAGGCTTCATATCCTGTGCCCTCTGACTGGCAGACACATCCAATCCACCTGCTCCACCCCCCCAGCCCTCAAAATTATACTAGTAATTCATAATTATTTTCTACTGATCTGTCACTCTCTCCAGAATGTCTTCCCTGATGCCCCTAAGTCTGGGTGAGGCACCTCCTCTGGGCCCATCAACACATCTATAGGCCTATCAACCTGCTGTCCTAACCATCTGTTCCTCTGTCTCCCTTGATAGACTCTAAGTCCCCTGAGGGCAGGGATGACTGCTGCCTCATTCACCCACATTCTGCCACTTACAGCTGTGTGACCTCAAGAAAGTCATTTAACCTCTCTGAATCTGTTTCCTTATCTGGAAACTTGGGATGATAACATAGGAATTTAGAATGAATTAAATATTAATACATACATGCAAAAAGCTCATGACTGAGTCTGGCACACAGCAAGTAGACAATAAATGCCAGCTCCTGTCATTACTTACCATTGTTTAGCCAATGCTCATCACAGTGCTTGTTACAGAATTCTCACTCAATAAATATTTTCAGGGAAGAATTCATGAATGCTCTTCTTTACAGTAGTCACTGTCCATCTTAGACCAGCTGGGGCCTCAGAAATCAGCTGATATATGTTTCCTTTTGCATTTATTTTTTATTTTTATTTTTTAATTCAGGAAGGTACACAGGGTCATAAAAATGAAAGAGGCTTGTACCCATGCTTGCCTTAAATGGAATCACCCAGTCTTAAAATGTTGTTGTACAGGGAGAAACACCAAAGCCCAGAAAAGGGAGGCGACTTCCTCAAACACAGATGGTCAGGGTATGGGGAAAGAGTTAAATGAAATAACGCACGGGAAGCTGTTAGCACGATGCTTGTTGTTCCTGCAGTGAGACTGGACACTTGCTGGCTATTACCCTCCTTGCAGCATCCCCACTCTCTCGTCCCCTCTGCTAGGTGGCCCCAGGAAGCGTTGGGTACCTTGTCCTTGAAACCCACAGCCCTTTCCATCCCTCTCTCTTTGACACTTGTAGGAATGTGGGAACAGATCCAGGTGAGACACGTAGTAGGAACACAGTCACATTTGGGGGCTTAGCTTGTGCTCAACCTTGCCTTGGATAAGTAAGTGCATTGGATTTCTTTTGGCCAGAGAGTGGAAAAGCCTTGCCTTTGGATATCATCATATCAGAGAAAACTTAGGCCTGCAATCACATACAACAACTGCTAATGTGGACTGCAAGCCTGCTACATACAGCATTCTCTGCGTGCGCCACACCCCCTCCATCTCCCTAACATCATCTCCATCCTCACTCTGCAGATGTGGGAACTGAAAGCTGAGTGGTTGCAGGCTTTGATTGCAGCTGCATGGCTTGTGAGGGTTTGAACCCGCATGGGTGGGTCTAGGTCAAAGCTCATAGTGCCATGCTCAGCTGCCCCTTGCAGGGTTGCCCCCTCATTCCCCTCCCCTCCAGGACTTTAGGAATCCCAGGCCCCCATGCCTCCTTGGTTTCAGACTTTGTGTCTCATTATAACTTTGTGATCTGAATCTCTGATGTAAGCATTAATATTTTTTCATCCTTATTCTTGACCCTAAACATAATAATTATTGCTCTAATTCCCTGTAATAACAGACTCCTGGGAAGTGGAAAAGGACTTGGCAGTTACCCTCATCAACTCCATCCTTACTCAACAAGCACGGCTCCTTCCCTGGTTATATATCAAGATCTGCTGGGTGTTTTTAAAAATACAGATGTGTGGGCTCCATCCCTGACCCCCTCCCCCAACTAAATCAGAAATTTGCTGGGGTCAGGGTCAGATATCTCTATTTTAAAGAGTCCCCTGTGCCTTCAAAGGGCAAGAGTTCTCTACTCCAAGGATGAGAGTCAACCTTCGAAGTCAGTTATCCTTGGACTCATTGTTACCCCCACTGTTTATCAGTCCTGTGACCTTGAGGGAAATGTGTGACCTCTCTGAGTAGCCATTTCCCAATCTATGAAATGAGAAGAAAAAAATTCTTGCCGGGTGCGGTGGCTCACGCCTGTAATCCCAGCACTTTGGGAGGCCGACGTGGGCGGATCACGAGGTCAGGAGTTTGAGACCATCCTGGCTAACATGGTGAAACCCCGTCTCTACTAAAAATGCAAAAAAAAAAATTAGCTAGGCGTGGTGGCAGGCGCCTGTAGTCCCAGCTACTGGGGAGGCTTAGGCAGGAGAATGGCGGGAACCCAGGAGGCGGAGCTTGCAGTGAGCTGAGACTGTGCCACTGCACTCCAGCCTAGGCAACAGAGCAAGACTTCAACTCAAAAAAAAAAAAGAAAAAAATCTTGGGTTGTAGAGACGTTAGAAAACCTAACTTCCTTAGGCTGGCAGAGCACAGGACATGTAATAGACATTCAGTAAACCAAGCCCCCTTCCACTCTTACAGTAATTGTATTAGTACAGGCTACTTGGTCTTTTACTCCTATAAGTCAAGCTAAACAGGTCAAGTACTAGCAGACTGATGTTGAAGTGAGAGCTTTAGGTACAAGTCCAGCTTCCCTTCTTAATGCCTTTGTGACCTTGGATAAATTGCTGAGCCTCAGTTTCCTTATCTGTGAAATGAGACTGATGTCACATACCCCAGAGGGTCCCAGTACACATTAAAAGAGACTGAGTGTATAATGCATTTAGCACAGAACCTCGTCCATAAGAAGTGCTAGGTACATGAAAACTAAAATGAACAGCATTCACATCCGTTTCTGTTGCCCGCATTTTATAATTCAGTAAAATCAAACCAACCACTTCCATTGACTCGGACCATGAGTGTTTAGAGACTAGACCAGAATTTCAAGGACTTGCAGTCTTCCAGGTGCCAAGTTAACAGATTTTTGTTTTTAAACTATAGGGATTTAGGACTTAATCCACAGGAAATGGGTTTGGCAAGGCACCATAAGAACCAACACAACTTCTAACCCAATTTCTGTCCAGGCCTTTATTCACTGATGCAAAATTAATTTAACAGTCATCTCTGGCTGGGGCAGCTCCAGAAAAAAAGGGTGGTCAGTTCCAAAGCAAAAGATAGAGGGAACGAGCACATTAGACAAAAGTATCAAGATCCAAAAAGATCGGAGCAGGTCTGAGAAACAAGCCAAATCTAACAGGGTGGAATTTAACAGGGACAGATGCACAATAAATGCTGCTTTGGGACAATGGTAAATCCTGTTTCTAGGTCCTGAAAACCAGGCCCATAAACGCAGGGCAGGAGAATTATGCCATTACTGGCGTCAATGCTCAGTTAGCCAATGACAGTCAGATCTTCATGTCCCAGTTACTGTGGAGTCATGGTTGAGATTTGAACTGTGGGGCTAGCCTGCTTTCACCATTTACCAACGAAATTATTTAACTCTCTCTGCCTCTGTATTCTCATCTAGAAAGTAGGGATATACTTGTTTCTAACTTACAGTATTGCTGAGAGAATTAAATGGTATAATGCATGGGTCTGGTCCGAGAGAAGCAAAGAACAATAAAGCAATCCCTCATTAAGGAAGGCACAGTCTAGCAGGAGAGACTGACACATAAGCTATCAGGTGCTATTCAGTGTGCTGAGTCTTTGCCCAAGATGTCATAGAGCAGAGGCTGGCAAATTACAGCCCACTGGCCAAATACAGCCCACTATCTCTTTTTATAAATAAAGTTTTACTGGAACACAGCCACACCCATTCATTTATATATTGTCTATGGCAGCTTTCACACTACAAATGTAGACTTGTGTTGTTGTAACAAGACCTTATAGCCCATGATGCCTAAGTGTTTATCACCTGGCTCCTTACAGGAAAGTTTTGCCAACCCTAGGTATAGAAGAAGAAGTTAACTCTGTCTTAGATGCCAAGAAAGGAGATAATTTTTGATCTTCTAATGTGTATCGAGTTCTCTAATAGGTGAAAATGGCTGGAGGGTAAGGAGATTGATTGGGAAGATGTTGGTCAAATGATACAAAATTTCAGTTAGACAAGAGAAATATGTTTGAGATCTATTGTATACCATAGCAACTATTGTTAATAACAATATATTGTAGTCTTGAAAATCGCTCAGAATAGATTTTAAGTGGTCTCATCACAAAGAATGTTAAGTATATGAGCTAATGTATGTGATAATTAGTTCAATTTAACTATTCCACAATGTATACATATTTTAAAACATCATGTACGTGATACATGTATGTGATAAACACATACAATTTTTATGTGCCGATTTAAAATTAATTAAATCAGTGAACACGTATTAATGAATTTGAGGTTCTATAAGGCTTGATGACTGGCTCAAAGTCACAGATAAGTGTTAGGAGCAGAACTCAAACCTGGACTCCACACTGCACACTCTTTTCACTGTCCCAGGAGCATTAAAGTAACCAGACAGCATATTTATGAAGGGTATTGAAGGGTGAATAGAAGCCTCCCAGGTAGAGTTGATGTCTAAAGAATGAAAGAGGTATCCAAAGATGGTTAAATGAGCAAGAACAAAGTGTCCAAGATGTGAACATATTTTTGAAATGCAAATCGTCGGGTGTGAAGAGATTCTAGAATATGACAGCTGGGAAGGGGGATGGGAAAGAAGAAAAGAGTCCACAGGGTGGGCGATGATTGAGGGAAAGCAAAGAACTGTCCACTTGCTGTCAATGATCTCCCGCAAGGTCTCAGGAACAGCACTCCCACAAAAATGGATTGGGGAGCAATATGTCCGATTACAGACAGTCTGACATCATGGAGCCTAGTTATCTCATTGTACAGATGGCAAAACAGAGGACCGGAGAAAGAGGAAACCTTGCCCTAGGCCACACTGCACGTCGGTAATAGAGAATCCAGGATCCCAAGATTTGAGTCCAGAGATCCTTCCCATCACACCCACGGAAGGGGAGGATTCTGCCAGCAGGGGCCGCTGTGGCCAGCGCGCCTGCGGACTAGGATCCTTGTGCATCTGCAGACAGTTGATGAAGGTCTCTCGTTTCCCTGGGACTGATTAGGTTCAATTGAATTATCCATCTTGTGCCATGGTGTCCCAGACCCATTTCTGAGGGGTCACCACGCTGTTTAGGATGAGCGATGCCGGCTGGAGGCCCGCCAATGCACCTGTGGTATTTTGATAACTTCACATATTGCCAACTTCTTAATTTTAATATACAACTTACAAGCAGGGCAAAGTTTAACTCACTCTAATCAACTGTAAAATGAACTGGGGACTTGCTGTTCCCCTCTAAAGACCTGCGTCTGCATCGTGCTCATCATTAATGGTCGTGGAGCTCTCTGCTTGCCGAGATTGGTTATTAATGAGGGCTGGAATTACGGATTTCAATTAAGTACTTTGCACTGGTCCTGAAATGCAGTGGGATCCACTCTGGGGAAATATAAATGCTGAGATGAAATACAGTCCTGCCTCCCAACCCCCTGTGTCCACAGGTACCATCTTCTCAGCTCCATCTCTTTCTATAAATCTGTGGCAGCACCCTGCAGGACAAAGAGGGTGGGCATTGGGTCCAAGCCTGGGCCACACCATCTGTAGCTTTTTCCTGGAGTCTAGGCTTCCTCAGCTACAGCTTGAGTTTATGGAGGGCTCAGTATGTGTCAGGAGCTGGGAGTATAAACACGAATAAACCTGGTTCCACCAGCTGTCAAGTCTCTCTAAGAATGACTATAAAGGTCAACATTGGTTAATAGGCATTGATTAAGCACCTACTATGTGCAAGGCATTGTTCCTAAACTGATACCTAGGAAATTTTTCTGGGAAATGCTTTGAAATCCAACAGAACTGAGTCTAACTTCTGATCCTGCCTGCTCAACCCATAAGGCCTTGGGCAAGTTGCTTAGCCTCTTTGAAACTCAGTTTTTCCCCCTCTAAAATGGGAACAATAGCATTTTCATTACATGCTTCTAAGGATTAAATATGACAGCCTAAGTGAGGCACCTGGCTTTTCCTGAATGCTCTTTCTTAGACCTTTGTGAGGTTATTTACAACAAGAAGGCAGTTCTTTGCTTTCCTTTAACCATTGCACCCTCCGCTGGATTCTTTCTTGCATCTTAGCATCTCCCTCCCATGCTGTTATAAGTATTTAATAAAAAGCCATTACTATTATTGCCCATCTCCAGATCTTTACTGATCATCTACCATGTTCTCAGACCTAAACTAGGCGCATTGGGAAAATGCCTCATCACATGATTAGATAAGAATTTGTTCTCAAGCAATTTAATCTCTAGTTTCAAAAGCAGGAATAACACAAGTTGAGAAGAATTCTGTATCTGTAACTAATTAAGATTGCTGGTGCCTGGTTGAGAGAAGGGGAGAGGTGGCTAACGCAGACTGGGAAACTCAGGACACTGATCTTGATAGAGAGGTGAAGCGACCAACCAGAGAGCAGGGCTCCTGGGCCACGAGGCTGGGTGATGTGAGAGGACAAGGAAGCCTGTTCTTGATTGGCTTGCAGGACACCCACGGAAAAGCCATGGGAGCTGTAGCATAATCTGTGGTGTGGTGTGGCAAAGAAAGCTCTGGATGCTCCCAGCTCTCCTATGTGACCTAAGCAAGTCTCTTTTCATGTGGGGTCTCAGTTTCTCCATCTACAAAATGGGGAGAATTAATCCAACTTCTTTGTGGGCTTATTGTGAGGATTACATGAAATACAGAGTGTGAAAATGTTTTGAAAACTCTAAAACCTGTGGGCACATGGAGAAGCAGACAAGCATCACAGGAGTCAGGATGAAACCAGACAAGGCAGTGAACACACACACAGTCAGTGACTTGAGATCTTCTTCCTTGGGTGTGTGACCCCAAGAACATTCACCTTGGTCCGGGCTGCTGGCTGCAGCTTCAGACCCTGGCTGCCTCCCCTCGGGCTGGGCAGCATTTGGATCCCTGCTCACAGCCTCAGGCTGCTTCACATTCCAGACGTGCCACTTCCTCCCTCATGCTGTGACGAAGAAAACCACAAACAGATTTCCCATTAACTCATGAAAGCCTTGCTGCCTGGAAAGCAAAGCCTCCTGCTAGTCCTCAGCACTTTCCCAGGGGAGTATGGGAGAAGGCAGGTGGGGGAGACAAGGGCTAAAGGGGAGAGCACAATGCCAGCTCAATTGTCATACTTGGAGGGGACAAACAGCCAAGACCAAAAACCCAAGAAGAAACAGGAGGCAGCGTGATTCTCCTGTGCCAACTAAGTGCTGTGCTACCTCTGTATAATGACTTAACCTCTCTGAGCCTCAGATCCTAAAAAAACAAATTGTGCAAGAATATACTTCAAAAAGAATTTAAAAGCCATTGGCCATTTTCCTGCTGTCTTAACATTTACAACTGACATACAGAGAAGAATTTTGAAGTTATTAAAGCTTATCTATATCTATTCTCATAATCAATCTTCAGAGCAAACTTGGGAGTAAAATAACAGAAGTTCATTTGCACACTTTAGAGATTAGAAAATCCAGGCTCAGAGAGACAGTCCCCCTCTGTCAGTAGAAGAACTGGGTCACCTGACATCTCACCATATTCTTCAACGTCTTTGCCTCTCTCCCCTGAAAGAAGACTCTTTCTGGACCATAACATGCATAATGGTATGAACAACACTTAATTTGCAGCGCAAAGGCTGAGATTCTTTTTTCTTTTCTTTTTTTTTTTTTTTTTTTTTTCCCCAAGACAAAGTCTCACTCTGTCGCCCAGGCTAGAGTGCAGTAGTACAATCTCAGCTCACTGCAACCTCCACCGCCCCAGTTCAAGCAATTCTCCTGCCTCTGCCTCCCAAGTTGCTGGGATTACAGGCATGCACCACCATACCCAGCTAATTTTTTTTTAATTTTTAGTAGAGACAGGGTTTCACCATGTTGGCCAGGCTGGTCTTGAACTCCTGACCTCATGATCTGCCCGCCTCAGCCTCCCAAAGTGCTGGGATTACAGGCATGAGCCACTGCACCAGGCAAGGCTGAGATTCTTAGAGGTCAATCATCCCCCTGTCTCCACACCACCTCAGGTAAAAGACCTGGAAACTTAGAGAGATCTCAGCTACCAGACTGATGACTTTAATGCTATGAGGATACTTTGTTATTGGACATCTCTTTGGAATTGCTTTTCCTGGTTTCTCTTATGGGCAAAGAGTTTGCAGCATAGGATTACTTTTTATTGATAACCCAGAGAGGGGGCCTGTGAGAAAATGAAAAGTCTGTGCACTTGCTCAGGGCCAAATGGATTGAGCCTGATTTTGAAAATGCTTAGGATCCCTTTACTAGGATGGCGGATGAGCAAGAAAAAGAAGGAAGATTCACACCTCTTTAATCCCATCAGTGCCATAGCTGTTGTGGCTTGAACTGCATTCCCAAAAAAGATATGTTGAAGTCCTAACCCCTGATATTTGTGAATGTGATCTTATTTGGAAATAGGATTTTTGCAAATGCAATCAATATAAGATGAGGTTATACTGCAGTAGGGTAGACCCTACTCCAGTGACTGGTGTCCTTATAAAAAGAGGAAAATTTGGTCACAGAGATATGTGCAGAAAGAATGCCATATGATGATGGAGGCAGAGATTACAGTGATGTGTTTTCAACCAAGGAAGAGCAAGTATTGCCAGCAACCACCAAAGCTAGAAAGAGGCAAGGAAAGATTGTCCCCTAGAGCCCTCAGGAGGAGAATGGCCCCACAGGCACCTTGATTTTGGACTTCTAACCTTCAGAACTATAAGAATTAATTTCTGTTGTTTTGAGCCACCCAGTTTGTACTTTATTTATAGCAGCCCCAGGAAACTAATGCAATAGCATTGGCAGAACAGAAAATGAGTGGCATGTGTTACAACCACCAGAATCCACCTCCCCATGATGCTCTGGCCCTTCTGACTGGCAAAGCCTTTGTGGATTTTGTTGCCAATGTGGTCTATCCCGTGTCTTAGAGATCACACCAAGGCTCATCCCAGTCCAATGCAGAAAAAGTTTATGTAAACATTGTATAAGTATTAATTTTAGCGACTTCTAAATCTCTTCCCAATTTTGAGTGACTTCTAAATCTCTTCCCGATTTTTCCACCTGCCACCTTCCACCTTTCCAATCTCTTCCTGATTTTTTCACCTTTCCACCTTCCAAAAAACTATCTTAACCACCCACATTCACCCAATCATCCACCCATAGGTTAATCATATATTAATATAATATGTCCTACACAGTAGGACACAAAAGTGAAGGTGATAACAAGTCCTGTGATCATAGGAAGTTTAGATTCTTAGTGGCAGAAGCTATGGGAAGAAACATAAAATAAACATGTAATCTGATGAAGAAACAAGTTCAAATATTGAAAAGTGCTACATATTAAGCAAAACCAGGTAAGAGAACAAGAAGGAATGGAGGTGGGGGAGGCCACTTTCAGTTGGATGGTCATAAAAAGCTATGCTGAAGAAGAGTTTTTGAGACAGGTGGATAGAACCTTATATATATTTCTGAAAGTCAGTGGATGCTATTACTCATGAGGCTCTTCATCCTGTGAGGACTGATATTCCCAATATCTTATATCTTGATTCCATGTCCTCTACCTTTCCACTGGCCCAAACCTTAAAAAAAGCCTGAATTCTAGATTTCATATTCCTGGGAGTCAAATATAAATCACTATTTCCCTTCTCTTCCAGTATGCTACACTGTTTATAGGCAAGTGACTATATAATTTTTCATTCAAACTGGGACACTTCTGAGAAGGGGAGAGGCATTCTGGATCATTACACAGGACAACAGGCATAAACCAGGATGGTCCCAGACAAGCCAGAGTGTAAAGTGACCCAATTTACAGGCTGTAACTAGCTCCGAGATCGGTAAACTCAGTTTTTTAATGCAAGTGCTGTATCCCAGATCAATTAGCTAAGATGGAGAGGATGGAAGAAAGGTAGATATGCAAATAGCTGTCCAATCAAAGTCACCCAGCCTTAAGGTAAAGGCCTTTGCCTTCCTCCAGATTCACTGCATTCCTGTTACTACTAAACTTCTTTAGGATGAGTCATGATACATCAAAGATGCCAGCATGCCCCTCTTCACCTTCTTAATCCTTGGAAAATTACAGCTTACGGCAGAGGCTGCTAGAGGGCCCCCTAATATCCATGCTCCCCTTGTTTCATAACAACAGAATCTAGCTGCCCAGAATAGAGGGTACATTCTTCAGCTTCCCTTGCAGCTAGGTGTGGCCATGTGACTTAATTCTAGTGAATGGACGCAAACACAGGTGTTGAGTGGAAACTTTCACAAACCTCTCTGAAGATACAGTTGTTTGTTGGGTATCGTCTGCCCTTTCCTCCCTGCCTTCCTCCATAATTCTGTGACAAACATGGATATGATGGCTAGAGTTTCTCCTTGGACCTTGAAGTCAAAGGGCACATCATAGAGATGGTGGAGGGATGAATTGGAAAGAGCTGGGTGCTATCACATGACCAATGGTATGACCACCACTTGATTGGGAGGTAAGTGGCAGGTAAGGGTTGAGATTAGTTGTCAATCTAATCATCCCTTGCCTCCACACCACCTCAGGTAAAAGATCTGGAAACTTGGAAAGATCTCAGCCACCAGGCTGATGACTTCAATGCTAGAAGAATGATACTTTGTTATTGGACATCTCTTTAGAATTGCTCTTCCTGGTTTCTTTCATGGGCAACAAGTCCAGCCACTAGCAGCCGTGGACTTTCAAGTGAACAAGAAATAAGCTTTCACCCCATTTAAGCTACTCTGTAAGCACTCTCAGCTGTGCCTAATCATAACTGAGACCAAGTTCCTCTAATTCCTGACATGAATTCTACAGGGTGGGAGAACTGAGTCCCAGAAAGGGGATGTCCAAAATTCGTAATTAAAATTGAAAAATTAAATTAAAATATAGCAGGCTTCCCAACTTCCAGCTTTCACTATATTCATTCTCCTACTCAATAAACTTTTCTTGAACACAAACACTGTATCAGGCAGTAAACAGGTACTGAGTAAACAGAGCTGAGTAAATCAGGTTACTCTTGTCGGGAGCTCACGATCAAGAGAACAAATAGTAAAATTACAGTCTGAGAAGTGTTATACACATGCACGCACACGTGCACACGCACACACAAGGTAATGTAGGAACCCAAAAGAGGGAGGAGCATCTAACTGCTCTCAGGAGAGAATTCACAAGGGAGGCAACACTGGAGCTAAATCCTTAAGAAAGAATAGGAGTTTTCCAGTTGTGGAAGGGGGAAATGGCATTTTAGGCAAAAGTATGCAGGCCAGAGAGAACATGGAACAGGTGCTAGGCATAATAATGTCCTCCTAGAGATGTCCAAGTCTTAATCACCAGAAGCTGTGAATACATTGCCTTCCACAGGAAGTGGGGATTAAGGTTGCAGATGGAATCAGGGTTGCCAGTCAGCTGGCTCTGAAATGGGCAGATTAGCCTCAATTATTCAGGTGGGTCTAATATATAATCACAAGGGTCCTTAAAGCAAAGGAGGAAGCCAAAAGCTGATCATGGTTGAAGAGTAGATAAAGTGTATGAAAAGAGGTTGCAGATATGGGGGGGTCCATGACCATAGAGGCTTAAATTTCAAGGCAGACATTTTGAAATGCATAGGCAATGGGAAGCTGCTGAAGGATTCTAAGGAACGAGTGAAGTGGTCAGATTGCATCACAAAGAGGTCGCCAACTGGTGCAGAGGAGGAACTGCCAGAAGGCAGGAAGACTCCTGGAGAAGAAGTTGCAGTGGTCCTAGTGAGCCCCCCTGGTGAGCTGGGGCCACAGGGGGGCTGCCTCCTCTGGGCCCTTAGGACCCATGGGCCCTCCGCACCACAGCACTGGCTGCCAGGGGCCATGTTATGTTCCCCACTCCTTTCCTAGTGTCCTTCTGGAGGCAGCCTCTGCAGTGAAAAGCCGGACTAGAAGAGAGGTGGGCTTGAGACCTGCTCTACCATTTACTAACTCTGGGGCCTGAACCAAGTTACCTCACCGCTCCGCGCCTCAGCTTCCTCATTTGCAAAGCAGTGATGACAATCCTCTTTCAGGGTGCTTGTTTGGCATGACACTTACCAAGCCTCTCCATGCTTCCTATGAATGGCTGCATCATCCCGAAATGCTCCCTGCTGAGTAGACTATTCTCCCCGTGCTTTTAAGACTCCCACGTTGATTTCAGGAGGAAGCAACCAAACTGCAGACTTGGCCCTCGAAGCTCTCTGGAGCTGTGCAGTCTCCGGGCCGGTGTCCTGCACTATTGCTCAGAAGGCTGGGCGCCATCTAGAGGGCAACAGCGGCAACAGCCAGAAGGCAAGGAAAGCCGCAGTGATTCCCAAACATAACCAAAGGGGATGCGGGGAAGCCTGCTTCTGGCTCTGTGGGTGGATTCTATAATAAAATGAAATGTGAGATCATAGAACCTTTTAATTCTAGCATGTAGGAATTATGAAATTATAGAAAAATTAACTCTCTAAGCTATAGGGGTGGAGTCTTAGAATCACACAGTCTTTGACTTTTAGAAATAGAGAATGCAGTATTTCTAGTGTCTTCAGTTCTTATACCCCTGGGTTACCCCTTGCCTCAATAGAGTACAAATTCAAACTTTGAACATTGACACCCGGATCTCAGCCTCCAACACCTCACCTGCTTGACCGCAGCTCCTCCTTTTCTGACCAGTCACCCCCAGAAACCTTCCAAGGATGGCTCACCACCAGCCTCTACTGCCAGAACAAAAGCCCCTTGATGTCAAGGACTATGCCCTTCACCTCCTATCACCGGCACAGGGCCAGGCTCACAGTGGTGCAGGAAGGCAGCATGATCCCACTGTCCTCAACAGCAGAAGCCTATAGGTTCAGATCCCAGCTCCACTACTGGCTAGCTGGAGCATAACTTAACTTCTCTGGGCCCTTTGTTATTTATCTGTAAAATGGGAAATATCATAGTATCCACCTCACGAGGATATTAGGAGGCTAAGTTAACATAATCTATAGAAAGTACTGAGAAGGATTTCTGATACGTGATAAATGCTCGTGATAAATGCTTGGTAAATGTTAATGGTTTATTTTATTTTATTTTATTTTATTTTTTTAGATGGAGTCTCACTCTGTTGCCAGGCTGGAGTGCAGTGGCACGATCTCGGCTCACTGGAACCTCCGACTCCCTAGTTCAAGCGATTCTCCTGCCTCGGCCTCCCGAGTAGCTGGGATTACAGGCACACGCCACCACGCCCATCTAATTTTTTGTATTTTTAGTAGAGATGGGGTTTCACCATGTTGACCAGGATGGTCTCGATCTCCTGACCTTGTGACCCACCCACCTCGGCCTCCCAAAGTGCTGGGATTACAAGTGTGAGCCACCACACCTGGCCAATGATTCTGTTTTTGTTTTTTTTTGTTTTGTTTTTTTTGTTTTTTGAGACAGAGTCTCCACTCTGTCGCCCAGGCTGGAGTGCAGTGGCACAATCTCGGCTCAATGCAAGCTCCACCTCCCGGGTTCATGCCATTCTCCTGCCTCAGCCTCCCGAGTAGCTAGGACTACAAGCACCCGCCACCACCCCTGGCTTTTTTTTTTTTTTTTTAGTTGAGAAGGGGTTTCACCATGTTAGCCAGGATGGTCTCCATCTCCTGACCTCGTGATCCGCCCGCCTTGGCCTCCCAAAGTGCTGGGATTACACCCAGCCACCGCGCTCAGCCCAATGGTTCTTGATTATCATTAAAGTTGGGTTGAACTCTATGGGCAATATGGCAGCAAGGTGCCTTAGTTCGGAGACCTGACCAAACAGTGAGGGAAGCAAACAAGCAGGAAGAGGACCATTGGATATTGAGCACCCATGTGTGACAGGCGCATGCTAGGTGCCTTGCGTGTGGCTTATTAACTTCTGAAGGCAGGGCTTATGCTGTGTGCCAGCAGCTCAGTGCCCTGTTCTTGGACATTCTGATGTACCTTCCCTTCTTCTTTCTCTGTCATCTTTTGCTTCTCCATAAAACTTTCTCTGTCCCTCCAGGCTCTGGTAGCTGAGGGATTATCTCATCTCTCATTAACATAAAGGGAGTTAATGTCCAGCAATTAGCTAAAGCAAAGATAAAGAAAGCTTTCAATTCCTGTGCTGATTCCAATTAGTCTTGGCTGCCTGGAGTTCTAATCCGAGAAGTTACCCAAGGCCGTGTTGGTGTCCATGCATAAGAGTGCTGAAATAAATTGGTGATGTCTGCCTTGAGATTGGTGGGAATGAGTAGCAGTATGTGCGCCTTATACCCACCAGACCTCTTTGTGAAGAGGTCGGAA
The DNA here is from genome assembly GCF_000001405.40 of Homo sapiens. Taxonomy (NCBI): domain Eukaryota; kingdom Metazoa; phylum Chordata; class Mammalia; order Primates; family Hominidae; genus Homo; species Homo sapiens. Next base: position 119,971,302 of record NC_000009.12, read on the forward strand.
GATAAACAAGGTTTTGCCACTTACTCTATCACAAGTGTTTTAATTTTATTCATTAATCACATTTAATCTTCATAACAGTTATGAAGTAGGTGTGTTATCCCTATTATATAGATAAAGCAACTGAGGACCTAAGAGGTCACTGAAGAATTCATGTGAGTAAATCAAAAGTGTTTGCATTTTAAAGGAAACTTTAAATGGCTTTACTCAAAGGTATGGGGAAATTCTAGGCATCCTAGCCAGTCGGTGGGAAGAAATGTTGATGCAGAAAGTGTTTCCAATGCTCTGTAGATCACAAGGCATACAGTGTTATCCTCAGTCCTTTACACACCTTTGCTGAGAATGATTAGAAAATAGGCACAAAAAATGTTAAACTGCAGATGCATCTCACTTTAAGAATATACACACAGTACAGAAGCCCAGAATTCACACTGGCCAGGTTAAGGGCTGAACCTCCATTGAACAAAAGGATCTCTCTATAGACCAGCTTTCGAAGACATTTGCAGGAGGACCAACTTTGCAGGAGAGTCAGGCCAGTGGGACAGCACTGAGCCAGCAGACATGAGACCTGGGTTCCAACCTCCCTTTACCAGGAACAAGTTCTTCCCCTTCGTGGCTTTTTGTATCTCCATCCAAACCATGAGGAGGTTAAATAAGAACTATTGATCTCAGTATGGGCAACTGTACCTCTAAAGAATGATTTAGATAGTTCCAGGGCAGTTTTGGTTGTCACAACAGATAGAAGGGATTCCACTGGAGTTTGGATGCTAGACAGCCTGCGGCAAAAGAGAAGACCGAGCCAATGAAGAACTCGACCACACCCCACTCAATTTTGGGATGTTTCACCTGACATATAAATGAAAAGTCTACGTTGTAATTATCTGGGTCTAGATCCTAGTTCCATTTCACACATAGAGAAAGCATTTTTGCATGATTGTAACATACATGTATATACACTGAATTTTCCTGGATGCCGGTATCATGCAAATCCAGAAGAAATTGTGCTTGTTTGTTCAGATAGCTACTGTTTCAGAAAATTACAACTCGAAAGGCCATGCTGTTCGTGTATTTGGGTGGCCAATTCCACACATCCATTTCAGTAACTATCAAGCAATCATCTGTCTGCTATTATGTCTTCCAGTCTAGTCACATCCACTCATTCACTTATCAACATACATATTATTTTATTATAAATTACTTTGCTTTTTATTTTTCATTGACTTTGCAGTTTGGGCATTATATAGATTTTTAAAATGAGATGTCTAGGTGGGTTATATAATTTATGAATCCCATTTCAGGATAATAAAGGTAGCATCACAAAATATTAGTCTGGAAGGTTTGAGAATTACTAGGTCACATGACCCTTGGGTTCCTTCCAGCCCAGGCAAAGCAGAATTATTATGCAAAGAGAGACATGCCAGAATCACGTGCTACACATTACAGGTAGGCGAATGAGAGTAAATTATCTTGTTTTCTACAAATCATCCTCACCCACTAAATATCCCTTAGCCATTCCAGAATGTACAGTAATCTGCCCCACTGAATGCATCCTGTCTAATCTCCCAAAAAATAAAATTGCCTGGAATTGAGTTTGGGCACATTTGGTTCAAGAATGCTGCAGCTTCACTAGGTTGGAGCTGAGCACGTGCTCTTCTAAAATTTATAGTGTAATTGATTTTTTTATAAGCTATTCAGGCCTTATTATTTATTAATCTACCTGTCAAGGTTAATTTAAACTACTTCTCAATAAGGCAGTTTGACAACACCTTTGTTTTCCAGATTGACAGCCCTGGTGAATAAAGAGATGGCACAGCGATCCCTCTGCCCTTAACAGACACCTCTGGGAAGGAACCTCCAGCAGGGCAGTGCGTTACCCCGCCCTCATTAGGAAATGCAAGAGGCCTCCCATCCTACTGAGTGGGGATAGAATCCAAAGGTTACCCTTTTGTTTCCAAGTAGGTTGTAGGCCCCAGGACTTGCACCAGCCACCAAGTGACAACTGAGTCCTATAATCTGCACAGCTTCAACTACCCTTAGATATTCCCTTCCTTGCACATCGTCATGATCTTAATGGTTACTGCCTCCCAAGCTCATGGCAACAGTCTCCTAACTGGTTTCCTTGCCTCTACTTTTGTGTCTCCCCATTCATCCCAGGTGATCTTTCCAAAATGCAAGTATGACCACGCTACACCTCTGAACAAAGCCCTTCAGTGGTTCCCACAGAACCACTGAATGATTTCAATCATGTGGGCTTGAAATGCACAGAGTCAAGTTCAAAGTCCTCGATGCCCTGGCCCCTGCCTACTGCTCCAGCCTCATCTCCCATCACCCCTTCTCTGTCACCTTTTACTTTATGCCCCAACATTATCACTCAGTGTGCTGTTCCTTGCCATCTGCGTCTTTGTAATGCTGTTCCCTCTTCCTAGATCCTGGTCATCATCAAAACTCCAGTACGAATGCAGTCACTGCCATTTGCTGTCCTGACTACTCCCAAGAGGTGGATCATGTTCTGCCTCAGATTTATGTTCCTGAAATCCATGTATATTGAGTTGGTAAGCAACAAATACTTGTCAAGTGTGGACTGTGGGACACATATAGTGCTGAGACCTAAGGATACAACAGAGAACTAGAGAAAACTTGTACCTGACCTCCCACAACTTATGTCCACACTGTGAGCTCCTTCAAGATAGTTGTTCTAATGCACTTCCCAGCATGGTGCTGATGGAAGTACAAGGAGACAAGGCCAACATTTATTGAGCACAAGCCACCCTGCTTATACTTCCTTATTTCATATTAGAAACAATGCAACAAAGCTAGCATTTTTGTGTCCCCTTTCAGAGATGAGCAAACTGGAGTTCAAAGAAGTGAAACAGCTTGCCAATGTTTACTCAACCCATTTGTGGTGAGTCCAGTCTCCAAACACAGGACCGATTCCAAAGCCTCAACTCTAGTTCCACACTGTACTGCTCTCCTGGCACAGAGTTCGGACTTGTTGAATAAATCCCTGATATGCACCAAGTCAAATGCTCTTATTGTGTGTCTTCAATTTCTTTCACAGTAACAGGATAGGATAGAATGTCTTTGACTTTAATGACATTGAATGGCTGAGTCCACATTCCTGGGTAGATCCGTGATACACAGAATGTAAGGCCCATGGAGTCTGGATCTGGCCTGCCTTGGTAACATTGGGCCCTGTGGGAGCTCAGTGCATGAAATTCCCTGAGAGACCTTTTTTTTTTTTTGAAACGGAGTCTCACTCTGCCTCCCAGGCTGGAATGCAATGGTGTGATCTTGGCTCACTGCAACCTCCACCTCCTGGGTTCAAGCGATTCTCCTGCCTCAGCCTCCTGAGTGGCTGGGATTACAGGAGCCCACCACCATGTCCAGCTAATTTTTGTATTTTTAGTAGTGATGGGGTTTCACCATGTTGGCCACGCTGGTCATGAACTCCCAGGCTCAAGTGATCTGCCCGCCTCGGCCTCCCAAAGTGTTGGGATTACAGGTGTGAGTTACCACACCTGGCCTCCCTGAGAGACTTTAGCAGTGATGCTGCAATTGACATTGAATGGGACATTGCATTAACCGTGAGTGAGTAGAATGCTGATCCGATCCAAGTCCTCACTCCTCACCTTCTCAAGTTCAAAGAATATAAACTTAGTACGACTTTTCACAAGAGAAATTTCTCAAAGCCAACATGATCTCCATGGGCTGAAAGTATAACTAGCAACTGTGCCATAGGCCTAGGAAAAGGCAAATGCACTGCCCCATCTGACCCGTTGGCCAGAGCAATGCCATTGAAATGGGAGAATCCAGGGCCATAACTTTAAGGAATCTGTGAAGATATAAAAAGAGAAGAAGATTTTCATTGCTATTCTATTTCTATTTATAAAAAGTAACTGTTGAATATATAAATAAACCCAATTTAAAAATAGGAAACATATTTTGAATCATGTGGGCTTGAAATGCGCTGCTAGATTTCACACCTCTCTCATCCAGGCCTTGAGGTGGGAGCACAACATGTAAGTGGAGCAGTTACCTAACCAGCCCTCACAGCCCAGGGCCCATCTTCCCACCATCATTTTGGACTTGGGCATGGAAGTTAATGGCAATAGAGATAGAAAAGAGGGGGTCAGTAGGAGAGTGGATCTTGAGCATGTTTATTCAGAAAGGGGGATGTCACATTCTCTCTGTAACCTTGACAGGTCAGTTATGTCATGGACAGGACATCAGCCTAGGCTGCCATGGCCCGTAATGAAGGAGCATGAATAGGCTCCCTGCCACCCTTTGCTAACTCAACCCAAAGGAGGACTGACGCATTCATCTGAGTGGCAGGACCTGAAGTTCTGGACCATGTTTCACTAATGACTGGCATAGGTCCCAGCATGTGAAAAGCCTGCCCTCTTCTCCAATATTTCACTTGCATTCACATGCAGAAGGCCTATTTCCTATTTAATCTTATTTCCTGCTTCATGAACTGCTGAAAGCACCAAGGCTCTGAAAAGCACTCAATCCCCAGTCACCTCCTTACTGTGGCCTTTTCTTCCATGTTGGCAGCCTGGCCAGGGTTACTGCCCCAGGCAAGGGCTAGGCAGTTGGACCAGCTTAGCACATCCACACTTTAGGGGAAATGTGCTCATGTGTCTTATGCTTCCAACTGGTCTTTCTTCCCTAACCCTAACCCCAGTCATCAATTTTCTGGATGCAGATAATGAAGTATGACAGAAATAGAGATCCAGGGCAACTGGAGAAAAGCTTCCTCAAGCCTCCTGTGTGAGGACCTCTTCCACGTTCTTCAGTTTTTACCAGTGCTTTGCACCAGGTTATGAAGAATCACTTCACTTTAAAAAAAGTCAAACTCGACTTCTCATTTGTCTATTGATCTTTGTACTAACTTCCCTCAGAATTCCAGAGAGAAGGAGGGTGAATTTCAAATGCTTGCCATGCACTGCCAGACTAGACTGGGCATGACAATGTCTGACTTTCTACCACCATAGTTTTGGTGGCAACTCCTAAGAACATGAGCGTAGGTTCTAAACAGCCCATGAAGGTGAAACATCAGCATTCTTTCAGTTGCCATAAAGTTCTAAGGCTCCTTCTCCTCCCCATGCCAGAGACCTTGAAGCCTTTTGTGGGTTGGCTCTGAGAGTGCTTCCTATTGAAGGTCTCAGCTCCAGATAGCTCCTTGATTTAACTTAGAAAGGTAGCAGAGGCTGTGTGCCTTAGTTTGCTATGGCTGCCATGAAAAAGTACCGTAGGCTGAGTGTCTTAAGCAACATAAATTTACTTTTTCACAGTTTTGGGGCTAAAAGTACAAAATCAAGGCGTTGGCATAATTGGTTTCATTCTGAGGCCTTTCTCCTTGGTTTATAGATGGTTATCCTCTCCCTGTGTCTTCATGTGGTCTTCCTGCTGTGTGTGATGAATGGTAGGGGTCCTAATCTACACTGAAGATTCAGATGACTTAGACCCAGAACTGAACACAAGACTATTGGACTCCAGTGTCCAACCCCTGTTTAGGCTGAGACTTGTAGGGTAAGTGGCAGTTAAGAAGAATCTCCTCTTTGTATAAGGACACTAGTCAAATTAGATTAGAACCCACCCTAATGACCGCATTTTAACTTAACCTCTTTAAAGAACCTATCTCCAAACATGGTCACCTTCTAGGTACTGGGAAAGAGAACTTCAACATATAAATTTTGGGAGGACACAATTTGGCCCATAACACTGGGAGTGAAGAAAATGAGATCCTAGACCCAGTTCTGACATGAGGATAAAGTCTAAAATGCATAAAATGGCAAAGCCCTCTACTACCTTAGTCCTGCCTGTGTCTACACACTCGCCTCATGTTCCTCTCTCACTCTTTACACACTGCAGACATAGTCTTCTTTTCATCTCTGAATTGAACCAGACTTTGGTCCAGACTTCTTTCCATCTCTGAATGGAGCTTTGTCTCTTAAGTTTCAAACACATGGATTCCCTCTGTCCAGCTTCTCTCTCAGCTCAGCTTCTCCCTCACCTGGCTAACTGCCACTCACCCCTCAAGTCTCAGCCTAAATATCCCCTCCTCAGGGGTCAGACATTTGAGTCCAATAGACCTGGGTTCAGTTCTGGGTCTAAGTCACCTGGATCCTCAGTGGGGATTAAGGCCCCTGCCTTCCATTCCCACAGGTCCTCACCTCCCCTCAGTAACACTAATAATGCCTGAAGTTGGGCAGTGAGCATTACTGAAAAGATGTCTCCGTCTGGCTCACTGATTATCACTGCCGATTCAGTCAGGAGAGTCAAGGATATGCCACAGAGACAAGCATCACCAAAAATGCAAGGGTTTAACAGAAAAAATGGTTTATGTCTCATTCATAGTGCATGGCTCTGTCATCAGGAGACTGCTCGTTGTAGCCCAAGCTGATGAAAGTTCTGCTTTGATGTGTGCTTCCACAATCACACACCAGGAGAGCAGAGTTCTGGAGGATCACATGCTGGCAATAAAATATTCCAGTGGGAGCATGTCACACATTGCTTCCATGCACAACTCTTTTGGCTGGTCTCATGACTGCACCAGGGAGCCAAAAAGTGCAGACTTTCAAGTATTGGTGAACAGCACTAATGATTACCACAATGGCAACTTCCAGAGCACAATGATGCTTAATCGAGATATGTTGAATGGTAATAATAACCCTCATTTTTCAAGCACTTACTGTTTTGTGCACTGGGTGGTAATTGTTTTTACTGAATATGGATTCATTCTTCCTACAATGGCATACATGTGTCATAATACCACCTAGCTTCATAAAATCCTATGACTCCATAGCCACTTCCTGCTATTATCCCATTTCTCAGTAAGTTACCTGGAAGCCCAGCCTATCCTTGTTATGCCCACTTTCTTACCTCCCTCTCTAATTTTACCCCACTCCAATCAGGCTTATACCCCCGCCTCCATTGAGATGACTCTTATCAAAGTCATCTCTGGCCCACCTCCAGCCAAACCAGTAGTGAGTTATCTGTCTTCCTCTTGATATTTTGTAGGTTCACTCCCATTGCTTGAGATATTTTCTTCTCTAGAAATCCTTGGCACCTCACCCTCACTGTGTTCCTCTCACCTCCCTGGCCGTACATGCTCAGCCTCCTCTGCTGGCTCCCACACTCGGCCCAACCTCAGAATGCTGCCTGGCCCTAGGATTCTTCCCCACCCTTTTTGTGAGCCCCACTCTCTGGAATCTCCACCACTCCCATGTCTTCACCTGATCTTTGTATATGTTAATGACTCTCATGTACATTACAGGATGTTTTCCTAATTCACTGCCCTTCCAGCGTCTCCAACTAGATATCTAATAGGCATCTAAAATGTAACATGCTTAGATCAGAACTCAATTCCTACACACTCCCGCCACCCCAAGTTGTTCCCATATTAATAAAGGTAGCACTGTCCACTCAGTTTCCCAAGCCCAACACCTTGAAGTTATCTTAAATTGTTTTCTTGTCCTTAGACTCCATATCCAACCCAAGAGTAGTTTTCTTGGCTCTATCCCCACCATATTGGCTGAATCCAACCATTTGTCATTATTTCTCTTTTCCAAGCCACAACCAGCCCTTACCTGGAAAATTATCACAATTTCCTGACTTGCCTTAGAACTCTTGAATGACTTAACTGTAGCATCCTGAATGAAATCTGCATGCCTTGCTGAGGTCCACAGGGTGCTAAACAACCTGGCCCATGCCCCTGTGCAATCTCACTCTTTCCACTCACTCCCATTTTCTCCCATTGCAGCCTCCCTGACCTGCCTGTCTTTCCAGTATCAGGTTCTCCCATCCCCAGGCCCTTTCATGGGCTGTGCGTTCTTCTCAGAATACTCTCATCCCACAGCTTTTTATGGCAGCTCAAAGCTGTCAAGGAGCTAGCTCAATGTCATTTATCAGAAAGTGTTAGAGCCAAGGTTGGGAAAAGTTTTGTTCAATTCCCACGCCTCTGTTCTTGCCTTTGCACTGCCTTCCACTAGACAGTGGTGGTGAAGTGCATTAGCTTTGCCTCTCTGCAGTTCCTTTCAGCATTAAAATTCCATTTTATTCTAAGTGTATCTTTGCAAAGGCCATTAAAAAGGTCATCTGGCATCAAATCTCCTTTCTTAACTTTGGAACTAAGAAAGTCCTCTGGTGCTTTCTCAGCTGTAAAACAAAGATAATACCTTCCTGTGAGACTTTAAAGAGATGCATGGCAACATATCTAGCACACAGTAGGGACTCAATATATGCGATCTTCATTTTTTCCCTGATATCATTCACTTATTCTACAAATATCTATAGAGCAATGCTCTGTGCTACATGCTATGGGGGTTACAAATGTGAACTGGCATAGGATTCTTCTCTTTAGAGACTGAAATTGTCATAGGGGACAGAAAGCATTTGCTCAAATATCTTTAATACAAACTAGGAAGTGCAAGGTGCTTTGACACTGAAGTTCAACAGAACTATGTTCAGTCCCCAGTCCCCTCTGCCCTGCTGTGTGATGTCAAGGAAGTCACTCAACTTCCTTGAGACTCACTTTCCTCATCTGTCAAATGAGGTCAACACCAAGACTCAGTATTGTTTACAGGAATTAAACAAGTTGAGATCCATAAAACATAGCAAGTGCTCAATAAATAGAAGCTGTTAGGATTGTGTTAACTGACATTTACTGAGCACTTACTATGTGCTGAGCATGTTCTTGGTGCTTTACATGTAACAACTCACGGCTCACAGCAACCCTAATATTAATGTGAGTACACTTACTTCCCTCATTACAGGATAAAGGAATGAAAGCACAGAGGGGTTAAGGGCCTTGGCCAAGGTCTCACAGCAAGTAAGTGGCCTGCAGTGAGGCTATGGAGTCATGAACCTAACCACTGGACCAGACTGCCTCCCTGAGAGGAGTTCTGTAGGTTGCAGAGCAGAGAGAGCTGAATTCCAGCTTCGGATGCAATCAGGGAAGGCTTCTTGAAGCAGGTGGGGTTGTGCAGCTCCCAAGCTCTCCTTAGCCCTAGCACCCATTCCTTCAATTCTACATCCATCACAGCCTGGAAGTCTTGACCTCCCTAGCCCCCAAAGTCTGCCACGACTGAGGTGTAATGTTTGAAAATTGCCCACTAAAGTGTGAGAGCAAACCAGGCAGAATGCTAAAAGACCAGAAAACATAAAATATGAAAACAGCCTCTGACAGTGCAAAAATCAAGGAAGGACTTCTGCAAAAAAAAAAAAAAAAAAACTCCGTTTCTAGCCAAAAGGAGCTTTATTCCACCTAGTAATTCAGTGTGTCTGCTCTCCCTTCCCCCGAAATAGGAACCCTCCACCCTAGGCATGGGTAATAAGGTGAGGCTGGGATGGCCCTTCCGTAATGAAGGCATTTCTCCTCCTTGGTGGTGGGGGATGAGGCATGATGGAGGGGCAGAGGGAGTCAAGGGCAGTTTGGGGTACAAATTCCTTTGTCCTGCACAGTCATTCTGAGTCCATGGGATTGGAAGAGTCTTGAAAGCTAAACTAAAGAAGACCCTTGGAAGCTGGGCTCCCATCAGTGGGGAAAGGAATTGGGACCCTGGGGCCATACAGAGAGCTCAGCAAAGGTTTGCTTCAAAGGTCTTGGAAGTTTTTGTCAGAAGAAACCTTGAGTTGTCATGTGGGTGTATACTAAAGGCAAAAGCATGGACACCGGAGGTGTATGGGCCTGGTCCAAACCCCAACCCTGCCGTTTCCAACCTGTGTGACCTTGGGAAAGTCCATTTGCCTCTCTGAATCTTGTATTCCATGAAATAGAATATCTGCGTCAGGGAGTTAAGTGACACACCATCATCTGCAAGAGACATGGCACGAAGCACAAAGCAGGAATTCAAATGTCGACTTCCTTCACCCTCCTTACAGTGTCAGCCTGGGGGAATAAGACCTGGAGCCTGTGCCCTTCTCCCTACAAATGGCCTTCTCCCTGATTCTCAGCAGCCCCTCAGCTGACACTGCAGAAAGGGAGGCCAGATTGCTCCTTGGAACACTCTTTCAGAAATGCTAGGCTGAGAACAGAATGATTGTGATGTCCATAAGTTTAGGGAATGCTTCCCTGCCCTGTCTCCCCATCAGCGACATTAAAGGCTATGAAAAGGCCTGCAGTGGAGAGACTTGCTCAACTTTTTTTAGCCCAAAGTCCTACTTGTCCATAGAACTTTTTATTTTTTGAAGAATATCACATATTAATGGCCTCCCAAAACCATATGCCATGAAAATATATTTCAAGAGGTGTTGCCAGATTATATTAAAGGCAAAGGTCAGTTTTATGTGAAAGGGGAAAATGAATTTAAATGTTATTATTACCAAAGTAGATTATTTCCCCTTCCCACAACTGATTCCCGGGGACTTTATGCCTCCATCTCCATATCCTGCCCATGCTTCAAGCATCAGCTCACTTACCTCTCATCCATGGGACCTTCTCTGATTCCTCCTTCACCAGGAGGATGTGGCTTTGCCCTTCCCCCAAATCACAGGCATTCTCTCTGCCCCTCTCCTTAGGCACTGAGCACATCCTATCTGGTATTCAGGTGATACTCTATGCATGAATATGTCTGTGTCCCATCAAAATCTAAACTGTCTGAGATCAGGGATATCGCTGCATCTCCAGGGCATTGCAGAGTGCCTGGAACTTGGGAGGTGCTCAATAATGTCACATGAAGCATGATCCCTATATCCCCTGTCAGTCTAAGAATTGCAAATCCACACATGATTCTAGCTGGAAAGGACACTGGGGGTTCATCTGACCTAACTCTGAATCCACTGCGTTTCTTTTATTGGACAAGAATTTATTAGACAAGAATTTGAAAGCACCTATTCTGTGATAGCCATTAGACTAGATGTTCACAGCACAAAGATGAATCAAAATGGCCCTTGCCTTTACTAGCAGGACCATGGGAAGTGGTAGCACAGAGCCTGGCACGTTCTAGATATACAACAAATATATGTTGAATGATTGAATGGACGAATGGATGAACGTTAAAGATACATACAAAATGGGATGGAACACAAGAAGAGGTAATATTTGATCTGGATCTGAAGAATGAGGATGTTTCCCAGTAATGAAAAGAAGGGATCGAAGGGTATTCCAGGAAGAGGGAGCAACATATGCAATGACACAGAAAGAGGGAAGGACATGATAGGATCCATAAGAAGTTCTTGGAGGGTGAAAGAATGAGTGCCTAAGGAAGAAGGAATGATGTGGCAGGATATGAACAGGCCAAAGTCAATTATAAAGATAGGCATATGCCCTGCTGAGGAATTTGAGTCTAGTCAGCTTGCAAGGATGGTTAGTAAGAGGCCCCCAGATATGATCCTGTTGTAATTTCTTTGTCCTGGTCTGTCATGGGGGCCACGCTGAGCCACACTGATCCTCCTCAGGAAGGAAGGACTTATTCCATCAGCTGTTGGATGTGTTGGTGGAAGATGGCACTTAGCTGGCAGTTCTTTCTGAAACCGCCTTCTGCTGAAGAGGGCTTGTCTTGTCCTAGGTCATGGCCCCTTCCCAGGGACAGTCTGCATCCAATGACTGGGGAAGGAAGACCTATCGCCCTCACCGTAACTCAGGACAACTCTAAAGGGCCACCAAGATCTAGAGTGCTCTGTGGGTCAGATGAGGCTTTCACTTGGCTTGCAACACAGTTCAGCTTCTCCCTTTGCCCGCTCCTTTTTCCTCCCCCATAGCATTTACCAGTAAATATTCTGCAAGCCAATCTCTATCCCAGAATCTACTTCACAGGAAAGTCAACCTAAGACATGATCCTTGTACTTTCATTTGCCAGAACATTGCACCCCTCTTCCCGAGTCTATCTCATAACCTTTGGGAAATAGCTAAATGCTTCACTGCCCAGTGTTAAGAAGAGCCCTTCAGCCTACTAGTTTTACATCCACTGACGAGAGATGGTAATATTGTCCCAAGACTTGCAGAGTATAGGACACTGAACAAATAATCATAGCCAAATTCAGAGGTTCCTGGTAGGTAGAGTGAAAGGCACACTTCTTTACAGAATGCATATATTTGTATGTTTATGCACATTTATTGACCACTCACTGCATGCTAGATTCTACTCACTCATTTAATCTGAACCAGACAGGTATTACTGTCATCTCCTTTTTATAGATAAAGGAGCTGAGTCAGAGAGAGGTTACACGGCCTGCCCAAGATCACAAAGCTAGTGTGTGGCAGACATGGGTGAGTCTCAAACCCAAGCAGCCTGGCTCCTGAGCCACACTCTCCAGCACACCATACTGCTGGAGACCTCATTGTAATTGTCTGAGAAAAGAGGGACTCTGTGTGGGCAGAACCTAAGAGGGTGGGGAAAGATAAGGCAGCAGAGGATAGCATGATGTCCAGCACCCACCACATCTTCGGAAAGATTAGGGCCCCAGTGGGGAGAAGGGCAGACCCAGCTACCACCTGAGCTGTTCTCCGAGGGACTGGATGAAGTGTGGGGCACAAGGAATATTGTACTGGGGTTCAGGTGACAAGATGAGGTAAAGAATTGGGAAGAGGGCATCCTTGCCCTGCATACATGGGTGGTGGCTTTTGGGATGCTGGGCTGCAGCATCCCTGGTCAGATACTGGAGTTTCAGTGCAGACACAGTGGCGAGACTCAGAGTCCAAGAGCAAAACACACACCCATATGCTTATTTCTGAGGCAACACACACACACACACACACACACACACACACGCTTATTTATGAGGCTGTAGGGGACATTCCCAATTTGAGGGCTCCTCCAAGCTGGGGAAGATTCTCTTGGGGCTGAAGTCCTAATGCCTCGTCAGTGAAGCCTTGGAGCTGTCAAGATCTCTTCACCATCACTTGATGAGTCCTGGATAAGTGGATTATAAGAATGTTCCTATTTTACTGATGAAGTCACTGAGGCTCAGAGTGATTAAGTAATTTGCCCAGGGTCCTGCATCTGCCACCATCCACCTCTCAACTAGCTATTCCATGGACTCAAGAGCATCTCATTTGCTCTTCCAGTGAAGAGCCTGGCTTCAATCCTGCAATCATATAGGACATACCTATCTTCACAGTTCCCAAAATGCAAGAAAGCCTGAAAAGTGGTGGTAGCATACTTTACTACGTTTTTCTCTTCCCAGCCATCTTCCTGTCTCAGGCTCTAGCACCTGCCTGCTTTAAAAATAATAAATAAAATGAATAAATTCTTGCCATGAACAATTGAAAAGGTAGCAATTTATTAGCAGGCAGAAGACTCGAGTTCTGATCCTGGTTCTTTCTCTAACTCTTTTTAAGACTTTGAGAAACTTTGCTCCCCTATCTAGACTAAAGGGTCCCCAGTACTAAAGCAAGTGGGTTGTTCTGGGTCACCTATACAGACATCTCCAGCTTGGACACCTTGTAAATTAAAATTTGTTCATACTGAGGTGTAAATGACTACTGACAACCTCTGTCAAGAGAATTGTAACCTAGCCAAAATCACTATCTTGAGTTAAAGCTGACTAAAAAAAAGAAAACTCTTATTGTAGTATTTTAGCTACAATAAACAACTGGTCATCATGTTCATCAGTGACAGGGAAGAGAAGCCAGCATTGATTGGGCAATATTTTTCTCAGAGCATCATAACACTCACAACACCATGAGATGACAATCACTCCATTTTCAGACAAGGAAATGATGACTCAGAGGTATTAATGAATTCGATCAAGGTTGTCCAACTACTGAGTGGCAGAGGACAGAGTTGGCTCCACCATGGCTCACTGTACCCTGCCTCCTACCCCGTGCATCCACCCTATGGGAAAGGGGATTAATGGAGACCTCCTGCCATCTTTACTTTTCAGCCCAGAAAGGTCTTTGTCTAGTTTGCATTGATTTTCGTGTGTTTGTTTGTTCTGGATGCATTTGCAGAATCTGAGATCCCAGCTGAAAATAAGGCAGATAAAAAGAGAAGTCAAGAGAATGAGAGAGGCGGACTCCTTTCAGCATCTCCAGTATTGAAAATATTTCATGCTGTCTCCACTCTCTTATTTGTTGCCTCCTTACTTCCTCCACGATAATGTTCCAGACATATCTCCAGCCCATCCATTTGCAGACCCCTGGCTGGTGATAGGTCATGAAGGTGACCACAGAAATTGGTAGATTCTGAGATATTAATTTCTAGCCCTCCTGCCCTAGTGTAATAGCCACTTAACTAATCTTCCTGCCTCTAGTCTCACCGCCTCTTCCAACACCAACACAGCATATAAAATGTTACAATATTAAATGCCCCAAAGCACAGCCTGAAAATCTCCAGTGGCTCCTTACTGCCTTCAGAAGAAAGTCCCCATAGTGTGTGTGGTTCAGCCACAAGCTCCTTTTCAAATCTTAGATCCCACAACCTCATTTATTCTCCTACCTAGGAGTGTGAGCCTATCCCATTTGCTGTAAACTTGCAGTGATTTCCTGCCCCAAGCCTGCTTCATTCTCCGTGTTCCCAATTTCCAACCCTTCCTCTTCTGCAGGTCCTAAACCCACTGCAGCGTCATCTCACATGGACAGTGTTAAGAACCATGTGCCTCCTATTTTGTGCCAGCGACTTTATCTTTGCCTCACCTACTCTGCCTCCTCTCCCCATCTCTACCCCAATCCTGACCCCACTAAATACTAAGCTCTGCAAAGGCAATGACCTTGTTTAGTTCATGTCTCTGTCCCCGCAAACTCCAGAAAGAACTTGGAACACAGTAGGTATCAGTAAATGCTTATGAATGAAGACAATTAATAATAGTCCCTTACATTAGAATAGCAGTTTGCATGAATGTTCTATTCCTAAGTAGAGTCCTGTAAGACCCCCAGGTGGAGAGATTGCCTGCCCCATGAGCAGAGGAACAAGGTAAGGCCCTGAGAGGCAGATCAGTTTGGTCTAAGTGGCACAGCCCCTCTGCAGTGAGATTAGTACTGCAACTTTGCTCTCCTGTACAAGTGCGATGTCTAGTGATTTTTAGTTTACAAAATTGCTTTTGCCCCTCCCAGTGATCCCAGCCTCCGGCCCAGACCACTCCCAGTCACAGGCCGTGGGAGGATTTAGAGACTTTGAACTGATGCCACTGCAAACCCGAGGGCTCATTGATGCCATCTGCAGGCTCACCTGAGAGGGCATGGCCAGCTGTGCCTTCTGGGTTCTGCCTGACAGATGCCACCTGCTGCTGCAGAGGGCATGAGAGGGAGACCAGAGCAAGACAGCAAGGGCCACAGCAGCTGATGCCTGCCTTGCATTCTTGGCATCTGCCAGGCTGACTTCATTTTCAGATTTTGCACCTGCAGATGTTGAGGAGATTTCTTGGCCTCTCAGAATAACAGGATCAGGGTTATTAATTTGCAGCTTCAAATTCCTCTTGACTGCTACTCTCAGCCCCAGGGTCAGCACCCAGGCACCCATCTGGTGACTCCTTTGAAAGGTCCTTTGACACATGTCTCCTTCTCAAATCTGCTTCATTCCTCGCGGTAAGCAAAGAAGCCAACGCTCATCGAAAAAGGTCAAACACCCGTACTGTGTTTGTTCACGAGGGTGATATTTCACCAAAGAGCAGATGCTTCCTAAATGATAAATAAGAGCAGCAGCGCCCTGCAGGTCTCGGGGGAGGGAAAGGTCTCCACTCCATATGCAGCACAGGCTCCAGCAAAGACTAGGAAGAAGGGAAGGGCACAGTTTAATTCATTACGGCGCATAACCTCGATACAGGGAGTGGATAGTGCACCTAACACATAGTGTGTCCTCCATTAATGCTTATTGAATGGACAGATAACTTCATTAGCAACCACTCATTGAACACCTGCTATAGGCCAGACACTGCAAAATTCTTAAATATACTTTCTTATTTAATCCGCATCACAACTCTATGAGGAAATAGGCTCAGAAAAGCTGAGCTACTTGTCCAAGATTACTTAGCTAATACGGGATGCATCTCAGGTGTGTCTGGCTGCAGGATCTGAATTATTAACCACCAGGCTGCAAGTGCATGGAGCCTAATAAACCTGGGCCTGGACCTGAGCTCCACCTTGAATAAGTAGCTGCAGGGTAAGAACGCAGAAATAACACTAGAGGCTGAAGAGATCAGCTGCCTATTTAGCATGCAAGAAATACTGCATACCTTGGAGTCCAACAGACTTGAGCTTAGATGTTACTCCCTCCACTTGGTAAC
The DNA here is from genome assembly GCF_000001405.40 of Homo sapiens. Lineage (NCBI taxonomy): Eukaryota > Metazoa > Chordata > Mammalia > Primates > Hominidae > Homo > Homo sapiens. The sequence continues at coordinate 119,987,463 of NC_000009.12, forward strand.
AGTATGACCACCACAGAAGTTACTGAGTTTCTGGTCCCTGTTTTCCTCCTCTGTAAAATGGGCTGAATAAGAACTAAACTGCAGAATTATTATGAACGTTAAATAGGGCAATCTATATAAAGGATGAGTACATAGTAGATGTTTAGTAAATATTAGCCCTTATTATCATTTCTCTGGGTAGGAGTAAACAAGGAGCATATAGAATGAATAATAGATGAGTAAATTGAGATGACAAACAGATTGTTGTTGTTGTTTGAGATGGAGTCTTGCTCTTGTCACCCAGGCTGTAGTGCAGCGGCACAATCTCAGCTCACTGCAACCTCCGCCTCCTGGATTCATGCAATTCTCCTGCCTCAGCTTCCCGAGTAGCTGGGATTACAGGCACCAGCCACCACACCCGGCTAATTTTTGTATTTTTAGTAGAGATGAGGTTTCACTGTGTTGGCCAGGCTGCCTTGAACTCCTGACCTCAGGTGATCCGCCCACTTTGGCCTCCCAAAGTGCTGGGATTACAGGCATGAGCCACCGCACCCGGCCTAACAAACAGGTTTTTAAGATTAAGAAGTACCACAAATTGTGAGATCAAGGACCTCTTACATCCTCCCCATTGCCACAGGCAATGCAACACCTGTGAAATAGGAACACCTATCACAGAATACCCTTAAGTTCTAAAAACAAACATGAATTCAAATCTCTCTACTCACTTTCACGCCAGGAGGATACCCATCCACCTATAGATCAACTGGCATTGGCCAGGGGTTTTGATCTCCCCACTTGCCTTTCTTTTCACCTGTTAGTCCCTGCTCTGTCCTTGACTCAACTAGCTTCTAAACTACATGATATTTATTCAAAGAGCAGTGGAAATTCATTGAAGCGTTTTGGACAGTAATCAACTCTGTGCATTTAAAAGGTTTCTCATGCTATAATATGGAGGACTGTTTAGAGTATATCAAGTGGATTTGGGTGAACCAAGCAGGAAGCTACTGAAGTCATCCAGGCAGGAGACTATGGTTTTTCAGACTAGTGGTGAGGATAGAGCCTGGAGAAGTATTGAGAGGAGAGACACTGAGGAGGTAAAACTGTCAGGTTTTAGAGATGGATTGGAGTGCAAGATAAGAAGAAGGATACTATAAAAAGTAAGTTTGGGACTTGTGGCTTGCATAACCAGACAGATAATGTTCCTCTTCACTGAGATGAGGAGGGACAGATGAGCATTACATTTGAGAGGGAAGCAAGAGCATGAGTTCTATTTGGAGCATAACCATTGTCTAAGTGATCAGAAAGTTGCCAAGAAGGCCTTCTCACTACAGTCTGTGACATATCTTGGAGTACAACATCAGTGGGGAAAGGGCCAGTGTTCCATTCATAACAGCATAGTCACCAAGGGTTAGGCTGGAAAAACAGAACCAAAAACTATTGCGCTAGTATCCTGGGAGCTTGGGGTTTACACAAACTTGATGGAGCATACAGATGTAATCAGCCATCGGCACTGTAGCCAGAACTAGAGGATGACTTCGGGTGGGAGTACCAGGAGACACAGGGCAGCTGTCACAAGGCAGAAGGCTGGAGACCATGGCAGATGAGATACCTAGGAATGCTGATGGACTTGGAAGGAGACTTTTTGGTAATTTTCCTAGTGGCAGGTAACCCAGGAGACTCCTGCATTTCTTACTCACACACCTATTACAGATCCCAGTTACAATCCTATGGTCCTAGAGAAGGTCTCCATGCCTGTGAGCTGCAATCCTTTTATATGTAAGGGTTTAATCTGATACGTAAGAGATCGATCTTATCGGATCATTTTGAAAATCAAATAAGGCAATGTGTATTAAGTGTAACAAATAGCACATAGTAGAGAATCAATAAATGTTGGTTTACATCTCCATCAGCCATCTTGGAGAGCTGATTTCAATTTGGTTTCATCAATTAGTCACCATTGACAGAGCCTTTGGTATGCGTTAAGTGCAAAGAAAGATAAAAAGAAGTGACTGACAGGAATTATTCCCTTAAGGTGCTTACAATCCATCAGGAAAGAAGAACGTGTAAACAACCAATTCCAACATAGATAACAAAGGGAAAGTAATACTATTAACTGACTGCAGCAGCCACTCTGCCTCTAAAAAGGGGCATAATTTCCTCTAGCATGGATAGCTTTTTTTTTTTTTTTTAAGAAAATGAAATACCTGGAAAGGTACTTTTTGGGTAGGAAAAGTAACCCCAACATATCCACCTAGTGTATGTCTGGGAAAAGAAGGTGAAACACAGCACAGTAAGAGGTCATCAAGGGCACATGCATTGATCTTGCATTGCAGTGTTCTACATTGTGTAAGAAATGTACAATAAATAATTATTTTAAATGATCCCTGGATATAAGAAAGATCTGCAAAAGAATGAACAGAAAGTATGAGGGGTGAGGGGAGCTTGGGTGGGAAGAGACCGAGAAGAAGCTGATCAACATGATGACAGTAAGGTCTAGGTAGTGGCTAGTCCTCCTGCAGGGAGATTTTCTAGAAACTGGGTACCTAGTGTTCACTTTAAGTGAATGTTCATGTCATCCTGCAACATTATCCCCCTGATCCTCATCCCCTAAGCTTCATGCTGCCATGCATGGTCTTGGTTGCTGGCTCTTTGGGGGAAGTGAAAACACTGAGGTTTGTCCCATGAGGATCTGCTCAGCTTAGGTAAGATGCGCAAAATGGGAGAAGATGAGAGGACCAAGATAACCACAGAAGCAAAATGGAACCAGAAGTGGCACAGAGGGAATAAAGCCCCTTAAAATCTCTAGAGGTAGGAAAAGGAAGACTGGCTTTCCTACCAGGTATGCAATAAGGATTTGAAGGTTAAGGTGGGCAAAGGACCTATTACATAATGACATTTGGGTTTACCAGGAATGATAATATATTGGTGGTGACCAGATAGTAACCAGCCTGTTCGATGTGGGGATGCTGCCACTATTACCTAAGTCTTGATAGGGTTGAGATTTACAGACAAGGCCCAGACCACTTCAGCTCCTGCCCTCAGCATCTCTAAAATTTTGCCTTAGATTATTGAATGTGTCCACAAACTAACTTGAGAGGTTTAGCATATGTATTAGGCACATAGCCTCTGGATCCAGACTACTTGGATTCTACTCCTGACACTGCCACATACAAGCTGTGTGGCTTTGAACACGTTGCTTCCCCACTCCATGCCTCAGTCTACTCATCTATGAAATGAGGATAATAAGAGCACCTATTCAATAGGATTGTTATGAAGTTTAGAACAAATTAGCAGCACAGCAAAGCGATTAGAACAGTGTTTGGCTTATAGTAAATGCTCATTTACAACAGTCCTCCCCTTATTTGCAGTTTCACTTTCTGCAGTTATTACCCACTGTAAAGTAAAATAAGATGTTTAAAGAGAGATCACATTCACCTAACTTGCGTTACAGTATATTGTTATAATTTTCTATTTTATTATTAGTAATTGTTGTTAATCTCTTACTGTGCCTAACTTATAAATTAAGCTTTCTCATAGGTATGTATACCTAGGAAAAAAACATAGGATATATAGGGTACTATTCATAGTTTCAGACACCTGCTGGGCATCTTGGAACATATGCCCCACAGATAATGACAGACTACTGTTGTATTACCTAGAAGTATTAGTAATAGTAGCAGGAGAAAGAGCAATGATGGTAGAACTAGAGGACAGCCACTGATATAGTGACCTGAATCCAGGCTCCTCAAGTCCAGGCCTTGGCAGCACTATTGCAGCCCTGTTATGGGGTAAATTGTACTCTCAAAGAGATATGTTGAATTCCTAATCTCTGGTACCTCAAAATGTGACCTTATTTGGAAATAGAGTTGTTACCATTGTTATCCACATAATTAGTTAAGGTCATGCTGGAGTAAGGTGGGCCCTTAACTCAATATGATTGTGTCCTTATAAGAAGAGGTGAGAGAGGCACAGGGAAGGGAGTGTTGTGTGTGGACAGAGACACCCAGGGAGAAGAATGCCACGTGGCAATGGAGGCAGAGCTCTGAGGCAGCTGCAAGCCATAAAACACCAAGGGTTGGTGGTGACATCCGAAGCTAAGAGAAGGGCATGGAACAGATTCTCCCCTAGAACCTTCCAGAGGGTGTGGTGCCGCCATCACCTAGATTTCAGACTTCCTGCCTCTAGAGCTGTGAAAGAGTAAATTCCTGTTGTTTTAAGCCATCCAGCTTGTGGTAGTTTGCTATGGAAGCCCTAGGAAGCTACTGTGGGCACCCTCAGATACCTCTGACACTCTAAACTCCTGGCCTCTCCAGCCAGGAGCTCCCCAGCAGAAAAGCCAGAAGCACCCTGGCTCTCAGCCACAGCTCTCCTGCAGGTGCTCTGGCCCCTCTCAAATACTACCACTTGGGAAGAATTCTGGTGGATTCTTTACTCTGGACTTCTCTCCTTGAGGCACCTCACCACCACTGCTGGTGCCTCCAGCAGTCACTGCTCCAGCAGCAGCATCCAACTCTGCTCGGCAGCCACGGTGCACCGGGGGTCTGGGGCTGAGAGGGTAAGGGCAGGAGACATCCCTTACATACCTCTAGGTCGCACTGTGCCCTGTACAGGGCTGCATCTGCCCTGAGGTCTCACATGGGAGGGATCCAGCCTCTCAGCTCCAACTGTCATCCCTCTGTCAATGCTCAAAATCCATTGCTTCTGCTGACAGCAGGGCACAGAGGCCACCAAATCCTGTCATTCTTCTCTTCCCTCCTCCTCCCTCCCAGTCAGACACCCAGTCACACACATACAAACACACACACACACACACAAACACAGCAATGCAAACACACAAGCACACGTGCATATCCATCATCTCTTTCCTTTTCCTTCCTAAGAGAAAAACCTACTAAAGCCATGGGTTGACTGGATGGAGCAGTGTGTGTAACAGTGTGATGATATTGACTACGCCCCTGACATACCCACATCTCAGCCCCCACCCAGTTAGGATGTGGGAGCACAAAGGAAGAAGGGAGCCATTTGCACCAAAGAATCACAGAGGGCTTCACAGAGGAGATGGCATCTAGACTATAGTGTCCAGATAATGGACACTCAGGTTTTCTACTGAGTGGCCTGAAACATGGGTGTGCGGAGGAGCCTGGCAGGACAGGAAGCTAGAAAATTAGGTTAGGGCCAGTCCTAGAAAACCATGGCAAGGTCTAAGTAGTATCCTTCAACATGGTGTTTCTTAGCCAGGCTGGTGTATCGGATCCCCAGAAAGACCTTTTAAAAGACATATACCTTCCCTCTCCACCTCTCTCCTCACTCCACATCACTTCCAACATTTTATAGCTCGGGTAAAACTTAGAAATATGACTTTGATCATGTGCCCTGTGTAATTCTGGCATTTGCCCTTTATCCTCTACCATTGCAAAGCTCTGTCACAGAAATGGGGAGCCATCGAAGGTGTTTGAGGAGGAAGTGGCATGATCCAACCTGTATCAAAAGTATCTTGGAAGTTACCTGTGATATGTGCAGCAAATGATAGCCCACAGAGAGCCCCAAGCATGCACCTTAGTCCACATGTCCACAGCTAGCCTATAATGCATCTTTGTGCAAATCAAGAAAAGATGCCGTAGCTCCAGCAACATTTTTTAAAGTGGGTGTATTAACCAGCATACCCCTAAGCGGTCTGGCTTTGGCAGAGCAGGGATGTGGGCAGATGGCCCCTCCGGCTATGATAGCGCCCCTGGCATGGCCCTCATGTAAAGGGGGAGGTGGAGGAAGAGAAGTGAGGGGATAGGGCAGAGGGGGAAGATCTAGCCCTCACTTTAATCTGTTCCATCAGCTAAAATTCACAAGCACAGACATTCAGCATCTCCAGCTTCTTTTCAAAATGGTGGCCAGAGTGTGTGTGCCATAGGAATTATGTGGTGCTGCTGCTGTGTGGATATGCCCCCTTGGATTGGCCTGACTGTGCCCCAGGGGAAGTTTTCAGAGGTCAGTGGGCAAACCCCATTGACCCTACATCTTGTCTACTCCCACATTCGCCCAGCACAGGCACACACACCATTTGCAGAACACACTCTCTGAGACTCCAGTCTTACCCCTCAGATGAAGCAATGGTGTCAGATTGTGAGAGAGGAAAAATGGAATTGGGTCTCCAAGAGCAACAGGCAGGTGAGCTCAGGAGTCATCCAAAGTGTGTTTGGGACTGGGGCAGCCATGCACATGTGTGTTCACCAGTGAGCGTGTTGTACAATTGATTCCCCTGGGTGTATGCACAGCCCTGTATGCCAGCTAGAAGGCTTGGATTCTCTGACTGTGTTCACTATCTCATGTAAGTTAGTCTATATTTCTAATTTGAAAGGTGTTTCCTCATATGTGCCACACTTGTCCAGTGCACAACCTGAACATCTGCACATAGTGGCTCTGATGGTCCACTGAAAAGTCCTGTGTATCTGACTCTTCCCATAGGACTGTTGGGAAGATCAAATGAGATGAGAGATGGAAAAGCACTTTGATCCTAGATTTTATTATTATTTTTATTTCTACAGCCTTGAACGAATGTCCCTCCTGGGTCTTTGAATTACCTCCTAGACCATTCTTTTTCTATTGACTTTGGATCCCCAAGAGAGAATCACATTTCAACGAGGTTTAGCTGCTGCAGATTTGTGAAATGATAGAATGACAGAGCTGGAAGGCACCCTACGGACCATGGACTCTCCCTTTCATATAGATGGGGAAACTGAAAACACAGAGGTACGGCACCTGACCTGAAGACATACAGCAGGCTAGCTGAAGCATTTCACCTTGACCCATTTGCATGGTGCTGTTCTGTGGCTCTGAGTTAGGAATATTATTCACAGGGGTCACAGAAGGTCCTGCTTCCCCATCAGCTACAAGACCTCAGGCATCCTCTCCTCTCCAAGGCTCTTTCCAAGAGAGCCTTTGGGAACTGAGCAGGACCATGGGACCCCTCTCCGTGTCTGCAGCTGAATTGGCAGGCTCAGAGCTTGCCAGAAAGGAAGTAAACAGGCATTGGGACAAGGGTGTCCCTCCACACCGTCTCAGCTGCCTCCTGTGTTCAAAAGACAGTTAACACTTCACATGGAACTCTTGACAGAAATACACTATTTTGTGCAGAGTTCCTGACAGGCTGGCAGGAGAGTCTCAAGAGAAACAAAAGGAGATTTATTGGGAAGAAAAGAGAAGGCAGTTGGTATCGTATGAGAAGTGGGAGCAAAAAAAAAAAAAGAAAAAGAAAACGGTTCTGGTGAAATGTATGCTGGTCAACCGGCAAACAAAACACAGACACTTTCGATCCATCTTGCTCAACAAACTACACCTCAGTGATGCCTTTCTAAACAGAATGATTTAATTCTCCCACTTTAAAGCCTCCTTGCAGGCCGGGCGCAGTGGCTCACACCTGTAATCCTAGCACTTTGGGAGGCCAAGGTGGGCGGATTGCCTGAGCTCAGGAGTTCCAAACCAACCTGGGCAACATGGTGAAACCCCATCTCTACAAAAATACAAAAAATTAGCCGGGTATGGTGGCATGTGCCAGTAGTCCCAACTACTCGGGAGGCTGAGGCAGGAGAATTGCTTGAACCCGGGACACGGAGGCTGCAGTGAGCCAAGATCATGCCACTGCACTCCAGCCTGGGCAACAAGGTGGTGTATCAGATCCCTGGAAAGACCTTTTAAAATACGTATACCTTCCCTCTCCACCTCCCTCCTCACTCCACATCACTTTCAACATTTTATATCTGGAGTAAAACTTGGAAATATGACTTTGTCTCAAAACAAAACAAAAAAAGACTCTTTGCTAGCACTGACTGCTAAAAGAGAAGAGCACAGTTGTAGCTCTATTACTATAGAGGTTTTCTTTTGGTGATCAACTTTATGATCAGAAATGTCATTATTAGGCACAGCCTGCTTTACACTAGTCTGTTTGTCCTATCCCATAAGCAGATGGTGAATGTTTTCCCATGCAGGAACCATGCGGCTTCAGATACTCTGCCCAGCACCTGACCAGGGCTGAGGATAGATTTGGCATTTAATGTATTTTTGAAGAAATTTTCATTAAAAACAAAATACTAGGGCATCTGATCTGAGAAGTCTAAATGTTCTTCAAGGAGACAGAAAATCAGGATATCTGAAATATAAACTTGCCTGAACACCTAAGCCAGGTGGGCATAGTATACGTGTTATTTGACAGGTGAGAAATAATAGCAACTAAGACAATGACGATAACCATAGCAGATATCTCCTCACCCAATAGATCATAAGACTGCCTTCTCTAATGTCCAACTTCTCTAATATTCATGTAGCAATTCAACAAATATTTCATGAGCATCTGCTGTGGGCTAAACCTTTGCAGAAGGGAATATAGAAACAAAGAAAATATGATCACTGCCTTCAAAGGGATCAGATTTCAGGGGGCAAATGCATGAATAAAAGATGCAGTCAACCCTTAAACAATGCAGAGGTAAGCAATGCAGTCAACCCTTAAACAATCACTGACCCCTGTGCAGTTGAAAATTCAGATATAACTTTTGAATCCCCCAAAACTTAACTACTAATATTCTACTGTTAAACGGAATTCTTACCAACAACATAAACAATCAATTAACACTTTTTTTTTTTTTTTTTTTTTGAGACAGAGTTTCACTCTTGTTGCCCAGGCTGGAGTGCAATGGCATGATCTCAGCTCACTGCAACCTCGGCCTGCCAAGTAGCTGAGACTACAGGCGCCTGCCACCATGCCCAGAAAATTTTTGTATTTTTAGTAGAGACAGGCTTTCACCATGTTGGTTAGGCTGGTTACAACTCCTGACCTCAGGTGATCCACCCGCCTCAGCCTCCCAAAGTGCTCGGATTACCGGCGTGAGCCACCATGCCTGGCCTATTTTGTATGTTATGTGTATTACATACTGTACTCTTACAATAAAGTAAGCCAGAGAGAAAATGGTATTAAGAAAATCAAAAGGAAGAGAAAATATATTTACTATTCATTGAGTAGAAGTAGATCATCATAAAGATCTTCATCCTCATCATCTTCATTTTAAGTGGGCTGAGGAGGATGAGGAAGAGAAGGGGTTGATCTTGCTGTCTCAGAGGTGGCAGAGATAAAAGAAAATCTGTGTCAAAGTGGACCCATGCAGTTCAGACCTGCGTTGTTCCAGGGTCAGCTGTATATCATACAATAGGACTACTGCTATCATCAAGGTGCAAGCAAAGTGCTATCGGAGCAAAGAGGAGTTCCCCTAACTCTGCAAGAGAAGACAGGGTTGACTTCATAGGACAGGGGACTTTTGAGTTGGGCCTTGAGGGTTGAAAGGGTAAGGGAGCTGGAAGAACCTTCTCAACAAAAGAAACTGTAGCAAGGCCTTGAAGAGCAGGGCATGTTTGAGCCACAAGGGGAAGTTCAGTGGAGCTGGTGTAGGTTGGACAGTGGTGAGGAATGAGGCTGTGAATGCCTGGTTGGAGAGGTGAGGCTCTGACCTTAGGCCCAACTTAGGGAGGTTTGTGAGAAGGGGAGCAAGGCTCTTGTGGGAGTATTCGGAAAAGACTGGGTTGGTGGAGACCCCAGGCAGAAACCGCAGATCAGAAGCTGTTTCCTCCAAGAGATTTTGAGGTCCGCTGCTATAACAAAGGGACTGCAGGTAGATTTGGGAGATATTCCTGAAGATAAATGACAACACTTAATAGCCATTTGGGTGGAGGAAAAAACACGCTCACAAAAGATGAGGTTTCCAGCTCACATAACAGAAGCTAATGGTGCTGTTAGCTAAATTTGGAAATAAGATTAAAAATCCAATCCAGGGAAAGAAACAGCAAGTACAGAACTGCCCCCGTCCCTTCGTTAGAGCTTTCCTTTGCAATTTTCTCCCCTTCCCTTGCCCAACGTCTAGTGGACATTTCTTTATTAATTATTACTACCTACCCACAAGAAACATACACCCGCTTGGGGATGAAGACATGTATATAAATATTGTCATATACGATAAACTGGTACCTTTCAAAATAGAGATCTCTGGAAGGTGGAAAAAAGAAGATGATCCTTGTTGAAGAAATCATAAAAGGCTTCCTAGAGGAGATGGCATTGGATTTCAGCCTTGAGGAATGAGTAAGTGTTCAACCCACAAAAATATGGTGCGGAGAGCATGAGCCAAGGCAATGACGGACAGGGAGTTGAGGCAGTCTGGCAATATTGACAGAATGGAGGGGAATTATGAGAGGGAAAGTAGGAAATATAGGAAAATCCAGGGGGAATTGGTGTTGAATTAGGGACACAGTGGAAAGCCATGGAAGGTTTCTGAGCAGAGAAATGACCTTGAACTTCAGAAGGTTACGGCCATCAATGGCAGAGGCCTAGATGGAACCATGGAGGAAGCTTGAAACGGGGAAGGAGAAAACAACTTTCTAAGCCACCTATGCAGCCTCACTGGGTCATCAGTTCCTGGGCTCATGATAGCCCTCTTCTGGGACCAGCTCAAGAAAAGCTCTCAGAGCTAATAACTTTATGTTGAGTCTTGTGTAAAACCAGGTTGGATTAATTATTGATGCAAACTTAGGCAAATGAAAGCTCCCTCTGGCTTGGCAAGGTTCCCCTCAGCAAAATTAGCTTAAGCAGCTCTGGCTGCTTCCTGGGGAGAGGCACACGTCTGTCAGCGGCTCGCGACCCACCCACAGGGACACGCACATGCAGGGGCTTTGAACCTCTGACTTCAGATCTGTGCCCAGAATCTCAGCCGCCCCCACATGCCATCTGGGCTGGGGGTGGGGAGTAGGCCCAGAATGAGCAAGGAGCTCACACCCAGGCCTCCCGTGGATTCCCTTGCAGAACGGCCATGCATGGAAAACAGTATCGGTGGTAACAACCTCGCAGATTCAATTCCATCCCGTTTAATTAAATGGCTTTGGTGCTCACAAATTGCAGCAATAGATGCGAGCTCATGCCAGACACACAGCTGCAGACCCGCAGCACAACGCACTTTGGAAGATGCAGCAAAGGTCAGTCACTGCCCCGGGGAGGGCCCAGCACCAGACAATGCAAATGAGAAACAAGAACACACTCCAGTCCACACCGCCTCCTGGAGTGAACAAGTTTCATTCAACGACTTCTTTCACAGACATTTATTACAATTCTATTACGCACCTGGCCCTGTTGCAGGTATTGGAGGTAAAGAGGTGAAAGAGATGGCCTTGCCCTTAAGAAACCCCAAATCTCCTGGGAACATGGAGGAAAAAACAGACCATGACTTGTTTTTACTTGGTGTTTTTACAGGACAGCCTGGTCTGAGAGTACCAGGGAAGGCCTGGAGGGCAAATGGAATGCAAGAAGTGAGGATACCCTCTCAGCTGTACACTTGCATTCCTTGCCTTATAAGCCATGCCAAGTGTTTGGACATTATCCTGAGTAGACGGCAGCCACTGGAGGAAGGGGAAGATTAAGCAGGGAATGTATTTATTAAACACACTCAATGTCACAGACACCATGCCCGTGCTCAGAATGCTGCAGGAAGCAAGGCATTTATAGTTCCAGTCTCCTCCCCCTCTAACAGTTTCTCCCCTGCCTTCCAGGCAAACATCAAGCCTATGAAAATTCTAAGATTCTCCAGGCAGACCAATATGAAGGAACAGAACCTGAAGCAGGTCACTTGAGGGAGACAAGTAGAAATGCAGCATTAGAGACTCAATGAGTTTGGCCATATAATTTCCTGTGGCATTCCCCCACTCCTGAGAAATGGGCATAATGCAACATGTGCTTTCTACCCATCAGGCAGGCCACAAGATTCAACTGTGAAAGGCCAAGTACACAGTAGACACTCAGCACATGTCTTGAATGAATGAAACACCATGGAAGTTCTCGGTCAACTGAAAAAACTGTACAATATAGGAGATGAGTATTTCACTCTAGTTCTCAGGCTCTTCATTTGTCAAGTGGGTAGAGTATCTGTTGTTTCTGCTGTAATAGACAATCAGTTGCACTTTACAGTTTACAAAAAGGAATGAGGGTTGGAAATAGCATTTCCTGAGCATTTATTTGTTCATTCATTCATTCATCCATTCAGCAAATATTGGCCGGGCATGGTGACTCACAACTGTAATTCCAGCACTTTGAGAGGCTGAGGTGGGAGGATCGCTTGAGCCCAGGAGGTTAAGCCTGCAGTGAGCCATGATTGTGCTACTACACTCCAGCCTGGACAACAGAGTCAAACCCTGTCTCTCTCTCACTCGCTCTCTCTCTCTCTCTCTCTCTCTCTCTCTCTCTCTCTCTCTCTATATATATATATATATATATATATATATATATATCTCCATATATGGATGTGTGTGTGTATATATATATTTTATATATGTATATATATAGAGAGAGAGAGTTCTGTGTAACCTTAAATAACAAAGCACAGTCTGGTAAAACAAACCAAAGATTAAAGAACAAACTGATGTGGACTCACATTTTGACGCTTCCTTTTACAGTTTGCTAGAATCTGAAGAGGTTACTAAACGTCTGAGTCTTTTTCTTCATCTATGCTTTGCGGGGTTGCTGAGAGTCTAAAATAGAACTACATAACATTGTAGAACACATCACATGTAGCTGTGCTTGACTGCTTGACACATAGTAGGTGCTCCATATTCATCTCCCAGATTCATCCCTAATTTTCTTAATGACAAAACACACCCTTGTTGAGCCTTGGTTTCCCAGCCCCTAATGCTGGAGTAGCCAATTTTTTTCTGACTTAATTATACCCTCCAAGAAAGTGCCTCATGGTGCATGCACTAAATTAAAACATTAATTAAAATAAAGCATGAGCTCAGCAACAATTAAAACCAGAGAAGAAATATATAATAAAATAATTCATACATGCATATATATATATATATATTCTATATAAAGCACTCGGTCTTAGAGCTCTCAGGATCCAAAAATGGCTTGAAGGCTCACAACAAGAAATTGGTTCCCAAAATCATGTAGGATATCCAGGAACCACAAACTTCCAAAGGATATGCCCTTTGAGTCTCTCGAGTAGATGTTGTGAAATGTTAGCAGAATTCAGCTTTTGTCCATTTGTTCATTCAAAGTTATCTGGTGAAATGCAGCTAGATATTGGGGACTCAGAGAAATCCTTCTGTCATTAAATGAGTATTTGTTATGTGCTACTCCATGGCTGTCTCTGTGCCAGGATCTGGGAATGCAGAAAGAACAATGTGGCCCCTGTTCCCTAGAGGAGCTCTGAGCCCAGTAGCCAGGCAAAGTGATGCTCATATAAAGCAGTGGCCCAGAACACCCAGTGGCCTTACTCACACTCCTGCTGACTCTTCACTGTTTCCAGAAAACCTGGTGCACTTTCTTTCCTTTAGCCTTTGCTGGACCACTTACTCTCCTACAATCATCTTTTATCTAACAAAACCTTGCTCCTTGTTCAGGATCCACCTCCCAGGAAGCCTGCCTTGGCCAGCTCACCCCAGCCAGTTGCTCCCTTCACCAAGCTTCTTTCCTCCCGACTGACTGAATCATTGACTGAACAAAACACTTACTGCTTGGTTGTTGATACCTGTGTCTTATGAGGACACATCACACAATGGGAAACATTCAAAATGTCTGAGTTCCAAGGAGGGACCTGAGAGACAATCTGGTCCACTGCCTTTATTTCACACACATAGGGCCTGAGAGCCCCAGAGAAGAACCCACAACCCCACAGTGACACACGATGAAGAGTGCAGCCAGCATCTCAGCTCCCAGACCATGCTCTTTCTGTTTCTATTACCAAGGTGCCCTGACTCTGTCACTGATAATCTTGTTCCTTCAGGTTTCTGGATAATAAAAAGAAATACTAATTTATCAAGCAGGATCTTAAGATTTGGGTGACCAGATTTTGACCCCAACATCACTGCAAAAACAAACTGTGGTCACCCCAGGCTCACAGTCTCAATGGAAGATATTTTGCAAATATCACCTCCTCCAGGAAGCATTCCTGATTAGCCTAGCTCATCCTGAACTCCCCTGCATGAGGCCTGTCACATGGTTCAGCATCTCCTAGAGGAGACAGCTGATAAATTCTTACATTCCCGAGCTCCCCAACTCCGCTAATCCCAAGAGAGTTGATGCTTTATGAATCATTTTCCTTAGCATTTGTGATAAATGAGACTTTGAGGGAAAAAAAAATTGGGTTCCACGTTTGCTTATTAGTTCTCCAATCTATAAACCCATAAAAGAAAGAGCAGTCACGTTGGCGCCTAGCAGTCTAGGTTTGAGCCTCATTTTGGTACCGCTTGTCTAAGCCTCGGCTCAGCTTTGCTCAATTTCCTCATGGTTTGGGCTTCTTCTCCCATCACTGTAACAGCCCCGGTGTCCCCTGGCAAGTGTGGTTACAGCATTCTTGGGAGATGTTGAAGCAGCAAGCCCTCCAATGTGGTGTGTGCTCCCAATTTCAGTCCCAGAGGTCTCCTTTTATCTTCTTGTAGCCTCTTGAAGGCGTGCCAGTAATCTGTCTGTAAATACTGAACAAAGGACTGTATGGAACCAGACTTCATTTCACATCTTGGCAGGTTGAGAAAGGACTCAAATAAGTTTAGGTAACTATTCTGGGCTTTACATTTCAGCAGCGGGGGTTCTGGATCAAATCACTTCGGTTAATGTGGCTTTCTTCGGTTATTTGGAATTAAGCAAAATCAGTGCACTTTGGTGATAACCTCCATTCACTTTTTCTCTTAGAACACCTTTCCCTTATCCTCAATGACTTTGAAGGTTAACATAGGCTGGTCTGACCATTCCTTGTGCCCTCCTAGCAGAGCAAACAGTACAGGGTCATGAAATCCTATGAAGTTTAGCGTAGAGCAGACCTGAATTCAGGCCTTTGTTCTCTTTTTAGTTATGGGATCCAAGGCAAATATCCTAACATTTCTGGGCCTCAGTTTTTCCATCTGTAAGATGTAAATAATAACAATACCTGCCTCATACGTTGTAGTGAAGATTAAATGAGAAAATGATATGTAAAATATTTAGCAGGGTGCCTGGCATATAGTAAGTACTCCATAAATATTAGCTACCATCACTGGCTATATTACACTATCTATATTGTTATAATCATTAGTAGTAATGATAGTAGTATTAATCATTCTTATTAATTCAGTGTGCATCCTGCTCCTGTCAAAGAGAGAGCTGCTAGCAGAGATATCGACCAAAGTCTGGGTGTTCTTTCCATATAACCCTCAGAATGTCCAGGCTCCCATGGTTATGGAGCAGTGACTAGAGTTCATATGAGATTTGAATTTTATTTAACAGCATTTATTAAACACTTACTGTGTGCCAAGCTCTGTGATAGCCACCTATAAAGATATATAAGACAGCCCCTGCCCACTGGGCACCAGACAAGGACATGATTCAGAGTAACATATTCTGATAGAGATAGTCATTCATCCCTTATGGCATCACCCCTCAACACCACCTCCTCCAGAAAGCCTTCCCAGATTACCCTAATATCCTCGGATTCTCTCCTATCAAGTCTCTACTGCCACATCGTTTGGCATCTCCTTGAGAAGAAATGACCATTCTTTCCCCTCCTATGAATTCAGCCCTGCTGATCTCAAATGGGTAATACTCTGAGAACCCATTTCCTTTTCTTTTGTGGTAAACTAAACCTTCAACAGAAACTGGATCAAGCTCCTGTTTCTTAGTTTCCTGGCCTCATAATGTAAAATAAAGAAGTCTCAAACTGGAGCCTAACAGCTTGGTTTAATCTTACTTTTGAGGACTCAGCTGAGTCGCTTCTTTTTCTGACCCCAAGTATTCATCTACAAACGGGGCTGTCTCCTGGGACCATTGTGCTGACTATACAGCATGAACCACAGTGACTGGCACATAGTAGGACTTTCATCAACTCATTTCCTTTCTTTCCTGGTCCTTCCCCCTAGAAATGCCACTGACTGGTCACACATCCCTGCAGAGCCTGGAACCAAGGCAGGGCTGGACAAGTCATATGCAATTAAAATTTCATTCCTTTACCAAGCGGAGTACAGTACATTTACTAATGTAATTACACTGTAATTGTTGCAGTCAGTGAACAATATGCATTTATGAGGCAGTGTCCTCCATAATTATAGCCCCTTCCCACTTCCTAATCCAGAGTCACCTACTGAGGATGTCCTACCACTCAGAGAAATATACTGACTTTCTTGGAAGAAATATGAGGGTGGGTGCTATAGTTTGAATGTTCATGTTCCCTCCAAAATTCATGTTGAAACTTAATACCCAATGCAACAGTATAAAGAGGTAAGGCATTTCAGAGGTCATTAGGCCATGAGGGCTTCACTCTCCTGGATAGGATTAGTCCCTTACAAAGGTCTGGAGAGAACTAGAGAGGCCCCTTTTTGCCTTCTATCCTTTCCAACACGTGAGGACAGAGAGTTTATCTTCTCCAGAGGATGCAGCAACAAGATACCATCTTGCAAGCAGAAAGCAGCCCTCACCAGACACTGAACCTGCTGTTTCCTTGATCTTGGGCTTCCCAGCCTCCAGAACTGTCAAAAACAAATTTCTGTTCTTTATAAATTACCTAGTCGGTGGCTGGTAAGCACAGCTGCTTTTTTATAGCAGCACAAACAGACTAAGACAGTGGGTATCCGAGGATGCTTTTATTTTTTCCTTTTTGACTATTCCAGACACACTGATGGTGGACAGAGGAGAGGGGAAGAGAGAAGGTCAAGATACTCCCTACTTCCCTTCTAAGTGTTACCATCATGAAACTTGCCTTATCTTGTTGGGGAGAAAACTTGGGATACAGACACTTAAGTTTCTGATGCTCTTGCCCCACACACTCCTCACCTGAGCAAGCTCCTTCTCTGTGTCCTCTCTGCAGGGCTGTTGGCATTCAAGAGACAAGACCTAAGACTTCGACCTTCAGATTTTATGAAACCTGAAGCAAAACAAGAAGTTGGCCCTGCCCAGAGTTGTTTCCCTAGCCAAACTGTAACAGTATTGAAATTCCAGCATAACACTATCATTTGACCCAAGCAGTGCAAGACCCTCATTTGTGTAATCATAGCTATTAATACAATATGCAAAGCACTTTTGACTTTTCAAGCTTTTCTCCTGAGCTATCTCGTCTGATTCTCATGCTAGCTCAGTGAGATGAATATTCTTCCCATTTTTCAAAATAGGAACAGAGGCTCAAAATGGTGAAGCGGCTGGCCCAAGAATAGTCAACTAGGAAGTTGTAGGGCTGGGATTCAAACCAAGTCTCCTCTGAAGCTTGTCTCTCTCTGCTGGGAAATGGGAAAAGCCAAGGCTTTCCCAGCTCTGAGTGTTTCAGAGGAGGCTTCATTTTCCAACTCTGACAGCTCCAATACTGGGAGTCCTCCTGCAAGTCACTTAACTAGGCCCCTCTTGTTCTCACTCAAAGAACCTTTCATAGCCCCCAAATCATAATGATATGTTCATGGCTGTGATTATTGTTTATTTTCTGCCTTCTGCATTAGACCATGAGCTTCATGATTGCATTGATTTTTTTTTTTTTTTTTACCAATATATCTTCAGTACCTAGAAGAGTGCTGGACCCACAGAGGTGTTTAATGAGAACTGATCAGCCAACTGAATGAATGAATAGACAAATGACCAAATAAATAGCTCTCATTAGCTGTGTGAGATTGGGAAATATACTTTCTGGTCCCTCATTTCCCCCTTGCAAAATGGCAACTATCATATCTACTTTGCAGAGTTGTTAGGAGACATAAAGTATATAAAGCACTTTGCTTAGTGCCTGCCACATAATAGGTACTTAATAAACAGGAGCTATTATGATTATCATCTAATGAATTTACGGTTAAAGGCTGTCCCCCACTCCCTCACACCCATGACACCTCTGCCCACATGAAAATGAGGACTCTTGAAGCACAGCTGATGCGATGTGTGCTGTGTCACTGATATTTTCATATGGACAAGAAAAGTCCATTAGTGCCATCCCCTGAAAATTAGGAGTTGAGCTGGTAAATTGCTTTCTCACCATGCTGCACTCACCAATACCACTGTGATGGTCAGTCATGCTCAAACTCCGTTCCTGGTTCCCCAGCACTTACGGCAGACAGGACAGAAAGAACGCAGTCCACCGCCAGGCTTGATCATCAAGGAAGAAAGCAAAAGCGTTCTTTAAAGCCCAAGTGATCTGATAGGAGCACTGTCCTGGGAGACTGGGAGCCCAAGCTGCAGTCCCCCAACTTGCTGATTGCCCTTACGTAAAATGTTCCCCTTTCTGGGCTTGGTTTGTCTATCTGTAAAATGCAGAAGATAACACTCAACTCATTCAACTGTGATGGTTGCATAAGATACCATTAAAAATAATAATGCCAATCATGGCTACCAGTGATGGAGGGTTTATTATGTGTCACAAATTGTGTTAAGTACTTGGCTTCATTACCATGTCTTCCCAATAATTCTATTAAAATTAGATTATTATCATCTCTTTATTCAGATGAGAAAATGGAGGCTTAGAGAGACAAATAAGCATCCTGAGATAACCAGCATTTAAGTGGCAGAACAAAGATTCCAACCCAGGATCTTAACCACCAGGCTATCCTGCATCTTGGGCAAGGCAGAATGAGATGAGGTTAGCTCCAGGGGAGCAGGTGGCCCTGTTGTTCTGTGACATTGGTTCTAACTCTCTGACTAACTCGACAAAATCACACTTGGAACCTTGTGTTTCCCATATGTCAAATTAGCATGTTGAATTAGGTGATATACAAAGCTTTTTTTTTTTTTCATGTAAACTTCTTAGACTAAGATGTTAGAAGTATGGGGACATGTTTGGACAGAGATGACTGATCTGCCTCCCTTAAGGTCCACTTGAAAACAGTGCAATGCAGTACACTGGAGAGAATCAGACAGGCCTGGGTTGGAAGACATGGCTTCTCCCTGGTGGGTGAGCTGCCGTGTGCCTCAGTTTCTCCATCTGTGAGGTGGAGAAAATATATACAACCTTACTTGTAAGGATGAAAGCCAAAGTCCTCATATTGGCCTTTGAGGTCCTACAACCCACCCACCCCATCTCCCAGAACCCACCTCCTTGGAGGCTTATTCTCACTCACTCTGCTCAGCCCGCATGCCCCTGCCCCAGGGTCTTTGCACTTACTCTTCTCTCTTCCTGGGCAAACTTCCTCCAGATGGCTCCTTGCTCACTCCCTCATCTCCTCCAGTCCTTTGCTTAAACATCACCTTTTCCTGTGACCTTACCTGCCAACCCCTCTCCAACCCCTGAAGCTGCTGTATTTTTCTCTGTAACCCTTATTGCCATCTGACATGATACATATCATCTGTCCTTCTCACTATAATGTTGGCTTCATGAGAGCAGCAATCTTTGTTTTACTGAGTTATCCCCAATACCTGAAACCATTCCTGGTACATAATTAGTGCTTACTAAATACTTGAATTAACAAATGAATGGGCAATATTATTCATGGAATAAATATTCATTCTATTTATTTTCTCCTTCGTAATAAGTCCTGCTATTAACTGAGCACCTATTATAATGCAAGCCCCATGCTAAGCATTCTGCTCACAATATCTACAAGTGATATCATTCTTAATATCGAGAGCTTCAAAATACTAATGTCTCAGGATTCAGAGATGTCCTCTCTCTACCTGTCATTTTTTTTTTTTTTTTTTGCATCCCTGGTTCTTCCAAAACCAGTCTCCCATATGTGTTCAAAGAACCAGTGAGTCTTTTAATTAAAACAGTCTGCTATGATGAATCTGTTATTACACAGCTTTACCTATGTAAAACATTAATAATACAAATTTCATTTGTTTATGTCAGTGCCAAGCATTAATTTTTAATAGCAAAATGTATGAGTTATGAAAGGCATTAATGCAAACCAAATCACCAGCTGAGGATGAAAAGGAAATCTATTTTTTAGGGTAAGCAGTGGTGATGAAATATTATTGTGGTTTCCAAGCAAAGGGGAAAAAAACATTTCTTCACCCTTCAGCAGCAATTAAAAAAAAAAGATGCAAATGAAGAAAGAACTTTATCATCACCTTAATATCACTGCTAAATTGGAGCAGAGAGCTGTCCCTTTAATCCTGCTGAATCTCTGGTGGCAATTTCAAAGCAAGAAGTTTATGCAAAATTGTCCTAATTACCCACCCCAGTCACATTAATACTTCTAGGATAAAATATTAATAAAAATTTATTACATTTCTACAGCGTGATAGAGTTTACAAAGCACTTTCATCGTTGTCTCAACTAATTCATGCAATTCAAGGGAGGAGAATTTCTTCCCATTTTACAGATGAGCTCACTGAAGCACCAGAAGGTTAGTGACAGGACTGGGACTGCAGTTAGGTATTTAGTGAATAAAGGAAGGAAAGTGAGAAGTCAAAAAGGCAAGGAAGGAGAAAGGGAGGAAGGAAGGGAGAAAGGAAGGCTGGCCAGCAGCCAAGGGGGGTTTAGGGAGGGAAAGAGCGGGAGGAAAATGGAGACGGGAAGCCCAATGTTCAGGTCATTCTCCCTCTGCCTCCTGTCCCTTTCTCCAGATCCATTTTCAGCCCTTCTCTGTGCTCCTCTATAGCCCAGGAAGCTCACAGCTGAGGATGATATCACCAGCCTTCCTCCTCTGGCCAATGGGAGGCCCAGCAGGAGGTCAGCAAGTGGGAAGAGAGAGGAGCATGGGCATTTCTGCTGCCCACGCTGCAGTCCTGCCCAGCACCACTTCACCGGCGATGGCCTCACCCTTCACAATCCCAGCTCCCACCCGGAGCTGGGTGGCCCAGTCTCCATGATTCCCTCTCATAGAGCCCCCACAAGAACCCTTTGTCCTCTCCTTGTTCCTTCAGCCCTAGAGATGGTAAAACAATGTCCCACTGATGCTGTACTCTCGTGCTTCCACCTCCCTTGTTTACTCTATTATCCCTGCTCACCGCATTGTAAGTGGTCCTTTAGTTAAATACTCTTTAGCTAGACCATCCAGAATTCATTAAAGGGACTTCTTTTTCCTGTCTAGAACCTGACTTAGACACCAGTTCTGCAAACCCACTATGATAGATGGAATTGAATTACCAATATAGAAGTTGATCAAAAACAGAGATCAGCTATCATTTCCCTGGAGCTTCCCTGCTACTAAAGAGCATCTCCCAGCCAGTTAACTCAAAACCCGTATTTGAACTTATGGCCTCTGCTTTCAGTTCCTGTCACATTCTTATGGTTTACCTGGAACAATTGGAGGCATGTGCTGCCCTTATTGAGAAGGTGATAACAATGTCAGTGTTCAATAAGGGCTTTTCAGACAAAAAGGATGGCAACTGTATTAATGTTTGGACACTGTATATTAAATGGCTCAAATATTTCATAAATATATATATGTATCTTACTGTACAACATTTCTATGTTTACGTATCTACCTGTTAAATAGGTATTGTTATCCTAATTTGTAGATGAGAAAATTGAAGCTAAGAGGCTGTGACATGCTTGTTTTCCTAAGGTCATGCAGTTTTTATCATTATTAACAAAATTTGCCTCCCATGGAATGCTGACTCCTGAGCAATGTGCTGACCAATATATATCATCTCATTTAATCCTCAACAGCCCTATAGCATATTCAAACTTCATATTTCCATTTCACAGATGAGGAGACTGGGCCTTAGTTCAAGGGGAAATGAGTCCACTTGAGCACAGGCTCAAGTGGCTCCAAAGCACAGCCCCTTTCTGTGTTGCCACAGTAATTCCTACTGGACAAGGCCACTGTATTGTCCCTCTTTTTGTCATGCATAGCCTCTGCCATGAAATAGGCAGCACTAATTCATTCTCAGACACTCTCTGATGCTGCAGCATGTTGGATCAAACCATTTGCAAGAATCACCTGGAAGACCATGCCTTTCCCACTCGCTTGCCACATCCCTTCTGTTATGCTCATTTCCTTTTTTTGAAACAGAGTCTTGCTCTGCCACCCGGGCTAGAGTGCAGTGGCACGATCATAGCTCCCTATACCTGGGACTCCTAGGCTTAAAGATCCTCCCACCTCAGCCTCCTGAGTAACCAGGACTACAGGCGCACGCCACTATGTCCAGTGAATTTTTTTGTTTTTAGAGATAGGGTCTCACTATGTTGCCCAGGCTGTTCTTGAGCTCTTGGCCTCAAGTGATCCTCCTATCTTGGCCTCCCAAAGTGCTGGGATCACAGGCATGAGTCACCATGCCCAGCCTCATGTTTATTTTTAATCTCACTGAAGACTGAAGTAAAAAGGTAAAATCCTGAAATGATCAAAATAATTATTCCTGTGAAGAATTAATCCTGTGTCCCTCTGAACCTGATAGATTTTTAATTTTAAAAGTAATACACTATCAATTGGTACAGGAGCGAAAGAAGTGAAAAGTGAACACGTCCCCTCTTTCCATCTGCCTCCCAAACCCCTTTCTCAGAGATAAACACTCCATATTATTTATGTCTTAACCCCTAACAGAATTTTTAATATATTTTATATAAATGGGATAAGGCTAGATAAACTGTTCTGCAGCTTGCTTTTTTTCCTCCAACAGTATATCTTAGACGTCCTTCTATGCCAATGCATACACTGCATTCAGTCATTCCTCAAATATTTGTTGAGCACCGCACTGTGCCAGGAGTTATATGAGGTGCCACTTTCATCACCTTCATTCTGATGTGTACTGAGGGCACATCATGTGCCAGGAACACAGAGCCTTCTACACAGACCTTCTCTTATTGTTAGAACAGCCTATGGCATAGGTACCATTAACAACTCTATTTTCAGAATAAGAAATAGAGATGTAAAGAAGTTCAGCAACTTGCACAAAATCACCCTCTTTAGGTCTCGGTGGGCCTGGGATTTGAACCCAGGTAGTCTGACTCCAGAGTCAAGGTTCTTATGCAAACCCACAATGCCTCATGCATCTTGTCTTCATGAGTTCACAGTCTGGGAGGTATGAGCAGGGGGAACATACAACAAATGCATATGGTAAGTACTAGGTAAAGAAAACTAACAGGGCTTATAATATTCTATGATACATTGTATCATACTTTAACCATTTCCTGGTTGATGGAAATTTGGATCACTTCTAGTGTTTCATGATTACAAACAGCAAACGTTCTGGTCCAACTGGAATGGGGCAACAATATCTGTAAGATAAATTCCTAAAAGTGGAATTACAGAGGCAAACTGCATTTGCATTTGTTATTTTGATGGTGTCAAACCTAAATAACAGACAGAGAGGGAGACTCTAACAGAAAGTGACATCTGGGCTGGGCACGCTGGTTCATGCCTGTAATCCCAGCACTTTGGGAGGCCGATGCAGGCGGATCACGAAGTCAGGAGATCGAGACCATCCTGGCTAACACTGTGAAACCCCGTCTCTACTAAAAATACAAAAAAATTAGCCGGGTGTGGTGGTGGGCACATGTAGTCCCAGCTCCTTGGGAGGCTAAGGCAGGAGAGTGGCATCAACCCAGGAGGCGGAGCTTGCAGTGAGCCGAGATCATGCCACTGCACTCCAGCCTGGGTGACAGAGCGAGATTCTGTCTCAGAAAAAAAAAAAGAAAGTGACGTCTGTTTGGGAATGGGCATTCCGATGGGAATACATGTGGGTGTGTTCAGGGAGGTCAAGGAAAACAAGGGTTTTTAAAGGAAACCCTTTAGGAAGGAAGGCTGCGAAAGTTGTTTTGAGGCAATTATCCTTGGCTACAAGTATCAAAAACAAGAGTAGCATCAGTCCAAGGCTGGACAGGCAGTTGGTGGGCAGATGTGCTCACAAAAGTAATTTTTTTTTTAAGGTTGTGGTGTCCTTTATGCAAGTCTGTGGTTTTTGCTGAATCTTTTGTGATAGTTCTTGTTATCAGGCAAACGCATGAGATTCCTCCCTTCACAGCCTTCCCCAGCTCCATTTGTCGGGGTTTGACACAAGTGACTCTGTTTTGATTCTGACAACTTTCACAATAGATATTCCAAATTGCCAAAGTGATGTCAATATGAGTTTCTACGCACAGCGTATGTGACTGCCCATTTCCACAAACTCAACAGGACTGCTTGTTAGGAACCACCTTAATCTTCAGTGAAAACTGGAATTCTCTTTCTGTTGTTATTTTCATTGGTTTTCCTTCTGTTAATAAATGCATACTTCTATACATTTATTAACTGTGGTCATTCCTTGATTTTGACTCACTATCTTAGAAGAGAGGGTGATTTAATGAAAAGAACTTGAGATCAGAATTTGAGATCAGAATTTGAGATCAGGGGTTTAATCCCAGCACCAAGACTTACCAGCTGGGTGGGCAGAGCTGGGTGATCATGAGTACGTAGCATTGGGATCCTGGAACGGAAAGAGATTAGGGTCTGGGACCACCATGGGGAGGCACTAAGAGGAGCTTCTGAGGGCTCTGGCACTAAACTGCCTGAAGAAGGTCAGCTGCAGGATTTAGCCTTGCCACACAGGGAACTTCCAAAGCCTAGAGGATGTGATTGGGATTGAGTTACTCAACAGTGGTACCTCAGGTACTACTCGGGTTACCTGAGTCCACTCTGAGCTTACAACCCACAAACCAGGTCACTAATAACCAACTGAAGTGAAGAAAACTTGATTTTTGTGGACAATCACTTGAGAAAACATGTTCTTCCCTCTTTTGTCCTCCCACCCCACAATGCCAGAGAGGACCATGCAGAGAAGAGGGTGTAGGTTTACGCAAGAGGGTAGAACTCTTCTCCCAAGCCCCACTCTGCCACTGACATCAACCCTAGACTTAGCGGAGTGGTAAAGGGACCTTTGAATCTAATATGAGATTGGAGTTTTAGAAATAAACAGACTCGACTCCTAATAACCAAAATAAGACTGTTTTAATAACCCAAAGTAACTGACAGTCCCAGAATGAGCCTGAGCTATGGTTAAGAGAACCCTCCACTCAGCAAGAAAGGCAGTGCAGCAGGCACAGCTGGTAGCAGGTATGAGAGGAAAAGAAATTAAGGATTTCATGTTTACATCCCAACCAGTTAAGACTCTTCATTATTAGTAAGTAATGAGAGGATTGACTCAGCTGATCTTTTCTATGTCTCAAATTCTGAGATTAAATGATTTATTCATTCATTCAACACACATTTGAGAAACACTTAAGGACAGAGAGCTGTACTAAACTGTGAGGCTGTCTGGGTGCATGGCTCATGCCTGTAATCCCAGCACTTTGGGAGGCAGAGGCGGGCGGATCACTTGAGCCCAGGAGTTGGAGACCAGCCTGGCTAACATAGTGAAACCCTGTCTCTACTAAAAATGCGAAAAGTAGTTGGATGTGGTGGTGTGTGCCTGGAATCCCAGCTACTCAGGAGGCTGAGGCACGAGAATCGCTTGAACCCAGGAGACAGAGGTAACAGTGAGCCAAGATCGTGCCACTGCACTCCAGCCTGGGTGACAGCGAGACTCTGTCTCAAAAAAAAAAAAAATCAAAAAAATAAATTGTGAGGCTCCAGAAAAGAAAAAGTATCATCTCTGTCCTCTATGAACCTCCCACTTATGGGGAAGACAGGGGTGCAAGGGAAGCACTTGCCATTCTGAGTCATAAGTGCCACATAGGAGTGCGTGCAGGACTTCCTCAGCATCACACAGCATTCCCATGTGACAAATCTGCACATGTAGCCTCTGTCTCTAAAATAAAAGTTGAAATTAGAAAAAGAAGTGTGTACAGGATCCAGTAAAAGGAAAGGAAAAGAGGAGGTGAGGAGATGTCCCAAGAAAGGGGAAGTTAGTCTTGTATGATGAAGAGGACTTTGCTGGGAAAGAAATGAGCAGAGATTATTCCAGGCAGAGAATAGAGAGCTTGGTGCTTTGAGAGACTGCAAAGAGTTCAAGATGGCTAGATCAGGTGCAAGCAGCTGGGGGAAGTTTAGGAGAACAATGGTTAATATTGAGTGTCAACTTCATTGAAGTATGCAAAGTATTGTTCCTGGTTATGTCTGTGAGGGTGTTGCCAAAGGATATGAACATTCTAGGCAGTGAACTGGGAGACACAGACCAACCCTCAATCTGGATGGGCACCATCCAATCATCTGCCAGTGCAGCTAGGAGAAAAAAGCAGGCAGAGGAATGTGGAAGGACTTAGGCTTGCTGAGTCTTCTGGCCTCCATCTTTCTGCCATGCTGGATGCTTCCTGCCCTCAAACATCAGACTCCAGGTTCTTCAGCTTTTGGACTCTTGGACCTACACCAGTGGTTTGCCAGGGGATCTCAGGCCTTTGACCACAAACTGAAGGCTGTACTGTCAGCTTCCCTACTTTTGAGGTTTTGGGACTCACACTGGCTTCCTTGCTCCTCAGCTCCCAGGTGGCCTATTGTGGGACTTCACCTTGGGATCGTGTGAGTCAATATTCCTTAATAAACTCCCCTTCATATATACATCTATCCTATTAGTCCTGTCCCTCTAAAGAACCCTGACTAATACAAGGAGGAAGATAAGCACTCAGAGAGCAAGGTGGGAAACAGGACAAGGAGCTTTGGCTTTGACCCCAAGGTAATAGGGAGTCACGGGAAGGCTTGGGGAAGGGGAGGCCATTCTCAGAATTGTGTTTTAGGCAGATGACTCTGGGTCCAGTCTGGAGAATGGTTGTTAGGACTGGGGAAAGAAAGGAGGCACAACCAATCTCTGCTTCCAACATTTTCTGGGTCTCTGAGTGCCCGAGAGAGGTGAGGCTGAGAATGCATTCCTGTCTACTTTTACTCCGTCTCCACAAGCTTAAGTAATAACACAATGATTTCCTCCCCTTTGGCAGAGGTACTATCCCAGCAAGGTGGGGTCCTGAATAGAAGTGACAGTGGAGGGTGGTGAGGACAGAGGCACGTGGGTTTCATAGCTGGGACTTCTGTCCTATTGAATTTCTCCCAGAACATAACACACAGCAGTGCTGATTAGGCCCCTACACACCACACAGGCCCTAGATTGGCTAAGCAGCCATGCTGGAGTCTTCCATGAGGAATCACACCCTGCAGGACACAGAAGAGGTCAGTGCTAACCTTGGAGCTCACGACAAAACCCTCAGAGAAAAGGGAAAAGCATCACCCCTTTGTGAACATCTTGCAAATCAGTATCATCAATTACAACTCTAAATATCCCCAACAATCTTGCAAGATGGAAAACATTATCCCTATTCTACTTGTTAATATACCAAGATTCTGAGAGTTTGGCTGGCATGCCCAAATCATCTCACAGGAACAGAGACATTTGCCCAGTTTGCAACCCAGGCTGGTTTTATCCCAAAGCCAGCTGCCTCCACTCACCACCTTGAAGACCACTTGAGGGAATAGAGATGAAGCTGCCACAGGCTGTGGCTGTCACTGAGCATTAGCCAAGATGGCAAAAGAAGAAGCTGCAGTTGTCCAGATTCCATTATCTGAAGCATCTCAGCACCATGCCAAGCCTTAACATCCACTGGGCTAAGCAGGCACCCCAGGCACTGCACATATTCATTCGACACTTACTTACAGAGAGGCAGGAGAATGCAGCAGTTAGGAGTGCTGCCCATGAAGCCAGATGGCCTGGGTTTGAATCTTGGCTCTGTTACTTCCTAGTTGTGTTTCCTTGTGTTTACTTAACCTCCTTTGTGAAATGGAAATAAGAATGACATCATCTCAAAGGTTGCCACGGGGCGGATATTAAATGAGTTCATATATGTAAAGAACTTGAAGGAGCACCTGGCCCATGCTGAGTGCCCAGTAAGCATTGGCTGCCATGACTTACGGCGTGCCTGCTGGGCGCATTGTGCCAGGTGCCGAGAGGACACAGAAGTGAGTGGGACAATCACAGTGAGGTCTGAGGCAAGAAAGACCGTGGCATGTTCTAGAGCCTAAAGGGCAAGGCAGCAGATGGGGGCTGGAGTTCCATGATGCGTAGAGAAAGTGGCATGAAGTGCATTGGGGTAGGGGCCGGGACGCAGGCCAGGTTGGGCCTGGTGGACCTCAGAAGGTGTTTGGAATTTATTCCAAGTATAACGGAAAGGCAGTGAAGAGTTTTAACAGGGAGTGATCTGACTTAAGCTGTAAACTAAGTACTCTGCATGGGGAGAGGAGAAGAAATTGTAGGGGGAGACACAGGTGGAAGAAGAAACACCAGTCAGGCAAGGTACAGCAGAAGCCACATGAGGGAAGACAGGGACCAGGAAGCAGCACTGCCCATTCCCCAGGTCCCTGGGCACCTCAGAGGTACTTGATTAGCAGCTTCTTACTTCACCTTCTATGAACCATGCTCGCCACCCAAGGCCAAGACATCTCCCACCTGCCTCCCACCCACCAGGGTGCCACGTGCTGGGTGCCGGCACCCTCAAACCGGTAAAGCAAAACACAAAACCAATCTTACTCATACCTGAGCAATGGACTGAACCTTTTTAGACAGAATAAAAGAAGACAGCTGTTTGTTCAGCAAACTCTATACTCAAAACGCTGCTGGATTCAACCGAGCTGTAGGAAAAACCAGTAAATGCAACCACTCTGTAATAATGTTTAATGTCCACCTGCCCATATTAGAGATGAGCAAGTCCAAGCTCAGACGGGCCGCAAGCTGCTAAACATGAAGATTATACCTAAAATCTAGATCTTCTAACTGCAGGTCCACACGTGGATTACAGGCAGTAGCTTCCAGTCAATTCCAACTCACACTGTAAAGACAGCATTCCTTGGTTTTTGTGTACAGAGCCACTGTATTAGTCTGTTTTCACACTGCTATAAATAACTACCTGAAACCGGGTAACTTATGAAGAAAAGAGGTTTAATTGACTCACAGTTTCACAGACTTAACAGGAAGCAAGACTGGGAAGCCTCCAGAAACTTACAACCATGGCGGAAGGCAAAGGGGAAGCAAGCATGCCTTACTATGGCAGAGCAGGAGAGAGAGAGAGCACAGGGGGAAGTGCTACACCCTTTCAAACAGCCAGATCTCATGAGAACTCACTCACTATCATGAAGACAGCAAGGGGGAAGTCTGCCCTCGTGATTCAATTACCTCCCACCCAGCCCCTCCCTCAACACATAGGGATTACAATTCCACATGAGATTTGGGTGAGGACACAGAGCCAAACCATGCTAGCCACCAATGTGGATTCTCCAGTGACAGCCCAAAGGAGGAAGCAGGCTTCATCCTCCAAACTGTGTTTAACATCCCCCACCTCACTTCACATGTAGCCTCAGCACAAAACCCTCCATGGGGGAAGGAATGGGTAACATTTTCTGCAACAAAGCCATTTTATTGTTTGCTAGTATGGAGATAGACAGAGAGAGATAGAGAGAGAGAGAGTGAAATCTGGAAACTATTGAATGTGGTCTTATCCTTAGGGCTTAATCAGTGGAATAATAACTCATAGAGAGCTTACAGGATTCCAGGAGTCTGTATGTGCCTCCATAACATCTTCAAGCTATGCCCCCAACTCTGTTCTTGGGTATGAGGCCATGGTCCTACCAGCTCCGAGAACTCCATGTGGCCACCTCCCTCGCTTTGCACATACTCAATTTTTGCACCACTCTTTTCCCTTGGTCTTTTTAAGCTCCTTTCCTCAATGCCCCCTCCCAACCCCAAATAATTTCTGCTTCATCTTTGTGACTACGAAGTGTCACTTAATTTTCAAACACATCTGGTTCTTTTGCAGGATATGGTATCTGGATCACGAGAGCAGAAGAGAAACGGTGTATTTGTTTTCTAGGGCTGCCATAACAGATTACCACAAACTGGGTGACTTAAAACAATAGAAATGTATTCTGTCACAACTCAGAAGCCTAGATGTCTGAAATCAAAATGTCAGCAGGGCTATGCACCCTCTGAAGGTTCTAGGGAAGCATCCTCCCTTGCCTCTCCCTAGCTTCCGGTGGCTCCTGGCAATCCTTGGTGTTTCTTGGCTTATAGCTACATCACTCCCATCTCTGCCTTGGTCTTCACATAACATCTTCCCTCTGTGAGTGTGTGTGTGTGTGTGTGTATGTGTGCCTGTGTGTGTCTGTGTGTGTGTGTCTGTGTGTGCGTTTGTATGTCCCCTCTCCTCTACTTATAAGGAAACCAGTCATTAGATTTAGTGTCCACCCTAATCTAATATAAACCTATCTTAAGTTTATACTACATCTAACTAATTACATCTGCAAATACTTTCTAAATAAAATCACATTCTAAAGTTCCAGGTAGATATGTATTTTGAGGGACACATATTTAACATAGTACAAGAGGCAAGAGCCTTTGGAGACACACATATAAAACAAAATCAGGCCGTTTGCACCATAAAAATTAAGCTTTGCTAGAATGTCTGCAGTACCTAATAATGCTAAACTATACTTTCTCCTACCTGACTTTGAGTGACCTCATCACAGGATATTTTCTGCTAACTTCACTACAAGGAGTACAGATGCAGGAAATATATGGAGAGAGGATGAAAACCTGTACTGCTACCTATAGGTGAAGAAACAGGCCCAGAGAGAAGGGAGTGCAGCATATCAAGCGGACCTGGAAGCCATGTTGACCTGACCCCATGTTGGTTCTCTTTCCACCTCACCACACTGCCTTGCAAAAACAGGTGTGTGTCCACATGGCTAAACATCAGGCCCCTGAGGTAACAGAGCCAATGACTCAAAGAGAATGAGACAGGCAGGATTTGGGTTTCTCAATGCTACCGATGCCCCTGAACTGGTGCTGGGGTTTCTAGGGGCAGAGCTGAGTGCTAGCCCTGGCCAGGAGACACCACGCAGGTTTTGCTCAGCTTCCAGACTATTCTGCCTCCTATCAGGGAGCCTGGAAATGAGTCATACCCCTGCTCTTGAACTGGAAAGAAGAAAGTGGTCTCCTATGGCATTTATCCAAACTTTTCTAGCCAAGACGCACTGGTTCTGATTCTTGCCTCTGCCCATTGCTGAAGGAAGGAAGTTGTCATTTCCAGGGCTTGAGAATGTCAAAGATGTTACCAGCTCAAGTGAGCCTGGATTTAGTCCGGGTCAGCAGAGATAATGACAGCTCCAGGGTTCCACTTAGCCTCTTCCAGATGACAGTCTGTGTGGTTCCAAAAAGAAGATGAAGGAGAAAGTATGAATTAGAGAGATTTGGATATAGAGGTGGCAAATTTACTCCCACCTTCTATAAACGCCAAGACAGATGCACGCAGGTGAGCTCAGATGGAGAATGGGTTGGGAAAGATGCAGAAAGACTGCCTGGTGCCTAGAGTATGCATTCATTCAGGATGGTCTAGCTGGCTAGCCTGAGATTTTACCCTAAACCTGCAATTACCCATCATGAAATCTCCAGCAATGCCTTCCCTTGTCAGCCTCACTTTCCTTACCTGTGACTGGGATGCTGCCCAGGTGGCTGTGAGGATTGAATGAGATCATGTATTTTTAGAAGGTATTTATACACCCACCTTGTTCCAGAAAGGATTTGACACACCTATGGGATAATCTAGATACAGCCCTTAGCATACTGTTTAGCATGTAATAGGTCCTCAATCAATGCCAGCCTTCCTTCCTAAAGAAAATCTCAGTGATTCCATCTAATTCAATGTGGAGAGAATGCAGAGGCCAGAATGAATGAGGGAAATGTAGCTATTTTTAGAGAAAAGTGGTCTTAATAAGTAGATCACCTATTCTTCCAATAAAAAAGATAATTTTGAAAACTGGATAGCAATATGAAAAATGTTCTGATGTAAGGGAAAAGGCAGTGAATAACAGTGCATATGCATGTGCCTTTATAGAATATGTGTCAATCTAACAACATGGAGAGATTTTTACCTTACCTCCCCTCCCCTTACCTCCCACTCCCCAAATTCCTTTTGGTAAGAGAATGGCATTTGTTTGGGTATGTTCTTGGGGAAGAAGAGCACTAAATATGGAAACTAATCTGAGTGACAGAAGGCGGAGACTTTTTCTTGTGACTCCAGAAAAGGATGGTCATGGAGGAG
Organism: Homo sapiens; assembly: GCF_000001405.40. Taxonomy (NCBI): domain Eukaryota; kingdom Metazoa; phylum Chordata; class Mammalia; order Primates; family Hominidae; genus Homo; species Homo sapiens. Next base: position 120,019,328 of record NC_000009.12, read on the forward strand.
AAATTGAGGAGAGAAGGAAAGGCAGATGGAGCAGGAAAAAAAAAGGCAGAAGATCCCATGCTGTAGAATGCCTAGGACCATCTATGAGACCTCACCCTTCAGTCAAGTTATTAACTCATGCACAATTGGTGGTGAGGAACCTGCTAGGGCATGGAGGGAAGTGACTGTCCTTTGTTCTCAGACCAATGCGAAGAAAAATAAAAATAATACAGAGAGACAGAGGATCAAGAACCAGGGAAAAGCATAGGAGTGGTGGACCTCAGAAACTCTCAGAAATTGTGACAAGAAATCTATACACTCTTGCAGCAAAGAGTCAGAAAATCAGGGGCCTCATCTGAGTTACATTTTTTTCCTTCTTCATATATTTTTTGGAGACAGAGTCTTGCTCTGTCACCTGGGCTGGAGTACAGTGGCGTGATCTCAGCTCACTGCAGCCTACATCTCCCAGGTTCAAGCAATTCTCCCACCTCAACATCCTGAGTAGCTGGGACTACAGGTGTGAGCCACCATGCATGGCTAATTTTTGTATTTTTGTAGAGATGGGGTTTTGCCATGTTGGTCAGGCTGGTCTCAAACTCCTGACCTCAAGTGATCTGCCCGCCTCGGCCTCCCAAAATGCTGGGATTACAGGCATGAGCCATTGTGCCCAGCCTGGGTTACATTTTTACACATGAAGAGAGCTGTAAAGAAAAAGATGAAAATGGGTAATATATTATGATGGAAATATTGTGGTTGGTTTGCTAAGTACCTTTTTCTGATTACAAAGTCAAACAAGTGCATTGTGAAAAATTTGAAAAAATATAGAACAGTTTGAGGAAGAAACCACTATTAGTGTTTTGGTTAGTACACATCCCTTGAGTGCTCTTTCCACATGTGTACATGCTGGCATGCTATTTTCATGCCACTCACATTTGCACATATGAGATCACATCCCTCAGTTTGTCTGACCTCCACTTTTTTTACTCAATCACTCAACATGGGCATTTCACACGCCACTGAATTTCTTTTTCCATATCTTTTTAAATGGCTGTATAGTATTCCATACCATGTGATATGGTTTGTCTCTGTGTCCCCACCCAAGTCTCATCTTGAATTGTACTTCCATAATTCCCATGTGTTGTGGGAGGGACCCAGAGGGAGACAATTTGAATCATGGGGGTGGTTTCCCCCATACTGTTCTCATGGTAGTGAATAAGTCTCATGAGATCTGATGGTTTTATCAGGGGTTTCTGCTGTGCATCCTCCTCATTTTTCTCTTCTGCCGCCATGTAAGAAGTGCCTTTTGCCTCCCGCCATGATTCTAAGGCCTCCCCAGCCACGTGGAACTATATGTCCAATTAAACTTCTTTTTCTTCCCAGTCTCAGGTATGTCTTTATCAGCAGCATGCAAATGGACTAATACATCATTGGAGTACAAAATTTAACGAGTCTCCTGATTTTGGAACTCACTATTCTAAATAATGCCCCAGTGTACATTCTTACACATAAACCTTTAAGTATGTACATGGTTATTTCTTCAGATTCCATCTCTAGAAATAGAGCTGCTGGGTCGAAGATATGCACACATTTAAGACTTTTGTCACATTTAGCCAAGTTACCTTCCATACATATTGTACATATTATCTTCTTTCCAACTTTTAGGTTCAGGAGGTACATGTGCAGGTTCGCTATGTGGGTAAATTGTGTATTGCAGGGGTTTGGTATAAAGATTGTTTTGTCACTCAGGTAAGAAACATAGTACCTGACAGGTAGTTTATTTATTCTTACCCTTCTCCCATGCTCCACCTTCAAGTAGGTACCAGTGTCTATTGTTCTCTTCTTTGTGTCTATGTGTACTCAATGTTTAGCTCCCACTTATGAAACTGGACCCCTTCCTTTCACCATATTGTACATATTTTACACACCACCAGTCGTGCAAGAAAATGCCCATTTTCCCCACACACTTACTTAGCATTTGGGATGGTAATTTTCTTTCATTTCTGCCAGTTTAATGGGTGATGGCATATCAGTGTTGTTTTTTTATTTCTTTGATCACCAGTGAGATAATATTCTCTTGTTTATCAAGTATTGGACCTTTGTATTTCATCTTTTATTAATTACATACTCATATCCTTTGCTCATTTTCTTATTGGAGCTTCTTTTTTTTCCTTGTGGACTTACATTTTAACCACTTGTTTGCCATATATGCTGTAAATATTCCCTTGGATTATATTTAATGTTTAAATTTTTTTTTGTTTTTTTGTCTTGTTTTGTTTTGTTTTTGAGATAAGGTCTCCCTATGTTGCCCAGGCTGGTCTCAATCTCCTGGGCTCAAGTGATCCTTCTACTTCAGCTTCCTAAGTAGCTGAGGTTACAGGAACACACCACCACACTGGGATAACACTTTTATGGGGTTTTTAAAGCATGATACTTTATTTTTATTTTATTAAATCTATCAATATTTTCCTTTATGATGTTTTAATACTTAGGTTTTTCTCATTTTGCAATTGTGTAACTATGTGTTACTTGTTTTCATCTTAATACACTTTCTTTTTAAAAAATTTTCTTTACTCCACCTAGAATTGAGTAATTTATATAAGATAGTGATCTAAATACATGTATTCTACGAATAGTCAATCATCCCAACACCAGTTACTGACTGATCCATTGTTTTTCACTAATGAAAAATGTTGCCTTTATTATGGCATAGAGTCTACATAGCCAAGAAGGTCTTTTTATGAAGCAATTGGCTGGGTATAAAAATCTTGAATCACGGCCGGGCGTGGTGGCTCATGTCTGTAATACCAGCACTTTGGGAGGCTGAGACGGATCACGAGGTCAGGAGATTGAGACCATCCTGGCTAACATGGTGAAACCCCATCTCTACTAAAAATACAAAAACAAAATTAGCCAGGCATGCTGGCTGGAGGTTTCTGTAGTCCCAGCTACTCGGGAGGCTGAGGTGGGAGAATGGCGTGAACCCAGGAGGTGGAACTTGCAGTGGGCTGAGATCACCACTGCACTCCAGCCTGGGCGACAGAGCAAGACTCCGTCTAAAAAAAAAAAAAAAATCTTGAATCGCAATTTTGTCTTCCAATATTCTGTAGAAATTCCTACATTATCTTTTAATATATAGTTTTACTTTCCATATTTTCTATACCTTGAACAATTTTACATAGAAAAGGAGTTATTTATTTTATGAAATTTAGAAGAATTTGCCTACTAACCACGTAAGATTTCACAATTTTTGGAGGTAGTTCTTTGAGATTTCCACCAATCTCTCTGATACTTATTGATATATTGTGTTGTGTCCACTTAGATTATTTTTATGTTTGCTAAAAAATAATTCCATTTATGTAGATTTCCAAATTTATTAACTGGAAGTTTTACATAGTATTTTACTTTTTTTTTTTTTTTTTTTTTTTTTTTTTAGACGGAGTCTCGCTCTGTCACCCAGGCTGGAGTGTAGTGGTGGCAACCTCCACCTCCTGGGTTCAAGTGATTCTCCTGCCTCGGCCTCCTGAGTACCTGGGATTACAGGCACCTGCCACCATGCCCAGCTAATTTTTTGTATTTTTAGTAGAGACAGGGTTTCACCATGTTGGTCGGGCTGGTTTTGAACTCCTGACCTCGTGATCCTCCTGTCTTGGCCTCCCAAAGTGCTGGTATTACAGGCATGAGCCACCATGCCCAGCCTTTAATTTCTACTTTATGTTTAGATTCCCTTTGTCTTATCCAATGCTGAATGCTTATGTTTTATCCCTTTTAATTATTAAGATATTCAAAGATTGTTCTGTATCCTTTTTTAAAGTGAATCTTAAATTTATTTACCAATTCTACTACTCTTTTCTAATTTATTGATTTCTGATCTTAAATGGATTTTATTCTTCTTTCTACTTACCTTGGGCTAACTTTGTGGTTCTTTCTCTCACTTCTTAAGTTGAATGCCTATTTGTATATTTTTTCTTTTTCTTGCTGATAAAGTTGTTAAAGGCTGTAAATACTTCTTTGGGTATATCTCTAGCAACTCAACTTCCATCAGTGTTGACAAGTTGTATTCTCACTGTTACAGTATTCTACACAGCCTATAATTATAGTTTGTTTTGATTCAATCTTGACTAAAGAGTAATTGAAATTCTTCCTTATTTCATCCAATATCCTTCTCAGCTCAACTTGGTTCCTTTTGGCTTTATGCTTTTTTTTTTTTTTTTTCAAACACACCATGTCTTCTTAATATTTTCCAAGGATACAAAATAGTTTCCTGATTTTTTTCTGGACACTAAAGAGATGCAACTTCATGATAGGTCTTTTCTCTTGATCAATAATACTTTTTCATAGACTTTTTATTTGCTTTTCTTTCCTATTCTTTATCTTCAAGAAAGTCAGAGTCTATCCAAACTCTATAAAAATACAGAATGTAAGAATGTACTACCTCACTCTCTGTTCTCATGAGTAATGGCTAAGTCTTTTCAGATCTTCTTAAGGAGGATAGACTTAAGTGTACAGCTAACAGCTCAGTTTCTACCAGATAACTCAGCTTGATGAAGAGGACCTCTTCTCCTACACTGATGACTACTTCTCCAACCCTCTGAACAGGTAAGGTACATGGAAAAACTACAATTCCCAGCATGCAGTGGTATTGTAATTCATCCTGTGTTTGGTCTTCTACCTACAGCATCTCATTTGTGGGGCTTGAACATAACAGTGTAATATGGTGCTATTAATGTGCATGCATACACACACACACACACACACACACACACACACACACACTTTCTGTCCTTGTGGATTCTAAGAGTTACTGTCTCTGATTGAATACAGGCAGCAGGCTGGGAGGGGATGGGAGGAGGAGAAAACCAAGTAGGAGTAAATTGGGGAAGGGAAAGGAGCAATGCTCTGGGTGCCTCACAGCAGAAGGATGGCTGCCCTGTTTTCTGATGACTATGGTTCCAGGATATCAGAGTCAAGGAAAGCAGTTCAAAGTCCCTTCTCACTTTTCTTCAGGCAGTCTCAGTTTCATAAGACAAAGGTAAAACAGGTTTCTCTCAGTCCAACTCTATCTACTTTAGAGTTCATGGAAATCTCTCTCTGACCCTGTATTCAGCAGGTTACCAATTGGAGGTTCGGATGATTTTGTGAGTTTTTGTCTCATGCTTCACAGATAGTTAGCAGAGAATTTAAAGAGGATACATCAGGGCCTGTAAGCCAGATGCCATTTTAATGAGCATTTGCTATTCACTGTCATAATTTTGCCTGTACAATAAATTCCAGTCTTGCTTCCACTACAATTCAGTGCCATCATTTCTTATTAGAAATATTGGGAACATTTCTTGACTCTTCTCCCTGCCTCCAGTCCTATCCCTTCCATCCCATCCTCACCCCAGTCACCAAGAGTGATTTTTCTAAATCCAAAGTTATTAAGTCCATCCTTCCATCCCAAAATCTCCAGTTCAGCCATTCAAATACTCACTGAGCCGCTACTCAATTCCAGGCACTGTGTTAAGTCCCAAGACCTAACACAAGCCACCAAGAAGCACCCAGTCTTTGTGGAAGAGGGAGAAAGCAGAACTTATAATTCAGCAAGATGAAAGCTGTGGAAGGAGGAAGTTCAGTGTGCCATGAGATGGAGCAGGAACATTACTAATCTGGGAAAACTTCCCAAGAAGAGGAGATGTTGGAAGGACAAGGGAGAGTCACTTGGGGAAGCACAATGTTCTAGAACCTGGGGGACAAAAGAAAGGCACGATGAGGGAGAAGCCCTTCAATCACCAAAGCAGGGCTGGAACACAGCAGGCAAGAACAACAGTGACAAGAGATGGGTCTGAGAAAATCAGCAAGGCCTGGGCCATGGATGATCCTGAGTCCAAGCTGAGGCGTTTGTTATTTTTATCTTTAGGGCACTGAGAAGCTACGGGAATTTTTTATCCAGAGAATAACATGATCAGGGTGCCTCTTGTGGCACAGGAGGAGGGATGAGGGAAGGAGAGATGCTACGTAGGAAGACTGTCAAGGAGCTGTTGTAATGGCTCAGGTGAGAGATGCTGCAAAGAGTTTGAAGTCCAGAGATGTTTGGAAGCAAACCTAGAGGACTTGTTGACTGAACAACATCCATACTTCCTTTCCACACTCAAGGCTTCTTTCTAATGTCTATATAAGAGGTGGGAAAGAGCAGGCCTAGTTGGGAGCAAAAACCAACTAGGTGTGGCTGTGGTCTCCATCCATCATGGACCAAAGCTATCACTTCCATCTCCCCTTAGGCCAGAAAGATGACAAAACAAAGAGAGAACTGCACAAAGCCAATGGGGTCCCCAGCACACGTAAGGAGTGACTATGTACCCATTATTGTGCTAGGTAATTCAAGGGAGAACAGGAAACTGCAAATAACCTACCAATAAAAAGCAGCAAATTATAGTAACATGTTTAGAACCTTGCAGAGGGACACATTTAGAATACAGATGGAAGGAAGGACTGTTTTATCGTTGTTGTTGTTGCTTTTAGTAAATTCTCAGTTTAAATTTATAATATGATAAATCTCAACCAATATAACCCTATAAACAAAATCCCTTTAGGGCCACAGTAATTTTTTAAGACTGTAAGGGAATTCTGATACCAAAAAGTTAGAAAACCATTGCACTAAATGATAGATGACTAATTCAGCAAGGGTCAGAACTAGAAACACCTGATCTTTATCTGATACCAAAGATGGATTTGTTCTCCACTGTTGCTGCAACAAGTTAGCACAATCTTAGTGGCTTAAAATGATACACATCTATCATCTCACAGTTACCATTGGTTAGAAGTCTTAGTACAGGTCAGCTGGATTCTATGCACAGGTCTCACAGGCTGAAATCAAAGTTTGGGCTGGGTCTTCTATCCTCTGAGGCTGCAGTCCTCTTCCAAGTTGAATGGTTGTTGGCTGAATTCAGTTCGTTGCAAACATAGGACTGAGGTCTCCATTTTTGTGTTGGCCATCAGTGGGGATTGCCCTCAGCTCCTTGCTGCCACTCTCTGGTACTTGCACACAACCCCCAAGAAGGGGCTGTGATTGATCCTCTGTCTTGTTGCTTGTTTGTTGTGTGACCTGTTCAATGCAATGGCCAAGGAGGTTGGGCTGGGACGAACTTTGGTCTGTTGTTTGGGGGGACAGAAAAGGCTCTTCTATCAGGCTTAAGTGGGGTGAGCAGGTCAGTCACAAAGAGCCAGTGAAGTGGGAAGTTCCAAGGAAAAAAGAACCCACTAGGAAATGACTTGAAGAATGAAATGAGCAAGTACAGCAAAGGGCTCCCAGTTCCTCTGGGGTCATGGGGAGGATAGAGGTCAGCCCAGTGCTTTCCTCTTGGGCCACTATTTGGCTGGGAAGATGCAGCATAAAGCAAGTTTGCCCTTCAACTTCTTCAGCTTTAACCCCCGAAGAATAGTGTTGTCAAAATCAGCCACATAATTTGTAGAGCCCAGTGCAAAACGAAAATGCAGGGCCCCTTGTTCAAACTTAAGAATTTTAAATTGACAACAGCAGAGTGTTACATACATGGGGACTTTCTAAGCGTGGGGCCCTAAATGACTGCACACCCTGGCTATTGTGCTTAGATCAACAAACATTTATCAGATGGCTGGAACTCAAAATGTTGATAGAGATCATCTAGTCCAAATCTAGCTCCCATACTGTTCACTGGGAGAGCTGGGTCAGAGAAGGAGAAAACCTTGGCCAAGATCCTAGAGCGGGTCAGGGATGAGTTTATTTATCCAGATGAAGGGCTCTTTATTCTTCTGTGCTGCCCTTAAAGCTGTCTTTCACCCATCAAACTACAGCAGACACAGGTGGAAAGCCTATGACATGCCAAGCACTGAGCTTGCTGTCTGTCTTCACCCACACATAGCACAGAAGCAGTCAGGCATAGGGAGAGACCATCCTCGGCTTGGAGCAAGGATTTAATTCCTTACTCCACCAAAAACCTGCATTGCCCCCCAGGCAGGTCATTGTTTCTCTCTGAGTTTTAGTCTCTTCTTTTGCATAGGAAGAACCAGCTTGTCTCAAAGGTCCTTCTCAGGTGTCACTTTTATGGAAACAACAGGGAGGAAAGCCTTCCAGTGGCGAATCAAGGGGGCCTTCCACCCCCATCAAGGAGGTAGCTCTGGGCTAAGCAGTCCTCGGGTGAAATTAACTCTGCTTTCAACTGAATTTGCCAGTTTTTCAGCCAAAAAATAATAATAATAATAATAATAATAATAATAATAAGTAGCACAACTACAAGCTGCTCCAAGCCAAGCTGCCCTTAAACAGATAATCGGATTTGCATAATTGGGTGCTGCTAAGGTTTAAATAATTCATCAACATGGCAGGCTCTTTTTAATAGCCAAATAGAACTGCAGACTTTGGGAAAGGATCAATGGCAATCCATGTCCCAGGGATGTGAGCTGCATCCTCAGGGCAGCCAGAGCTGCGGGGTGAGGTTTAGAGCCTGGACTCTCTGCTGCCTGGTTCTCTCCTCTAACAAGGATTTGGACAAAGGGTTTGCTTTTCTTCTTCTGCAGTACTGACGTGTTAGGCAAAGCTTGTTCACAGCGTTGGGGCAAAGGGAAACCCCTGAGTCCCTTTGCAAAAAGACAAACTATCTGGAGAGATTTAGATTCCAGCAGAATTGTTTTGGCAAGACCCAAAGTGAGGGCCAATAGGAACCTACTTGGAAAGAGATAATTTCATGCTATCTAGGGATGCAATTTCTGGCCATCCCTTGATAGCTTGTGTTGTTTCACTTGTCAATGTTCCTCAGCCAAAAAGTCACCAGGAACATACTTGTAGTCAAACAAAGTTGACTTCAGCGTTCATAACAAAGGAAAATGCATACCATGGGGAACCATAAGGAGTCTCAATGAGAGAGTGCTGGGAATGAATTATTATGGGATTTGAACCTCTGTTAGGTGATTTATGGAGAGTTCCAGGAAGTGGGGTTTACTGCATTGGATACTGTCAGGAAGTGGGGGTAATGCTACAACTGGGTACCTTGATAAATCTTATGTAAAGGGATGGGGAATATAGCAAGTCTGAAACTGGAATAGGTAAAGAAGAACAGTCACTCATATTAGCTGGAAGAGGGGGTTGGCCCTTTTGTGATTTGCACAGTGACCTTGTTTTTGTCTATGTCCAGACAAGACTATGAAGGGGTCTTATGACCTCATCACCATCACACACAACAACATCAGACCTTGTCTGATGCTGGTGTCTTCTGAGGTTGTTTATGTCCGACAGGAGAACACCATAGGTTATGTTCTAAGAACACTGACAAGGTCTGACTGTGAATGCCAGGCCAGATCCCAGATATCAGAGGTTGCTTTTCTCTGTCCCACCGTCATACAAGAAAAGCAGTTTTATTACTTTACTACCTATGGACGCTGACTCAGAATGTTCAATGCCAACTTTGTTGTCTTCTCCTGAAACTTATTCCTTCTCCAATGCTCCCCCCACCTTGATCAATGATGTCACCATCCACATGAGAACCCAGGTGAGATAGCTAGGCATTATCCTAGCCCATTTCCCCTCCCTTACCTTCTATGTTTAATCCCATCACCAATCCTGTTGATTCTGCCTCGAGATTAAACTCAAACTTCTAGAGGTTTTGTTGTCCTCTTTGGATTTTAACTGCCCAGATCAGCAGGAGGCTGTGCAGATGAAAGCAATGGAAGTGATGGGAAACATAGAGGAGATGGCATGGCCTCTGTCCCCTTCCCCACCAGTGCCTTGGATAAGTGTGATGTCCCAGAAGAGCAAGAACATAGGAGAGAAGCCAAAGAAGATGCTCAGGCTGTGTGGAAATTAGGGTCCAAGCAGTCTTGCTTTGTTATCCTGGTCATTGCAGTGGCACAGAATCAGGAGAGAATCTTCATTCCCCAACTCCACCAAAGGCTGCCATGTTCCTCTGCTGTTCTGTTTGTGCAGGGTTGCCAGAAGGTAAGGGCATGACAAGAGAGCTGAAATCTCAAAAGAACATGGAAAACAGTAGGAAAGACTTTTGTAGTGGAAGCCAGAGCAGATAAACAAGGGCAGAATTTTTATGAGCATCTATAAGCCAGGGGAGAGAATCTATCTGAAGGATTCAAATCCACAAAATATGAATATAAATATTAATATGATTCTGTTGATAGCTATAGGCTGGTAAAATACTTGAGACATTTGGATTTCACAAAAAAAGTCTGTACCCTCACAATGTTAGAGCCCTAGACCAGCGATTCTCAAACTTTCTATAGTGAAGGAAGAGTTGTCAGTGGTGACACTGTTGTTATTAATTCCCAATTCATCATGGACCATTGCATGGATGACTGCATGTGACTACGACATGGTTCACGCCACCTGAAACTCATCACTCACTTTCAACAGCACCCAAACTTGTCTGTACCCTGTTCAACAAGGACAGTCCTTGAATAAGCATGATTGGATGTCTCAGCAATGCCAAATTTCTATAAAAGATTTTGAACACCTACTGCAGCTCATTTTCTGAACTTACTACTCCTCCCAAGAAGTAGAGTTAGTGATGGGGTAGGGTGGGGCAGAGGCTTTCAGTTCACAGACCAGCACCAGGCTGTGGACCATACTTTGCCTAACACTGTCCTTGACCACCACAGGTCAAAGTGATCGTCTAACAGTCACTTAGTCTCACCCCTACTTCGCAAGAGTGAAGCATTTGACTTAATTAATCCCTCAACCCAATAAAGGCCAAGACAGAAGATAGGCTTATTCCCTAAGGCAAGCCAACAATATGTGATGATCCAGGTGCATATCCTATGCAAGATGGTATATGTATTAGATTTCTATGGGTACTGTGACAAATAAACACAAACTCAGTGGCTTAAAACAACACAAATTAATTTCCTTCCAGTTCTGGAAGTCAGAAGTCCAAAATCATTTTGGTCTCAAGGGGCTAAAATCAAGGTGCTAGTAGAGCTGATTTCTTCTTGAAGCTCCAGGAAAGAATCCATTCCTTGCCTCCCCCTTTCAGCTTCTAGAGGTTGCAGCATTCCTTGGTTTCCGGCCACATCACTCCCAAGCTCTGCTTCCAACATCTCATGACTTTCTCCAGCCTTTAACCTTCTTGGCTCCCTTTTACAAGGACCCTTTTGATTATAATTAGGGCCTACCATGTAATATCCCCATCTTAAAATCTTTAACTTGGTCATCATCAATGTCCCTTTTGCTACATAAGGTAAAATTCACAGGTCCAGAGATTAAGACGTGGATGTCTTTGGGCTGGCCATCATTCAACCTACCACAGTATGGAAAGCACATTTGCTTTAAAATCTTCTCACACCAAGCCTGAGTCAGTGAAAAGAGGACTGGCTTTAGTACCTCACAGACTCGTGTTCAAACTCCAGTTCAGACATTTCTTTGTTGGGGGACCCGTGACTCATCATTTCATCTTTTCTGTATCTCAGCTAGTCCATCTGTAAAATGGGGTCACCATCCTATTTCGCAGGGTTGCTGTGAGGATAAAAATGAATGTGTATTTAAAGGGCCAAACGCCCAGTAGAAAAAATATTACTCTGCTTTCCCTGGATGTAGTGCTCTTTCTTTCTTATCTTCCCACAAAGGACATTGGTGACCCGGGGCTTCCTTCCTGCTACCATTCAGGGGATCCTTGTCATTGTGACTTGACACACATCTCTCGCTGTCTGTCTTTTATCTCTGTGAAATCTCCCCCTGCACCCCGCCTCTGCTTCCAGCCAAGGCTCATGGCAGCAAGGCATTTTTGCAGCCTTGGACCACGCAGAGCAGAGACGATGAACAGCACACCAGAGGATGGCCACACAAAGATCCACAGCCAGACCTGCCTCCTCCCTGTCTGCTTTGAGGCTAGACATGAAAGGCCTTTTTAGAGAAATACAGGGAATTGTCATTAGAGCCTTTCTTCTCTTGATAATGGTCCTGCCAGAATCAGAAGGAAAAAAAAAAACATGTTGATGTGCTATTTATTATAATATGTGGGCTGCAGGGTATATATAATCATGAAAATCATTCTCTGACTAAAACTGCTACTGTATTTGTGCCAGTTTAAATACTGTGTACTATCTAAGATTTTTCTATTGGTGGTCTCATAGAAAAATTATAGAATGTTAGCATTTTATGGAAACTCAATGCCATTTAATCCATCATTTTTTTTAAAAAGCCAGTATACACTAATTCAGTCTCTACTTGCACATCTCTACTGACAGTAAGCTCACTACCCTCTTCCTCCAAAGTTCTTTCTTTAGGATGTTGAGGGTGATAAATAATCACACCTTGTCTCCTCCTATTTTAAATCAATTACAAAAGAGACAGCAGAGTCAGCAGGGGATAATATATGAGCTTTCTTGCTGGTAAAAGGGGAAATGGAGTAGGCAAATTAGACATGAGACCAGAATGGGCTTTCTATGCCTCCCCAAGTCTAAGACCAGCTTACAAGTGAGAGGTAGATTTTCAGGGCAGCCTCCTATGTGCCCAGCCCCTTGGTGGTTGCCTCATACCCCACTTGGGCCCAGAGGGCACAGGAATGCAGCACTGTGCTGCCTTGTGAGCAAGTGGCATGTGGCCACTTATCCCACCTGACATGCAGGGACCAACAGATGTCACATTCTCACCATCCACCAATGGGATAAATCATTCCTCTTCCTTTTTTTTTTTTTTTGCGATGGAGTCTCGCTCTGTCACCCAGGGTGGAGTGCAGTGGTACAATCTCGACTCACTGCAACCTCTGCCTCCCAGGTTCAAGCGATTCTCCTGGAGAATCAGCCTCAGCCTCCTGAGGAGCTGGGACTACAAGCGCATGCCACCACGCTTGGCTAATTTTTTGTATTTTTAGTAGAGATGGGGTTTCACCATGTTAGCCAGGATGGTCTCGATCTCCTGACCTGGCGATCCACCCACCTCAGCCTCCCAAAGTGCTGGAATTACAGGCGTGAGCCACCATGCCCGGCCATCACTCCTCTTCCTAAAGTTTGGAGCCAGCAACAGGCTAGAGCCGGGCAGAAGCTTTTTCATCTAAACTTCGGAGACTTCCCGTTACGCGTGTCAGAGTAAGTAGCACAGTAAGGGAGGATGAAGTTCCACCTTCTGTGATTGTCTTACACCTTCCTTTATTGAGCCAAAATCTGCTTCCATTCCAATCCGTCCACTCTTCCCAGCTGGGCTCTCAGTTGCCATACAAGACAAGAAGTCAAAAACAATCAGCACCACCATGGGCTTCTTATCCCAGCAAAGCTCAGTTCAAATCCCAGCCCTTGCCACTGACTCATCACGTCTTCTTGGGCAAATTACTCTTCTTTTCTGAGTGTCCACTTCCTCATCTGTAAAATGCGGTGATGTTGGTCCCTCCTTCATGAGGGTTATGCCAATTCACTGAGCTAACCTGTGTGAAGCATTTAGCCAGGCATATGGTAGTAATTTCATAACAGTGGTTGCCTGTGTTACTGCCACATGGAATTAGTAAAAACATCATAATTCAATACACAAAGAGTTTTGCCTACTCTGTGGGACTCCTCCTGGTGGCTGCTCTGAAAAATGCAGGAGGAAGGCCAGGCGCGGCGGCGGCTCAAGCCTGTAATCCCAGCACTTTGGGAGGCCAAGGCAAGCGGATGACTGAGGTCAGGGGTTCGAGACCAGCCTGGCCAACATGGTGAAATCCCATCTCTACTAAAAATACAAAAATTAGCCAGGCTTGGTGGTGTGCGCCTTTAATTCCAGCTATTCGGGAGGCTGAGCGAGGAGAATCGCTTGAACCCAGGAGGCGGAGTTTGCAGCAAGCCGAGATCGCGCGACTGCACTCCAGCCTGGGTGACAGAGTGAGACTCTGTCTCGATAAAAAAAAAAAGAAAAGAAAAGCAAGAGGAAATACAGGACCCAAACTCCATCCTTTACCATCCACCTTGCTGGGGGAGGGGTCGCCAAAGAGAACCACAGCATGCATTCCTGTGCTCACGCACTGTCATTTGTAGAACATGTTAACTCATTTATCAAATGATTTTTTTTTAACTGTTCACTCTACTTCAAACTCTGCTAGGACCTGAAGCCACAGAGGTTAGATCTTCACAGATTCTTACAGAACCCACAGACCTGGCAAAGACTCCAGTGTGTATCATATAGAATAGGCCTGGCCGGGCATGGTGGCTCATGCCTGTAATCCCAGCACTTTGGAAGGCCGAGGCGGGTGGATCACGAGGTCAGGAGTTCAAAAGCAGCCTGGCCAAGATGACGAAACCCTGTCTCTGCTAAAACTAGGAAAATTAGCCAGGCACAGTGGCAGGTGCCTGTAATCCTAGCTACTCGGGAGGCTGAGGCAGGAGAATTGCTTGAACCTGGGCGGCAGAGGTTGCAGTGAGCTGAGATCATGCCACTGCACTCCAGCCTGGGTGACAGAGTGAGACTCTGTCTCAACAACAACAACAACAACAACAACAACAAAAAAGAATAGGCCTTCAAGAGTCTCAGGAGGAAAATCACTTACAGATAGTAGTCCCTGGAATATTCCCTGGAGGATTTTTTTTTTCCAGATTTACTGAGGTATAACAAACAAATGAAAATTGTACTTATTTATAGTGTACACTGTTACACTGTGATGTTTTGATGCATGTATACATTGTGAAATGATTACCACAATCAACCTAATTAACATATCCATCACCTCACATATTTGTGTGTGTGTGTGTGTGTGTGTGTGTGTGTGTGTGTGTGTGTGTGTTGAGAACATTTAAGATCTATTCTCTATTTTCGGATAAAGACAATGTGGGTCAGGCGTGGTGGCTCATGCCTGTAATCCCAGCACTTTGGGAGGCCGAGGCAGGCGGATCACCTGACGTCAGGAGTTCAAGACCAGCCTGACCAACATGGTGAAACGCTGTCTCTACTAAAAATACAAAATTTAGCCAGTTTTGATGGCAGACGCCTGTAATCCCAGCTACTTGGGAGGCTGAGGCAGGAGAATCACTTCAATCTAGGAGGCAGAGGTTGCAGTGAGCCAAGATCATGCCACCGCACACCAGCCTGGGTGACAGAGCAAGACTCGGTCTCAAAAAAGAGAATATGTGGCACTCATACACCATGAAATACTATACAGCCATCAAAAGGAATGAGATCATGTCCTTTGCAGGGATGTGAATGAAGCCAGAAGCTGTCATCCTGAGCAAACTAATGCAGGAACAAAGAAACACACACTGCATGTTCTCACTCATAAGTGGGAGCTGAACAACAAAAACACATGGACACAGGGAGGGAAACAACACACACTGGGGCTTTGGGTGGGGGCGAGGGGAGGGAGAGCATCGGGACAAATAGCTAATGCATGCAGGGCTTAATACCTAGGTGATGGGTTGATAGGTGCAGCAAACCACCATGGCACACATTTACCTATGTAACAAACCTGCACATTCTACACATGTATCCAGGAACTTAAAGTAAAATAAATTTTTTTTAAAAAAAGACTGATTCTCTATTTTCAAGTATATAATACATGGTGACTATATTAACTATAGGTACCATACAGATCTCCAGAATGTATTCATCCTGTCTAACTGAAAATTTGTGTCTTGCTATCAATATCTCCCCATTTTCCTCCACCTCCAGACCCTGGAAACCATCACTCAACTCTCTGCTTCTAGGAGTTTGACTTTTTTAGATTCCACATATAAGTGAGATCATATTTGTCTTTCTGTGTCTGGCCTATTTTGTTTAGCATAATGTCTTCCAGGTTTATACATGTTGTTGCAAATGACAGGATTGCCTTCTTTTTAAAGGCCGTTATATATATTTCAC
This sequence comes from Homo sapiens, assembly GCF_000001405.40. NCBI lineage: Eukaryota > Metazoa > Chordata > Mammalia > Primates > Hominidae > Homo > Homo sapiens. The sequence continues at coordinate 120,035,079 of NC_000009.12, forward strand.
ACTTTCACATTTTCTTTATCCATTCATCCATCATTGCTAGACACTTATGTTGATTCCATATCTTGGCTAGGAGTGGGAATTTGAACTGAGCTTTGAAAGCTAGCTAGAACTTGGAAGTGTGCTATATCAGTTATTTATGCCACATATAGTGCTGTGCTGTGTAACAAGCCAGTCCAAAACTCAGTGGCTTAAAAAAAATAAGCATGTATCTTTGCTCATAAATCTGTACCTTGATTGGGTGGCTCCATTGATCTTGGCTGTCATTTTCATATGTCTTGATGTTGGCTGGCAGTCAGACAGTCTAGGATGGCCTTGACTGGGATGTTCCGAGTAACACAACACTTATCCACCTGCTTTTCAACCTCCAGCAGGATCATGTGGAGATGGTCTCCAGGGAATCACAGAGGAGCAAAAGTGACAGCAAGCTGCAATGTGCAAGCATTTTTCAAGACTCTGCTTGTGTCACATTTGCTAATATCCTGTTGCCATCCAAAATTATGTGGCCAAGCCCAGCATCAAAAGAGAAGACCCTGCAAAGTTGCAGAGCACAGGGAAAGGAAAAGAATGTAGGCTGTCAATAAAATCAGTCTGCACAGGAGGAATCAAGAGAACAGCCAGAGAAGGCTGAATGAGAAATGAGGGTAGGGAGAAAGAGCTCTTCTCTCCTATCTCAACCAGAGCACACATCAACCAACATAATAGTGGCCATTTCCTGAGCATCAATAGTGTTCCAAGCATGGCGCCAGACACCCAGAAACATTATCTCATTTCAGCTACACAATACCCTACAAGTAAATATTCCCATTTCACAGATGAGAAATAAAGGTACAGACAAAATAAATTGCAAGCTTAAGGAATGGAAGAGTCAGGATTGAAACCCTGGCCTGCCTGGCACAGTGGTTCATGCCTGTAATCCCAGCAGTTTGGGAGGTCAAGGTGGGCGGGTCCCTTGAGCCTAGGAGTTCAAGACCAGCCTGAGCATTTTTTGTAGGGACCCAGTCTACAAAAAAATACAAAAATTAGCTGTGTGTAGTCCCAGCTGCTTGGGAGGCTGAGGTGGGAGTATTGCTTGAGCCCAGGAAGCAGAGGTTGCAGCGAGCCAAGATCACATCACTGCACTTCAGCCTGGGCAACGGAGAGACTCGGAAAAAAAAAAAGAAAGAAAGAAGGAAGGAAGGAAGAAAAGAAAAGAAAAAAGAAGAAACCTAGCCTGACAGACACAAAACTTCGGCCACCTCCCACTACCTTTCACACTACTAGGAATCAATGGGAAGATTAAAGATTGAACCCAGTTGTGAAGACTAAAAGCTTACCCTTTTTTCCACCTTTCATAGAGGCTTATCACCTTAATATCAAGCGTCGCTTTATTCCAGAGCTTGCTTTTCTCACCACGACCACGATCGTCCCTGTACTCATTCCCTTCACTTAGGCATCCCTATTTGAGCTTAATTAGGTTTGCGCTAAGTTCATGAGTTTCTGTAAACTTAATGGGCTCTAAAGAGAAAATAGAGATCTTTCTCACCAGGTGTTTATCTCCTTCCCCAGTTGTCCCCATTGCACTTTCAGATTCATTTTAAGTTCCATCTGGTTAATGGGTGCAGGTGAGATTGAGCAAGGAACTGCATACCCTCCCCACCATGCCCCCAACTTTGCCCCCACCCACAGCACACCCAGATGTTCCCTACTCCCCTGGCAAGAACACGGAAATGAAATGAGAGACTTTTAGAGACCAGCATAGGCCCCAAATGAGTCAAATCTATCTCAAAATATCTCACCCTAGATGTCTTCCCAGAGGGCAGGAAGAACACAATGTTTCTTGAGTAACTACTATGTGCTAAGCACTGCACCTATACTGCCAGTCATTCCATTAAGCAAGGTCATAGTGCCTGGGCTCTGGAGTCAGTTCACCTATCCAGGCTGCTCACGAAGGATGCCTCTGAGCCTCAGTTTTCTCATCTGAAGCTCAAGGTAAACATAGTATCCCCACCTCAAAAGTCACTGTGGGGATTAAATGCATTTATATTTGTAAAGCACTTAGAACAGTTTCTGGTTCAAGAGAGGACTCAATAAATGTCTGTCACCATTATTATGACTATTATTTCTATTATCCTCACGACAATTCTGGAAAATGGGCATATGCCTCATTAAAAGCTAAGAAAATAAACCTTTAGAGGTAAAGAAATCACCCAATGAGAAAAATAATCATTAACAATAAGGTTTGAACTTTCTCTGCCAGCGAAGTCCCTTCTCTGTCCACCGTGTTACCACCCACCTCTCTCTCAATGGAATAGACAAGCATAAAGGAAGTGGTATTTACTGGAACAAGCCAAATCCTCTCTAAGGCAAAGGCAGAAAAGAGCTCCCAGGAAGTGGCCAATGGAGGGCAGAGATGCTGACAGTCTTTGCTCCCTTCTCCTTTATCCTCTGTCCCCAGGGAGGCCACTCAGTGCCCAATTTCAGGACATGTGAGTCCCCTTTCTCCTCAGTGTGAGCATGAATAAAACAGACCCCTAACCTGGGATGCTTTTCATAAGCAGAGGTGTAGCTAGTTCTTCCTGAGGCTCAGAGAAGTCTCTGTGGATAACGGACCATTGGCATGGGCCTTTAAAGGATGAGGAAAGTTCACAGGAAAATGGGGAAGAACAGAGAGCCCCAAAGCAGCAAATGCAAAGGACCAGAAACATGAGAGTTTTCGGCTTATCCCCAAGTGGATAAAGAAACTGGCTAGTCCAGAGAGAAAATAAAATGATTAGGGCTGTAGAAATGGTGGGCAATTTTGAAGGGTTTCTAGTGCCAAGAAAAGGCATTTGGACTTCATTCTGCACACAGCAGGGAGCCATTTGGGATTTTTAAGCAGATAGGTGACATTATCACAGCTGGGATTTAGAAAGCTCAGTCCATGGAGATTGACTTGAGGAGGCTGATATTAAGAGGAAAATTAACTTTGGGGGCACCTCTTACAGCGGAGGTAACAAACCCAGTACTTCACACCTGTGACCCCACTGAGCTTTCCCAATGATATTAGAACAGGAGTGCACAAAGTATGGCCCGTGGGCCAAATGCTGCCTGCTGTCTGCTTTTGTAAATAATAATTTTTAAAACTATACCCACCATCCATTTGTTTATATAGTGTCTATGATTACATTCATACTACAACAGCAGAGCTGAACAATTGCAACAAAGACTATCTGGCCTGTAAATCCTAAAATATTTATGAACTGGCCCTGTATGGAAAAAGTTTTTGCAATACCTTTGTTAGAGGGAACTACTATCCCCATTCAATGCATGAGAAAACTGAGGCTTTCAGAGGGGAAGTGACTTGTCCAAGATCACACAGCTTAAAAGTAGAAGCAGTGAAATGGACGAGGAAGCCTGTAATGGTCCTAAGGTAAAACCAGGCAGGCATCCAGGATGCCTGACCCCTAATCTATTGCAACAGCCCATTTGGCAGCATGCTCTTCCTTCCCACACCACCCACCACTGCAGCCAGCCAGGAGGACTCAGGCGCCTCTTTGTCAGCCAGAGCCCTTGCTCTGGTCCCCAAACCAGCATCAAGCGACTAATTTAAAACTTAATGCTTCCACCATGTCCACCCAGGCTGCCCCTTCTTCGGCTTATCACATCCTATTCAAATCCAAAATAAATTATTTCAGCTCTGCAGCCTTTGGATAAAGAAAAAAATGAAATTAAAAATAAAAAAGGAAGAAGGAGAAGCTTTGAAGGGACAGCCCGCCTCTGTCCCTCGCCCACAGTTCCAGGCCTCTTTCCTAAGCCCATACTGATAACCTCCAGGGGACACTGAGCCCTGGAGGCTGTGAGGACGGAACCACACATTTTTTAGACCCTAGGCTTTCCATAGGTGACAGAACATAGAGACACAAAGGTTTTAGGCAAGAAGTTGTACTATATCTCCCTCCAGTTAGACAGAAGTACTGGAGAATTCAGTGGGTCAGAATCCCATGTCTTTAGGGAATAGAATTGCTGGGGAGGGGAAGGGGCCATGCAGATTGACAATCATTCATTTATTCTTTAAGTATTTCTTATTCGCCTGCTATACATATGCCAGGTGCTGGGCTTTAACAGAGGAACCCCACTGTGTGCCCATTCTCATCAAACCACTGGGCCCACTGCATTTCACAATTTGCAAAGCCCTTTCTGCTATCTCCTAACTAAAGCCTCCAATAATTCTCTGAGGCAAGGCGGGGATAATATTATTAAAAGCCTCATTTTATAGATGAGGAAACTGAGACTCAAAGAGGTAAAATGACTTACCTAAAGCCACACAGTAGGTAGATAGCAGATCTTCTCAAATTTGTCTCACATCAGAGACACTGGCAGAATAATGTAGTGGTTTAAAGCCTGGCTAGGCTTACCTGGGTTCGCTGGTTGGGAAACTTCTTTTAACCTTGTTAAACCTCACTTTGCTCATCTCTGAGATGGGAAAAATAATGTCAATCTCATGAGGTCATTATGGGGGTTAAAGTAAACAATTTTTTAAAGTTGGTGCAATGCCTGACACATGGAAAGTTTTCACTGAACAACTGCTTTGTCTGCTTTTGATGATGCTATTGTTGTTGGATGAGAATGATAGGAGGGTGAAGGGGAGGAAGAAGAGGAGGGGGAAGAGGGAGAGGGGAAGGGAAAAGACAATGATGGTTATTTGGCACCACAGCCTGACTGCAAATGGTCTTTTCGCACAGCCCTTACTCCCACTAAGTTAAAAAAATAAAATAAAAAAAGACACAGGTACACAGGTTGTGGTCTTGGCTATACCATGGACTTATTCCACGAACTTGGACAAACCCTCCCACCTCCCTAGTTTTCCCACCGCAAGTGAGGGAGATGGACAAGAAAATCTCCATGACCCCTTCCCCTCATTCCTGGTCAACTTGCTGTGAATTTAAGTGTCGATAACTAAGAGAGGAGAGACCCGGGCTCCAGATGGAAGAGGACCAGAGAGGAGGCTTGGGCAAGGCAGATGCCTTGTAAACTGAATGCCTCCACTGCCAGTAAAAGAGACACTCCCCTCTGGGAAGTCTCAGGGAAGCCTGGTGGTTTCTCTTCTGCATTCTCTGATTCAAGAGGGATGGTTGTCAATAGGGAAAGCTGGAGAGACAAATCCAAATGTGCTGCAAGTGTCCTCAGCATCTTACAGTAACTTCAGGAGTTTAACAGCCAATGAGCATCCTTGGGAGATTTGTTTGAGGGGATCACTAGAATTTCAGGAGATTTTTCAGGAGCACACATGGTAGAAGCTGGCTTATGGGACCCCAGCGGCAGCCAAGGATGTCTTCTCCACTCTGGCTCTTGCTTTGGGCTGCTGTGATCTTCACTCCCACATGGGTGGGCCAGGGTCAGAGGCCTCTGCACTCAGATAGGAAAATTCAGGTGGAAAGAATGCCTAAGACACACCTATGGGCTTTTGCCATTGCAGCCTGTCTGGGGAGGTGTGCAGACGGAAACCAAGACTCCGTGCAAGGTTGATATCCAGCAGTTACATAATGAGGATAAGAGGTCAAATGCATTCACCTCTCCAGCCTCACTTTCCTTATGCCTTAGGTGCTCAGCTCTGCTCCTGGTGCATATTAATTGGTCCCTAAGTTGTGGCTTTTGCATTATTTCATTTCCCAACTCCCTCAGGATGCCCTGAAAGTCCTGGGAGGAATCCTTCTTCTGAAGATATGCCCTCAGGATGGGCCCTCCCCACAGCCCGATGTCCAAGCAGAATAGCCAGCTCCTCCTCTCAGGGGAACGATGGGCAGGACTGAGGCCTCCTGGCTGGGTAAATCCCGGCTGCCTCCAGCTTTGCCTCTGTGGATTGTAGAAATGAAAAAAGGCCTTTTGGAGTCCGACCACCCAGGGTTAGATCTCACCCCTGTTCTGTATGACTTTGAGCAAGTTCATGAAACTCTCCGAAGCTCAGTCCCCTCCTCTGCACAATGGAGATAACAAACCCCACAAAACAGGCTTTTTGTAAGGATTGAAAACCACAGGTTGGTTAGTTGTTGGCGGGGGTTTTGTTTCTATTTTTAACTTTCTGCTTGCTTATCATGTGCGAGGCAGTATGCCAAAGGATCAAATGTATTCACTCATTTAATCCCTGCCTCACCTCATGAGGGAGATCCCTTTGTCTTTGTTTTACATGGCAAGATTACTGAGGCCCTGTGGGAACCAGTGACTTGCCCTGGGTCACTTGGCTAGGGAGGGACATGTCAAGCCCAGCTTTGGAAACAAACCTCAGCTCAGACACTCTGCTCTAGCTTTCTGCTTGAACGTACTTTCTTCATGCCAGGCCTGAAATGGTAGGGATTATCACTGCCTTACAACCAGGGCCTCTGGAGCCCAGAGAGGTGAAGGGCCAACTTAGAACCACACGACACAACTCCCGTGTGTCCCTGCTGGAGGCGGAGCCGTCTGGCTGACCCCAGTGCCTGGGCTCAGCCATGACCTCCACCTGCCTCTCCTTGTAATGCTCGGTTATTTGGAAAGTAAAAAAGAAAAAACTTCACTGAATGTTTAGCAGAGATGAAACTGATTGAAGACATGGCCTTGGCATTAGATTATGGATCCAGCAGGGCTGGCGGTCCCCTCCTCCCCCTGCCACACTCTGGCCTCCTTGCCTGCCTCTGAGCCAGCCTCTGACAGTTTGTCAGGAAAGTCTTTTCTGCACTGGGGGCGACTTGCTAATGGGCTGATTCTGCAGCTGGTGTGACCAAAAAGACAGTGAGGAAGCACCTCAACTCAACCTCCAAACCTCTACCAGGAACTTTCACCCTAGGCCAGGCATGGGCTGGGCCCTCCAGTAGGGGATGAGGTGGAGGTCTGGGTGACCTTCTCTCACCTGTACCATTTTGCAATTGGCACTCTCACATAAGGGAGGCAGCCTGGTATTGGCAACGGACCTAAGCTTAAGCTCTAAGAGGCCCAAATCTAATCCCAACTTTGACACTTTACTAGCTGTGTAACCTTAGGCAAGTGGCTTGCCTTCTCTAAGCTTTGGTTTTCTCCTCTGTAATGCAAGACTAATCATGGTACCTACCATATAAGGCTCTTACAAAACACAAGTGGGTTTATGAACAAAGATTTGAGTTTGATTTCAGCCATCTTGAGTCTAGTTGGTTGGTAGAGATGTAGAGAGGCTGGGCGCTGTGGCTCACGCCTATAATCTCAGCACTTTGGGAGGCCGAGGATCACCTGAAGTGGGGAGTTCAAGACCAGTCTGACCAACATGGACAAACCCTGTCTCTACTAAAAATACAAAATAAGCTGGGCATGGTGGCGCATGCCTGTAATCCCAGCTACTCGGGAGGCTAAGGCAGGAGAATCACTTGAACCCGGGAGGCAGAGGTTGCAGTGAACCGAGATCGCGCCATTGCACTCCGACATGGGCAACAATACTGAAACTCTGTCTCAAAAAAAAACAAAACAAAACAAAACAAAAAGCAATTAAAATTTATAAAAAGACTGGGCACGGTGGCTCATGCCTATAATCCCAGCACTTTGGGAGGCCAAGGCGGGTGGATCACTTGAGCCTGGGAGTTCAAGACCAGCATGGGCAACATGGTGAAACCCTGTCTCTACTGAAAATACAAAAATTAGCCAGGCATGGTGATGCGCGCTTGTAGTCCCAGCTATTCAGGAGGCTGACGCAGGAGAATTGTTGAACCCAGGAGGTGGAGGTTGCAGTGAGCCAAGATGGCGCCACTGCACTCCAGCCTGGGCCACAGAGTGAAACTCTATCTTAAATAAACAAATAAAACAATAAAATGGTAGCTCTGAAGGAAATTGAGAGAGGGAAATGAGGCAAATTGATGGGTGATGTCCTCGGCTTTCCTTTCTGATGGCCAAGACATTGGCCTCTGACTGTGGCCAAATGCAGGGAAGGAGGAAAGAAGCTGCGTACAAGTAAGGAGCCGGCTTTCACTAGATGCTTACTCTGAGCTGAGCATTCTGTGGAAGGTACTATTGGACACTCAATCCCCTCAGCAGCCATAGGAAGCAGGTTTAATCATCTCCATTTTGCAAATGAGGCAAGTAAACATCAGCAAAGAGGAGCGTTCTGCTGAGACGACATCATTAGACCATAACACCATGGTTCAAACCCAAGTCTACCCGACTCTAAATCCTAGCCTTCTCCACACTCTGTCTCATGACCTTTTGGGCCACCAAGCCAGCTGTCTTCAGGACCCCAGGGTGGGAACCCAATTCTGAGGCAGATACCTGCTGTCTTGGATGCCTGCAGACAGGCCAGGAAAGGGGTGTTCAGGGTGGAGGTGAGGACAAAGGGGCCAGGCAGGAAAGAGAAAGGGGCTCCTGTTGCCTAAAGAGGAGAGGGGAAAAGGGACAGTCAGTGAATGTAACCTTTAGAGACCCATGGGAAGGGGGCCAGCAAACTGAGTCTCTTCCCCTCTCTGAGCCTCATGTTCCTCTTCTTACACCAGGTGTTCACAATAGCTGTCTCATCAGCATTAAATGAGTTGGTGCCCGGTGCTCTGCACAGAGCCTAGTAGACAGACGGCACTCAGTCATTGTCAGCTGTCCTCCATGGCAGCATGCCATCACTGCCTCCGTGAGAGCACTCCCCTCAAGGAGCTGTGTGTGTGCAGTGCGTAGGAGTCTGAGCATTGTGTGTGAGCGTGGGACGCCATTGCCCTCACGTGTGTTGAGGTGAATGTGTCATCTACCCTCACAATGCCTGAGGGCAAAAAAGAAAAAGTACAAGGGGGACTAGGAAGAGAAAAGGGAAAGTTGAGAGAGTGACAGGAAAAGAAATGGAAAACATCCGCCAACTCTTTGCGCCTCTCTGCCTGACCCTGTGTGTGTGTGTTCATGTGTTTGTCTTTCTCGCCCCACCCTTTTCTATTTCTTTGTCTTTGAATCTCTCTCCCTGTCTCTTCTTCCTGTTTGTCTCTTTCTCTATGTCTCTTTGTCTCTCCATCTCTCTCTCACCCTCCTGCCCTCTTTCTTTCTGTCTCTCTCTTACTATTTTTCTGTCTCTCTGTCTCTATGTCTGTCTCCATCTCTGTCTCTCTCTCCTCCCCACCACCCTCTCTCTCACACACACACACACACACTCACCTTCACATCCACCCAGCACACAGTCTCCTTTGTACACCCAAGTGCACAGCCCTCATGCTTACAGGCACAGTCTCTTAAACACTCCTTGATTTCTCCAAATATTCACACTCTTGCCCCAGATATCACCAAACCCACACATCACTCAATTACCTGACCACTTTGGGAGCACTGGTCTATCTACACCCCATCATTCTCTTGCACCACACATAATGGAGCACCTGCAGGGGCTCAGGTGCCATGCTGGGAGGACAGCAGTGATGGAGCTCACAGTCTGCTCATATGAAAACAGGGAGCACTTCTTCTCGGCCCCTGATGTTTCCTCCCGGTGATAAGGGTGCAATTAGTGTAACTCCTGGCTTCTCTATTCCTTGTCTCTGTCTGCCCAGGGGACCTGCAGAGACTCTTGATAGCTGATTTGTGAATTGGAGAAGAGACACTGAGCACACTCATATCAGCTCAGATCAGCTCAGCCTTCCTTCTTGAGAACAAGCTTAAGCTGAGAGTGCAGTTCTCCTGTGCACCTTCTTGCCCAAAATCCTGCCTGAGTGGGCTGCCATGTTGAAAGGCATGTCCCCCGCGCCACCATTGAGTTGCCTCTGAGACCCCAACAACATACACATCCATCCATCCATCCAAACAATTTATGCCCCTCCACCACCTTACACACACACATATCTCCTTTGTCATCTAAAACCTACTGTCATGAACAATCCATCCCACTTATTTAGCCTCATGCCGATACATACGTCTGCCAACCTCCATGCACCCAAGCCCACACACCTCTCTCTACATTCCCTTCCCTACCTACCTTCCCATGCCCTCCCCAACAAGCCTATCCCCCTTGGAGCTCACTGCAAGTCATCCTTCTGCCAGTGCAGTCAAAACCAGGTCATGTCACAAAGCAATTTTGCCCAACCCTCGAGATTTTTTACTCTGCTCACAGATAACTAACAGGACCATCTTCCCAGCTAATCGGGAAAGAAATCTGGTGGGTTCAATTGCTGCTGATATGCATTTAAATGGCTGCGTCTAAGAAGGAAATCTAAATGAGAGCTGAAGGGAGGCTGGGACACTGGGGGAAATCATGCTGTAATAACTGTGTGAGGCGAAGCAAATCAACAGAAAGCTGTACACTCGCTTGGGGAGAGAGAGAAGACTACTGTAACGCGTGTGCTCAGAAACTTATTGGAATCTTTGCACTTTTAATATAATGGCATTAGTGTCACGGTTTTTTATGTATAACTTCACCCGCCACATGTAATAAATGAAGCACTGTTTCCCAGTGCGTACAATGCTTGGATGTGGGTACAGGGAGAGGCTATGTGCTCAATGATCTCTTTCTGAATCTGAGTGATAGCATGCAGCCCTGAAGTGCAGAGCCAGACTGCACTTGAAGGCAGAACAGATCTAGTTCAAAGCCTGACCCTGCACTTACACACTAGGTGACCTTGGGTCAATTACTTAAGTCTGGAAATGTCCATGTCCTCATCGGTAAAATTGAGACAATGACACATACACCCCAGGGCTGAACTAAGGATTTAATAAGTTATATAAAAACACTCAGCTAATAATGTACACTTTATTTAATAAATGTCATTATTAGGCTTGGGTTTGGATCCTGCCTCCAATATTTAGTAACTGAGTGTCAGCCAGGCGCAGTGGCTCATGCCTGTAATGCCAGCACTCTGGGAGGCCAAGGCGGGCAGATCACCTGAGGTCGAGAGTTCAAGACCAGCCTGACCAATATGGAGAAACCCCGTCTCTACTAAAAATACAAAATTAGCCGGGCGTGGTGGTACATGCCTATAATCCCAGCTACTAGGGAGGCTAAGGCAGGAGAATCGCTTGAACCCGGGAGGTGGAGGTTGCGGTGAGCCAAGATCACGCCATTGCACTCCAGCCTGGGCAACAAGAGTGAAACTCCGTCTCAAAAATAATAATAATTGAGTGTCATTGAGTTCATTGCCTAACCTCCCTGTTCCTCAGTTTCCTCATTGTAAGATGGAGATAACAGTTTTTTTCTCAATGAATGCATGCAAAGTGCTCAGAACAGCATCTACACTTTGCACATGCTTGATTCATGTTCATTTTCATCATAATCACCACCATCATAAGTCAAAGGTGCTGAAGTTTATTGAGCATCTAATATATGGTGCCTGAGGGATAGAAGAAAGGGAACTGTTGATTCAATTCTGCATCTCATTCATTAGGCAATCCTAACCATAATTCAACCTTTGAGAGTTAAAATGGAATCTTGCCTCAGTAGTGTCACCTCCTCCTCTAGGCATGGCATGACCTCAGAACCAAAGGTACACTGGTCTTGCATTGGACTTAAGACACACAGTGTGCATCAGGAAAGTATCTAGGAAAAATCCTTCTAGGCAGAAGGAACAGCAGCGCAAAGGTCACAGGAAGGAAGAGAAAAGCATTTCTTTGCATCTGGAATGTAATACATAGGCAGGAAGCAGCAGCAGATGAGGCAGAGGCAAGCAAGAGGCCAGATCACAAATGGTCTTAGAGGCAGTCCTCAGGAATGGAAACCCATGGCGGGTGAATTGAGGGGAGAAGTGTTGGTACCTAATTTACATTTTTTATTGATACATAATATTTGTAGAAATGTATGGGACACATTTGATACTTTGATACATGTATAGAATGTGTAATGATCAAATCAGAGTATTTAGGATATCCATCACCTCTAACATTTATCATTTCTTTGTTTTGAGGGCATTTCAAATCTTCTTTTCTAGCTATTTTTAAATATACAGTACATCGTTGTTAACTGCAGCCATCCTACTGTGCTGTTGAATCCTGGAAATGAGAAATACGTCATTAGGTGATTTCATAGTGCTGTGAACATCATAGAGGGAACTCACACAAGCCTAGATGGTATAACCTACTACACACCCAGGCTACGTGGCTTGGCCTATTGCTCCTAGGCTGTAAACCTGTACACCACGTTACTGTGCTGAATACTGTAGGCAATTATGACAAAATGGTAAGCATTTGTATATCTAAACATAGAAAATGTACAGTAAAAAATATGGTATGAAAGATAAAAAAATGGTATACCTGTCTAGTGCACTTAACATGAATGAAGCTTACAGGACTGGAAGTTGCTCTGAGTGAATCAGTAAGTCAGTGGTGATTGAACGTGAAGGCCTAGGACATTACTGTACACTACTGTAGACTTTATAAACACTATACACTTAAGCTATGCTAAATTTATAAAAAAAATCTTTTTCTTTCTAAGAAAATACATTTTTTTCTTAGAAAATATATTTTCTAAGGTTACCTTTATTAGTCTATACACATTTTAATTTTTTTAACTTTTTGACTCTTTTGTAATAACACTTAGCTTAAAACAAAAATACTTCGCACAGCTGTATAAAAAATATTTTCTTTCTTTATACCCTGATTCTCTAAACTTTTTTCTACTTTTAAAATTTATTTATTTTTACTCTTTACACTTTTCTGTTAAAAACTAAGATGCAAACACACACATTAGCCTAAGCCTACACAGGGTCAGGATCATTAGCCTCACTATCTTCCACCTCCATATCCCACTGGAAGGTCTTTAGGGGGAGTAACATGCATAGAGCCGTCATCTCCTATGATAACAATGCCTTCTTCTGAAATACCTCCTGAAGGACCTGCCTGAGGCTGTTTTACAGTTAACTTTATTTTAATAAGTAGAAGGGGTACAATCTAAAATAACAATCAAAAGATAGCATAGTGAACACATCAACCAGTTACAGTCATTTATTTTCATTATCAAGTATTACGTGCTGTATGTAATTGCATGTGCTATACTTTTATATAGATTTGCTTACACCATCATCCCCACACACCTGTGAGTAATGCATTGCACTACAACATGATGGCTACCTCCATTGTTAATCAAAACACCGTTATGTAGTGCATGACTGTGTTTTAAAAGTAGAGCTAATAGGATGTACTGATGAAACATGGATTGTGAGATAGAGATATGAGAGTGGCTGCTAAGGTTTGAATGTTTTTCGTCCAAAATTCAGGTGTTGCCAATGTGAAGGCATTAAGAAGTGGAGCCTTTAAGAGGTAATTAAGTCACGAGTTCTCCCTTGTTAATGAGATTAAGGCCCTTACATAATAGAAGAGGCTTCATGCTGCATGCAGGTAACTCGCTAGCTTGCCCTTCCACCTTCTGCCATGTGAGAGCACAGCAAGAAGGCCCTCACCACATCTAATGCCAGTGCCTTGATCTTGGACTTCCCAGCCCCCAGAGCTGTGAGAAATAAATGTCTGTTTTTTTATAAATTAAATTTTTTTATAAATTACCCAGTCTCAGGTATTCTGTTGTAGCAGTACAACAGAATAGCAGACTAAGACAGTGGCCAAAAGCATTTAATAAGAACAAATGGATTTGAAGTATGCTTTCCAGTTGTTTGCTTGGGTTGTTTGCTGGTTGCAGTGCAATGAGGCTCCTCCCTGCTACCCACAATCCTTCAGGAAAAGTTCTGCATGCCACAGTCTTATGTGTATGTTTCCACTGGCAAAGGCAACTAAGAAGAAAGAGCCATCATCTCCATGCATGACAGGGACACTTCTTTTTTTTTTTTTTTTTTTTCTTTGAGACAGAGTCTTGCTCTGTCACCCAGGCTGGAGTGCAGTGGCGTGATCTCAGCTCACTGCAAGCTCTGCCTCCTGGGTTCAGGCCATTCCGCCTCAGCCTCCCAAGTAGCTGGGATTACAGGCGCCCGCCACGGCGCCTGGCTAATTTTTTGTATTTTTTTAGTAGAGACGGGGTTTCACCGTGTTAGCCAGGATGGTTTCGATCTCCTGACCTCATGATTCGCCCGCCTCGACCTCCCAAAGTGCTGGGATTACAGGCGTGAGCCACCGCACCCAGCCTCGGGACACTTCTTAAATATAAAAAAAACAAAAAGAACTCCAAGAACAAGAATTTGTGGGAGACAAGAAATCTAAGCCAGAGGTGGTGGCAAAAATATAAGTTCCTGAGATATCTGCACAATCTTGAGGAGATGTTTGAACTCCTGTAAAGTGTGGAATGAGAATCTAAGCCAAATGTATCTACATATCAAGGGATCAAGAAATCTCAGCTCACATCTGCAATATGTGTATGTATATAAAAGACTACAGAGAAGGAAATATGCCAAACAAGAGGTGGTTGTACAATTATGGATTATCTCCTTTTTTGTCCTCGTTTTTCTCTAAGTTTTCTAAATTGGCAACAGCAACTATATTTTATAATCAGAAGAAATGTATTAGAAGTAAAAATCACAAAGTGGAATTTCACAAATAACTGAATTTCTCCTGGCATGCATCAAGTACATAAAAGGACAAGGCAGCCTTCTCCTTATTCTAGGCAACACATTCCTAATAGCGCAGCTTAAGGTGGCCAGTAGCATATAACGGAGTTGGGGACACTATCGGTGCAAATATCTGTGTGTCATTGACAGGTACAGAGTCTTAGCTGTATTTCCCTGCCATACAAAGCCTGTGCTGCTGGTGTTTAGACATCAGCACAGGATTCTCAGTTATCCCCATGATGTTTTATCTTGTAGGATTCAATCTGAAATCATAATGCTGAGATCTTTTGTGCATCCTGAGCCTGTCTTCCAAAACATTCCCTGACCCTTCCAGAATCTTGTCCCTGGAAAACTAGATATCCATGCCATCCACATCTCCTTTTCTCCATTCGGTTATAATATCTAACACTCACTAAGCACATTCCATGGGTCAGGCAGTGTTTTAAGAGCTTTACACGGATTAGCTCATTTAATCCTCACAACAACCCTGCAAGATAGGTTCTTTCATCATCCCTATTTGACAACGAAGAAAACGAAGCATCCAGTGGTTAAACATCTTGTCTAACATCTCAAAAAATAAAGCATCAGGGGCAGGATTTGGCTCCATGTTCTTCCATGCCACACTATCCAGCCTCTCATGGGGTTTTTAAGGGCCAGGATCTCTGATAATAAGACACAGGAATAAGCAGCTCCCTTCAGACAGCTTAGCAGATTCTGTGGTTAAATGTAGTTAAACATTATAGGTCCTTTGCTGGCTCTCCTACTGTGGGACCTTGGGCAAGGTCTTACTTACTCTGTTCTTTGGTTTCCTCATCTGTAAAAGAACACTGAAAATAATGCCTACCTTATGGAGCTGTTGGGAGGGTTAAGTGAGCTAACACAAGTAAGGGACTTAGAAGAGTACCTTGCATGTAATTAGTACTCAGTTAATGTTAACTATTAACTATTATTATTATGGTAGGATATAGGGAGGTACAAAGAAAGGAATAAATACTCATTGCTCTTGAGAGCAGTCAAGAGGACTTTAGAGGCCAGGCGCAGAGGCTCACAACTGTAATCCTAGCACTTTGGGAGGACAAAGCGGGTGGATCACCTGAGGTCAGGAGTTCAAGACCAGCCTGGCCAACATGGCAAAACCCCATCTCTACTAAAAATACAAAAATTAACCAGGTGTGGTGGCATGCATCTGTAATCCCAGCTATTTGGGAGGCTGGAGGAGGAGAATCGCTTGAACCTCAGGGGGCAGAGGTTGCAGTGAGCCGAGATCACCCACTTCACTACAGCCTGGGCAAAAGAGCGAAACTCCATCTCAAAATAAAATAAAATAAAATAAAATAAAATAAAATAGGATTTTAGAGAGGTGAAGAAATCTGAGTATTGAAAGAGATGGCCTTTTCTATAAGTAAGCAATGCGGGAGAGCTCTGGCTTTGCAGGCAATGGGCCAGCAGGAGCCAACACCTGGAGGCAAGAGGGAATAATACAGTGGTTATGTCCTCACTCTCCATGGGCATTTAACCATATGGTGTTGTTTTCTTTCCACTCAGGAAACGGGAGCAGCCTCCACTGCTTACCTGTTCAAACCACCTTAATTTGTGGCCTCTGGGGTGGAAGGTAATGGAAGACTTTCCAGGTTTTAGCTCTGTTTAGTGCTGGAAGAGCACAAACTTTGGCTTCAAAGAGAAAAGGCATTTGAAAGGCTTATGAAAAGGCTTATGAGCCTTCTTGTACATCAAACGTGCCTTACAAAGCAACATTTTGATGAGTTAAGTGCAAATGAATCAGAAACACAAGGATTAAATTTCCCTTGAAATACACACAGGTCTAAAGATTAAGGGGAAATTGCCTGGCAAAACGTGTTTTGGGTTAAACACTGGGAAGTAGTTCACACTGGTTCCTGTCTGCTACTCCCCCTCTATTATTAGTGTAAGTAACAACAACAGTAATAGTATCAACATTGCTTGATATAATTTTAGCTCTTTTATGGCCTATGGGACTCTTCTGTGTAGGTATATAAAAAATTAAAATACAATGATAGAAGTAGAAACCCATACAAGGAGCTAGCATGCAGCAGCAGAGACTGGCTATCTGTCCATTAAACCAGCTTCCCTTTCCTCCTCAGCTCACAGCTGGACTACATCTCCTAGGCTGTGTTTCAGCCAATGGACTATGGCCAAAAGCAGGGAATGCCCCTTCCAGGCCTGGCCTATAAAAATCCCCCATGTGCTCCTCTGTTCTCTCTTTGTCCACCTGCCAGCTGGACATTGATGCTCAAGGCAACCTTGGAGGTCATGTGTTGAAGATGGCAGTGTCTTTGCCAACCCCACTGCCAGTGGACTTTATGTGAACACAAAATAAACTTCTATGATGTGAATCCACTGAGGTCTCAGGACTTCTCTGTTACAGCAGGTAGTGACACCGTAACCTAGATAGATAAATAAAAGCCCACATGGGTAGGAAGAAATTTGGATCACAAATCAAGACCCCTGAGTTCTAGTCTCTGCCTCAAACATGCTGTGCGGTGCCCTGGGCAAGTCCCTGTTCACCCTTTGGGTCTCAGTTTATTCAGTGGTCAAATGAGATATTTGATTAGGCAATTGCCGAAGTCTAGCTCCAGTGTTTAAAATTAAATGATTCTAAATAACAACTTGCAACTTGAGTTCCATTTTAGTCAACAAAGGTTTATTTAAAAAAGAAAAACCTACTAATTGTCAGGCATTGGGGCTACAGAGTTAAATAAATCCAGGCATTTAGAATATAAGCTTGAAGATAAATGACTATAATAAATATAGCAAAAAGCAAATCAATAAATGAATCAATCAATCACAAAGAGCAACAGGCTGTGCTTGAAGGAGGGTGGAGATGTAACTAAAAGCCACTAGCAGACAATGACATTTGAACTAGGCTTGGAGGACAGAAGGCTAGCAAGGTGGGGGGCGTACTCCAGACAGATCCAGAGATGTCATAACTGAAAGGGTCCTTATTTCACACATAGGAAACTAAGACCCAGAGGAGTTCTTATTGGTTGCAAACTAGAAGGTCATTAACCAATTTCCCAGAGTCTCAGTCCTTGTCTAGATTCCTTAAAAAGTAAAGACCTCCAGGAGATGATATGTGAGATTAAAAAGACTGGGTCTAGGTCACCCAACTGATGCTTCTGTCCTTTCTGGCCCACCCACCAAATGGCCATTTATTCACAAAACCATCCTCACCACGCTACTACCGACAAAGTCACAATCTCCCTGTGCATTTTATTTGACACAGGCATGGGACTTTACAATTGCTCCTGTTCCTTTC
Source organism: Homo sapiens (assembly GCF_000001405.40). NCBI lineage: Eukaryota > Metazoa > Chordata > Mammalia > Primates > Hominidae > Homo > Homo sapiens. The sequence continues at coordinate 120,052,761 of NC_000009.12, forward strand.
GTATTTAAAAAATTCAAACCCATGGTTTTAGTCTGACCATGATCCAACAGCCTGTTCTTCCTTCAGGTCTCACAGCACCCCTACATTGGACGATAATACTGTCAATAACCTCATCAGTCATTAATACAAATAATAGGCAGGGCAGGCCCAAAGACAAGGGGCTTTCCTCCAGATGAGCATGTCTGATATAAATCAGAGAATGCGCCTTTAAGGTAAGCAAGGCACCCTTCTGAAGCATGAGGTCAGAGGAGGTGTATTAGTTATCTATGGCTCATGTAAGAAATTACCACCAACTCAGTGGCTTTATGCAACACAAATTTATTTGTCTTAAAGTTTTGTTTTGTTTTGTTTTTTGGGTTTTTTGTTTGTTTGTTTGTTTGTTTGGAGACAGTGTCTCGCTCTGTAGCCCAGGCTGGAGTACAGGGGCACAATCTCAGCTCACAGCAACCTCTGCCTCCTGGGTTCAAGCGATTTTCCTGCCTCAGCCTCCCAAGTAGCTGGGATTATAGGCACCCAACACCACACCTGGATAATTTTTGTAGTTTTAGTAGAGACAGAGTCTCACCATGTTGGCCAGGCTATTCTAGTACTCCTGACCTCAGGTGATCCACCCACCTCAGCCTCCCAAAGTGTTGGGATTACAGAAGTGAGCCACCATGCCGAGTCTATTTGTCTTAAAGTTCTGTAGGTTAAAAGTCCCACATGGATCTCACTGGGCTACAACCAAGGTGTTGTTGAGGCTGCATTCCTTTCTGGGGGCTCCAGGAGAGATCTGCGTCCTTGCTTCTAGGGGCTACCTGCTTACTTTGTTGTATCCTTGGTGCTTCAAACAACACCTGGTGTATAGATATTCCTCCCAAAGCTTCTAGAGGCCACCTCCATTGCTTGTATCATGGCCATGTTCCTCCATACTCAAAGCCAACAATGTCAGGTCGAGATCTTCTCACTTTGCATCACGCTGACCTCCTCTTCTTCCTCTATCTTCCACTTCTAAGAATGCTTGTGATTACATGGAGTCCACCAGGATAATCTTGGATTATCTTTCTATGTTAAAGTCAGCCAATTAGCATCCTTAACTCCACCTGCCACCTTAATTCCCCTTTGCCATGTAATGTAACATATTCACAAATTCCAGGAATTAGGATATGACATCTTTGGGGGATAATTATTATGCCACTACAGGTGGGATTATGTCAATTCATTATTTCATTCTTTATTAAGCACCTGTTGTGTGCCATACTCACTGTGCACCAAGCTCACTGCACCAGAGTCTGAGAAGACAGTCAGTAATAACTTTCCTGCCTTTGTAGATAGAACTCACAGTCTAGTGAGGAAGGCACTGAAGAGGGCACCAGCTAAGAGTGATGGATAATAGGCTAATGTTTAGGAAAATCTCTCTGAACAGGATGGCTCTGTATTTGTTTGCCTTGCTTCATACCTAAAGCCTCAGATTAACAGGAAGAAATCCCCAAAATGGTTAATTTCTCTATCAAAAAAAGAAAGAAAGAAAGAAAAAGAAACTGGGTTAATTTTTAATGAACCTGCCATGGCTCTGAATGATCACCACTTCATTTTCTAGTTTTCCTTTATTGAGGCTTGGTCTGAATTCTTGCTTGGGTGAAACAACTACTATGTATCAAAGGCACTGAGACTGCAATAAGATGAAGATTGGTGTCTGCCCTGGAAGGTTGTAGAGGCTAGTGGCAGGTGAAGACAGGTCTTCAGGCAATCACAAGAGTGCAGCAGATAAAATCTTTACTTGTCAATGTGGGGTCATGGTAGCAGAACACGGTGGCCCAGAGTTCTGTGGAAAATATTGTAACATGAACAAGAAGCCACAGCCAGGACAGAGGTCAGTCAGTGTCTTAGGCAGGTGTGTCTGAGAAGGGTGACTCTCAGAAGAGTGGGGCTGAGGACTTTTTCCACTTCAATCTGCCATTTTAAGGAGGAAAAGAAGGGCAGAGCAAGAGTCAGCTAGCATCAGGAGCGCATCTGCTTTGAAATGCCAGGAGGTCCACGCTAGAGGCAGTCTGAGTCCAGAGGTAGGGACTAGATTCCAAAGATCAAAATAGCTTGTGGGAGCAAGCCAAGCAGAGTCAGAAGGGTACTAGGAATGGGATTCTTGGAGCCAGTCTCTGCAAGGTATTTCTGCCCTGCAATATGAGTCTTATGATGAGGTTCAACCAGGAGAGGTCTTCTTTGTCTTCCATGGGTATGTAATTGCTGCCAGATGTGGGGAAAGGTGCTGGCTCAGCATCAAGGCAGCCCTATGGGTTCTGCTAAAACTTTTTCTGGCTCAAATTCATCTCTCTCCCTGAGGTTTCATCCATGTATCAGTGGATTTCCAGACATCACATTTTCAACAAGTGGAGATGACACATCAAGAAATCAGAGGTCATTGCCATCAAGGCCTTCACAGGTGATCAAGTGCTGCTTCTTCATATTGCCACCTTCTAAGTTAAAATCTGGAGTGAGGGGGGAGGAGCCAAGATGGCCGAATAGGAACAGCTCCGGTCTACAGCTCCCAGCGTGAGCGTCGCAGAAGACGGGTGATTTCTGCATTTCCATCTGAGGTACCGGGTTCATCTCACTAGGGAGTGCCAGACAGTGGGCGCAGGCCAGTGGGTGTGCGCACCGTGCGCGAGCCGAAGCAGGGCGAGGCATTGCCTCACCTGGGAAGCGCAAGGGGTCAGGGAGTTCCCTTTCCGAGTCAAAGAAAGGGGTGACGGACGGCACCTGGAAAATCGGGTCACTCCCACCCGAATACTGCGCTTTTCAGACCGGTTTAAAAAACGGCGCACCACGAGACTATATCCCACACCTGGCTCGGAGGGTCCTACGCCCACGGAATCTCGCTGATTGCTAGCACAGCAGTCTGAGATCAAACTGCAAGGCGGCAGCGAGGCTGGGGGAGGGGCGCCCGCCATTGCCCAGGCTTGCTTAGGTAAACAAAGCAGCCAGGAAGCTCGAACTGGGTGGAGCCCACCACAGCTCAAGGAGGCCTGCCTGCCTCTGTAGGCCCCACCTCTGGGGGCAGGACACAGACAAACAAAAAGACAGCAGTAACCTCTGCAGACTTAAATGTCCCTGTCTGACAGCTTTGAAGAGAGCAGTGGTTCTCCCAGCACGCAGCTGGAGATCTGAGAACGGGCAGACTACCTCCTCAAGTGGGTCCCTGACCCCTGACCCCCGAGCAGCCTAACTGGGAGGCAACCCCCAGCAGGGGCACACTGACACCTCACACTGCAGGGTATTCCAACAGACCTGCAGCTGAGGGTCCTGTCTGTTACAAGGAAAACTAACAAACAGAAAGGACATCCACACCAAAAACCCATCTGTACATCACCATCATCAAAGACCAAAAGTAGATAAAACCACAAAGATGGGGAAAAAACAGAACAGAAAAACTGGAAACTCTAAAACACAGAGCGCCTCTCCTCCTCCAAAGGAACGCAGTTCCTCACCAGCAACAGAACAAAGCTGGATGGAGAATGACTTTGACGAGCTGAGAGGAGAAGGTTTCAGACAATCAAATTACTCTGAGCTACGGGAGGACATTCAAACCAAAGGCAAAGAAGTTGAAAACTTTGAAAAAAATTTAGAAGAATGTATAACTAGAATAACCAATACAGAGAAGTGCTTAAAGGAGCTGATGGAGCTGAAAACCAAGGCTCGAGAACTACGTGAAGAATGCAGAAGCCTCAGGAGCCGATGCGATCAACTGGAAGAAAGGGTATCAGCAATGGAAGATGAAATGAATGAAATGAAGCGAGAAGGGAAGTTTAGAGAAAAAAGAATAAAAAGAAATGAGCAAAGCCTCCAAGAAATATGGGACTATGTGAAAAGACCAAATATACGTCTGATTGGTGTACCTGAAAGTGATGCGGAGAATGGAACCAAGTTGGAAAACACTCTGCAGGATATTATCCAGGAGAACTTCCCCAATCTAGCAAGGCAGGCCAACGTTCAGATTCAGGAAATACAGAGAACGCCACAAAGATACTCCTCGAGAAGAGCAACTCCAAGACACATAATTGTCAGATTCACCAAAGTTGAAATGAAGGAAAAAATGTTAAGGGCAGCCAGAGAGAAAGGTCGGGTTACCCTCAAAGGGAAGCCCATCAGACTAACAGCGGATCTCTCGGCAGAAACCCTACAAGCCAGAAGAGAGTGGGGGCCAATATTCAACATTCTTAAAGAAAAGAATTTTCAACCCAGAATTTCATATCCAGCCAAACTAAGCTTCATAAGTGAAGGAGAAATAAAATACTTTACAGACAAGCAAATGCTGAGAGATTTTGTCACCACCAGGCCTGCCCTAAAAGAGCTCCTGAAGGAAGCGCTAAACATGGAAAGGAACAACCGGTACCAGCCGCTGCAAAATCATGCCAAAATGTAAAGACCATCAAGACTAGGAAGAAACTGCATCAACTAACGAGCAAAATCACCAGCTAACATCATAATGACAGGATCAAATTCACACATAACAATATTAACTTTAAATGTAAATGGACTAAATTCTCCAATTAAAAGACACAGACTGGCAAGTTGGATAAAGAGTCAAGACCCATCAGTGTGCTGTATTCAGGAAACCCATCTCACGTGCAGAGACACACATAGGCTCAAAATAAAAGGATGGAGGAAGATCTACCAAGCAAATGGAAAACAAAAAAAGGCAGGGGTTGCAATCCTAGTCTCTGATAAAACAGACTTTAAACCAACAAAGATCAAAAGAGACAAAGAAGGCCATTACATAATGGTAAAGGGATCAATTCAACAAGAGGAGCTAACTATCCTAAATATATATGCACCCAATACAGGAGCACCCAGATTCATAAAGGAAGTCCTGAGTGACCTACAAAGAGACTTAGACTCCCACACATTAATAATGGGAGACTTTAACACCCCACTGTCAACATTAGACAGATCAACGAGACAGAAAGTCAACAAGGATACCCAGGAATTGAACTCATCTCTGCACCAAGCGGACCTAATAGACATCTACAGAACTCTCCACCCCAAATCAACAGAATATACGTTTTTTTCAGCACCACACCACACCTATTCCAAAATTGACCACATAGTTGGAAGTAAAGCTCTCCTCAGCAAATGTAAAAGAACAGAAATTATAACAAACTATCTCTCAGACTACAGTGCAATCAAACTAGAACTCAGGATTAAGAATCTCACTCAAAGCCGCTCAACTACATGGAAACTGAACAACCTGCTCCTGAATGACTACTGGGTACATAACGAAATGAAGGCAGAAATAAAGATGTTCTTTGAAAGCAACGAGAACAAAGACACAACATACCAGAATCTCTGGGACGCATTCAAAGCAGTGTGTAGAGGGAAATTTATAGCACTAAATGCCCACAAGAGAAAGCAGGAAAGATCCAAAATTGACACCCTAACATCACAATTAAAAGAACTAGAAAAGCAAGAGCAAACACATTCAAAAGCTAGCAGAAGGCAAGAAATAACTAAAATCAGAGCAGAACTGAAGGAAATAGAGACACAAAAAACCCTTCAAAAAATCAATGAATCCAGGAGCTGGTTTTTTGAAAGGATCAACAAAATTGATAGACCGCTAGCAAGACTAATAAAGAAAAAAAGAGAGGAGAATCAAATAGACACAATAAAAAATGATAAAGGGGATATCACCACCGATCCCACAGAAATACAAACTACCATCAGAGAATACTACAAACACCTCTACGCAAATAAACTAGAAAATCTAGAAGAAATGGATACATTCCTTGACACATACACTCTCCCAAGACTAAACCAGGAAGAAGTTGAATCTCTGAATAGACCAATAACAGGAGCTGAAATTGTGGCAATAATCAATAGTTTACCAACCAAAAAGAGTCCAGGACCAGATGGATTCACAGCCGAATTCTACCAGAAGTACAAGGAGGAACTGGTACCATTCCTTCTGAAACTATTCCAATCAATAGAAAAAGAGGGAATCCTCCCTAACTCATTTTATGAGGCCAGCATCATTCTGATACCAAAGCCGGGCAGAGACACAACCAAAAAAGAGAATTTTAGACCAATATCCTTGATGAACATTGATGCAAAAATCCTCAATAAAATACTGGCAAACCGAATCCAGCAGCACATCAAAAAGCTTATACACCATGATCAAGTGGGCTTCATCCCTGGGATGCAAGGCTGGTTCAATATACGCAAATCAATAAATGTAATCCAGCATATAAACAGAGCCAAAGACAAAAACCGCATGATTATCTCAATAGATGCAGAAAAAGCCTTTGACAAAATTCAACAACCCTTCATGCTAAAAACTCTCAATAAATTAGGTATTGATGGGACGTATTTCAAAATAATAAGAGCTATCTATGACAAACCCACAGCCAATATCATACTGAATGGGCAAAAACTGGAAGCATTCCCTTTGAAAACTGGCACAAGACAGGGATGCCCTCTCTCACCGCTCCTATTCAACATAGTGTTGGAAGTTCTGGCCAGGGCAATCAGGCAGGAGAAGGAAATAAAGGGTATTCAATTAGGAAAAGAGGAAGTCAAATTGTCCCTGTTTGCAGACGACATGATTGTTTATCTAGAAAACCCCATCGTCTCAGCCCAAAATCTCCTTAAGCTGATAAGCAACTTCAGCAAAGTCTCAGGATACAAAATCAATGTACAAAAATCACAAGCATTCTTATACACCAACAACAGACAAACAGAGAGCCAAATCATGAGTGAACTCCCATTCACAATTGCTTCAAAGAGAATAAAATACCTAGGAATCCAACTTACAAGGGATGTGAAGGACCTCTTCAAGGAGAACTACAAACCACTGCTCAAGGAAATAAGAGAGGATACAAACAAATGGAAGAACATTCCATGCTCATGGGTAGGAAGAATCAATATTGTGAAAATGGCCATACTGCCCAAGGTAATTTACAGATTCAATGCCATCCCCATCAAGCTACCAATGACTTTCTTCACAGAATTGGAAAAACTACTTGAAAGTTCATATGGAACCAAAAAAGAGCCCACATCGCCAAGTCAATCCTAAGCCAAAAGAACAAAGCTGGAGGCATCACACTACCTGACTTCAAACTATACTACAAGGCTACAGTAACCAAAACAGCATGGTACTGGTACCAAAACAGAGATATAGATCAATGGAACAGAACAGAGCCCTCAGAAATAACGCCGCATACCTACAACTATCTGATCTTTGACAAACCTGAGAAAAACAAGCAATGGGGAAAGGATTCCCTATTTAATAAATGGTGCTGGGAAAACTGGCTAGCCACATGTAGAAAGCTGAAACTGGATCCCTTCCTTACACCTTATACAAAAATCAATTCAAGATGGATTAAAGATTTAAACGTTAGACATAAAACCATAAAAACCCTAGAAGAAAACCTAGGCATTACCATTCAGGACATAGGCGTGGGCAAGGACTTCATGTCCAAAACACCAAAAGCAATGGCAACAAAAGCCAAAATTGACAAATGGGATCTAATTAAACTAAAGAGCTTCTGCACAGCAAAAGAAACTACCATCAGAGTGAACAGGCAACCTACAACATGGGAGAAAATTTTCGCAACCTACTCATCTGACAAAGGGCTAATATCCAGAATCTACAATGAACTCAAACAAATTTACAAGAAAAAAACAAACAACCCCATCAAAAAGTGGGCGAAGGACATGAACAGACACTTCTCAAAAGAAGACATTTATGCAGCCAAAAAATACATGAAAAAATGCTCATCATCACTGGCCATCAGAGAAATGCAAATCAAAACCACTATGAGATACCATCTCACACCAGTTAGAATGGCAATCATTAAAAAGTCAGGAAACAACAGGTGCTGGAGAGGATGTGGAGAAATAGGAACACTTTTACACTGTTGGTGGGACTGTAAACTAGTTCAACCATTGTGGAAGTCATTGTGGCGATTCCTCAGGGATCTAGAACTAGAAATACCATTTGACCCAGCCATCCCATTACTGGGTATATACCCAAAGGACTATAAATCATGCTGCTATAAAGACACATGCACACGTATGTTTATTGCGGCATTATTCACAATAGCAAAGACTTGGAACCAACCCAAATGTCCAACAATGATAGACTGGATTAAGAAAATGTGGCACATATACACCATGGAATACTATGCAGCCATAAAAAATGATGAGTTCATGTCCTTTGTAGGGACATGGATGAAACTGGAAACCATCATTCTCAGTAAACTATCGCAAGAACAAAAAACCAAACACCGCATATTCTCACTCATAGGTGGGAATTGAACAATGAGATCACATGGTCACAGGAAGGGGAATATCACACTCTGGGGACTGTGGTGGGGTGGGGGGAGGGGGGAGGGGTAGCATTGGGAGATATACCTAATGCTAGATGACGAGTTAGTGGGTGCAGCGCACCAGCATGGCACATGTATACATATGTAACTAACCTGCACAATGTGCACATGTACCCTAAAACTTAAAGTATAATAAAAAAAAAAGGGAAAAAATAAAAAATAAAAAAATAAAGTGATGCTATGGCCATTTGAGTAAAACCAAAAAAAAAAAAAAAAAATTCTGGAGTGAATGTGAGCACTTGAGTCATAGGCCCATAACTTTGATGAAAGGGAGCCTGGGAAAGCAAGCAAGTCCAGCATCTGTCATAGCACTGGACCTCTGCTCATACAGTGGGGGACTCACAAAACAGAGAAGAGAGAAGCCTCAATCCATGGGTTGCCATAGCAGTAGAACATGCTTTTTTTTCTTTTCTTTTCTTTTCTTTTTTTTTTTAAGACAGAGTATTACTGTGTTGCCCAGGCTGGAGTGCAATGGCAGGATCTCAGTTCACTACAACCTCCAGCTCCTGAGTTCAAGCAATTCTCCTGCCTCAGCCTCCCGAGTAGCTGGGATTACAGGTGCCTGCCACCACACCCAGCTAATTTTTTGTATTTTTTAGTAGAAACTGGGCTTCACCATGTTGGCCAGGCTGGTCTTGAACTCCTGACCTCAGGTGATCCTCCTGCCTTGGCCTCCCAAAGTGCTGGGATTACAGGCATCAGCCACCATGCCCAGCCTAGCAGAAGGACATGCTTTCAACAGCAAGTCACTGAATATCCAATCTTTCTAAAGTGACTTAAACAGAGAGAAAAGTAAATTGTCTCACATAACAAGATATCCACAGGTAAATGACTCCAGGTTTGGTCTAGAGGGTCAATTATATCATCAAGAACTTGACTTCCAACTTTCTGCTTTGTTTTTCCCATTATATTGGCTTGATCATTAGGCTTGACCCTTCATGGTTGCAAGGCAGTCACCACATGCAAAGCATCATGTTGTCTAGGATCATGTCATTTACTATGATTGATTGATGGTATAATTGCCCAAATTCTTCATTTCTTTCTGCATTTTCTCTCTTTACCATGAGACTTTGTATTTTTTTTTTTCTGTCACCTAAGGGGCAGAGTGTATTTCCTCACCTCTCAAATCAAGGCTGGACTTATGACCTACCTTGGCCAGTTAAATATACACAAAGTAACAATGTGCTAGCTCTAAGGCATGGCCTCAAAAGAGAACGTGTATCTCTACTTTTCAACCTCTGCAATTATCATAAGAACATGCCTGGGCTTTCCCTGATGGAGTATGAGAGACATGTGGCTCCATCACCCCAGTATCTCCTCATGAAAGCCAGCCAACCTCAGACATGTGAGTGTGCCTAGAGAAACCAGGCCAGAAGAACCACGCAGCTGAGCTCCGGCTAAATCAACAATCACTGACTCATGAGCTAAATAAATGTTTGTTGCATGAAGCCACTAAGGTTTTTTACAGAGCATTATTATGGCAATAGATAATTGGCATATTATACACATGCCATGCTGCAAGGAAGGCTGGGAAAACAATATCTGATCTTTTCAGCCTCAATAATGAGAAAGAATAATAGCTACTGAATAGGCAACCAACAAAGTCTACCACAACAACCAAGAGGAATGACAAATATCCACAAGGCCAGGAAAAGGCAAAGACAATGCCAAATGCTTCTAGGTCATTCTTCAAAAGGGACTGGCCAGTGGGTGAAGGATTAGGTGGGGAACAAGAAGGAAGTAGCCAAGTCCTTATGCAGACAAGATTTATCAGGTCTTTCTGCTTGAGTTGTGATGATGAACCCATCAGAGACTGCATTATCAGCAAGACAATTGCAGAATTATGGGATGACTCGCTGTGATACAGAATTCATGAGCTTCTGCAAATAGTCTGTACTAAGTCACTTCTCCCAAGTCACTTCAGCAGAGTTTGGACATTCACATTTTAATACACAGCCCACCTTTAAGCAGAGTCCCCATATCTGGCAAATCCCCTAAGAGTGCTCACACAGTTCACCTTAGGCAATGGTCCAAACCAAATGCCACAGCAAAAGGTAGAGTTTGCTCTGTTTCTTGGCAGGGTCTTCCACAATCCCTTGCATTCCTTCTGCATTCTCTATTTCCAAATAACCTCCATGATCTCTTGAAACCCTTATCTCTACCCCAAGGGTGGACCTTTCAACTCTAATCTCAGAGGAACATACTGAACGTCAGAAGGTTGCCTCTTGCCTGAGCTCACAAGCAAGACGGAGAAAGCTCTAACTTTTTTTTCCTGGTATCTCCCAATATCTTTTCCTATCACTTAATTCAAGTCTCTGCTCAAAGACCGCCTCCTCAAAGACTCCTGAATCACCCTCCCTAAATTGCCACCCCTGTGTCTTTCCCTCACCCTTTTTTTTTTTTTTTTTTAATGGAGTCTTGCTCTGTCACCCAGGCTGGAGTGCAGTGGTGCAATCACAGCTCGCTGCAACCTCCACCTCCCAAGTTCAAGCGATTCTCCTGCCTCAGCCTCCCAAGTAGCTGGGACTAGAGGCATGCACTACCATGCCCAGCTATTTTTGTATTTTTAATAGAGACAGGGGTTTCACCATGTTGGCCAGGCTAGTCTCGAACTTCTGACTTCAGGCGATCTGCCCACCTCGGCCTTCCAAAGTGCTGGGATTACAGGTGTGAGCCACCATGCCCAGCCACCCTGCTTTATTTTTGTTAACAACTCTTATCCTTACCTGACATGGTATCACACATTTCTCTATTTTTAGTCAGTCTTCTCAATAAGGATGCAAGCTCTCTGAGGGCAGGAACTTTGTTTTGCTCACAGCTGTATGCTCAGTACCTATGACAGTTATTGGCACATAGTAGGAGGTCAATAAATAGGTGTTGAATTCGAGTGAATGAATGAATGATTGAATGAATGAAGATGATAATCAGCTTGATCTTCCATTCCACGTCTGTGAAAGCACAAAGCCCTCTAGAGTCATCCTAATTCTGGCCTTTGGCTTCTGTAGAATTTTCTCTGTTAATGGGGCATCTCCCTTCTGCTCATGTTCTACTTCTATTCCACACCACTTAGGCCCAATGGGAAACTCAAATCCTTCCACAGTTGTCTCCAGAAATACTTCATGCACACAAATTTTTCTTAGACATCGTCAACTTTACTGATCAGAGAAGGAATTTACATCATACGAATATAAACAATTTCATAACAAACATTAGACATCACTATTTTTAGTGTGTCCTCAGGTCCTGCCACCATCAAAGAATTTTCACCAACCACTTCTTGTAATCTCCAATTCCTCTCACCACCTCAAGCTCTGTCCCTGCTCACTTCCCCTTCTCCTTACTTCCCTCCCTTCCTCTCCCACCTTCTCTCTTTTCCTCTCCTCTTCCCTCTGTATCAATCTGTTCTCATGCTGCTAATAAAAACATACACAAGACTGAGTACTTTATAAAGGAAAAAAATTTAGGACTCACATTTCCACATGGCTGGGGAGGCCTCACAATCATGGCAGAAGGTGAAGGAGAAGCAAAGGCATGTCTTACATGTCAGCAGGCAAGAGAGCTTGTGCAGGCGATCTCCCATTTATAAAACCATCAGATGTCGTGAGTTGTATTCACTATGATGAGAACAGTATGGAGGAAACCACCCCCTTGATTCAATTATCTCCACCTGGCCCCACCCTTGACACGTGGGGATGATTACAATTCAAGATGAGATTTGGGTGGGACACAGCCAAACCATATCACCTCCCACCTCTCCTTTCCCAGAAAAACAGAGCACTTTACGCATCTCTTTTGAATGCTTTACCTCCTGTGGTCTCCACGACGGTATTTGAAAATTTTGTATTGATGTATATATAAGCTAACCAGTATTTCCAGAATTTGAATAATATATAAATTCCCTTTAAGGGAAAGTGATTCTCACGACCATCCCAATTCTCCCATATCTTCAGATCTGGGCTTTGAAAACATTAACTTTATTTAAGAAAATCAAATACCATTCTATGCAAATGTCTTTCAATGGTAAATTACCACTGCTAAAGAAGCTTTGTCTATAAAACCTGTAAAAAGAAAAGAAAATTAAAACCAAAAAATAAATAAGTTCTCGTAACTCAAGGAGCCTCAAGAACATATTTTTAGAGCCCAAAGTTTCACGACTCCAGTTTGAGAAACACTATAAATAACCTAAGGCCACCTGGTCCGACTTCCTTGTCATACAGATGAGGTAACTGAGACCCAGAGGGGGATGTGGCTTGCTCCAGGTCACACAGCAATGCAGACTGGGACCTGGAACTTCTGGCTCTTCGTTCTTCTTGAATCTACTTTCTACCTTGAATTATCTTGATAGCTATTGTTAAAGAGGAAATTATTCAATGACACTTGTTAAAGCATGATAAGGAGGACTTTATTCAGGACCATTGCAGTAGGTATGGGTAACATTGCAATGGGATTTTGCAGTGAAGGAGAAAATTGGGCTGAACTCCTAATACAGCACAGGCGAGTGGGAATGTATGGCTGAGGAACAAGGTGGGAATCAGTGGATGGATAATTACTACGAGGAAGCATCAGGGATAAAGGGGGATTCTGGCTCAACTGACCTAGCAGAATTCTTGCTGAAGACAGGCCAGGGTGATCACACGTCATCTGAGGGATGATGGAGGGTGAGAAACCTGATCAGATATTAAGGGCAACCAGGTATCAAGGGGAGGATATTCTTGCTACGTTGACTTAGCAGAATTCTTGCTAAAACTGTATTTTACAAGGAAGTACACAGATGTGCCTTGGGAAAAGTTTAGGAGCCTGACAAAATTTGGTCAGACAAAGAACCTTTGTCACTATCTATCTAATCATATTCTTTGATAAAATTATCAATCTTCTACTTCATTTTCTTCAGGTTGGCTATCCACCTAATAACATTCTTTGATAAAATTCTCTATCTTCTACTTCGTTTTCTCCAGGTTGGCTTGGTTTGTTTGAAGGAAGTAGATATAAAATCTCCCCACCAAAAGCAACTATTTTCCTGAGGAATTTAATTCCCCAAACTCAGTAGAGTGCCAGGTCCAAAGCCTTCAAGAATCCATAGCCTCTTCTTATTGTTGATGAAGTGGCAGGTGAGAAAACTGGTACAAAAAGAAATGTTTCTGTCTACCTCTCTCTGTGAGGTAACAGACAATGTCCCTCTAAAGAACTCCTTCATAGGACCCTCCAACCTAAAACATTTCCCACAGCCAAACAAATGTCTTTACTCTCACCTCCTTTAGTCATTCATTTAATCTTTCAACAAGCATTAATTGCGTGCATAATGTAAGCCAAGGTCCTCTTGAGTCAGGAAAATGAGTCTCAGAGAAAGAAAGCGACTTACTCAAGACTGCAGAGTCCAGAAATAACTACAATAAAATGAGTCATTTTATTTTAATTCCCCAGATGCTTGGAAGCAGTGTGTTCTACAGTGAAGATCCTGTGTGAAACCGGTCAATGGAACTGAAGGGAGACATACTCTTTAAAAAAAGATAAAGAAGAAACCATTTATAAGGAAAGAAACATTGAAGGGCAGAAAGTAATGAGTCACCATTGCAAGTTGGCACAAAAAGAAAAATTAGTTCATAAAAATGCAGTTGGATAAATAATAGGTTATTTCATCATGTAAATATATCCCAAAATAACTTTATTGAAATGAAAATATCTATCGCAGCCTAAACTATTCATCACACTAACGTATATCTAGAATCCTAACAAATTTATGAAAATGTTATATTCCATAATCTTCCTGATCCAATGCAAATAAATAGATGTGCTTCAACTGTCTTGTTATGAAATGATTAATCACTGCTGCCAAAAGCAGCCAAGAAGCTAATTTTGATTTCTCACGTTGTGGGTGGCATTTGAGGGAATCCGTGAGGACTTTTCTCTGAGTATTGGACCTTGTAGAATGAAGATCTCATTCCTCTGTCTTCCCCAATCTGGGCCAACCTGGGAAAGGATCATCATTATCTCTTTTAAGCTGGGTAAAGCTTTTCCCAGATAAAGAAATTCCAGAGCTTCTTATTAGACAGAAGAAATCAGGACCAGGAAGGAGGGAAATTAATATTCCTCCTGTTATTTTCTTTTATTCCCACTACAGTCCAAGAAAAGAACTATAATTAAGATGACAGATGAGGAAAGTGAGGCTGGAATTTCCCCCAAATCAGCTAGAGACTGGCTTTCCAGGAGGGTGGCCTACCTGTGAATATTTGCCCAAGTCTTTCCCAGTTTGGGCTTCGAAAGTCCCATGTTCTAGAAAACCCCATTACCCCCCAGGCCATGGGGACAACTGGTCACCATACCCAGCAATTCTAACGTGGGTTTACGTGATTTCAAAGCCCTGTGCTTTTTATACATGTACATGACCTTCCCTAGGAAAGCTCAGAGGCAACATTCTGGAGGCAAGAACTCTTCCAGATTGGAGATAAAGGATAGGGTTTGGATTTAAGCATGGCCTCTAATCCTGGAAGCTGTATGCCCCTGGGTGAGGCAGTTGAATATCAAGCTTTCTGTTTCTTCAACTACAAAACAGAGGAGGGAGAAAGTGGAGATTAGACTAAATTATCCCTACACTTTCTTTTTTTTTATTTTTTTATTTTTTTTTATTATTATTATACTTTAAGTTTTAGGGTACATGTGCACAATGTGCAGGTTAGTTACATATGTATACATGTGCCATGCTGGTGTGCTGCACCCGTTAACTCGTCATTTAACATTAGGTATATCTCCTAAAGCTATCCCTCCCCACTTCCCCCACCCCACAACAGTCCCCAGAGTGTGATGTTCCCCTTCCTGCGTCCATGTGTTCTCATTGTTCAATTCC
The DNA here is from genome assembly GCF_000001405.40 of Homo sapiens. Lineage (NCBI taxonomy): Eukaryota > Metazoa > Chordata > Mammalia > Primates > Hominidae > Homo > Homo sapiens. The sequence continues at coordinate 120,067,962 of NC_000009.12, forward strand.
CACCTATGAGTGAGAATATGTGGTGTTTGGTTTTTTGTTCTTGCGATCGTTTACTGAGAATGATGATTTCCAATTTCATCCATGTCCCTACAAAGGACATGAACTCATCATTTTTTTATGGCTGCATAGTATTCCATGGTGTATATGTGCCACATTTTCTTAATCCAGTCTATCATTGTTGGACATTTGGGTGGGTTCCAAGTCTTTGCTATTGTGAATAATGCTGCAATAAACATACGTGTGCATGTGTCTTTATAGCAGTATGATTTATAGTCCTTTGGGTATATACCCAGTAATGGGATGGCTGGGTCAAATGGTATTTCTAGTTCTAGATCCCTGAGGAATCGCCACACTGACTTCCACAGTGGTTGAACTAGTTTACAGTCCCACCAACAGTGTAAAAGTGTTCCTATTTCTCCACATCCTCTCCAGCACCTGTTGTTTCCTGACTTTTTAATGATCGCCATTCTAACTGGTGTGAGATGGTATCTCATTGTGGTTTTGATTTGCATTTCTCTGATGGCCAGTGATGGTGAGCATTTTTTCACGTGTTTTTTGGCTGCATAAATGTCTTCTTTTGAGAAGTGTCTGTTCATGTCCTTTGCCCACCTTTTGATGGGGTTGTTTGTTTTTTTCTTGTAAATTTGTTTGAGTTCATTGTAGATTCTGGATATTAGCCCTTTGTCAGATGAGTAGGTTGCGAAAATTTTCTCCCATTTTGAAGTTTGCTGGGCAAGGACTTCATGTCTAAAACACCAAAAGCAATGGCAACAAAAGCCAAAATTGACAAATGGGATCTAATTAAACTAAAAAAGCTTCTGCACAGCAAAAGAAACTACCATCAGAGTGAACAGGTATCCCTACACTTTCTTTCAGCTCCAACATCTTGTCATTCTAATTGGATTCTACCCGCCCCATATAAACCATCCTATAAGGAAAGAGTGAAGGCAATAAAACCTCTTCCATCTCTGTGTAAAATCCTGTCCAATTACCTTTATAATTAGAAAAATAAATTTTTTTACTTTAGAAATCCTGTTCCGTTTTTCCACTTTTTTTTTTTGAAGAGTTTGTTTTGGGAGAGAATCTGGCTCCTGTAGAAAAAAAACAAAGTTTCTGGCTGAAACTGTGAATTTTGTAACTGCAAACTCTTTTAAAGGCAAGAAGGCAGACAGTGAAAGGATGGTTGCTAAGGAAACAATTGTATTTAAATTATCAGCTCACAATAGACCCAGCAAAGATATTGATTGGATGTGAGAGGGTAAAATTATTTTCTTCAAACTAGAGAAAAACTGAGGGTCTGACTAAGGTCCCAGGGTGGGAAGAGACTTGTGGTGTGATTGTACTGTTTTTCTTTGTTTAATTGGAGATGCTAAGAATGGAAGAAAAGATGCTTGCTTTATATTCTCTTTAATAGTCTCTCCCTTACATTCACTGAAACTGGGAGAAATGAATACACAGAGAAGGGAAATTTGTAGTGCTTACTAAGAAAACTAATGGTTTTCCAACAGTCCTGAAACCAGCACATAGGAGAAACTAATTAGAGCAGAAATGATCACATACTACTTTCTACACAAGACAGCATTTTTCTAAGTAATTCCCTGGGTTAGCCCATTTAGCCTCACAATAACCCATGAAGTTATTATTATTAATATTCCCATTTTACAGACAAGGAAACTGAGAAGGATTAAACAAGTTGTTCGAGGTCGCACAACTGGTAAGTGCAGAGCTGGGATTTGAATCCAGGCAGCCTGACACCAGAATCTACACTCTCACCTCTATATCTACCTGCCTTTCCAAGATTTTCAGGCCATATAAGCATAAAAACCCTATATTTGGATAAACTTCAGGAAAAAAAAATGTCTTCAGCTAAAGGCATCAAATGGAGATAGAAAGATATGTATTACCCAAGCCTGTGGAGGAAATCAGGATTTAATTAAGAAATAACTAACAATATTTAAGGACTATTGACAAAATTAACACATTGTATCTAGATGTGATTCTAGTCTCTTTAAATCTTTTGGTAGAGAAATATCATCTTTATCTACTGTTGGACTTAGGGGCTATTTGGTGGCAAAGGAACACATGTGTTCCCTGATTTAGCTCAGAGGAAGAGAGTGTTCAGCAGGCTGCAGGGATCTGGGGCAGGAAGGTACCAGGAACCAAGGTCACCAGCCCCTCCTGGCCACATGGTTTCTGCTTCTCCCTGTGCCTGCTCTCTCTCAGCCAAGTTCCTCTGTTTCCCAGGATCCAACATGACTGGCAGCTCCACGTCTTATAAGATTCATCCCATAGTGCCCACCACTGGTTCTCTTTGTTCAATTTGTCTCAAGAAAGAGTTGTCATAGGTAAGCCACCTCAAGGATCGTAAGACCGTAATTATGATCCAAACACCTGTGAAGGCTTGGTTAGGGGTGAGGGATGGAAGGGGAAAGACCCTGTGTGCACCCTTTAATTGGCTGATATTTAATGTGTATGTTCAGGAGTGTTAATACTTGCTTCTCTCCCGCAATAGTAGTGAGTCAAGTGAGGATACCTGTAACACTGACCCTAGATTTGATGGTGTATTTTTTAATCAATTATTTCTGATCATTTTAAGTCCTCATTGGCAATAAATACAGAAAAAAATAACATAAAAATAAGGGGGGTTATCAATTACTCCTCAAACTACCAGTAAAGATCCAGTATGTCAACAGATCCTAGCTTAAGAAACAGAAAATTTGATCTATTATGAAAAAGTTTATAGGTAACCAACAGGAGAACTCATTGCTTATGGTAGCAAGACATGGGAAACAACATAATGTTCATTAAAAAGGGAATGGTTGGAGGCCAGGCGCAGTGGCTCACATCGGTAGCCCCAGCACTTTGGGAAGCCGAGGTGGGTGGATTGCCTGAGTCCAAGAGTTTGAGATTAGCCTGGGCAACATGGTGAAACCCTGTCCCTACAAAAAATACAAAAATTAGCTGGGCATGACAGTGCACACCTGTAGTCCTAGCTACTTGGAAGGCTGAGGCAGGAGAATTACTTGAACCCGGCAAGTCAAGGCTGCAGTGAGCCAAGATCGCATCACTGCACTCCAGCCTGGGTGACAAAGTGAGTCCCTGTCTCAAAAAAAAAAAAAGGTTTGAGGGAGGTGGTTAAATAAGATATGTCTACATGATAAAATATCGTCCAGCCATTAAAAATAAGGTGGTAAATCCCAAGGTATGCACTTGGACCATTTTCCAGGGTGCAATATGTGAAAAGCAAAAGTACACAGCAGTATGTTTCAGAGGAAAGAAAGAACTTATAAAAATGTGTTGTTTGAACAGGGTTCCCCAGAAGGATGCAGAAGAAACAACTCACAGAAGTTGCTTCTGGAGATTTTGCAACAGGGGGTTAGGGTGAGAAGCTTATTTTCACTGCTTCAATTTTTTATTGTTAACATGTATCTCTCTTAAAAGTAAATTTTCTAATAGATAGATGATAAAGGTATATTCATGTAGGCCTATAAATGCATACACACATGTGAGTATATACACACATGTAGATGATGTAGATATAGACAGATGTAGATAAAGCTAGATAGAGACAGAGATATACCCCAAGTTTTCCCGGAATGTCCCTTTTCCTTATAGATCCCTTGGGAAGGTCAAGCATCTCTGGGACCCCTGGTCTCACCTCGTCTTCTGCTCAGATCTTACATCTGCTTATGTAAAGCCTTTTGTGGTTTACAAAAGATTTGTAAACCTATACCAACCCTATTTGATCCCTATACCAATCCTTTGGGAGGAGAAATGTGGGTGTCATTCTTCCATCTTACAGATGAGAGGACAGGTAGATTCCGATTCAACCACAAGACTGGAGAGTCTAGGTCTTCCAATTCCCATTCCTGTGCTCCTTTCACTTGATGAGGCTACCAGTGGAGCCAGCTCTGCATTTGACTCAACCATGTAGGCTCAGCCACTACCCCTTCCAAACACTTCACAGATCCCTCCTCTCTACTCCAACAGCACACTAGCCCCACCATGTGCCCTGTGCTCCCTAACCCCAGAGCTTAACCACACAGATGGAAACTGTCTACTGGCTTGTCTGATCTGCCACGCTTCTCTAAATGTGAGCCCCACAGTCAATCACTCCTCATTCCCCTGTCTACCCCATGCCCAGTGCCGTGCTTGGCACATAGAAAACGCTCAGTAAATGTTTGTCAAATAAATGATTCAGTGAATAATCATTCTAGAGCTGGTGGCTTCATAGGATTTGAGTTATTGCATTTTTTTTCTATCTATAAAGAAAAGCTCTGAGATGACCCCTCAGCTGTGTTCAGATATTGTAAATAATTGATCATAAAGATGAAACACACAGCCTGGACAGAGACCAGGAAACCTGTCAATATCATGGGAATAAATCTCTGCTCACAGCGGCCCAATGCCTGAGCTGGCTTTCCAAGGCCATTAAACTATCACTGCAGCTCGGGCATTAGTTGGAATAAAGTGTTTGTGTTTGTTTGTTATCATTTCTTAGTAAAACTAATTAACGAACTAATTGATTGTTTTGTTGTTCTACTAATTAACTCCATATGGTGCCCATTTCCATGGAGATAGACTATGAGTTATGGGAAGGACTCTGATTTAACATGCCGTTTCTGGGTTTGGGGATAATCCTTTAGAATTAAGGATCCTTTTCAATCTCATTTCCCTTCATTGCTGCAGCCATGTACTTGACCTTTCCAGCTCCTTGAGGGTGGGGAGATGGGGTCTGCCATGACCAGCCAGGAAAGAGCTCTGAAGGGACAAGAGAACCCAAGGCTAGAATGGATCATCAAGAAAGCCCCAAGCTAAGACAATAGCAATTATTGCAGAAGCTACCACTTTGAGCACCTGCTATGTAGCTGCCATCACACTGAACACTGTACATGCATTATCCCAAAACCTTTCAATGACCAACACCCACATTAGTGCTCCCATTTTGCAGAAAAAGAAACTGAGTCCTCAGAGTGATTTGCCTATGGTTATCCCAGCAATTTGTTTGTTCATTCCTTTGTTCATTCATTCATTCAACAAATATTTATTCAGCACCCACTACATGCCAGGCACAGTTCCAACCTCTGGAAATAGCTCTGGATCAGACAAATTCAATCCTTCTGCTCACAAAGCTTATATTCTAGAAGGGAGAGATAAGTAATAAATGAGAAAACAAATAAACAAGGTTATTTTAAATAATGACTAGGGCAATAAAAAATGTCTAGGTGGTGAGAGAGAGAGAGAACACAATGCAGGTGCTATTTGAAATCAGTTGGTTAGAGAAAATCTCTGTGAGCAGGTGATATCTGAGCTAGAATCTTGATAATAAGAAGGAACCATCCACGTGAATAGCTCAGGCAAGAACCTTCTAGACAAAGAGAATCGCAAGAGAAAGCTGAGGCAGGAAGGAGCTTCTGTTCCCCAGGAACCAGAGAGAGCCCAGAGGAAAAGAATCAGGGGGAGGAGGAAAGGAGAGGTGAGGTCAGATATGGAAGCAAAGCCAGGCCACGTCTTGGTAGAGTTTGGGTTGTCTTTTATGTGGAGGATTCAGTCCACCTGACTCTGGAGCTCATATTGTTCTCATCACCCTGTGCTACCCTCAGTTACAAGTCTGAATGATCCCACAAACATACACAGGGCACTCACCAAATGAGGTCCTGAGCAGGTCCTTGTTAGAGCCACTTTCCAAGGCTCCTGACCTGTGATCCCAGATCCTCAATAATCAAAGAAATTAGTCTTCAGATGCTTGACTCAGGAATGGGGATACCATTTATCTAAGGTCAGGCCCCAGAGCTCAAGGACCCAGGTCACAGTGTTCAGTAAATATTCACTCCCCTCTCCTTCCTGTGGTGGTAGGATGTTGGCCAGACCAGGTGATTTGCTTTGGCCCAGGGAAGCCAGCACATGTTATGCAAGTAGGGGCCTTACATGTCCTACCTAGATTGTCCAGGCCCTTGTGCTCATGTGACCTCTCATGCGGTGTCTTCCCAGGTAGCTTCTGTCCTTCAGCCTGGTCCTCAAAACAATCCCCCAGTCTGGAGCCACACCCAGCTGGCCACAGCCAGCCTGAAACAGAGACATTCAGCCTGGATCAGCTGAACCACCCACAGTCAATCCACAGACTTGGAAACCTAAGAACAAAGGCATGTTGCTGTAAGCTACTGAGATTTAGGGATGTTTGTTATGCGATAGTATTGTGGTAATAGCTAATTAGTATGCCTACTATGTGCCAGCCCTTGACTAGATGCTGGGATGCAGAAATGAGTAGTAAGGTTAAGGAATTGTCTCCGCCCTTGAGGAATTGACAGTCTACTATGATATGACTTATTTTTTTAAAGTCATTATTAACTCAATTCAGAAACATTGGACTTTCACACTGATTAGATACTCTGATTGGCAGCTGCATAATTAAAAATTTGAAAGGGACAAGATTAACTAATTATAACTTAAAATGTGCAAAGGCTTCTAGCAGTAGGCAGACTAATAAAGTGAAGTCACAGTGTGGTAGAAGAATGCAGTTTCTGAAGCCAGACCTACTGGCTTCAAATCCTTTTCCTGCTGTTTAGTAGCTGGATGATTTTAGAAAACAGACTCAACCTCTCTGAGCTCCAGTTTTTACATCTCTATAATACAGAAAATGATGCCCACTTCCCATGAAGTTGTCAAGATTGTACAAGAAAGTATATGTAACATATCCAACATGGTGTCTATTAGGACAAGCTCCCTTTTAGCTGTAGGTTCTTTGTTTTCTTTTTCTTTTCTTCCTTTTTTTTTTTTTTTTTGCAATTTGATTGTGGTAAGAACAACTTAATATGAGATCTACCCCCCTAATAGACTTTCAAGTGGGCAATTCAGCATTGTTATCTATAGGCATAATGTTGTACCACACATCTCTAGAACTTATTCATCTTGCACACCTGAGATCAGTAGTAACCCCCCAGTTTCCCCTCCCCTCCGCTGCTGGCAGCCACATTCTACTTTCTGCCTCTATGATTTTGACTATTATATCTATCTTTCTCTCTCTCTTTTTGTTTTTTGGGTTTTTTTTTTTTTTTAGATGGAGTCTCACTCTGTCACCAGACTGGAATGCAGTGATGCAATCTCGGCTCACTGCAACCTCTGCCTCCTGGGTTCAAGCAATTCTCCCGCCTCAGCCTCCCAAGTAGCTGAGACTACAGGCCTGCACCACCATGCCTGGCTAATTTTTGTATTTTTAGTAGAGACGGGGGTTCACCATGTTGACCAGGCTGGTCTCAAACTCCTGACCTCAAGTGACCCTCCCTCCTCAGCCTCTCAAAGTTCTGGGATTGCAGGCATGAGCCACCTTGCCTGGACCTATCTAACTCATATAAGTGGAATCACGCAGTATTTGTCCTTCTGTGCCTGGCTTGTTTCACTTGGCATAATGTCCTCAATGTTCATTCATGTTGTCACATATGACAGGATTTCCTTCTTTTTTAAAGCTAAATAGTTTTTCATTGTATTTATATGCCACATTGTCTTTATCTAGTCATTCATAGATGGACATTTGGGTTGTTTCTACAACATCTTGGTTATTATAAATAGTACTGCTGCCAAGAATACACACTGGGGAGAAGACATTCTCTTTCACAAATGGTGTTGGAAAAAACAGATATCTATATGCAAAAGTTACAAATTGGAACTTCTCTTCCGCCATACCCCAAAATCAACCCAAAATGGATTAAACACTGAAACCTAAGACCTGAAACTCCTAAAACCCCTAGAAGAAAACACAAGAGAAGCTTCATATCATTGGTCTTTGCAATTACTTCAGGGATAGGACACCAAAAACACAGGCAACAAAAGCAAAAATAGGCAAATGTGACTACATCAGACTAAAAAGTGTCTGCACAGAAAAGGAAGCAATCAACAGAGTGAAAGGGCAAACTATGCAATGAAGGAAAACATTTGCAAACAATATATCTCATAAGGCGTTAATTTCTAGAATATATAAGGAATTTCTACAACTCAATAGCCAAAGAATCCCCAAAATCCAACTTATTGTATATGCAAAATAGCTACATTTGTAATGTTCCCAACACAAGAAAAATAAACATTTGAGGTGATAGATATGTCAAGTATCCTGATCTCATTCTTACACATTATATACAGGTATCGAAATATCACCAGTACTCCAAAAATATGTACAACAATTACATATTAATTTTTAATGGGCTAAAGAGTTGAATAGACATTTCTTCAAAGAAGACAAATAAATGGCCAACACATGTGACAAGGTAGTCAATTTTACTAATTATCAGGGAAGTGCAAATCAAAACTTCAATGAGATATTGCCTCACATCTGTCAGGATGGTTATTATCAAAAACACAAAAGGCACCAAGTGTCAGTGAGGGTATGAAGAAAAAGGGAACTTTTGTACATTGTTGGTGGGAATATAAAATGATGTCCCCTGCCATGGAAAACAGTATGGAGATTCTTCAAAAAATTAAATATAGAACTACCATATGATCCAGCAGTCTCACTTCTGGGTATTCATCCAAAGAATTGAAATCAGGTCAGGCAGGTGGCTCATGCCTGTAATCCCAGCATTTTGGGAGGCTGAGGCAGCAGGATCACTTGAGACCAGGAGTTCAAGACCAGCCTGGGTGACAGAGTGAGACCAAGTCTCTCAAAAGAAAAAAAAAAGAAAGAATTGAAATCAAGATCTTGAAAAGACATCTGAACTCTCATGCCCTTAAATCCATTTTAGAGATGACAGAGATCTGACTTCAATCCTGTCTTCGCCACCACTCTGCAAAGTCAACCCCTTCCCCCATCTAGGCCTCAGTGTCTTCATCTATAAAATAAGAACATGGGGCTAGGAAATTCCAGAAGATCCCCATTAATTCTAAAAAGCAGCAAATTTGCTGTCTCCTGCATCGCTTCAGATTCCAACAATCATGGATGCTTCCTAAGAACCATGAGAGCTTAGGATGGGAAGGGGCTCCTCCTCTCTACCTTTCCTCCCAGCGAGTGCTCAGGACATCTTCCCGCTCACCCCGTTTCTTAAATGTCCTCCCTGACTTTTTCCTCCAGTCCCTGTCTCTAAACTTTCCAACTATTTATTTCCTCTGATGTTGTCTGAAGCTCCAGGATAATTGTTGCAGGAGAAGCAATCAGCTCAGCCTTCGACAAGTCATCGAGACGACAGGCAAGCAAGGGTATTAGGCTGTCAATTTCCGAGCCCTTCCAAATGTTGCAACAATTTTGGTGAATTACAAGCAATAGAAAATCACTCTGGGTGCTCATTAGGCAGGAGATAGGAGTGATGATGAATGCTTGGAAGTGAAGGCAGAAGCAGGCTTTCCCAGAGCCAAAAGCCCACCTTCTGGCATCTTCTAGGGATGGCTCACTTAACCCTTGCTGATCTGGAGGAAGTCCAAGGAGACAAATCCTCCAGGCTTTGGTCAATCCACTCAGGATTTATGGAATTCCCATTGTGCATATTGGGTCCTATATTGTTCAGTCCAGTGAGAGAAAGGCATTTAAAAATACCACAAAAGATACAAAAGATAAAAACTGTGGGAGTAAGGAAGAGAGAGAGAAACTGATTCTGACTGGGGGGTTGAGGGCAGCTTCATGGAAGAGGTGGTATTTTAGTGGGGTCTTGAAGAATGAGTAGAACATCAAAATATACCCTTCCCCTGCCATTGATGATGATGATCATGATGACGACCAACACTTACATGATGTTTGCGTAATTCTATTATATCCAAGTCTTGTAATTAAATGCCTTGCATATATATAACATTATGTAACAATTCACAATAAGCCTTAGTTAGATATTATTACTATCCCCATTTTATAGATGAAGAAACTGAGGCACAGAGAATTTAAGTAATTACCTGAAGAAGCACAGCCAAAAACTGTCTAAGCAGAAATACATAAGAAGTAATATGGATGAGTCATTTGAAGCAGACATGGGCTGATTCTCGTATAGTTTTAGGAAAAAATGAGAGGTGATTAATGAACAGTAGGAACATCGCTGAGGAAGAGCTGGGTTCAATTCCAGGCTCCACCATGTACTACTCAGGTGATTAGTCAGGTGGCTCAGGGGAATTACTTATATGTCCTGAGCCTCAAGCTCCTTAAAGGAGTTACCATGGTCCCTGGCATCCAGTAGCAACATTCAGAAATAATGGCAGCTGGAAATCAGCAACAGAAAACTAGATCTGCATTCATTCCAACACTCATAGCATACATTGAGCACCTGCTGTGGGCCCGGCACCAGGTAAAGTGTTGTGGGGAGAAAGACAAATGAGACCAAATCCTTGCTCTTGTGGGAAATGCAGTGTGGTAGGGAATGCTTGTAAGTATTAATCTATGTGCTTGCTCCTAGACTCTGGGGTCACGGAATTCTTTCAATTGTACCCCAAGGGCCTCTTCTTTTTCCAGCTCCCCAGGCTGCTTGTGAAGGTAAAAGTCATCTATTGTGGAATGTAAAACAAAGGTTGTTGTGAATACTTTCAAATTCACAGAGTCAGAGAGAGTTTTTGTGATTGCAGAAACCAAGTAAAGGGCATAAGAATGAAAAAAGGGAGAGAAAAAGTTGAAAAGGGACCCGGGGGACCAAAAAGGGTGAGGTGGAGATTTGTCTAGAGGAATAAAATGACCTTGTACCTAAGTGTCAGGGTATACAGGAATGCAAACTGCCTCAGCAGCATCTGAAGGGGACCCCATCGGCCAGAGGTCAAGTCCTTCAACCGTTGGTCATTCAGCCTTCCATGGTTGTTGTCTGTGCCCTGCAGACTGTGCCTCCCATTGGTTCATTCCATGAAAACCATCCATGGTCCCAGGGTCTTTGACACTTTCAAGGATCCCAGAGGAGAGGACAGAGGTGTTGGACACCTTATGGGATGATTGTGGCCTGAAGGAAAATCCTCAACCCCTGACCAATATGGCACTAAAAAGAACCAGTTTGAAATGGTCTCATTTTACTGCCTGGGGAAAGGAGTCAGAGAAATGAAGGCTTTGGAGATGCTGGTGCTGAGATGGAACCTGTCCACTGTCCCAGATTACAAAGGACAGTAAGGTCAATTCTACCAGTGGAGACAAGAGAAGGTTTAGAAAAACTTAATAGATAAGGTTGACCTTTAAGCTAAGTCCTGGTCCTAACCACCATGTCTTGGGGTGGAGCAGGGCAGTCATGTTGCCAACAGTAGCAAGACTGAGGCTTCAACTGAAGGGCCTGGGTAAGCAGGAGGTAACAAAATGGAAACGTGACTTAGGACAGAAAACAGGACCCCTCAGATCTGGGACAGAATGGAGGTTGGGGGAAGAGAACTCAATGATGAGTCCAGAGCTTGAGGCTGGAGCCCCTCTGGCCTCAAGTCAGGAACAGTCCTAGCCCCAGTGGCAAGATGAAGTCACAGAGGGGTTCAAGTGCTCAATCTGGGGATAGGGTGCAGACTGAGGCAGAGTCTGGAAGCCAGGCTGCACTCGACACATAAAGATGGATGTAAAATATTTGCGTTTTGACCCAAAGGTCAACTGCCTAAGCCTCCAAATGGAAGAAATACAGTTTAAGAGAAGTTTCTATGAAAAAGATTTAAAAGTAAAAGACGACTGCAAGCTCTGTAGAAGCCAGCCTTAAATTAAACCTAGATTTTTTACAGTTGTCCCAAATGCATGACAGTCAGATGTACAGTCAGAATTTAACTGAGGCATCTTTTAAAGCTGGCAAAGGGAATGGAAAACAAAGATACAAGGGCCAGTGACCCAATAAAAAGCACTGAGGCTATGAAGTCAGACAAATACAGGTTCAAATCCTGGCTACGGGTTTTAGTAGCTGCTCAACCTTCAGGAAGCTCTTTTGCTTTGCCAAGCCCTAATCTCCTCCACCGGTTTTTTTTGAAAGATTAGAGAAAACAGATGTGACGCAATTGACAGAATGCCTGGCATAAAATAGGTGCTCAAAATATGGTAGACTTCAATGATATGAAAGTGATGATGGTGGCGGTGGTGGTGGTGATGATGATAAATGAAATGATGATGTTGCCCTTTAATTAAGCCAGGCTGTGATGACACTCACCAGACCCCATGAGGTGGGGTACTCTTAAAATCTTAAGAGATGGCGAATAAGCATCCAGGTGTATAGTAAAAGAATCATCGCAGCTGGGGGCCTCTGAAGAGAGAAAACTTTATTTCATAGTCAATTGAAGCTGGAACTCTGGGTGGACAATAAAAATAGCTGTCATTTGCAGGGCTCTCCCTAGGGGCTGCAAGATGTATGGGGCTTTCACATTCATCAACCCATTTCAGCCCGACAGCACTCTGTGAGAGAGGCAGGGATGGCGTTCCCTCCCAGCAGAGGGAACAGCCCATGCAAAGACTCTGAGAGGGAGAAGATAGACAGCTGGAGAGTGGAAAACAAAGAGCAGAAGGGGCAAGAGGACACAGAACACAATAAATGGGACTCACACCTATAAAGCTTCTGGAACGGTGCCTGGCACACAGTAAGTGCTCAGAAAACTCAGATTCTTTGTCATCACTGTCACCAGAATCAAGAAGGAGAGGTGCTGCTGCAAGAGACAAAGAGCTCCCTGTCGTGGGAGGCATCCCACAGTGGTGGTCGGCAGACCTTTCAGGGAGCTGCAGAAAAGTACATTGAAGCATTGATTGGGGCAAGCCTTGGCTCTACCACGTCTGGGAACCATGTTGACCATTGCTCCCTGTGAGCTGGGGACCTGAGAAGACGGGGACACAGGAGGCATGGAGATATCTGGGGTGCCCTGAAATTCCTCTGTTTAAATGGAGCCCACTCCCCCGCTGCAGGCATCTGGCCATTACCAACTGCTGGGCTACAGGTAAATTTTGCCAGAGGCACCCAGCTGTCCCTAGGCATAAATGCCCCAGAAAGGCAGCCTTTCCCTTTGTGCCTTAATCTCATTTGAACTTGTCCTACCTCCTTTGTTCTCCCATTTTAATGATTCCATTCTCTCCACCGCCCCCCTCGACAACCACCCTGGATCAGCCCCCACAGCAGGGAGCCCTTTAATTGGCAGCGACGTTGCCAACGCTCAGCTGCGCAGGTGGAGAGGCATTTAGTGGTGTTTGTTCTGTGTAGGGGGAAGAAGGGAGAGTTCTTCAAAACCAAGTAGCTACAGTAGCTTATTCAACACAATTTGAAGGTGATAAATTGGACCTGATTTTTTTGTCATTTTTTTCCCCTGCCGGCTCTTCTGACAAGTGGCCACTGCTGAGATTGCCGAAGGAGACAGAATTGCTTTCCCCAGCAGCAACTGCCTTCCTGCTGCCTCCCTTCCTTCCTTCCTTCCCTCCCTTCTTTCCTTCAGGGGCCACCACACCACCCACTACAAGGCCAGCCTCAGGGCAGTGCCCGACAGACCTAGGGCAGCATCTCTGAGGATCCATGTGGCCAGGCTGCTGAGCTCTGTTAAGAAATATCTGGAGGCCGGGCTCAGTGGCTCATGCCTGCTATCCCAGCACTTTGGGAGGTTGAGGTGGGCAGATCACTTGAGCTTATGAGTTCGAGACCAGCCTGACCAGGATGGTGAAACCCTGTCTCTACTTAAAATACAAAAATTAGCCAGACACGGTTGGCGTGTACCTGTAGTCCCAGCTACTCGGGAGGCTGAGGCATTAGAATCACTTGAAACCAGGAGGCGGAAGTTGTAGTGAGCCGAGATCGTGCCACTGTACTCCAGCCTGGGCAACAGAGCGAGACCCTGTCTCAAAAAAATAAATAAATAAAAATAAAAAAGAAATATCTGGAAAGAAGGCCAGCTGTATACATTCACTGGAGTGTGACAATTGGGTCCAGAAGCTCAGGCTCTGAGAACGCTCTCCTCCTTCTTCTCCAGTCCCTTTCTTACTCAACACCTCAAGTAATTTATTTATTCCACAAGTGTCTATTAAATACCTATTACTGCCAGAGCACCATATGTCAGTGAGCAAAACAAAAAATTTCCTGCCCCAGTGGATAAGAGGGAGGATACACACAACTCTTAGTATGTTTAATAAATCAGCACATTACATGTATTCACAGGGTGTTGAGGGCTAAGGGAAAAACAAGCACAGGAGGAAAAGGGTGATTGAGAGTGTGGGATAGGAGTGGGGAGTTTGCAATTTTTGATAAGGTGAACAAGGTAGCCCTTATTGAAACAGTGATGTGGGGGTGGTGTCCTGAATGCATGCACTCAATCACTCACTACCCCATGCATTCATGACACCGTTCATTCATTCACTCCTTCATCCATGCAGGTATCCATTCATTCACTCAATCACTCATTCCTCATTTACTCATTCACTATTCATTGCCCCATTTTCTTGCTCACTCATTCATACATTCGTTCATGAGCTCACTCACCCACCAGTGTCTCAGGCACTGAGCCCTTTTCATTTCTTCCCACAAACATGTCTCATGCCCGCCTCGCTTCTGGGCCTTGGCATCAGTTGTTCTCATAGCCTGAAATGTTACCTCTGCTCTTCTCCAACTACAGTCCTTGGTTTAGAATCACCTGCTCCAGGAAGCCTCTCTGACTCATGGTCTAAGTTAAGGGCTCAGCTCAAGGTTTCCATACTCATCCTGTTTATCTCTATCACTACATTGTTCCAGCAGCCAGTTTCTTAGCCTGACTCCCCCACAAGATCATGAACTCCTTGAATTTTTGGACTGCATCTTATCCCCACAACTGACATTGTAGTTGGCACACCATAGATATTTAGTAAATGCTTGTAAAGTCGATCAATTTTCAGAACAGTCTGTGCAAAGAATTGGAAGGAGAATCACTGACCAGCCAGAGGCACATACTACTGGGAAGAGAAAGACATAGTTTGTGTTGAGCACCTCTATGCACCTCTATACATATAACTGATTAAGCTCACACTGACCCTATAAGGCAGGCATTTTTAACTGAACTTTTTAGATGAGGACATCAAGGCAAGAAAGGTTAAATGCATTGCCAAAGATCCCATGGACAAGAGGTGGCCCAGCTGGAATTCCTCCCAAGTCTGCCTGAATCCCTAAACTTGTTCTTGCCACACCCATGAACTGGCTCCCTAAAGGTAAGTAAAGTCCACCTGGCCAATTTGAGAATAAGCCTAGACCTCTGGAGACACATCCATGGGGTCCCGCCCCACCCACCCCCCCACCTTCCCCTCTTAGCTACCTGCTGCTGGCTAATAGAAGATTATTCTCCTGACTCTGCATTTAAATGGGGCCAGACCTACCCAAGACCACAGAACCCTGGCCTCAGACCTTTTAACTGGTAATTACTCTGCAGCCACAGTGTGAGATCATCCATTAACCTGAGGCCAAAGTGCGCCCTGCTAATCAGCCAGTTCGGATTCCATCAAGCAGCTGGACTGATTACGGACCTTAATCACAGAGGGACGGGCACAATCAGACTGTCTAGCCCTCCTTCTAGCCCGAAGGGGAAAGAAAGTTTTATTATAGAGGGGCTGACATTTGGCAGCCTCTGCAAAGAGAGGTCACCATGGGTTGCCATAGGCGATGTCTCAGCCAAGACCCGCTTAATAACCATGCAAGACCAAAGAAGGAGGAGGAGCTTGGGCCAAGCAGACAGGATGGAGCCTGACACAAAGCTCAAAAGTAAGAAAAGGAAGGGAACTTTTTGAGCACTTACTATGGGCCAAGCAGTGCACTAGGTCCTTCACTTCTGTCACTTTTCATCTTCAAATAGTGTTGCAAGGGAGGTATTCTTGAGCCCCCATTTACAATGGGGAAGCTGAGGTTCATTCAAGGTCAGACTGCTGGTAAGTGGCAGAGCCAAGACTCGAAGGTGAATCTTTCTGGTTTTGAAGTCTGTGCTCTTTCTGCCACTCCCAGGTATCTAACTTTTAGCCTGTGTGATTTCTCTGTGCTAGGAACAAAAACAAAGTTGATATGTAGGTGGGGATTAATGTACAATGCCCATTCTAGCCTCATTTGCATTTGAAGAGAACTGTGATTAACCTGAAGAAGATGCTCACTGACAGTGGAATTTTAGGCACCATGTTAGATTACCAGGGGAGCTGTCAGCCAGGACTTTTCAGGTCTCTTAAAATAATCCCTGTCCTCCTCATTTTCTTTAATCACTGTGGCTGTGAAAGAACAGCAAGGAGAGCTTGAGACACTGTAGATATTTCTGCCATATTCTTTGGACATAGAAAATAAATAAGAAGGAAGGTGTTCTTGGGAACAAAGGTAAGAGATGTCTACCTCAGAGCAAGATGGCCCAGTCTTGGGAAGGGTTCTTCAACCTCTCAAGAAGGAAGCCATCCTGAGAGAGGCAGTGCTACCCCAAGCTTGACAGGAGACGAGCAGGTAATCCCATTCCATTCCTTACATGGAGCGACGTTCTGAGAACCTAAAAGGTATGAAAGGAAAAATGCCAAGGGCTTCAGACAGGTGACTCCAGCAGCTTGTCCACGACCAAAAAGATTTCTTACTTTCCCCCATAATCCCCCTTGTCTCATCTACCTACTGTAACACATACACCTGCCCCCTAGGTTTGCTCATTTCTCCATTCCTGTGGCACCACCATTGTCAAAGTCACCATCATCCCCCACCTAGATTGACACAAGGGCCTCAGGAGTGGTTTCCCTGCATCTGCCCTCAACAGGATCTCTACAATCTATACTTGCTACAACAGCAAAAGTTTTTCTTTCCAAAGAATAAATCAGTTCATCACTCTCCTGTGTACAATCCTAAAATAAAATCAAAACTCCTTGCCAAAGTCTGCACAGTCCTGTGTGCTCAGGCCAGAGGCTTCTCTGATGTTGCCCCCAGCTACAAACCAGCAGCACTCCCCACCTTTCAGTTCTTGATTGCACTCACTTTCCTTCCTGGGAATGAACCCCCTACCCCTGCCCCCCCAACTCTCTCCATGCCCCCACATTGATGTCCCCACAGAGACATCTCCCTAGAGACATCACTCCATCTAGAATTGCCCAGCAGAGTCACTCCCTGTCACATTTCCCTAGTTTATCTACTATTTTATCCGGGGAATCAGTCCCCAATATTTCAGTGTAGGTTCTTTCTATTTTCCCTAAGTGTTGGCCGGTCAGAGAAATAAAGAGTACAAAGAGAGGAATATTACAGCTGGGCTCCTGGGGGTGACATCACATATCGGTAGGTTCGTGATGCCCCTGAGCTGCAAAACCAGCAAGTTTTTATTAGAGATTTCAAAAGAGAAGGGGGTGTATGAACAGGGAGGTCACAAAGATCACATGCTTCTAAGGCCAATAAAGATCACAAGGCAAAGGGCAAAATTAGAATTACTGATGAGGGTCTATGTTCCACTGTGAACGTATTGTCTTGATAAACATCTTAAACAACAGAAAACAGAGTTCGAGAGCAGAGAACTGGTCTGACCTCATATTTACCAGGGTGGGATCTTTTCCCCACCCTAATAAGCCTGAGGGTACTGCAGGAGACCAGGGCGTATTTCAGTGCTTATCTCAACCGCATAAGACAGACATTCCCAGAGTGGCCATTTATAGACCTCCCCCCAGGAATGCAATTCTGTTCCTAGGGTCTTAATATTTAATATTCCTTGCTAGGAGAAGAATTTAGTGATATCTCTCCTACTTGCATGTCCGTTTATAGGCTCTCTGCAAGAACTAAAATATGGCTCTATTCTGCCCAACCCTGCAGGCAGTCAGACCTTTTGTTGTCTTCCCTTGTTCCCTGAAATTGCTGTTATTCTGTTCGTTTTCAAGGTGCACTGATTTCATATTGTTCAAACACCCATGTTTTACAATCAGATTTCATATTGCTCAAACACACATGTTCTAAAACCAATTTGTACAATAGTGGTCCTAAGGTGACATACAGTCTCAGCTTATGAAGATAACAGGATTAAGAGATTAAAGTAAAGACAGGCATAAGAAATTATAGGAGTATTATTTGGGAACTGATAAATGTCCATGAAATCTTCACAATTTATGTTCCTCTGCCACGGCTCCAGCTGGTCCCTCTGCTTGGGGTCCCTGACTTCCTGCAACACTCTTTCATAGCATTTGTCTCTGAAATTGTCATCTTCTTTCATTTGTCTTCCCATTAAAATGTTAGCATCCAGGAGGGTGGAGAGTTTGTCTGACTTGTACATTGCTGTAGATTCACAGCAGCTACAACAGTACCTGATACATAGTTGGTACTCAATACATCTTTTTGGAATGATTAATGCTGAAGTTAGGGTCACAGGATGGGTAAAGCATGGGTCCCTCCAAGAACAGGGAACAGAGGTATAATGAATAACAGGATCAGGTTCATTGTCTGAAATTTGGGGTTTAGCTTCTTCATTCAGAATATGAGGATATGGAAAACCACAATGAGACAACTAGTTCCAAATAATCCTTCTCTACCAGCTTCCTGTCCAACAATCTCTACTTTCTAAAATTTCTCATATCTATCCACTTCCTCCATCACTTCTTTTGTACCAGTCTAGACTGGCATCATCGTTGACCTAAACTTCTCTGCAACCTCCTTGTGGACTCTCCTGCCTCAGTACTACTCCTTCTAAGCTCCACCAGGCAGCCACAGCCAGCCTCTAGTTCTCATCAAGGCAGCTCAAGAACCTTCAGTGCCTCCAGGTACCTATGGAATAGTTCACACTCCTCCACACATCCTCCAAAGGCCTCCAAAATCTGGCCTCTGGAAAGTCCTTCTACCTCATCTCTCCCCCTCCACCTGTTCCAATCACATTCCTGTTCCTGTCCCACTGAACTTCTCTAATTTCCTCAAGTTCATCAGCCTCCTCCTGGCTTTTGTAGATTCTCTTTCCACTGTACTTACATCCTGAACTCAGGTCTCAGCTTAAATGTTGCTTCCTTGAAGCCACTTCTAGGAGAGTAGATTTAGACACTTCTCCTTTCTTTTTAAGAGATGGGGGTTCTCCCTGTAATCCCAGCACTTTGGGAGGCTGAGGCAGGCAGATCACGAGGTCAGGAGATCGAGACCATGCTGGCTAACATGGTGAAACCCCGTCTCTACTGAAAATACAAAAAATTAACCAGGCGTTGTGGTGGGCGCCTGTAGTCCCGCTACTGAGGAGGCTGAGGCATGAGAATGGTGTGAACCCGGGAGGCGGAGCTTGCAGTGAGCCGAGATTGCACCACTGCACTCCAGCCTGGGCGACAGGGTGAGGAGTCTCCGTCTCAAAAAAAAAAAAAAAAAAAAGAGATGGGGGTTCTCCATGTAGCCCAGGCTGGAGTGCAGTGGCTATTCACAGGAACTGTCATAGTGTACTACAGCCTCGAACTCCTGGCCTCAAGTAATCCCCTGCTTCAGCCTCTCGAGTAGCTGGGATTACGGGCATGCACCACCCACCTGGCTAGACAGTTTTTTTTTAATAGCCACAGACAGCAAATTGAAACAGAAGTTAAGAACACAGTTTTAGTGTTATATTTGAATCTCAGCTGTGTCTTTCTAGCTGTGTGACCTTGAGTGAATCACTATCTCTCCGAGTCGCTGTTTTACCACCTGAGAAAAGAGTTGATGATATCCTCTTTACAACATTGTGAAAACTGAGATAAGCTTGAGCACTGCACCTGGCCACAGTAAGTGCTCAATAGTTGAACACTGTTGCTGGCAAATGGGTTACAAGCTTTAAGCTTGCTCTGTCCCTCCTGGCTCTGTGGCCTTGGATAGGCAGCTTTCCTTCTCTGAGCCTTTCCCACTCCCCTCATCTCCAGAATCTCCACTAGAGTACTGCCCTTCCCATACATGTCACATGGGTGACCAATTTCCCCAGTGAACCTTCCATAAGCCCAAGAAGACCCTGATGTTAAGACTGCCTGACTAAATCACAGAATCCATCCACATCTTCTGCCACATAGCAAAATGTCCCTAAGATGCCCACAGCATTAGCGTGTATTGGCAAGCTCAGGGAGAAGGAGCTCTCTGATCTAACTTTCCTATCTTAACTCCAAATCCCATTAATTCGGATCATCAACAAACATTCACCAAGCACCTACTCTGTGCCAGGTACTGTAGTGAGGAATCAGAATGAACAAAACATGGTCCTAACAACCCAGAGGGTGGGGGAGGATTAATCCAAAACTGCATTTTACCCTTTTATCTGGGCTCCTTGAAGGTCTGCTGCATCAGAAGCCCAGTAGGAAACCAGAGGTGTACTCAAACGTGGCAATTGGAGGAGTTTAACAAAGTGTCTTATTACAAAGGCCAGGGCAAGGCTGCAGCAAACCAGAGGGTCAGTGCAGTATTCCAGAGCCACCACTTATAGGTGAGGGTTGGGGGTAGAATGGAGACAGACAGCAGTTGCCAAATCCAGACAAGGTGGCTATAGCTGAGAAGGGGCCTGCCTGAGGATGGAGAAAAGGGAAGGAAAATTAGTCTGACCTCTGTCTCCCTCCACCCTTTGATCTCCTGCTGTTGCTTTCCATTGGCTGAATCCAATAGGAATTTAAAATGCAAGGAAAATGCATTGATGTGCTCTATAAGGGTTGGCCTCCCAGGACACAGAGCAGTAGGGAGGAAGATGGAGAGAGGATCTAGAGGAACAAAAAGAGCTCACCCAACACACCTGCCCACTACAGAGAACTGGACATGACCTTGGAAAGTTATGACCTTCACCTCTTCCACTCATGAAATTCCCTCCTATTAGCTTGGGTTGTTATTTCCAGGAATGCATCACAGTGGGGGAGTTCAAGTCACAAAGTGCAGTTATTGAAACACCCTGAGTGTCTCCAAGGCTCTATCGAAATTCTCTCCCTCTCCCCAACTCTCCTGGTAGCATTGCAGGATTACTGCAGCTCATATTCATCTGTCTCCAAAAGATTAAACCATCCCCTGGAAAAGGCCACTGTTTCCCGAAGGAGGAGAGCCCATTTATGCTCATTCCTGCAAGATAATGACTTTTCAGAAAAAAAAAATACAGGTTGATTTCTTCCCTGGCTTGGGAGGAAGCAGCTTTTTTTTTTTTTTAAATTGTGGTTGGTGGGAGTGCACGATTGTGTGTATGCAAAGGAATTTTCTCACCAGTGTCAACCCACTCACAGAGTTCTGTTAGACAAAGCTAACAACAATAATAGCAATAATAATGACATATTTATTTATTGAACACTTACTCTATACTTCACACTACCTTGTCAAGTATTATACATGAATTATCTGATTTGATGGTCATACCTGCATGTTGTGTCTCCTACCAGTAATCCCATTTTATAGGTAAGGAAACAGACCCAAAGATGTTAAGCAACCTATGAAAGATGACACAACCACAAACAGGCAGAGTTGGGATGGGACTCAAGTCTAGGTCTCTCCCTAAAGCAGTGATTCTCAACTGGGTATTATTTTGCCCTCAGAAAACATGTGGCAATGTCTGGAGATATTGTACATTATCACAACTGGGGTAGGGGAGGGCAGTGCTAATGGTATCTAATGGGTAGAGCCCAGAGGTATTTCTCAACCTCCTACAATGCACAAGACAACTCCCCACAACAAAGAATTTTATGGCCAAAAATGCCAACAGCACTGAGGTTGAGGAAACTCTGCTCTATCTAAAGTCTCCCACTACCTCCTCGCTATGGTGTGGATATGGTTTGTTTGTGCCCAGCTAAGATCATGTTGAAATTTTGTCCCCCGCGTGGTGGTGTGGTGAGGTGGGGCATAGTGGGCAGTCTTTGAGTCATGGGGTGGATTCCTCATGAATGGCTTGGTGCCACTTTCATGTTAGTGAATTCTCACTACGGCAAGGCTAGATTAGTTCTCAAGGAAATGGATTAGTTCCCGTGAGAGTGAGTTTTTAGAAAGCCAGGACACCCATCAGGTTTTGTCTCCTCTTTACATATGTCTGCTTCCCCTTTGACCTTCTTGGCCATGTTATGATGCAGCATGAAAGTCCTCAGCAGAAGCCAGGGCCATGCCCTTAAACTTCTCAGCCTGCAGAACTGTGAGCTGAATAAGCTTCTGTTCTTTATAAATTACTCAACCCCAAGTATTCTGTTGTAACAACATAAAATGGACTAAGACACTCCTACTGCACCCATCCAGTCACAACTGCTCCTTAGCTAGAGAAAAGCTCAACAGGAGAATGGGGTCCTAGATCATGTAATGCCTGGGGTAACCCTTGTTGAAATGTTGATCTTCGGCCTAAGAACATTGGGAAGCCCTGAAGAATTCTCAGCAGAGAAGCCATGTAGTGAATTTGAATTTAAGGAAGATAACTCTGGCGACTGTGTGGAGAGTGAATGGGAAGGCATCAAGGGAGACTAGTGCAAAGTCTATTGAGATAATCCAGACGAAAGATGATGACAGACTGGATGGGATGATGACAGGTGAGACAGAGACAAGCAGGTGAATTTAGGATCTATTTAGGAGAAGGCAAATTTGCCAGGACTTGGTGAAAACAAGTGTGAGAGACAAGTTGGATATGGAACCATTCACTCTGATCTTATAAGCTCACGCTCTTGCTCTTTCTTTCTTTATTTCTATCTCTATCTATTGATATTTTCCATAAATATCGGTCTACCTAACAAGCAACTGGGTGTTTCTGAGGAATCAGCATCTACACAGTTGCTGAGAAGAAGTTGAGGCCCATTCTAAAGGCTGCCAGGGACGGTTGTGCAGGATGTCTGCAATACGAATGGTGCCCCCTAAGATTGAACAGACTACATAGCAGCCTGTACATTCTGGCATGTTAGACTCTCTGGCCTTAACTCTTGACTCTGGATTGACCATTCCCCATCTTTGGGAGCAAAACAATCAAAAGCAAGTTCAGTCGAAACAAGAGAAGACTCAAGTGAACTTGGTAGGTACTACCTCCAGCTCTCTAGCAAGGCTCTCCTGTGCACAGGGAGGAAAGAAAGTCAGTGTGGTACCCACAAGATTGGAGCCCATGAGCCAAAGTGATGGGGAGGCATATTTCAGCTCAGTAAAAGAACTGCTTAACAATGAAAACTGTTGAAGCATTAAATGGTCTACTTTGTAAAGAAATGAGCTCCTTATCACCAGAAGAATCCAAGTTCAGGTATAACAACCTCTAGCCAGAGATACAGCAAAGGGATCCCAGCATCTACCAAGTAGGATGTTAGACCAGATGCCGGCAAGGACACCTTCTGCTCTGAGAGTGGGTAGTGCTAACAAGGCATGCTGATATCTCCATGTTAGCCTTTATAAAGACCAAATGAATTTCTCCAACAAACTCTTAGAGTGTCTGCAGCACCAGCTGAGAAAAATTACACCGACACTTCTGACCACATCACTTATTAAAAAACACTCCCTGCAGGGCAAGGAAAATCTTCGAGACATTTTT
Source organism: Homo sapiens (assembly GCF_000001405.40). Taxonomy (NCBI): domain Eukaryota; kingdom Metazoa; phylum Chordata; class Mammalia; order Primates; family Hominidae; genus Homo; species Homo sapiens. The sequence continues at coordinate 120,091,224 of NC_000009.12, forward strand.
TTTGAAATGTATCAGTGATTTGCTTGCAGCCACTGACAGAACTTCAATAAATACTCCCTCAATGTAAACGTGCTTTCTCTCTTTTCCCTCTAACAAACACTTTCTCAGCTTCCACCCACCTAAACACCTTCATATTCTTTCCTTCCATTTGGGTAGGAGTCGAAGAGAAAAGAACAGACATGATTCAGGAGATGGAGCAGGGATACCCACACCCACCCCTTAAGGTGAGTCATGAACTATCCTGAGGATCCTAACACAGATTCTCCCCAACCCAGAACATTTTCTTGAGTTCCAGACCCACAGAGCCAATTGCTTGTGAAGTGTCTCCTCTAAGATGTCCCACAGGCATCTCAGATTCACTAGGTCTTGAGTGTAGCTCACCACCCTCTCAAAGGCATTCCTGCCCCAGAGCTCCAGATTTCAGAGAACATCATTCAAGCTGGACACATAATCTTTCAGGAGTATCTTTGACTCTTATCTCTTCTTCACTCCCCATAACCACTCACTTGTGCCTTAGTTTGAGTTTCCCAGAAGAAGATCCTGAGTCGAGGATTTAAACACAAATAGTTTTTGAGGGGATTTCGGAAAACCCAGGACAAGGGAGTAGGAACATGAGATAGGGAAGAGAATAAAGTCAGCCTGTGATACACATCACGTATCAAGCCATCTGTGCTGTGGGCAATTGAAGCTTAATTCCACCTGAAAACTTGAGGATATGGTGTAGAAAAAAGCATCAGAATGATAACATCATTTATTGGTTGAGGGTACTCCGGGGGGCTGTTACTCCCTGGCACTTACATCCTGTCTTACCCACAGGCAGTTTCCCAGCTTCAGAGAGAGCCTTCAGGCAAAGAGATGCAGACATTGCAGTTGGAAGTAAGCTAGGAAGTGGTGGAACTCACGGGAGGCAGGCAGGGCATCCACAGAGTCAGCTACAACAACGAGTCCTGTGGTGTCTATTGCCTAAATGATGCTCTGATCATCTATATTCTCCCCATTCTAGATCCCTCTCTCTCTGTCCAGATCACCATCTGACTTTTGCAATCATCACTGACTGGTCTTCTTGCCTCCAGCCTGGCATCCTGCAATCCTTCTCCAAACTGCAGCCTAAGTGAGATGGCATGCATAATGGTTACAGTACGGGCTCTCATTTTGGACTTCTTGTCTCCTTCCAGGTACACAACTTCAGGCAAAACACTTATCTCTGCACTTACTTAGTTGTTGTTTTTCCAAGTAAAAACCAGGCATGGAAATTGTAACTATCTCATAGGATTACCAAAAACATTAAATGAGTTGATGTATGTGAAAGGCTTAGAACAGCACCTGGCACATGTGGGTGTCCAATAAATATTAGCTATTATAATTTCTGTAGAAAAACTTGATCATGTTTCTCCTTCAAAGCTCCCCTCTGGGAACCAGACTCTGGAAGGGTAAGCTTTGGTGATTGCTGAAATATTCAAAAGATAGGGAACCCCATGATACTCTTGGAGGACAACTGTTTATCCAAGGATCAAAGATTAAAGACATTATTGATGCAATGAGTACCTCGGGGGAAAGGGGCCGGACAGATGACTACTTCATGCGTTTGCTCATCACGGGGGCTGAATCTAAGAACCCAGGGACATAGAAGATTCCTATAACTAGGTCCTCCCCAATCAAGGGAGAACTTGTGGTCCAAAAGGTAAAATTAAATAAGGAAAGCATTCTGTGTCCTGCCAGTACAATAGACCTAGTCCTGCAAGTAAAGCAGAGACAAACTGATACATGATTAAAACCTGTCTCCAATACTAACTTACAATGTATCCTTGGGGTGCTGACTTTCTCTCTCCAAATCTCAGTTTCCCAATCTATAAGATGAAAACAGTACCACCCACCTTAATAGAAATTTTGGGAGGATTAAATATTGTCACATACACCAAAGCCCCATCATATCATAGGCTCTCAAAAGAAGTTAGATTTCTCCTTTCTCGTCACCTATAATTACTAGCTCTCCCAGCCTTGATCTTCCCATGAGTACGATGGGAATTATAGCATAATCTTAGATATTTCAAATGCCCCATCTCACATTCCCTCAACCCATCTTTTTATTCTAGTCCCTGCTTTGGCAACCACCTGTGTAGTTACAACTATCTCTGGGTGCAGCCTGACTGCACCAGCTCTCTCTCAACTTGCACCCATGACCTCAAGAGAACTTTCTCATGACCAACTAAACTGAGGCCTGGTTCACAGATATTTCAGTGTTCTTCAGAACAAATAGTAATGAATGGCAGTTGCACTACAGCCTTCCCCAGGGTAACCCTGAAGGACAGAGGTGAGGGGATTCTTCACGGTTAGCAGAATTTTGTGGAGTACATTTGGTTGCTCACCTTGTATGGAGAGAGAAAGGGGCTGAGGTATGACTGTAGATAGATTCCTGGAAATGACAAATGGCTTGGCTGGTGGATCAGAGGCCTGGAAAGACCATAGTCAAAGATTAGGGACAGGGAAACTTGGAGAAGAATCATGTGAATGTAGCTATGAATGTGGAATATGCACAGATCTTTGTGTCTCACTCTATTTCATGCAAAAGATCATCCAAGTGGAAGAAGCATTCAACAATTAGACAGATAGGATGAGCCAACCAGTGGATATCAGCCAGTGTCCTTCCTTGACCACCTGAGCCTGAGTGTTGTGCAAGGGGCCTATGAACAGACCAACCATGACAGCAGAGATGGAGGATATGCATAGTCTTACTAGCATGGGCTCCTTCTCACTAAGGCTAATCTAACTACTGCCACTGATGAATGCCAAAACTAACAGCAGTAGAGGCTGAAAATGAGCCTTCGAAATGGTACCATGAGATCAACTAACCACTTCGTGGCAGATTAACTACACCAGGCTTATCTTATTGAACATAGGGCAGAAATTGTCTGTATAAGAATAGATACCCACTCTAGCTATGGGTTTATCCTCTTTCTGCTTTGCCTGTAGCCAGCACTACCAATTATGGACTTAAAGAATACGTAACTTGCTAAAATGCTATCTACATGTCACCTTGGACTAAGAGACTCATGAAAGTGCTGTAACAATGAGTACATGACTTCAGGACATTTGAACATGTAAATAATCTACTAAAGGCTTAATTAAAGGAGCCAACTCCAAAACAATGACCTGCAAGACTAGGACACTGTCCTACAGGATGAGGTATATGAAGCTGGGTCACTGATAGCTAGAATGTACAGGTCCAAGAATCAAGAGTACAAGTAGGATTGGTCTCTCTGACTCCCATTCCATGACACACTCATGATATTTATGCTCCCATTCCTGCATCCTGGTATCCATGGAGTGAAGGAGGGAAACTTACTCTGAAGAGGGGGGAAAACAACCCACCAATATTGTCAGGGATAGTTGACCCTGATACTTCTGCTGTGTAATGGTGGCAGAAAGAAGCATATCTGGAACCCAGGGGACACACAGGGCGGGGGGGTGGGGCGGGTATCATTTCTTGGTGGTTTCATAGTGTGTAGTCACTGTAAATGGCAGCTGAAACAACCACAACTGACAACAGTAAGGTAATTAAGAGGTCTGACTTTTCAGGAGTAAGGTTTATGTTTCAGCACAAGGTAAGAAACCTAGATCTGCTGAAATATTTGCCAAACATAAAGGAAATCTAGAATGGTTTCTTGAGGTAAGAAATGATAAAGATCAATTATGGCCTTAGGACCTGCAGTAGTAGCAGGAATTATAATTTGATCTACTAATCTATCTATATTTTTTTTGAGAATTTTTTTGAGATGGAGTCTTGCTCTGTCACCCAGGCTGGAGTGCAGTGGTGTGATCTTGGCTCTCTGCAACCTCCACCTCCTAGGTTCAAGCGATTCTCCTGCCCCAGCCTCCCGAGTAGCTGGGACTACAGGCATGCACCACCATGCCTGGCTAATTTTTGTATTTTTAGTAGAAATGGGATTTCACCATGTTGGCCAGGCTGGTCTTGAACTCCTGACTTCAGATGACCCACCCGCCTCGGCCTCCCAAAGTGCTGGAATTACAGGCATGAGCCACTGTGCCAGGCCGATCTACTAATCTGTCTATATAGATTGTTTTGCAGAGATTGCAGCCAACTACTGCCTGCAGACTGTGATAGACTGAAGTTCACGTTGAGCACAGCAGATGCAAAGGGTGGACTGTGTCAGACTTTTTTTTACAAACTGTTTTATTTCCTCTTGGTGTACTTTTTTGCCCCAGCTGTTGTGGTGGCAACCTACAGTCAGTTATATCCTGACAGAAACTTATCTCAGCTACGTTATCTCTTGCTTTGCATTGCGGGTTTTCTCTGCCCCCATAAAATGC